>NC_000005.10:108859807-109484807 GCF_000001405.40 Homo sapiens
TTTCAGTTCTCTGAACAGTTCAAAACCCATAAAATGTTTAGTAAATGTTTCTTGATAAATCAAATTTTCTTATGCCAGGAAATTTATTAAAAGTAGCAAGATATGTATATACCTATTATTATTATTATTATTATTATTATTATTATTATTTTGAGATGGAGTCTCTCTCTGTCGCCCAGGCTGGAGTGCAGTTGTGCGATCTCGGCTCACTGCAACCTCCACCTCCCGGGTTCCAGTGATTGTCCTGCCTCAGCCTCCCAAGTAGCTGGGACTACAGGTGTGCACCACCACGCCCAGCTAATTTTTGTATTTTTTAAGAGAGACAGGGTTTCACCATATTGGCCAGGCTGGTCTCAAACTCCTGACCTCATGATCCTTCCACCTCAGTCCCCCAAAGTGCTGGGATTACAGATGTGAGCCACTGTGCCTGGCCATACCTATTTTTGTTTTTAATGCTTTATAGGAGCATATAAACACAAACATTTTCTTTTTGTCTTTCCAAATTCTGTGCTTTATTTAGCCTTTGCTATTAACTGCATTTTGTCAGTTTTCTGCCATTTAATCTACATTACAACCCAGTGAATTAGAAAGGGCAGATAATTTAATTCCTATGTTTAAAAATCAGAAACTAAAATTTAGATTAAATGTTTTGCTTGGGGCTGCACATCTAATCAAAGGAAAAGCTGAGACTAGTACTGACTTTTTAACATTGTTCTTGTCAGAACCACACTGAGTAAAAAAGGTAGCTCCTTCATTGTTTCTACATATCACACTTGAATTTAACTTCCATGTGAAAAAAACATGTGTATACATTTGACCCAAGTAACTATAAGTTAAGATGAATTCCTGTTCATTTTCTTCATACTCAGTGTGCCTAGGATAGCGAGTGTAGAGTAATAAGTAAAATTGTGAAATTGAGCAGCGTATTAGTCTGTTTTCACACTGCTATAAAGACATATAATTACTGGGTAATTTATAAAGAAAAGAGGTTTAATTGGCTCACAGTTCCACATTGCTGGGGAGGCCTCAGGAAACTTACAATCATGGTGGAAGAGGAAGAGGCATGACTTCATGGTGGCAGGTGAGAGAGACTGAGCAAGAGTAGGGAAAACTGCCTTGTAAAACCACCAGATCTTCTGAGAACTCACTATCACAAGAACAGCATGGGGGTAAAAATACCCCTTCATGATTTAACCACCTTCCACCTGGTCCTTCCCTTGATACATGGGAATTATAGGGATTATAATTCCAGATGAGATTTGGGTGGGGACATAGAGCCAAACCATATTAACAAGGAATGTTCTGAAAGAAAGGAAAATTGTAAGGTGGTGGAATGTTTAGTTATCCAAATCAAAGCAGAGTCTACTTGTAGGCACTTTATTTTTAGAAAATAATCACTTCTTATTTATTATCAGCAGGTTTCTACCATAATTCGCAAATGGCAAACACTTCAGAAGTTTATAATAAAAAAAGTGACTTTTTAGACTAGCTTAATGAGTAGTCTAGCCTTTCTCTTGTAAATGTCAAACTTACATAATTGAGTTTTGCTAGCTTCATAATATTGTTGATGGCATGATATGTTGTTTATGCATTCTGTTATTACAAAACATTAAATAGATTTGTCAACAAGTTGTGGCAAACAAATTATAATTTAATCTCTTTGTGAATTTTATTATGTGGAGGAGGAAAAATTGGATGTTTTCCTCCTTGTTGATTGACATGTAGAACACTCATGCCCTGCTCCAATGCCTGTCATCATTTAAAGAAAAAAGAAAAAAAGCACACAAAACAAAGATAGGATACTGTGTCTGTTGAATGAAAAATAAGAATTTTTTCATTCTATGTACTTCACGTTAATTTTAAGAGCATATGCATTTATTTAAAAGTTAAGAAAGTATATTAGTGATCTAAGATATTTCGAAGTAAATAGAATTGTATTAGGTTATTTTTTGCAATAATTTTGTTAAGTAAAAGGAATTTTAAAATTTTTATTTGTAACATTGGTTTTTATATGGTATTAACATTTCTGAAATTGACTTATGTATCCTGTATAGCACCCTAAACATTTATTTTAAAACAAATCAGTAAAAAGTAACATAGAATCCCTTTCCAAATCATGGTAAGTGAGCATGTTTTTAAAACTCTTTGTTTTTACCTGCAAGGGAAGGAGATAACAGATTGATTGATAATGTGCATGCATAAGTATGCCTTATAACCAAATGTAGAAGTGTATGTGAGCTGTGGAGTACTCCTCCCCAAAATCTGTCAAAACATAACCTGAAATCTGGTTTTAAACCTGAAAGTGGTTTTGAGAATTTATTATTATTATTTTAATACAATAGATTCTGCATTGGATATTTCCAAAGGCAGTAAATATTTTTGTAATTGTTATTAATGACCATTGGTAAGCTGTTGGTGATTAAATTTTGGCTCTAATGACTTCAGGCTGTTTGTCATATACTATATTTAATAAAGAAAAAGGTATCTGGGAAATTCTTAACTTCTCTAATGTTATCTTGGAGCATAAAATCTTACTGAGTTGAGTGTTGTATGTTTAGTGAATCATTTTACACCAGCTAGAAAGACAGATGGGTAGTGTGCAGTTTAAATATCTGTGCAAATGAGAGGACAGATGGGTGGTTTAAATGGTTTAAATGTCTCAATGAAAATGTGTAGAGAGATTGTCTTCTGAAGTTAGACTAAAAAATTCAGGGAATTAATTAGGAATAATAGTTAATATAACAAAATAAAATTTTTAAATAAGAGGCAAAATATGGAATTCAGTGAATTGATTATACCTTTTGAACTGACAGTAAAAAGTAACATCTTAGAACACAGTACTCAAATACACTTGCATGGTAACTGCCTGTTTTGTTTTCTTATTATGAACATGTGGACTGTGGAAAGTGTCTTTATTACTTGGAATTAACTTATCTGGTTAATTGTACCTGACCTTTTGAACTGTTGTCAGAATTAATTTGTTCAATTTCAAGTAGTTAACAGAAACTTAAACTAGCTTAAAAATGGTGAGTAAAAAAAAAAACCAGACTAAAAACCAAAAACCTTGAAATGGGCCTCAGAAAAGGCAGCTTCTGTAGCAGGAGTTAGTGAACTTTTACTCTTATTCAGGAATTAATATGACTTAGCTTCTAGCCAAAATATTGGTTCCTATATTGTCAGGTATGTACCTTAGATCTTGGATGTCAGCTCCATGTAGGAGCCTCCTCCTAACTTGTGTGGGTGGGGACAAAAAGGGGTGATCACTTTTAGATGGAAGGCTGTGGGCTGGCCATAGATATGTCAGTTGCACTGACCTTTTTTTTTGTTTGTTTGACAGAGTCTAGCTCTGTTGCCCAGGCTGGAGTGAAGAGGCTTGATCTTGGTTCACTGCAACCTCCGCCTCCTGGGTTAAAGTGATTCTCCTGCCTCAGCCTCCCGATTGGCTGGGACCACAGGCATGCACCACCACACCTGGCTACTTGTTTTGTATTTTAGTAGAGATGGGGTTTCACTGTGTTGGCCAGGCTGGCCTCGAACTCCTGACCTCAAGTAATCCGCCCGCCTCGGCCTCTGAAAGTGTTGGGATTACACGTGAGCTGCTGCACCCAGGCAATTGCATTGACTTTTGGGGACTTTTAATGAAATATATTCTGTAAGAAGAATGCTAAGTAGTAATATTCATGGATAAAAATGCTATTGTATTATTCTATGAAAAATTATTAGTAACTGATCATGTGGGAGGATATGTTCCTTAGAACATTAAAAATCATTCATGGTTAGTATTACTGAAGTTATTTTATTAATTGCTAAGTTAAAAAATTGTGCCAAGTGTCATGCAGAGTGAGATAAATCTTCTCTAGGGATTTATTTTAACTGAGGCAAAAAATTTACTGATTTCTGATAAACATTAAAAAAATTCAAATAGATTAGAATTTTTGAAAAAATCACTGGGCATACCTCATAGTAAGGAGAATAATCATTTTATATTACATTTATATAAACACATATTTGATTATTTACTGGTTCATGACATAAAATATATTATCTTGTGGGTGGTAGTCAAAAAGTTTGAAAAGTATTACTTTAGTGATTCAAGTTTTTTTCTTTCTTTCTGATTTTCTTCAGGTGAGAACTAAATTAATGTACTTGCTTCCCTCCTGCCACTCTAGTTTTAGAACATGTTTCTCTTCAGCAGTGACAGGGGTTAGAGATACTCAGGTGAAAAGATTATTTTCTTATTAAGAAGTTCTTTATGTTATAAAGTGAAATAGATTATCTGGGTAACATTTTGTTAAAAACTTGGACAGTTATTAATATCCTCATGTGCAAGAGCCAGTGAATGGACAATGGGTACAGAATTAAACTCTTTAAAAAAATTATGTGTTGCTCCATAGAAGTCAGTGGTGATTCTAGTATTTGTGAACTCTAGAATTTATTGATAGTAGAGACATACAAGTCTGCCAGAAGGTTTGTTTCTGTTTATACGATGTGGATGTAGTTCCTGAGCATCAGAATTGGAGGGATGATGAGAAAGCAAGGGAATTCTATTTCTCATTCTGTTGTTCTTCCTAGGAATGGTCTGAGGTCTGAAATTGTCCCTCTTTGCAAAAACCCTCACCTTTTCTCTGCTCTTTGCTCTGGGGTACTGAGATTCTTAAATGAGGAATACTCAGATGGTTGCTGAGCCTAAGCAGAATGGCAACAGAAGGGAGCCTGCCGTCAAAAATTCTCAACTTAAGATCTGTTTCTGTTTCAGCTTTCTACATATGGCTAGCCAGTTTTCCCAGCACCATTTATTAAATAGGGAATCCTTTCCCCAGTGCTTGTTTTTGTCAGGGTTGTCAAAGATCAGATGGTTGTAGATATGCGGCATTATTTCTAAGGGCTCTGTTCTGTTCCATTGGTCTATATCTCTGTTTTGGTACCAGTACCATGCTGTTTTGGTTACAGTAGCCTTGTAGTATAGTTTGAAGTCAGGTAGCATGATGCCTCCAGCTTTGTTCTTTTGGCTTAGGGTTGACTTGGCAATGTGGGCTCTTTTTTGGTTCCATATGAACTTTAAAGTAGTTTTTTCCAATTCTTTGAAGAAAGTCATTGGTAGCTTGATGGGGATGGCATTGAATCTATAAATTACCTTGGGCAGTATGGCCATTTTCACGATATTGATTCTTCCTACCCATGAGCATGGAATGTTCTTCCATTTGTTTGTATCCTCTTTTATTTCATTGAGCAGTGGTTTGTTGTTCTCCTTGAAGAGGTCCTTCACGTCCCTTGTAAGTTGGATTCCTAAGTATTTTATTCTCTTTGAAGCAATTGTGAATGGGAGTTCACTCATGATTTGGCTCTCTGTCTGTTATTGGTGTATAAGAATGCTTGTGATTTTTGCACATTGATTTTGTATCCTGAGACTTTGCTGAAGTTGCCTATCAGCTTAAGGAGATTTTGGGCTGAGATGATGGGGTTTTCTAAATAAACAATCATGTCATCTGCAAACAGGGACAATTTGACTTCCTCTTTTCCTAATTGAATACCCTCTATTTCCTTCTCCTGCCTGATTGCCCTGGCCAGAACTTCCAACACTATGTTGAATAGGAATAGTGAGTTACACCTTATACAAAAATTAATTCAGGATGGAGTAAAGACTTAAATGTTAGACCTAAAACCATAAAAACCCCAGAAGAAAACCTTGGCAATACCATTCAGGACATAGGCATGGGTAAGGACTTCATGTCTAAAACACCAAAAGCAATGGCAACAAAAGCCAAAATTGACAAACAGGATCTAATTAAACTAAAGAGCTTCTGCACAGCAAAAGAAACCTACCATCAGATTGAACAGGCAGCCTACAGAATGGGAGAAAATTTTTGCAATCTACTCATCTGACAAAGGGCTAATATCCAGAATCTACAATGAACTCAAACAAGTTTACAAGAAAAAAACAAACAACCCCATCAAAAAGTGGGCGAAGGATATGAACAGACACTTCTCAAAAGAAGACATTTATGCAGCCAAAAGACACATGAAAAAATGCTCACCATCACTGGCCATCAGAGAAATGCAAATCAAAACCACAATGAGATACCATCTCACACCAGTTAGAATGGCAATCATTAAGAAGTCAGGAAACAACAGGTGCTGGAGAGGATGTGGAGAAATAGGAACACTTTTACACTGTTGGTGGGACTGTAAACAAGTTCAACCATTGTGGAAGTCAGTGTGGTGATTCTTCAGGGATCTGGAACTAGAAGTACCATTTGACCCAGCCATCCCATTACTGAGTATATACCAAAAATATTATAAATCATGCTGCTATAAAGACACATGCACATGTATGTTTATTGCGGTACTATTCACAATAGCAAAGACTTGGAACCAACCCAATGTCCAACAGTGATAGACTGGATTAAGAAAATATGGCACATATACACCATGGAATACTATGCAGCCATAAAAAAGGATGAGTTCATGTCCTTTGTAGGGACATGGATGAAGCTGGAAACCATCATTCTCAGCAGACTGTCACAAGGACAAAAAACTAAACACCGCGTGTTCTCACCCATAGGTGGGTATTGAACAGTGAGAACACATGGACACAGGAAGGGGAACATTACACACCAAGGACTGTTGTGGGATGGGGGGAAGGGGGAGTGATAGCCTTAGGAGATATACCTAATGTTAAATGACAAGTTAATGGGTGCCACACACCAACGTGGCACATGTATACATATGTAACAAACCTGCATGTTGTGCACATGTACCCTAAAACTTAAAGTATTAAAAAAAAAAAGAATCAGCTAGAAACTGATGCCTTGACACCAATGAATCTCAATGCAATGAAATACAAGTTACAAAAGAATGCAAATAAAATTTATTTACATTAAAAAAAAAGATCTGTTTCTGGGGAGAGGATTTATTTGGAGGACTTCTTTGGAAAGGGCAGAAAGTAGTAAATATCTTGAACAGTTTATTTTCTGAGTCTACAATGACAAGAAATATTTGTGTAATTTGCATCAAAAGTTTAAGATCTGCTTAAAATTTTCATTTCTTTATATCTTCATTTGCTTATATTGGCAATCTGTAAATGTTTTCTAAATGACTAGTAAAGGAACCATAAAATGTTTTTAACTCATAACATTATCAGTATCTCTCAGACTTCTTCCACATGAAGTCTAAATTTCTCTGCTTGATTTTCAAGTCATTCAGCACCTAGAACTGCACTACCTAAGGAGACCTATTTCTTCAACTTTCTCAAAACTTGCTGTCTGTAGACAAGCTTATCTCTATGTAACTTTGTTCTTTCCATGTATTCACTCAATATTGCAGTTCACAAGGCTCTATTTCAAGGACTGTTTTGCCAAATACTGAATTCCCAATGTTTAGCACAGTTCCTAGTAGCGTTCAGCTAATAATATTCATTGAATGAAAGGAAGGAAGGAATGAAGGGAAAAAAGGAAGGTGAGAGGAAGGAACTATCTGTTCTTATCTTTTTTATGCTTCCCCAGATATGTCCCATATTTTAAGGTTTGTCTTCTCCACAAAGCCTCCTCTGACTACCCTTGTCTTTGTTGATATCTCAAACATAGACCTCAAAATTTAACATTATTTACAAACTTTCTTGGTTTCTTGGTTTTACAGTTTTATGTGCACTGCTGTTTCAATTTGGTATAAGCTTCTTGAAGATGAAAAGGATCATATATCTGTACTTTTTTGTGTTTTACTTTGACCTTTATTCACCATTTAGTATCCTACATGCCTCCTTGGCAACCTTTGTGTTAAGGATTTGCAAATCTAACAGTACCTTGCATAAAGCTAAGCACATATTATGTGTTCAATAAAATTTTTTTGTTTAAAAAATGCGTGAAATAACATAAAACAGTAGTAATTCAGTTTGTATGTAGTGAAGATACAATTTTTTTTCTTATCTCTTTACTAACTTTCTTCAGTTTTTTTTTTTTTCAGGGAAGGAAACTGAAAAGGCCAAGGAACGATACGACAAAGCCACAATGAAACTTCATATGTTGCACAATCAGTATGTATTGGCGTTGAAAGGGGCACAGCTCCATCAGAATCAGTATTATGATATCACACTTCCCCTGCTTCTGGACTCCTTACAAAAGATGCAAGAAGAAATGATAAAAGCACTGTAAGATACATTTTCTTTTTATCATAAAATCCCTTCACAAAATGATTTCAACATATTTTCTCTCTAGTTTAGGTGTTGCTTCATAAGTTTTATTATTAACCCAGTCCAGGGGGTATTTCAGACCTTGATTCTTCTTGATTTTCACTTTTCATGTCCCTTCAGTTTGTGCTTATCCCCTAAACCTTCTAGCTAGCTTCCAAAATGGTCCTTCTTTTGTATGTTTTTGTTTTGTTTCCTTAGCTGGAAATTTAAATGAAAAAATTATAAGTTGAAAAGTGTTAGGAAGTGAATATCTGCCTCCAGAGAGTTGGGTATTTAAATCTTGAACAACTGAAGAGGCTCAAGGAAGAGATTTTTTGAAAGTTTATTTGTCAGCTTCTTGTTTTTTTTTCTGTATAAGATTAAAATCAACAAATGTTTATTGAAGTTTTACGTATGCAAAGCACATTATCTGATGCTTAGGGATATAGAGATGAGCAGGGCACAATTCTTGCCTTCTTGATCTAACAGTATACTTTAATTAGTGAGTCAAATGGACACATGTTTATCACACACACTGATACAAAATGACAGAAAAAATAAGTCATCCTTTGGTAGACCCTATTTCCTTGCTTAGTTGTTTTAGTGCCTTCCAAATGACTAAATTCAATTTTCTTTCACTGAAAATTGTGTCGGGGAATTCTTCAATGTTAGAGTTGCTGTGAACTATGAGTAGGGTTGAAGAATGGTGTAGTAATGGAAGAGCATTAGAAAAGAAGTAAATGGTTATCTCTCAGGTGGAGTTAAAATTCAAAAAAAGTAGTGAAGTATGAGAAAAGGAACTTGGACCAGTTTAATGCAGGTTCTTGCATTGTACTTAATTTATCTGTAATTACATAAATTAGCACATAAGCTCTTAGGTTTAGCATATTTTGAAATGTAGTGGTAAATTGATATGAAAAATTATTATGAGCATTTTTCAGGTTATGGTGCAAGAGGAAGCCTGAATATTACATCAATTAACCCATTTAAGCCAGAGGTTGCAAATTTTTTTGTGTGAACATTTTTTTTTGTGCATAAAATCAGACCTTAGCGATAACCTTGAGCAGTAGGATATGAATAACTCCCATAAGTTTAGTGTTCCAATAATGGAACACTAGTCATAAATGGGTTAATAAATGCCAAAGTAACTGTTAAAGGTAAAATGATAATTTCTAAAACAAAACATTTCATTTATAGACTACATTGCAGTTTGCAAAGCACTTTCATGTGCATTTGCTTACTTGTTCCTTACAGTATCCTGTAGAGTTAGGAAGTACAGGTTATATCCAGGGTATATCTATGACAGACAAGTGAGAATGGACCCAGATTCACAAAGCTAAGAGGTGGCACATCTGGAACTTGAAGCTTGAGTCTTCTGACTAACCCTGCACTCTCCGTGAGAGGAATGTAGTGATTTGAAGAATGTACCCTCAAAATTCTTGTGTACCCAGAATCTCAGAATGTGAACTTATTTGGAAATAGGGTCTTTGCAGATGTAATTAGTCAAGGATCTCAAGTTGAAATCATTCTGGATTTAGAGTAGGCCCTAAATCCAATGGCTGGAGTCTTTATAAGAAGACGGGAGGAAGGACAGAGAGAGACACAGAGAAGGCCTTGTGAAGACAGAGGCAGAGATTGACATCGTTTTCTTTGAAGGGCTCCCCCGTGCCATGACAGATTTAGTATAACTAGCTATCATTGTGTTATATTATTCTGTTTTACATACAAATATTTCAGATTAGGGATAATATTTCTTGGGCTATTGACTTCCACAGCCTCTGAAATTAGAAGCGCAAATTTGTCTTTGCTGCCTTCCAGACTCTGCTTGACTGACTTTTACTTCTCTTTATGTGAAAATAAAGATAATTTGATAGTATATACTTGTGTGTAGGTAAGACTAAATTTTAGGTGATCCTCCATATTCACATAAGAAGATAAAGTGTTTTTAGTTAATTTGAATATGTAAACTTTTTAGTGTTGATAAAATAGTGAAATGTCTAGTTAAATATTTGATTCATAGATTTACTTATCTCTAAAGTACTATTGATTTAGAAATATTTCCTTTCCTACTTTCATTTATTAATAGACATATTTAAACTGTTCACATGATTTTCAATAATAGTATCTTCATCATCACTGGAATATTTTTTTGAGACATATAATGGTTTCTCATGGTATGTTATCTGTACTTTGTGTAATACATTATTTTAGATTTAGAATTTTAAAAATCCAAGCATGATTATATCACCACAGATGAATCTCATGGAACAAATACCCATTCATATAATATTAGGAGATGTTTTTCATTTTTCCTCCCCATTTGTATTAAAGGTAAATGTTAATGATCTCCACATTACACCTATTTACTGTATTGCTTTAAAAGAGTTATTTAGATAGGCTCATTTACATTAGCAACATTCAGTACTTTTACTTATGAGATTATAATCCCAGAGATACTGACTAAATCTGTATTAAATTTTTCTGCCTCCCCTTTTCTTTAAATTGTGTCTGCCAGTTGATTTCTCTAATTATTTGAAACTAGCATTGCCTGAAACAATTTAAATCTCAGTTTTTTTACCCAAATGATATTTTCCTATTTAAAATAAAGTAATTGAGAGAATACTTCACAATAAGGGAGCTTTTGTACATATTAGTTTTTTATAAGTAATGATGGTGGAAAAGAAAAACCATGCTTTGTATTTATTTCAGCATATGCAGGATAACCTTGTCTGTCTACACTTGCTGTTGACAGTGACCTATGGCATATTTTTACAGTATAGCATTTTTAAGTAGGAAGCTGGTCTCTGCGACAGAATAGTTTTTTCCCTTTTGCATTTATTAGACCAGGCTAATAATTTTGATGACATTTTTGCTACTGATTGGAGGTCAAGAGAAGAAATTTAGATGTCATTCAAGGTATAGAACCAGTTCAACTAAGTATACAAAAAAGAGCAGAGGCCCAGAGGAGCAGGGAAGAACCAGTCAGGTAGAGCATGTGAGGAAGTAACAGACACTGGAAAGGAACATTAAAGAGTCAGGAGTTGATCAGAGTTCCATGTTATTCAACCCAAAATTTATACGAGAATATTTAGACATAGAAAGTTATCAACTCTGGCCCTGCATTTTGGACATATCAAATACATTTTTGAAAAGGTAATGCCATATTCTATATCATTTGTAATTATTGTATTATAACAAATATAAATTGCTAATCTGTACATTTATATAATCCCTCTTCTTTACTCTCCAGGTATGAAATAAGGTGGTACAGGAAACAACCATCTGTACATTTCAACATTACATTTCTTATGCTTATTGTTCTGAATCCTTTTTGAGATAGTATCTCTCTTGATAAAACTTTAAAATGCTGCAAAATTTTATTTTTGTTTTCAGCAAAGGTATATTTGATGAATACAGCCAGATAACCAGTCTTGTCACAGAGGAAATAGTGAATGTCCATAAAGAGATTCAAATGTCGGTTGAACAGATAGATCCTAGTACAGAATACAATAATTTCATAGATGTTCACAGGTATGACATGTTTATTCCTCTTTAAGGATTTATGACAGTATTATTTTTCATTCATACAATAGTTAACCACAGATAAAAATAAGAAATACTTAAGATCTTATTAAGACATAGAATATTTCATATTAATTTATCTGCTTTTAATTTTAAAAGTTCTTTGTCAATGATGATAACTATATAATGTATAGTTTTTGATATGTAAAAATTTGTTAGTTGTTAATCCATATTTAATCCATGCTTAAATCCATATTTAATCCATGAAATTTTTTTTTTATGCTTATATAATAAAACCATGACTTTATATGTATATTACACTTTATGATGCGCCAAATACTTTTCCATGGCATCTTATTTTATACTTAATACAATTGTGACAGGAATAAAGCAGGTTAATGCCTGAATTCTACAGATAAGGAATCTAAGTCTCAAGTTACACAATTTTGAAACCCAGGATTTAGTTTGATTTATACTATTTGTGTTTTCTTTGTTAACATAATTTTGGATAAAAACAAATATTCTGCCTTTAGTGTATATGAAGATATATTATGATACTGTATTTACAATGATCAAAATTATTTGCCATGCTTTACTAGAACAACGGCTGCTAAAGAACAAGAAATAGAGTTTGATACTTCCTTACTGGAAGAAAATGAAAATCTTCAGGCAAATGAGATCATGTGGAATAACTTAACAGCAGAAAGTTTGCAAGTAATGTAAGTATTCACAAAATATCAACAGTTTAAATACTAGTATTATTATTGCTTTATTGTTGTACTCAGATTTAAAATATCAATTATTTTTACAAGTATTGAACAGTAAATTTTTGGGGTCAGAGTGACATGTTTTGAGAAATATGTTAATTTTACTCATTTTCGTCACTACTTTTGGTAATTCCGAATATCAAAGTTCTGTGTGATGTTACATTCATTTGCCCAATTGTTGCTAGTATTTGACATTGGAATAATGCTTTATGCTTTTCAAAATTTATATATATATTAAAATCTCATTTCATCCTCACAATTTATTGGAAGAACCATTTTGGAAATTAGGTTGTTTACTGTTAGAGATAAGAGACTTATTGATGTCAGAGCACTTAGTACAAAAAATTGACTTTTAATTGAATTATTTTCTCTTGAAGCAGGGATGTCTTCTGTTATAGGCTGTTAAATCAGTTCCTTCTTCACTTTGTTGTTTTTGTTGTGTAAAATATTAAAGGAATTTTGAGAAATCACAATGTGTTTTTAGTTCTTTTCAAACATTAAAAGCAATTAGTAGTATATTTTTGAATTTAGAAAACATAAGGTGCTCTACTTCTAAATATTTAACCTATCTCTTGATTTTGTGTGGGAGCAACACAAGGAAATATATTTATTAACAAACATTGCATGTATTTTTTCTTTATGCCAGAACCACAGCTATAAATGATTATGCACTCATTGCTCCTCAATGTTAGACATGTTATATCATATCACCTGTTGGAAATTTACCTCAAATGACTCAGCCAAATGTCCCCACCTAATATAATTAAACAATCTTCTTTCTATTGTTCAGTAACATGGTGGTGGTACGGGTAATTAGCTAAGGTAGGAAATGCAGACTGGCTCTTGGAAAGAGGTTTGGAATCTTTTTTTTTGTTTTTTTAATTTTATTTCATTTTAATTTTGAGATGAGGTCTCACTTTGTGGCCCAGGCTGGAGTGCAGTGGTGCGATCTCGGCTCACTGCAACCTCTGCCTCGCAGTTCAAATGATTCTCATGCCTCAGCCTCCTGAGTAGCTGGATTACAGGC
Source organism: Homo sapiens (assembly GCF_000001405.40). Classification (NCBI taxonomy): domain Eukaryota; kingdom Metazoa; phylum Chordata; class Mammalia; order Primates; family Hominidae; genus Homo; species Homo sapiens. The sequence goes on from NC_000005.10 coordinate 108,873,288, forward strand.
ATGTGCCACCATGCCTGGCTAATTTTTGTGTTTTTTTTGTAGAGATGGGGTTTTGCCCTGCTGGCCAGGCTGATCTCAAATTCCTGACTTCAAGTGATTCACCCACCTCGGCCTGCCAGAGTGCTGGGATTACAGGCGTGAGCCACTGTGCCCAGCCAGGTTTTGGAATCTTTAAAGCTGGCTAGATAGGATTGAAGAAACTAACAAATATTTGTCCGCAAATCATGTGTACAAGATGAAGGCTTAGTAATTATGGCATACTGACTACTGGTGAGAGCAATGGAGGCATGAGAGTACACTGCATTACAGAGTTTTTCCTAGCAGCCTTATTGGGATTTTTGAAGCTGTTCCTAAGTTTTTCATGCCCTATACAGGGGTCTCACTTGACTAGGTTTCTGACCATTGATATTTACAATGTCAGCCATCTCTAAACCAGTAGTCCTTGCCCTGGGTGATTTTATACTCCAGGGGACATTTGACAGTATCTGAAGACATTAGCCGTAGATGCTGCTAAACGTCCTACAGTGCACAGGACAGCCTCCCAAACAAAGAATTATCTGGTGAAAATATCAGTAGTGTTGAGGCTGAGAGACTCTGCTTTAAACAATGGAGTTGAATGTATGGTGCAAAATGGATAGCAGAGTTTCTCAATTCCTGTGCAGTGAGACATTCCATTTCTCAATTCACGTGCTGCTGGTGAAGGAATATGACATAGATTACTCCTGTTTCTTTTTATTATAATATTGCTCCCAAATAACTTACTAATTTATTCATCTGATATATTTACTGTATATCTAAGGTTGTAAGGGTTAATGCCTTCAAGGACTTTACACTGAAATTGATTAATATGTTTTAATAAACACCAGAAAGAGTGAGTATATAGATTTTGGAATATAGTGTGGTAAAATTAAAAATAGCTACCTGTTATAAGCTTATGTAAAATCAGAGATTTTGTGACCAAAGAAGAATTTGTTTTATAGCTTTCTAGGGTATAATGAGACCAAAATTAGGTATGCTCATAAATCATTGTTTCTTAATTATAGTGATGAAGCAGTAAACAAAAATGCAATAAATTGAAGGTAATAAATCTTTGATAATGTGGTAGAAGTTTTAATTGCTCACATTTTACTGAGATAAACTTTAGTTACATTTCATTTAACAGTGTCTGTATTCAGGATATGAGTTTAAGATTAGGGGTTTCTTCAAGAATTTTATTCCCAGAGAGTTATTCAGCATCTCTGTTGGCACTTTCAAATAAGTATAAGGTAATTCCATTAAAACTGTATGTATTTTTTTAATGTAATATAAGACTTAGAAAAATCTTTCTTCCTTTTTTTTTTTAACTTAGTAGTGCTTTAAAGTTAAACATCTTTTCTTTCCTGAAGGCATTAATATTGTTAATTTAGTCGTAGATTCGTGTTGTAATATTATTCTAATAGAAGTGAAAGAAACAAATGAACAGTTAGTTCCTGGAAAAAGAAATACAAATTACCAATAGTACTTGGAAAAGATATTCTTCTTTGGCAATTAAATATAAATTAAAAAGAAATAGGCTATTTAACTTACCAGATTAGAAAACATTAAATAATTGGATAATACCCAGTGTTGTATAAAGTACAGATATATAAGCCCTCTTATAAAATGTTGCTACATATGTAAGTTGGTGTATAATTTGGCAAATTATATTTGTGAAACTGGACAGATAACTTATCCCCTCTGTTATGGAAATCTAACACTATGACATGTACCTGATAAAGTTATCACCTTTACCTATCTGAATATGTACCACGAAGCATTTTATCGTAATCTCATTATTTATCTATCAGCCATATTTATCAAGGTCTAAATACATAGGAGAGTTAAACTCAATTATTTGTAGGATTATCTCCTATTTATAGGAAAATTTTTTGGATGGTATCTTACCATGTGGTCAAAGGCTATTTCTCAGCTTCAGGTAACTTCTAGTACTGGACACCTGAAGCTGTGCACTTCCCATCACACATGCATTTATGCTACATTATTTTCGGGCTTAAATCTGAGGTTACTTTCTTTGTATCTATTATATATAATATAATTTCTCTCCTTCCCTACCAACACCTATCTCCCATCTGCCTCTTTTTTTGCATCTACCTTCTTTGCCAAATGCTGAAAGCGTTTTTGTGCTTAATTTATTTTTAATCATCTATTTATTAAAATTATATATGCAAATATTTCATCTCATCTAGTTACTATTTAATTGAATAATTTGGGACTCAGTAATTTTAGTTTTTCAAATTAGTTGAAAAAGTAAAGTCCATACAATTTTGAACATTAGAAGAATATATTTAAGTGTCTGTTTCGTGCTTTTTGTCATTATGGACAGATGAGTCATCTAATGGTGACCTATTGCAAACTTAAATGGAGTTTTGAATCAACACATCAGTAGGCTAAGTATGACAAATTAAAGATAGCAGGTTATTCTAAAATAATATAAGCATTAACTTGTCTGCAAAAGAAGAAATTTTGATTAATTTTAATAAAGCAGTAAAGAATTAAGGTCCTATTTAGTTATTTTGTTGACTCTGTTTTCTGATTTCAAATGAGGTCTCTTTATTATAAGGTGTTATTGCCTATCAGTAGTAGATATATTTGAATACCATGATTACGTAAAATGTGTAGTCTTGTATTCTAAAACAAAATCTAGTCTCAGGCCTTATGATTTCAAGTACATTTTTTAAAGTTTAAAATCAGAACATATTTAGCTTTTAGAATATAAATAGGATATCTCAATTGAAGAATGGTAATTCTTTATGTGGAAAAGTGATTGTCTTGGATCTTGTAGGGCATGAGTCAGCAAACTATAGCCCATGAGGCAAATCCAGCTAGTTGCCCATTTTTATGCAGCCCACGAGGCTAAGAATGCTGTTTGCATTTTAAATGGTTGGAAAAAAATCAAAGGAAGAATTATATTTTGTGACACACAAAAATTATGTGATGTTTAAATATCAGAGTACGTAAATAAAGTTTTATTGGAACACAGCCATGCTCATTCACTTACCTGCTATCTGTGGGTGATTTCACACTACAGTGGCAGAGCCAAGCAGTTGTGACAGAGACCATATGTGGCACACTCATTACTTCACACATCTGCTTGGCACTATACAAATCACAGTGACACAGTTATAACTCAACAGCATTTTGAGTGCCACACATATCAGTATACTGTGGCATCTTATTTTTATTATCAGTTCATGCCTATAGTGTCAAAAGAAGAAGAGAAAATAGATTTCAAATGTGGCACTTTTAAGGCATAGCAGAATGTGGATTATTTTGTTATTGAATTAGATGAAGAAACATTGTGTTTATTATGCAATTGCACCATGCCTGCTAAGCACTGAATATACTTAATTAAAATCTTATGGTCATGGATTGCTATTGGTATTTGGCAGTACTAGTCTATGTACTGTACAAATGTGAAAGACTTAAAATTTTATTAAATATCTGCATTAATAGGTGAACATTTATAGTTGATTTTGATTATAAACACTAACTTTGAACTGCAGTGATAGGAAGTATTATGGCCATCAAAAAATTTTCATTCTTCTCATTAAGAGACTTGCATTACGATAACATGTGCCCAGTTATTACTGTATTTTGAATTTGCCAACAAAATATTTGTGAATCTTTGTTTTCTCTTTTGTTATATAAATACCTATGTACCATGCTTGATTTTGCTTCTTGGTGGCAAAGTCTAAAATATTTGCTTTCTGTGCTTTTATCAGAAAATGGTTGCTGACTCCTGTTACAGAGGATGATACCAATTTAACCCATCCAACTATCTGAATCAACCTTGTATTTAATGGGGTGTCAAATACTTCACTACTCCATCTCTTGCATAGAGCCTTGCTTTTACCAAATCTGTTTTTGGCTGTTCTTGTTTACAGTATTAGCTCAAGTTTGGTCTCTGGTTGAACATATACAGTATTATAATTTGCTCAGGCTGTGTTAGGGGAATACTTTAAGAGTGAGTTGGAAAGATTTGGAAAAATGTAAAATATTGAAGTCAGGTGACATGTCGGAAGGACCGTTTGATTAAGGGAAACAAAGTTGTATGGAAGAAAGCAGATGGATTTGTTGGATTGGAGGTGGATTAAGTGGGTATTAGGAGGTGACTGTATTTAACAGAAACTCGTAACTTTCACTTGGTTGTAGAAGCCATCTTCTGTTTACTCTTGAGAAAAGCTCATAAAGATTTGTGTCATGGTATAGATTGTCATCCATAAAAATCCTATGCTCTTGCAATTATATTTTAAGAAAGAGATGGCAAGAAATAGTTTATGTTTTCAATTTATATTGCAACAATAGAGAAAAAGAGATGCCAGAAAAGTTACCTCAGGCAACTATAAATTCCATTTTTTTAATTAACCCAAATGTCACACTTAAAGTTTCAGCATTGCAAATTTCATGTAAGAAATGAAAGTTAAGATGGTTTGTCAAGTCATAATTTTTTTTGGAAGTTGGAAGTTTGATCCCTTTAAGAGTGTTGTAAGATTTAGATCGTGACATCCAATGATTATGATATGAAAAGTGTTGGATAAGTATTGGAAACTTTTTATTATCCATAGTAAAGGTTTTAAGACTTTGTATCTTTTTTTTTTAGACTGAGTCTTGCTCTGTTGCCCAGGCTGGAGTGCAGTGGCGCAATCTCTGCTCACTGCAGCCTCTGCCTCCCACTTTCAAGTGATTTACCTGCCTCAGCTTTCCAAGTAATTGGAACTACGGGTGTGCACCACCATACTTGGCTAATTTTTTGTATTTTTATTAGAGATGGGGTTTCACCATGTTGGCCAGGCTGGTCTCGAACTCCTGACCTCAACTGATCTACCCGCCGCAGCCTCCCAAAGTGCTGCGATTACATTCGGGAGCCAACATGCTGGGCTTCCTTTGTATCGTTTAATACAATTAAATCTTTAAAAATTATCTAACTAAAGCATGCAGATGATAAAATCTATAAAATCTTACAAAAAGGTATACAATAAAAATTAACATTTTCCTTTCTTCTTTTCGTCGACCACCATCACTACCTTCTAGGTTTAACTCATGAAGAAAGTGTATGTATTTTTCCAGAATGTATATACAATGTATATACATGTGTGTGAATTGTTTTCTTCTGTGTAAGTAGGAATTATTTTATGCATATTCCTTAGCATCATCTTCTTTTTTTTAACATGTATTAAATCTTCTTAATGTGTACAGTGTTTTACTACTTGTATGTAATGTAATTTCTTTAGTTTTGTTATTTATTGATGGGCATTTAGGTTATTTCCAGTTTTTTCCATTGATGGAGTTGGTGCTAGGTTTTGTGGGACTCTAAGCTTATAAAATTGGAGTGTGGGGAACATCTTTAAGAAAATCTATACAAACTTACAAATACAAAATTAAGTAGAGAGTCTTGGAAGGGATCATGCAAGTGAGGCACCTGAGAACTAAGCATCATTAGCATCATGATACATTTACTTTTGTTTATTGTGATTATACAATAAACATTCTTGTATTTACATCTTTGTACACTTTTGAAGCATATATATGGGATAAATTCTAGGATGTGTAATTACTAAGACAGGATATTAGTTGTTAAGGGTGTGGATTCAGGATTTAAGCTGCTTGGGCTCTATTATCAGCTTTTCCCACTTACCGGCTCTGTGACGGTGGACAAGAGCTTTAACCTCTCTGCTTCAGTTCTTCATATGTAAATGGGGATTATAAGGGTGTTATAAGAATTATATAAATTTAAGTGCTTATTTATAAAGTGCTTAAAACTATGCTTGGCACTCAAATGTTAAGTATTATGTCATTTTGTGATTTTTTTCCAGGTAGGGTCATTTTATGACTTTTAACTGCTTTGCCTTATAATATTATAATATTTAATTTAAAAATATAAAGAATAAGCCATTTGAACTGTTACTATTTTTTATGCTATTTTATTTTATTTAAGTTCCAGATACATGTGCAGTACATGCAGGTTTGTTATATATAACGTGTGCCATGGTGGTTTGCTGCACCTATAGACCCATCACTGGGTATTGTCTCGCATGCATTAACTATATATCCTAATGCTGTCCCTCACCCTGCCGGCCCTCCCCTCAGAGGCCCCAGTGTGTGTTATTCCCCTCCCTGTATCTGTGTGTTCTCATTTGAACTGTTACTATTATATTTGTATACGAAACATGTAATAACATGATGGTGAATATTGTACTTTGAAATTTATGAACTATTCTTACATTTGTTATGTCATCTATACATGAACTGTAATTACTCAAATGTTTTTCTCTTCACTTAATTCACACATTACAGGTTTTTTTTTATTTTTAAGGGGATAATGGTAAGAAAGAGTAAATACTTTCACCATATGTATTTTTTTTAGATTAAAAAAAAATATATATATATATATATATATATTTGAGGCAAAGTCTCACTCTGTTGCCTAGGCTGGAGTGCAGTGGCACGATCTTGGGTCACTGTAACCTCCGCCTCTCAGGTTAAAGTGATTCTCCTGCCTCAGCCGCCTGAGTAGCTGGGATTACAGGTGCCTGCCACCACACCCAGCTAATTTTTGTATTTTTAGTAGAGACGAGGTTTCACCATGTTGGCCAGGCTGGTCTCAAACTCCTGACCTCAAATGATCCACCCGCCCTCAACCTCCCAAAGTGCTGGGATTACAGATGTGAGCCACTGCTCCTGGCCTCCCTGTATAATTTTATTCTTCTAAATTCATTTGTCTTTTCTTCTTTGATGTCTGTCTAGTAGAATGTAAGTTTCCTGAAGGCAAACTTGTTTATTATTGTATCCCTACTGTCTAGCAGACTGTCTGACACAAGGAATGTGTTTAATAAACACTTGTTTAAATGAATGATTGAAGTTTTGAGAAGAGAGATGAATGGAAAATTAACCAGGAAGAGAATGAGAATAAGGGAAATGTGCAGGGAAGAGCAGCAAAGGATAGAACAGAAGAAAGTGATAAGGAGAGGAAAGGCTTTTTATTAAATTCAGCTTTGATGTAGCATGGTCAAGGCAGTGATAAGAAGCTGGTTGTTTTTTCTGTTTCCACCAGACTTGGGTGTCAGAAAGTGGTTGGGACAGATTCTGAGGTAGGGCTCTGTGTTCTAAACTTTCATTTGAATTAAATGAGATTATATATAAGGCACAGTTGGAACAGCAAAGCATTATGTGTTATTTACTTATTTATTTATTTATAATTATTTAATAAGGAAGTTGGAGCCAGTGGTTGAAATGTAGCTTTCTTGACAATGATCTTGAATCTTAATATAGTAATGTTTTCTTTATCTGATAGTCAGAATATGAACTATTCCATGCAAGCCAATTCTCTCAATAACTGAAGCTTGTATCTCCATGATATTCAAAAACATAATTTTACTGGATTTGATACAAATGTCTTATGAATATATATATATGATTAAAGAAAAATGTTCAATCTGACCTTTCCCTGATGACTCTCGATCATTATTATAAGTATTATTGCTTTATTTTGCTTTAATATCAAATGCCGTCAGAGACTTACTGAAATTTATGACGTTGTTTCACTCTAAATAAAAATGAAATAATATTTATTGCTGTATTTAGCATTCTTCTGAATATGTATAATAGTTTTTCTGCCTCTCTTATTTCTATTACCTATTATTTAATGATTCTAAAAAAATCTATTCCTGTTATAAGAGATTCAAACAATGATATATATGGAGTAAACTATGAAAGACTTCTTTGGACTTAAATCACTCCCTAGTCCAATCGCACACCTCTCAGAGTATTGATAAAACTTTGGTTTATAGTCATCTGTTTCTTATCCTGTGCACTCACATATAAACACATACCACATAAATATATTGTATTAGTCTGTTTGGACTGTATTAGTCTGTTTTCACGATGCTGATAAAGACTTTTGAGCCTGGGAAGACAAAGAAGTTTAATGGACTTACAGTTCCCCATAGCTTGGGAGGCCTCACAATCATGGTAGAAGGCAAGGAGGAGCAAGTCACGTTTTACACGGATGGCAGCAGGCAAAGAGAGTTTGTGCAGGGGAACTCTTCATTTTAAAACCATCAGATTTCATGAGACTTACTCACTATTGTGAAAAGAGCGTGAGAAAGACCTGCCCCCATGATTCAGTTACCTCCCACTGGGTCCCTCTCACAACACGTGGAAATTGTGGGAGTTACAATTCGAGATGAGATTTGGGTGAGGACACAGCCAAACCATATCAGACTGTCATACAAATTACCATAGGCTGGATGGCTGAAACAACAGAAATGATTTCTCATAGATATGGAGGCTGGGAAGCCCAAGATCAAGATGTCAACTGATTTGGGTTACTTATGAGGTCTCTTTTCCTGACTTGTAGATAGGTAATTCTTGCTGTGTCCTCAGATGACCCTTTCTTTGCATACATGAGGAGAGGGAGAGGAGAGGTAGTGGGTTCTGTGCTGCTTCTTCTTATAAGGGCTCTGATCCCATCATGAGGGCCCCACCTTCATGACTTCATCTAATTCTAATTACCTCCTAGAGGCTCCATCTCCAGATACCATTATATTGGGGGTTAGGGCCCCAACAGATGAATTTTGGGGTCACAATTCAGTTCATGGAACATATGCATGTATATGTATTTTAATATAATTAGAACAATGCTATATGTATTCTGCTACATTTTGCCTTTTAATTTAAAATTGTATCTTAGAAAAACCTTATATATGTGTACCTAATTCTGTTTTAGTGACTGTATGCTATACTAGGGCATTTAAATATTTTGTAGTTTTTTGCTTTATAATCAATATTGCAACAAATATTTTTGTATGGACAGACTTTGTGCATATTGTACAAGTGTTTTGGTAAGACACATTTTTAGATGGTCAGATAATTTTCTAATTTAAAATTTGAGAGACAGTTCCAAGATGACCCCTGAAAAATCTGTGCCAATTTTTTCACATCAGTGATGTATAATTGTTTCCATTAAAAAAAAATAATATTGCTATTACTGGATATTCCAAGTATTTTTCATGCTTGTCAATTTTAGTAGGTGAAAAATAACTTATTATATAGTCAGTCTAGTTATAATAATGTCATATGCTTATTGATCATTTAATTTTTTCATGGTGAACTTCCGTTGTGTTAAGCATATGAACTTCATATGCTTATTGATCATTTAATTTTTTCATGGTGAACTTCCATTGTGTTTTTTGTCCATTTTCATATTAGTTTGTCTTTTTTCTAAGAGTTTTTCTGCACGAAAAGGGCTCTTTCTGGTAATTTGCGCTGCAGGTATTTCTTCAGGTTTGCTTTTGACTTTATGATCTCTTTAAGTTCAAATAAATTTTCATTTTTATAGAGTTAGATTATTTAATATTTTCTTTTTTGTCTTTTGGGTTTCATGTCTTGCTTTGAAAAGCTGAAGATAAAAATTTTAAAGTGATATGATAGCCATGTATGTTTTTGTGGTAGAAATACTTCCGTTAAGGACTCAATGCATTTTATACAAACATAAATTATCTGGTTTGTGAGCGCATATTAATTTATGTATTAAATTGTCTTCAATTCTATACAGAAAATACTCCTAAAGTATTACTACAATATGTGAAAATAGAAATAGCTTACCATGAATTTAAAATGACAAATAACTGAGCCTCACTTTCATTTCTTTAAAATAATACTATATATCTCATAAGATTGTTGTGAAGAGTAAATGAGATAACATCTGCAAATAATACTACTTACCATTTACTCAATGTCTACCAAAGTTGTTCTCTTCTCTTTTCTTTACCTACTTCTCTTTTTCTTTTTGGTGAATAAGACTCTAGACCAGTATTGCCCGAGTACTTACTGTGATTATTGAAATATTCTTTTTTCCACCATCCAGTAAGGTAGCCAGTAGCTACATTTCTGTTTAGCACCTGAAATGTGTCTAATGCAACCAAAGAGCTGAAATTTTATTTTAGTTTGAATCAGATTATATGTGGCTACTGTTTTGGACATTGCAACATAAGATGTATGAATACTTTTTTGATATGTATAAAGTGAAAATTAATTTGTTGGTTGTTATTGAGGATACTGTTTATTCTAGGTTGAAAACGTTAGCGGAAGAACTTATGCAAACACAGCAGATGCTTTTAAACAAGGAGGAGGCTGTTTTGGAGTTAGAGAAGAGAATTGAAGAATCTTCTGAAACTTGTGAGAAGAAGTCTGAGTGAGTAAAAGAGAAACAATTTGAAGGAAGAATGTTTAATTGTAATTTTACAAAAATATTTTAGTTACATGGCAGTGTGAACCTAACATTTCTAGAAACAGAAACTTTTATTTTAAGTATGAAGTTTTGTATAGTTAATTTCTAGGATTCTGGAAAAATGATTCTGTGGTTTTAAAAAATATAGTGTCCTTGGGAAAAATGATTATGTATTTTTGTAAATATAGCATTCTGATCATATGTCTCAATGTTTTAACAGTTTGAACTATCTTTCAAAAATTCATTGTTAAAAGCTGTCTTTACTTTCCTACATCCATTTTCACCAGACCCATTGTGAATTCCCCTGTTAAGAAAGTGGCAGACCAATATTACCTATAAATAGTCTCTACTCTGTTAAATGGAAGCAGACTGATGAGAAAACAGATAAAAATCACTCAGTGATTAGCTGTGCTATTTTGTCTTGCTGATTTCTGGATTTGCAAATATCTTCCTAGGTCCACAGACTTTACTTGTGTTGGTATACTCTTCTTTTACTGACTTCATTATGCTTTCTACTGCTTAAGAATTTAAAATTTAATCTAAACTTCAAGTTTCTAATCTGCTTTTATTAATTGCATCTACAAGAGTGGGTGCTGGTGTGGTTTTTCTAATCCTGACTAGACCTCACATATTTCTTGCTATTATACTCTCACATATTCTTTGATTTATCAAGACTCTCAAGGAATTTGTGATATATAGAATTTCTCCAGTTTATACCTGCTATTTCTGCACAACTTTTCATATATCCTCCACTTATTTCAGATCTCTGATTACTTATCTCCCTCATCATAGTGAGCAGATGGACATCCACATCCCAGAAATAAATTAGAAACATTGGATGACATTTTTCTTCTTTTCTGAGATTAGAGTTCCAAACCCACCCAAATTTGTACTCAACATCTTTCCTTACTTCAATAGAGGAACAGTTCTTTGTCCTAAGTTCATTTCTTATGCCTGGTTTTTTTTTTGTTTGTTTGTTTGTTTTTGTATTTTCTCGTCTCTACTTTCTCAGATTTTACATAATTTATGTATTATGTTCACCTTTCCTTCCCAACTGGGTCCTTGTGCTCACTTTTAAAATATACTTAAGTCTTGACTCCGAAAAACAATCTCCACCTCCCTACCCACCCCAAATAATCCTTTTTAAATCTCCATATTTTTTCCCACGTACTATCTTTGCTTTCTGTTTTCTTAGTTCGAACTTGTTCCAAGAGTGATTATGCTCACTCATTTCCTCAATTCCCACTTAGTTTTCAAAGTCTGGCTTTTTGCCCTATCGCTATGGAAATGGGTAGCTCTAAGATCACAATGATGTCTACATTGCTAGCTAAATTTAGAAACTATCTTACTTGACCTCTTAATAGTATCTGAATTTACTGACTTCATTTATTTTCTTTTCCCTTGGCCTTTGGAACTCAAAATGCCAGATCTTAATCCTCTCTTTCTGGCCACTCCTTTGCAAACCCATTCTCTTCCGCTCAGCCAATCCATTTTAGAGTTAGGGAAGGCACGGCCCTAGGCTGTCTCACTCCTTTCCCTGAACTTTTTCCCTAAGTGATCTGGTGAAGATGAGCCATTTATTACTCTCTCTCAGATTTATTTTCTGAACTCCGTGGCCATGTAACCAATTGCCTACTTGACATGCCTTTTTGAATGTCTTAGAAGTATCCTAAATTCCCAATGTCTAAAGGCTGAATTAAAAATCTCCATACAACCCAACCAAACTCAACCTAACCTGGTTCACTCTTAGTATTCTTTATTTCAGTGAATGGCAACATCATCCATTCTATTATACCACATCAAATTTTAGAGGGCTACTTTTCTCATTTATACTATAGCTGTTATTACAACTTGGTGTTAAATTTTTGTCTGGGTCTGTTTGGTCTGCTATAACAATGTGCCATAGACTAGGTGACTTAATAAAGAGCAGACTTTATTTCTCACAGTTCTGGAGGCTGTAAGTCTGAAATCAGGGTGCCAGCATGATTGGGTTCTTGTGAGGACTCTTTTCCAGACTGCAGACTGCTGTCTTCTCATTGTATCCTCACATGGCAGAAAGAGGGTAAGAGCTCCCCGGGATCTCTTTTATAATGGCACTAATCCCATTGATAAGGGCTCTACCTTCATGACTTAATTACCTTCCAAAGGCCCCCACCTCCTAATACCATTGTATTAGGAGTTTTCAACATCTGAATTTTGGCAGCATACAAACATTCAGTCCATTGCAACATTAAATGGGAATCGATGAGCCCTGTAAAGGCGAGAACAGGAAAATTTGAGTTACTCTGATCATTCCTTTACTAAATCTGCAAATTTTTAGTATTGCATTAACAGAAGATTTTATTTGAATGGTAAAATAAAACATCACCCATTGCACATATAAAATTAAACAAAAGAATTATCTTTTGCTTTTCTGTGTTTGTGGATGAATCTCTTCACATGTTTATAGATGACCAAGTGGTTCTACTTTTTATAATTTTGCAAAAGGACACATTATAATGACTCCTATTTTAAAATTTAGTGGATATAAAGAAAGAAAATTGAAAGTGCTAACCATTTCACCAGAATGTCTGGCTATAAGTTGTTGGAGGAGATGATCTTTAAGGGCTCCCTAATCTAGAAGTTATGAGATTATTTGAATTTTTGCATGTTTTCTTGACAAATCTTTGCCTCTCTTTTTATCTACATAATGGGTGTATAATCCATGTTCCTCTACCTGTTTATATTTATCAGGATATGAGAATGGATATAAGAGAGGAGCCTTGAAGGGTAGTGGATATATGGAAAGTAACATTTCTTGAGTTTTTACTTTGTGTCACATATTATGCTGGGTATTTATATATATATATTATAACATATAAACATATATATTATATATAACATACATAAACATATATGTAACATACATAAATGTACATATATATATATGTTAACTCATTGAATGTTATCTTTCTGTGCCTTTTGTATAGTAGCCTGTGTTTTACCTTCAGGTCTTTGAGACTTTACATAACTTACTTACAATCACATACATAGTAAATGGTAGAAAAGACATGAGTTGTTGACTCCATAGCTTCTGTCTTTTTGATCATATTATTTGCTTGATCTTATGATTTTAACAGCATTCTTTAGAGAATAAGTTAGCAGGGGTAAGTATGCCAAGCTTTTCAGGGGATGAGACCTGTTTAACCCAACTCTTGTTAACCTTTGTTACCATGGAGTTATTATTGTTAGAGTCAAGGTATAATCTTGAAAATGTTAAGTATATTTATATGACTAAAGAGTTACTGCTAAATTTCATTAAATGCAGACATTGGTAGGGTTAAGTTTGCCTTTGAATTATATGTTAACATATTTTGCTAAACACATAGTCTGAAAGGGATTCCAGGGCAAATGTTTGCATTTTAATTTCTTAATATTTCTTGAATATTTCCTTTTATTGTGTACATGTGTATATAACTACACATGTATGTTTAAATATGCATATATAATTAAAATCAATTTTTATCTGGTTTTAATAATAAACTTACATTATCTTTACTTCTCAACACTTTGTTAGTTTCATGTACTGTGTTACTTGTGAGACTACATTTCTTCCTAAATGTCAAAAATAGTCTATGTTAGATATTTGCATTCTTAAATTATTTTTAAATTAATGGAATTATATTGAATGTTTACTTAATAGAAATAACAGTATTTGTTGTATCAAAATATGAGACTAAAACCACATTTTTATAATTTGAATTTAATATATCCATGTCTCTAAAATATCTAATGACAGTGAAAAAATAAATTATATGATAAATCATTTGATGGCTTTGATTCCTATAATTGAATAATATGAAGAGAAAAATAAACTTCAAGAATGGCTTTTATGTGATTTTAAATTGACACATTAGCAAAAACAGAGTTCAAGCTTATATAAGTAATGCAGGTCTTAGTTGAAATGTAGCTATCGCAGAATTTTATTTAAAAAATATAGAATGAAAGAAATAAAACCAACCATTTGAAATTTTTATAAAAAAATTTTAATGTATTAAATACACTAAATATGCTAAATTAAATACATTTAATGTACTTCGTGCATTTAGTGTATTTAATATGCTAAAATTTTGTATTGTATAACATACACTAAATATACTTTAATCCAACACAGAATATCAGTCTAGTATATATACCTTCACTCATTACTTCTAAAGTCTCTTTATTCAAATGGAAATAATACCAATCTTTTCCTGATTTGTGGTCCTTGACTTTTGTATTAGAAAAAAGTTATGGGAAAAAATACCAAGCATATGTCATTTATGACTTGGTGGCATAAAGAGCTAGTGATGTTACTGTTGGTTTGAATGCTTGGTTTGATTTACAAAAAGTAAATGATTATTTAATTTTGTATTGTCTTAACCTGTTTTATATCATTATCACTTAGTATTTAAAAATACCTTATGTATTATAAAATGATAGAGCCATGCAGAATCTTAAGAGATCATTTGATTTAGCCTCACTGCCTTTCAAATAATGTGACATCTGAGGTCCAGAAATTTTGAGAGACTTGCAAAATGTCACATCTAGCTTCTGGTAAAGCTAAGACTTAATAATCTAGAATAGTGTTCTAGTTTTGAAATTCAGGAACCTTACATTTTTTTCCTTTGGCTCAGAGTTTTAGAATTATGTGATTTAAAAAAAATGTGCTATGTAAATAGGGAATTCATTCAACAATGTTGATTGTGCATCTACCAGATGCTGTGATTGCAGTGAGAGGTAAGACACGTATGGTCACGTGGCTCATGAAACTTACACTTTTGTGGAGGAAACCAACACAAAATTAAAATAATTACCAGTTATTATCATTGCTGTGAAATAAGGGTTCAGATAGAAGAATAACAGAGGAACAGCTACTTAAGAAGTACGGTCAGAGGTCTCCTAGGAGATAGGCAGAAGATAACCTGCATGTGAAGAATGCATGGAAAGAGTGTTCAGACATAGGAAATAGCACATGCAAGGGTTCTGGAAGCTTCCACGTTTTAAATTTATTTATGGCCTCCTATGCATCATGTACTAAATAATCATACATTTACTATAATTTCTACTTACTGAAGTATGTATTGCTTGTTTGCTCAATGGTATTATAAACATAATTGTATAGTATTTTACATAGTGAGACCAGCAATACATTTTTTTCAATAATTATTGAACAAAAGGAACATGTTCATATATGAGAGATTATGTCATAGATAAAGGCTGAAATGGGATTAATTGGAAGAAATGAATTTTTCTAATTGATTTCATGATCAGACATGTTGATTTTAAAATGTTAGGACTAGAGACATACACCCCCTGCAAGTCTCATTATCCTTAAAAACCACTAAAAATCAAAACCAGGAAATTTACGTTTTAATCTTATTCTTGGTATTAAGATAGTGTCTCTGAGTATCTAATTGATTGCCAGCATGGTACAATACAGTAGAAACTTTCAAGTCCTGAAGGGGAATAAAAAAGACCTTCCTCCAAAACAGATTATTTGGGTAGGCGCCCAAGACATATGAGAAGATAAAAACCTGAACTCAGTTAGTGTAACCACTATGGAGAACAGTTTGGAGGTACCTGAAAAAACTAAAAATAGAGCTACCATGCCATCCAGCAATCTCACTGCTAGGTATATACTCAAAAGAAGGGAAGTCAGTGTCTCCAAGAGATATTTACACTCCCATGTTTATTGCAGCACTATTCACAATAGTCAAGAGTCCGAAGCAACCTACGTGTCCATCAACAGACAAAGGAAATGTACCTATACACAATGGACTACTATTCAGCCATTAAAAAAAGAATGAGATCCTGTCATTTTCAACATGGATGGCACTGGAGGTCATTATGTTAAGTGAAATAAGCCAGGCACAGAAAGACAAACTTTGCATGTTCTTGCTTATTTGTAGGAGCTAAAAATTAAAACATTTGAACTCCTGGAGATAGAGAGTAGAAGGATGGTTATCAGAGGCTGGGAAGGGTAGTGGGAAGTGCTGGGCAAATGAATGAGACCTGATATTTGATAGCACAACAGGGTAACTGTAGTCAATAATAATTTAATTGTACATTTTAAAATAACTAAAAGAGTATAATAGGATAGTTTATAACACAAAGGATAAATGCTTGAGGTGATGGATACCCCGTTTACCGTGATGTGAGTATAACACATCACATGCTTTTATCAAAATATCTCATGTACTTCATAAATATATATACCTATTATGTACCCACAAAAATAAAAAATGAAAAAATTCCTCACCTCACCAGAGGAAGCGTGATGTAGCAGCGGTGATACATATTTTTAAATTAATTTTTTTATTTTGAGATCATTATGGATTGACATTTAGTTGTTAGAAATAATACAGAGAGATCCCGTGTACCCTATACTCAGTTTCCCTCAATGGTAGCATCTTGTAAAACCATAAAATAATATCACAACCCAGATACTGACATTATGCAGTTAAGATACAGAACATTTCCATCACTACAAGGATCTCTCATGTTGTACTTTTAGCCACACTTCCTTCAGTCCATCTACCTCCTTAGTAACCCCTAGAAACCATTAGTGTGTTTTTTCAAGAATGTGATATAAATGGAGTCATGTTGTATGTAACCTTTTGGCATTGGCTTTTTATTCAGCATAATTCTTCAGAAATTCATCCAGCTACTTTCATTCCTTTTTACTGTTGAGTAGTGCAGTGTTCCATGGTATGTGTATCAGTTTCTTAGGGCTGCTGTAATAAAATACTGCACAGTGGGTAGCTTAAAGCAACATAATTTTATTTATTAAATTTATTCTCAGTTCTGGAGGGTGAAAGTATGTAATGAGGTGTTGGCAGTGTTGGTTCCTTCTGAGAACTCCAAAGGAGAATCTGTTTCATGCCTGTCTCCTAGCTTCTGGTGATGGCTGACAATCCTTGACATTTCTTGGTTTGTAGAAGCTTTACTCTAGTCTCTGCCTCTGTCTCCATATGACCCTCTGCCTGTGTGTCTCTTCTCTGTATCCAAATTTTCCTCTTCTTATAAGGGCAACAGTCTTTTCCATTAATGGCCTATCCTACTCCTGTATAATCTCATCTTAACTACATCTGAAACAACCCTGTTTCCAAATAAGGTCACATTCTGAGATTTCAGGCATTAGGACTTGAGCATATCTTCCTGGGGGATACAATTCAACCCCTAACAGTATGGATATACCACAATTTGTCTAATCATTCACCCTTTGAAGGATGTTTGGTTTGTTTCTAGTTTGGAGCTAGTACAAATAAAGGTCTCCAAACATTTATGTATAGGTTTTTATGTGAACATAAGTTACAATTTTTCTGGAGTAACTGCCTAGGATCACAGTTGCTAATTGTATGGTAATTGTATGTTTAGTTTAGTTTTGTACTATTACACATTTCCATCAGCAATGTGTGAGTGATCCAGTTTTTTCTCATCCTTGCCAGCATTTGGTGGTGTCACTTTTTCACTATGCTATATTTGAGCCATTCTAAAAGATGTGTAGTGATATCTCATTGTTGTTTTAATATGCATTTCCCTAATGAATGATGTTCTGGAACATCTTTTCAATGTGCTGGTTTGTCATTTGTATATCCTGTTTTCGTGAAATACCTGTTCAACTTTTTTGCTCATTTTCTAATTGGATGTTTGGTTGTTTTGTTTTGTTTTGTTTTTTAACTCTGCACTCTTTATATATTCTAGAGCTTTATATATTCTAGTTCTTTATATATTCTAGTTCTTTGACACATATGTCATTTGTAAATAGTTTTCTCCCAGTCTGTACCTTGTCTTTTTATCTTCTCAAGAGACAGGGTCTTTCATAGAACAAAATTTTTTAATTTTAAAGAAGTCCATTTTAGGCTGGTCCGAAGAGTGGATAACTCAATTGATTGTTCACAGTCAGTTATAGATTGAACTCCTCGTTTTACTCCTTCTCCCATTCTCACTACTGCACTTGACTAGTCTTAAAAAAAAAGTCCATTTTATTTCTTTTAAGGTTTGTGGTTGGTGCTTTGGTGTTAAGTCTAAGAAGTCTTTGCCTAGTCCTAGATCTCAGAGGTTTTTTTCTCTTTTGTTTGTTTTTTTTTTCTTTTTTTTTTATTATACTTTACGTTTTAGGGTACATGTGCACAACGTGCAGGTTAGTTACATATGTATACATGTGCCATGCTGGTGTGCTGAACCCAGTAACTCGTCATTTAACATTAGGTATATCTCCAAATGCTATCCCTCCCCCTTCCCCCACGCAACAACAGGCCCCGGTGTGTGATGTTCCCCTTCCTGTGTCCATGTGTTCTCATTGTTCAATTCCCACCTATGAGTGAGAACATGCGGTGTTTGGTTTTTTTGTCCTTGTGATAGTTTGCTGAGAATGATGGTTTCCAGCTTCATCCATGTCCCTACAAAGGACATGAACTCATCCTTTTTTATGGCTGCATAGTATTTCATGGTGTATATGTGCCACATTTTCTTAATCCAGTCTATCATTGTTGGACATTTGGGTTGGTTCCAAGTCTTTGCTATTGTGAATAGTGCCACAATAAACATACGTGTGCATGTGTCTTTATAGCAGCATGATTTATAGTCCTTTGGGTATATACCCAGTAATGGGATGGCTGGGTCAAATGGTATTTCTAGTTCTAGGTCCCTGAGGAATCGCCACACTGACTTCCACAACAGTTGAACTAGTTTACCGTCCCACCAACAGTGTAAAAGTGTTCCTGTTTCTCCACATCCTCTCCAGCACCTGTTGTTTCCTGACTTTTTAATGATTGCCATTCTAACTGGTGTGAGATGGTATCTCATTGTGGTTTTGATTTGCATTTCTCTGATGGCCAGTGATGATGAGCATTTTTTTCATGTGTCTTTTGGCTGCATAAATGTCTTCTTTTGAGAAGTGTCTGTTCATATCCTTCACCCCCTTTTTGATGGGGTTGTTTGTTTTTTTCTTGTAAATTTGTTTGAGTTCATTGTAGATTCTGGATATTAGCCCTTTGTCAGATGAGCAGCTTGCAAAAATTTTCTCTCTTTCTGTAGGTTGCCTGTTCACTCTGATGGTAGTTTCTTTTGCTGTGCAGAAGCTCTTTAGTTTAATTAGATCCCGTTTGTCAATTTTGGCTTTTGTTGCCATTTCTTTTGGTGTTCTAGACATGAAGTCCTTGCCCATGCCTATGTCCTGAATGGTAATGCCTAGGTTTTCTTCTAGGGTTTTTATGGTGTTAGGTCTAACGTTTAAGTCTTTAATCCATCTTGAATTAATTTCTGTATAAGGTGTAAGGAAGGGATCCAGTTTCAGCTTTCTACATATGGCTAGCCAGTTTTCCCAGCACCATTTATTAAATAGGGAATCCTTTCCCCAGTGCTTGTTTTTGTCAGGTTTGTCAAAGATCAGATAGTTGTAGATATGCGGCATTATTTCTGAGGGCTCTGTTCTGTTCCATTGGTCTACATCTCTGTTTTGGTACCAGTACCATGCTGTTTTGGTTACTGTAGCCTTGTAGTATAGTTTGAAGTCAGGTATCGTGATGCCTCCAGCTTTGTTCTTTTGGCTTAGGATTGACTTGGCGATGCAGGCTCTTTTTTGGTTCCATATGAACTTTAAAGTAGTTTTTTCCAATTCTGTGAAGAAAGTCATTGGTAGCTTGATGGGGATGGCATTGACTCTATAAATTACTTTGGGCAGTATGGCCATTTTCACGATATTGGTTCTTCCTACCCTTGTTTTTTTTTTCTAAAAGTTTAATAGTTTGAGATTTTACATTTACATCTATGTTAACTCTTTTCTGCTGAGGCAGTACATTCTATTAATCCTAGATCTCAAAGGTTTTCTTCTTTATTTTTTTTTTCTACAAGTATAATAGTTTGAGATTTTACATTTAAATCTACGTTAACTCTTTTCTGCAGAGTCAGTACATTCTATCTTCCTAGAAGTAGGAGGTCTTGGGATGTAGTTTTATAATCTGGCCAAAATGTCTCTCAGAAGCAGGCATAGTAATGAGGATACCACATGGAAACAACAACAATAAGAACAAAAACATCCCACAGACAGCATGTTCAGCATTCTAGGTGACAGTGTCCCCATAAGTCTCCCCCCATATTTGTGTGAGCGGCTGAATGACGAACAGCAACAAGACAAAAGGCAACTGTGTGGGGCAAGCAAAAGGAAAGGAAAAAAAGGCCTTATGGTCATAAGAGCTTGATCTTGGATGGTTCTAAGAGCATAAAAATCAATGAATAGTCGTCTTTTAAAGAAAGTGTTCCTACTTACAGTGGAGGACTCCATGAACAGATATTTAAATAACACATAAAACTGGTAGGGGGCTGTATTAGTCTGTTTTCACACTGCTAATAAAGACATACCCAAGACTGGGTAAATTATAAAGGAAAGAGGTTTTTTTTTTTTTTTTTCCCCTGCATCATAAATTTTATTCCTGATGTGGGACAGATTCCTTCCATCTCCAAATGAATCACATGCTGCCCCTGAAAGACCTAGGAAACTCTTCCACCATCTCCAGGGAAGTAGCAACAAAGGCAGGTGCTGGGGACTGGAAGGCTTTGAAGTTTTCCATCCTACTTTTTCTCACCTTCTCAACAGAGGATAGCTGTTCTCTATTATTCCTCTCATCCACTCATCCCTTAAAAAACCCCACAAAACGATCATTAGTAAACAAACAAACAAAACCTCTTCAAGTATTGGGCATTAGGGGTTCAGGTTGGGACTTGGGGGTCACCAATGAAAGAGGAAGGGGAAGAGGAGGAGGAGCCATCACTGTTTCTGCTGCAAGGGTTCCTTCCTTGCTGCATCCTGTAGCAACTGTTTGTGGACCTCGTCTGCTGGCAACTGCATGTATCGGACCACTGAGCCCTGAATGAAGCAGTTCTTCACTGATAACATGTGAGGATATTTCTCAGAGTCTATGACACTGATATTAGTTAGTTTGATGTTGAGATACCGATCCACAGAATGGAGGGTTCCACAGATGCTCAGGTCATTCTTGAGTTCCACGACCACATGCTTGCCCTCAAGGGACTTGAAAAAATAATAGAAGAGCGTGGTGCTGGTCCTGCGGGCTGGACCAGAAAGAGGACAGGGGAAAGGAAAGAGGTTTAATTGACTCACAGTTCCACATGCCTGGGGAGGCCTCACAATCATGGTGGAAGGTGCAGGGGAAGCAAGACACGTCTTACATGGCAGCAGGCAAGAGAGAGAGCATGTGCAGGGGATCCCCCTTATGAAACCACCAGATCTCATGAGACTCACGTACTGCCGCGAGAACAGCACAGAAAAGACCCCCCATCATGTTTCAATTACCTCCCAACAGGTCCCTCTCATGATACGTGGGAATTAGGGGGGCTACAATTTGAGATTTGGGTGAGGACACAGCCAAATCATATCGGGCTATTCAGGTTCCCAGTGAGGATTAGAGAAAATGGATTGTTGTAGTTAGAGAATCAGTTATTAGTGATTTTTAAAAATTATACAAATGTTTTAGAATCATTTTGGAAGATCCCATTTATTATCCAGGGTAAAATAAAGGTGAAATAACAGTAAAGCATAGAGATTGGAAACATCATGAGAAGTCACTTGTTAAAATTAAGCTGTTTCTCTAAACTTGAGAATATATATGACTTGAAATCGTTTTTTCAAAATTTTAACTTTTTATAATGGTTTAATCTTTTCCTTTTAAATGAACATAAAATGGATATGTTGTCTATCAGGGTTTGTATTACTTTCATCTTGCTGCTGTAGCAAATTGCCACGAGTACAGTAGCTTAAAACAACACAGATTTATTCTCTTATAGTTCTGGAGGTCACAAGTCAGAAATCAGTTTTACTGGCCTAAAACTATGGTATTCCTAGGGCTAGTTTCTTCTAGACACTCTAGGGGAGAATTTGCTTCCTTTGCCTTTTCCAGTTTTTAGAGGCTGTCCTCATTACATCACTCTTGGTCCCAAGTTACACTGCCTTTTCTTCCACCATTTCCATTGTCACATCACCTTTTCTGACATTGTTCATCTTGCCTCCTTCTTGTAAGTATTCTTATGATTACACTAGGCCCACCTGAATAATACAGGATAATCGGACATCTCAACATCCTCAATTTAATCATATCTGAAAAGTTTCTTTGCCACGTAAGCTGACAAACACTACAGGTTCTGGGCATAAGGATGTGGTTATCTTTTGGGGGACATTATTCAGCTGACCATAGGTTTAAGAGAGTAAAATGTATATTATTTACTTCCATAAATAAATGTTTTTGAATTATATTCAGATGTTCAGTTAATATTTACTTGCCTTGTGCCTTGTCATTTCTGATTTCATTTTGCAAAGTTTATTTTTATTCTTTTAAATTTTTTTTATTTTTCCTGGTAGTCTTTATGAAATTCGTTTGTGTAAAATTACTGTAACAATACTACTTTAGAGTATTATTATTTTGAAGTATACCTCCCTGTTGATTTTGCCCACATTTTTGAAATCATTCACCTTTTTGTGACTGATATTCCGGAAGTACATGAAAATATATTTTTCCACTTTACCTTGTATGTTTTAAATTATTTCTTATATTGTTGTCATTGTTGGAGTCTTTTTTTTTTCTTGGTAGCTAGGAGATGCAAAGAGGAAACCCTCTGGAAGCTTTAAGTACATAATGGGTGCAGTCTTTTCCAGGACCTGGTCCTTAGAAATTTATGTTCACAAAAGTGATTCTTTTAAAAAATCAACTTTCTTTCAAGAGATTACTGAGAAATCAGAAATGTCAATTTATTATTAAAAAGAAGATACTAACTAATAAATAAACCAGCATGAACTTATGAAGAAGTCTGTGGATTTAGAACACAGATCACAGACTGTTGAATGATAATGATGTAAATGCTGATTACCATTTATTGAATTCCACTGGAGAGGTCTGTCTTCTGGATATTACTAGGTCTCTCACAAATGTTCTTACTCATTAGTTTTACTTTTCTTAGACTTTTTTCTCTACTGTTTGTTAGGACACTCACCTGAAACTTGTTACAATAAGGAGATTACAGCTTTCTTTATAGCAGTCACTGAGGTTGCACTGTGCTCAATTAAGTTTGAATTTAGTTTTCAAAATATCCATCAGCATCATATATATAAATAAATCTCTCTTAGTGTGGGTTACTTTTGTCTGTGAATATTTATTCAGTTTATGTTGAGACTTATAGTTTAAATTTAAGAAGATAGTATTTTCTGACCTTATTTTCCAATTTTGACATTTTGTCTAATTTATAATCTATTGTCTCTTACATATTAATAACTTACTTTCAGCAGTGCATGGCACGGTCCTTTTTGGAAATTATTGTAATATATAGTGTGGGCTATTTCCAGAAGTATCTACCACCACTACCTGTTTACACGTGGCTTCAATGTGGGTGAATTAGTTTGAAATTCCCATTGAAGGCAGCCTCCAAGGGTTAAAAAGTCACAGTAAGACAACCTGTGGCCCTGTACTTTAAAGGAGGGATGGGAAAGTATACTGTATTTATATTGGAGACGTTGGAAAGATTTGGAGACCTTTGTTTTACTCATTCCTCCAGTTACATCTTAGCCCTTAGTCCTTGTCATAGTAGTTTCACTTGCCGCCAGACACACATCCCTCACAACATATACACAAGCTTTGTGTCCAGACTGTCACCTTGATTTTATTTATTTTACCCTAGGCACAGATCTGACCCTAGCTATATTGCCTTTGATACTTAAAGTAAATTTAAGATCCTGCTTCTGTTATTTTAATTCATTCTAGGCCCTATACCTCTGGACCTAAGTGTCTACTCTGTGAGGTATATAGTTTAGCTAAAATAAAATGAATGCCATAGATCATAATATATTTGAAAGCATCTTGAATTTGGATTTGACTCCAAACACTTCATTATATTTTGTTAATGCTAGCATGTAATAAATACTGTGATAACTTAAAATCTGCTTAGTTTCATATTTTTTATGATTCTAAAGGGCTCTTATAAAAATGAAATCAAAGAAAAGCATAATTTACATATATGAGGTTTCCTTAATGTCTTCTTAATGAAGTTGAAATCATTTATATTTATTCTCTTTTAGTATTGTGCTTCTGCTAAGCCAAAAACAGGCACTTGAAGAACTGAAACAGTCAGTCCAGCAGCTGAGATGCACTGAAGCAAAGTTTTCAGCACAGAAGGAATTACTAGAGCAAAAAGTGCAAGAAAATGATGGGAAAGAGCCACCTCCAGTAGTAAATTATGAAGAAGATGCACGATCAGTTACATCTATGGTAAGCTAAAGAATAATCCAATGAGAAACTTGGAAGAGTAGTGTCTAGGTAATAAGTGCATACAAAAATTATTTAAATTTGCTATAACAAATTGTTACTCTTGTTAATATGCAGGTCCTATTAAACTTGTTTGTAAATGCAAAATAGACTTGTCAGTCACCTCAGGTCACCTGGAGAGCACTTTCAGGAACCACCTGTAGAGTCAGAGGAAAAAGTTCTTCTCTTGCCTTCAAAACTGAAAGGAAAGACTGCAGTTGTTTTTATTCCTGGGAGACAGCAGGAAGGTAGGGTCTTATTCTTAAGAGAGAAGTAAGCAATAAGAAGAAAGCTATTTATTGATTTTTTTCTTCTTAAGTAGAATCTTATTTATCTGAGATTGCTGGTGTATTTATTGCTTTTAAAATACAAAATATTGATTTAGTTTAAGAATTTTTTTTCTGCTCATAAATGTGACCCTTAGACTACAATAAATACATTCAAATTCACCAACTTGAAATTCAACTTTATTTCATAGTTTTATTAACTGTTTAAGAATGCCTAGTATAAAGTCTTTCTTCTTCTCTCCTTTCCTTTCCACTCCTCTCCTTTCTTCTCTTCTTTGCTCCCCTCTCTCCTCTTCCTTTCTGTCCTCTCCTTTCCTTTCCTTCCTCTTTCTCTCTCCTTTCTCCTTCTTCCTTCCTTTCCCTCCCTTCCCCTCCCCTTCCTCCCTTCCCTTCCCTTCCCTCCCTTCCCCTCCCCTCCCCTCCCTTCCCCTCCCCTTTCCTTCCTTCCTTCCTTCCTTTCTTTTTCTTTTTCTTTCCTTTCTCTCTTCCTCTTTCTTTTCTCTCTCTTCCTCTTTCTTTCTTTATCTTTCCTTTTTCTATTATCTACCTATTGATCTATCTATCTATGTATGTTGGTGGTTCTCACCCCCTGCCACACACATACCTGGGACATTTGGTAGTATCACCAGACACTGTGATTGTCATAACCAGATCTAGTGGGTAGAGATTGGTGATGCTGGTAAACCTCTTAGAATGCACAGAACAGCCCCTCCCTTCACACTCCCAGCACAAAATTATCCAGGCTAAAATGTCAAAAGTGCCAAGGTTAAAAAAGTCTGAGCTACATCCTTGGCATTTCCTGTGGGTAACTTACAGAACTATTATAGTTATGCTATAGCTGATATTTTAGTACTTTTTACTTTATGTTGTTCTAAATAGTATGATTTGATTAAGTGGGTTCATATGTCTCCATAGCAAAAAAAAAAAAAAAAGACCGTATCTGAGAATACGGTAAATGTAGTAATGAATATGAAGTATTTAAACAATTGTGGTTATTACTATTACTATTAAATATTAAAATTAAACTATTGTGGTTGTTAGTAATATTGAGCCATATTAATCTACACATCACTTTGTGAATTGTGAATTATGAATCCTTGCACTCTTTCACTGTCCTAGCTATAAGGATCTCAGCACATGTACCAAGGACCCTATTAAATTCCCTTTCTTGCTTCATGATTCTTGATAAGTATCTGGCATATGTGTTCTTTCAAAGGAACTTTTGAAATGTTTTCCTTTTGTTTGGCTTTGGAATATCTTATCTAGTAAATCTTTTGTTCACTGAGTGTGGTTTATAATATTTCCCTGTTACCATGACGTTGTGGAATTGGTTATTTAAAGGCTTGGCTGGGCGCGGTGGCTCACGCCTGTAATCCCAGCACCTTGGGAGGCCGAGGTGGGTGGATCACAAGGTCAGGAGATCGAGACCATCCTGGCCAACATGGTGAAACCCTGTCTCTACTAAAATACAAAAAAAAAAAAATTAGCTGGGTGTGGTGGTGTGTGCCTGTAATCCCAGCTACTCAGGAGGCTGAGGTGGGAGAATCATTTGAACCTGGGAGGTGGAGGTTGCAGTGAGCTGAGATCGTGCCACTGCACTCCAGCCTGGTGAAAGGGCAAGACTCCATCTCAAAAAAAAAAAAAAAAATTCTGATCATCTGGAGTTTAATATTTCATAATCATTGAAGAAAAGTTTTGTTTAACTAATGAATAGATAATGTTTCTGAGGTAGTGTATAGTGTAGTTTAAGAGAATGAATTGCCTTCCGGCACCTTCAAGTTCTGCTCTCGTGTCCATTAATTCAATGGTGATAATACTTAATATATTTTTACAAGATGGTGCTGCATATTTCATTTTATCAAATTTATTTTAAATTGTTGAAATACTAATTATAAATTAGATCTTGCCTATTTGCTGAAGCAATGCTTTTAGTCATTAAGGATTTTTTTGTAAAAGAATACTATAATATATGTAGTTTAAAGCAATAAATTAATATTTTACAAATAAGACAGGGCATTCTTACAAATTAATGCCAGTTAATGAGATTTTACAGCATTTTTTCAGAACAATTAGAAATTTTTACAATGCCCAATTCCTAAAACTTAAGAATACATCTACATGTGTCAGTGAAATCTTTGTGTAATTCAGTTTTTCAATTAATAATTAGAATATTACTTTTCAGTTTACTTGGAAACGAAAACAATCAAAGCTTTAAATGATTTTGTCCCCAAATGACTGTTTAAGCATTGCTTTATGAATAATGTTACAAGAAAAGCCTGGAATTCACATAAGTGGTTCTATTGGTATTTTCTCTTTATAAATTCCATTGCTATAAATGGTATACAATTTCAATAAGAGACTTATTTGAATATTGGAAGAATTGGAAGAACTCAAAATTAAACTATTGTATCATGGAAAATTGTGAAAATTTGTGTAAATATTATTTGAGAGCAGGAGAGACAATGAATTATGCTCCATGATCTTAGTTAATGGCAGTGTTACTGAAAATACCGACTCTTCGGTGGTGAATGCTTCTGTAGAAGAGTGCTTTAAGGAACTGTACCATTGAAATGTGCCATGCATTGGGTATTCTTATAAAGGTTCCAAATGATCAAATGTGTAATCAGGGTTGGGGTTGTATAGTCAAGTTCTTAGTGTTTGATGTTTATTTTGTCTTAGTCTTGATGTTTATTTTAGCTCTATGAGTCAATGAGAGTTAAAGCTCATTGTTACAGTTTAAACGTTTGCTCTCTCCAAAACTCATGTGGAAATTTAATTGCCATTGTAAGAGTGTTAAGAGGTGGGACCTTTGAGAGGTGATTAGGTCAGGAGGGCTTCATCCTTATGGATGTAATTAATGTCTTTATAAAAGAGGGAGTTTGGCTCCCCTTTACCTCTTTGCCCACCTCCCCACCCCCGCCATGTGAAACCAAAGGATTCTTTTCCTTTGGAGGATGCAGTCTTCAGTGGTCCATCTTGGAATTGGAGATTGGGCTCTTTTCAGATGCCAGGTCTGCTAGCACCTTGATCTTGGACTTCCTGGAACTGTGAAAAATGAATTTCTTTCTTTTTTTTTTCCTTCACAACTATGCTAATGAGGAAAGCTGTGGTTATGCTAGATAAGTATGATGAATTAAGTAAGAGAGGGGAAGAGGAGTGAAGATGCATATAAGAAAGTGATTATAATGATTAAAGAATTAAAGCTGTGTAATAAAGACAGAGGCCATCAAGAGAGGAATGGAGTATAAGGAAAAGTGCTTTGAGGAGATAGGTTGTTAAATCAGGTGATTATGGCATAATAGGTTAGATAATAGAATCTTAAAATTTTGGAATTTCCTCTAGCCAGTGACAGTAAGCAGAATCAGAAATAAAAGTGAAGCATCTTCAATGGCACACCTGTAAGGGAATATAATAAATAATAATCACTTTGTGTCTACCACAGAAATAAAACCCTGCCATTTTATAAACCTTAATATTATTTAAAAAATAATTTTGGTAGACTGGATGTAGTGGCTCACACCTGTAATGTCAGCATTTTGGGAGGCTGAGGTGGATTTACTGCCTGAGTTCAGGAGTTTGAGACCAGCCTGGGCAACATGGCAAAACCTTGTCTCTACAAATATATAAAAATTAGTCGGGTGTGGTGGCACATGCCTGTAATGCTAACCACTCAGGAGTTTGAGGTAAAAGGATTGTTTAAGGTGTGTAGTTTGAGACTGCAGTGTTCCACGATTGTGCCACTGCACTCCAGCCTGGGTGACAGAGTGAGAGCCAGTCTCAAAATAAAATAAAAATAATTTTGGTCTATTAGTAGAGTAACCTTTAAAAACCATAAATCACAGTTTTACCTTATTTGCAAAGGTTCACTCTACTTCTCTGAACTTAACAGAGTGTTTCTAAGGCTTAGGATAACATTGGAAAGATTAGTCTTTTCTGTTATACCATCAAGCTTATAGACTACCGGAGGGGGAATAAATTCATTTGAACTTTGGCAGTACTCTATTAAAGAGGAAAAAAACGGGCTATAAGAATACACATCTTTAGAGCATTTAGAGATGATATCTTTGAGACCATTATAATTACAAAAGGAGAAGTACAATGATAATTTATGGAAGGTTTTCCTAGCAATGTTAGTCATATTTATTTTGCTAGGCTGGCAGTAGTACTAGTCTGAGTTTTGTTGTATTGATTTGATTCATTAGATTAGATCTTTATTTTCTCTGTGTATTTCCCATTAGTTTGTGGGATGTTAAGAAGTGTACCATGGAGAAGTGAGTTGCAGAATTTGAGTCATGTTGGGTGAAGCCAAAAGAAACAGTAATATTGACTGCAGGAACTTTCTAAGCCTTTAATATTAAATGTCCAAGGGGGAAATAGTATATGGGATGCAGTGTTTCTGAAAATATTGTCCCAATTCCCTTTCAAGGAGCCTCCTGGGAGGACCATAGTGTAATGGAGCATACTTTGGGAAATGCTTAGTTAGAAGATAAATCCTTTCTTATTGAATTGGGATAATGACAGATTAAATGTCTAATAATTCTGAAGAATTTTGAATTGCTTATGTGTTGTTGAATTTAAGGATTATTTTATATAATAGTTCAATTCTAGCTCTTTGGGGTAGAAGAATCTGCCTTCTGGAGCAAATTAGGAGGGTGAACTCTGTTGACTCACAGTGATGAGAATATCAAAATTTTCTAATCTCCAAGTAAACATCAGCTGCTTTCTTATTATATTTATTTATTTATTTATTTATTTATTAAGAGACATGTTCTTCATTCTTTTTTTAGTTATCTAGTTGTAAGAACATAATAAATATTCAATTAGTATATGCTGAATTAAATAATTGGACTTCGTTTTCCCTTCAGAATAATCTGGTTATTTAACTTTATGACAATATATGCTTTGGACCAAACATATAATAATTTTTGTTGAAAGAGTCTCCCTTATATGTCAGATATGTCTAGAATTTATGGCACCATAAAATGAATTTCTACTTTATAAATGTAATTAGCTAGTCTGTATGATAATTGCCTTTGTTTCTGAAATTGCACATTTTGTTTAAGCCCTTTTGCTAGACCAACACACAACATAGATTTTTCTTCTCTGCACATGTTACTTAGTTTTGCTTAATTGAGCAGCAGTATCAGTAAAATCCTATTTTGTTACATTTTCAACCAACAACACATTTAATTTGTTGGCTAAAAATTGTCAGGCCAGGCCTGGTGGTTTGCGCCTGTAATCCTAGCACTTTGGGAGGCTGAGGCCCGTGGATCACTTGAGGTCAGGAGTTCGAGACCAGCCTGACCAACATGGCAAAACCCTGTCTCTACTAAAAATACAAAGATTAGCCAGACATGGTTAAGATCCCTTAACCTTTCTGAGTTTTCTTTTCCGTAGAGGGAGGAAATGAATATATACCTCTTTTGCCTTACAGGATTTCTGTGACACTGAAATGAGATAATGTGTATAAACATATTTTGTATATTATAAAATCCTGTAGAAAAATATCAGCTTCTATTTCAGTTTTTCTAAAAAATGTACCTTAGTTTACAGGTAAATTAATTGATATTCACTGAGTTCTTAAGTATGAATTGTAGATTTTCTGTAAGATTATTTTACATATTTCTTATTCATAAAGGAAAAACCTTAATTTCTTTGGATAGGTAGTACATGCACATTTACATGGGTCTAAGTGTCCTTTCTTAGTGTCCCAGTTCTCTTCCTTAGAGGTAATCTTCCAGAAGTGTTGTATGCAAATAAAAACACAAGTGTAAATGATATGCCTGCTGTTCTTTTTACACAAGTGTTACAGCATACAACAGTAGTGTTCTGTATCTTGCTTTTTTACTTAATGCATCTTAGGTATCATTTTATAATAGTGAATGTACAGTTACTTCAGTTTTTTTTCATTTATCCATTCAAAAAGCAAATATTTATTGAATGTCAGGTGTCAGGTATCATTTTAGGTTTTGGGGATACAGTAGTGAACAAAATAGAATTTGTTTTCACTGTTATGGGCCTTTTACTCTAATTGGAGGGGACAGTGAATAAACAAACAAATAAATACATAGTATGTCACATGGTGGTAAATTCTTTTGAAAAAAAGCAAGATTGGGGGCAATAAGGCAATGAGTGCTGGGAGTTATTTTTATACATAGTGTGGTTAAGGAAGGATTCCTTGATAAAGTGCCATTTGTGCAGATATCTGGAAGAACTGAGAGAGCAAATGAGACTGCTTGGGGTGAGAATATTTCAGGCAGTGGGAAGAGCAGATGAAAGGAGGAACCAAAAGGAAGCCAGTGTAGCTGAAGAGAGAGAAAGTAATAGGAGATAGGGTCTGAGAAGTAATGGGCAGTTAGATCATAAAGTCATACAGACCCACGTAGGACTTCAGTGCTAATTCATAGAGAAATTAGAAATCATTGAGCGTTCTGAGTGAGGGAGTGACATTTTTACATGGTTTTCAATTTTTTGTTGTAAATACATCTTCAGTGAAAATCCTTGTAATACTATTGTGTGTAGTTTATGTGTAAGATATATTTTAGGTTTTGTTCAGCTTATATAGGTTTAGATTTTACTGTCAAAAAAGTTGAAAAGTTTCTGAACCTGAGAACAATGTCAGTTATAGATATTAATTATAACATTAATATTTCAGTTTTGTAGATGAGTAAATTTTTGCTTCCAGCTTTTCTGTGGCATGAATTTTACCATGCTGAACTTCAGTGTCTTAACAAACCATTACTATTATTAAATTCTTCTATGGCTCTGACACCTAAAGTATATTTACAGTTGTATGTTATACTGTATATAAATTTGATATATAAATTTCTAACTTATAAAACAGGTAAGCTAGGAGGTGATTATGATTATAATCATTTTCCAAATGATTCAGGTCAAGATTCCATTCATCAATAGCCATTTTTCTTTGGCTCATATAAATGAAGTCATTTCATATCACGTTAGCCAATGGATGATGCCAGAAACACTCTTTTTCATTAGGCCACAGTATCTTCAGTATCAGGAGAGAAAAAACAATGCTTAAACTTTCAAAGTGTTTTTTAGCTTATATTTTAACTGTTATCTGTGTTCATATTCATATGAAGTTGATATATAGGCCAAAATGAAGTAAATAAAAATAAGATTTTCCATTTGGTTTTGGAAAAACTATATGTATATATTTCAAATTTATCTTTTAAATTATGAATTTCTTAATTTCTTAGCATAAACTAACTGGCCAGGGGTGAACTAGCCCTAGAAGGATATAATAAAAGGAGAGAGAAGATAAAGTTAGGTAAGAATTAAATATCTACTATGATTAATGCAAATAAAAAGAATTCCTCAGATTTATTTATTCAGTCACTTGGGATTCAACAGCGCTTAATGATTACTTACCACAGGATTATTATGTAATGGGGTTTTTTGGGAAAGGTGGGTCAAAGAGATTTAGAAGCTGTTACAGGATTTGGTCGGAGACATGAAGCACAAGTAATTGATTTAACAGTTAATTGAAAGTTGGCTGAATTTTGACTTGTATGTATTTATACATTAAAACATTTTTTAAACTTGTGTTTAGCAGTACCTATATATATACTCAGTAAATGTTTATAGATGAAATGAATAGGTACAGAATTTCAAAAGCAGGTTAAAATTGATGTAACTCAATTTTTAAAATGGTTTAAATGTTAAAATTGTTTTCATCAAGTATTTCCCACTTTATTAATAAGTAATTGTGGCAATGGTATTCTAACAGGGTGAAAAAATCTGGAGTAGTTACAGAGATAATGACTAATGAGTGGTTGTGATAGAATCTTTGCTCTAGGGAGAGCCCCAGCTATAGAGCCAGACTTCTTTGGTTTGAGTCTTTGCCTCACCACTTAAGTAAGTGCAGGGTATAAGCCAAGTTATGGGACTTTTTCTGTCCCCATTTCCCAGTGTGTAAAATGAGATTACTGTGTTACCCACTCTTGGGTTTGTTGCAGGAATAGTTAAGTTTATACATTTAAAGCATGCAGAACAGTGCTTGTCACTTAGTAAACTAGTATTGTCTAATATTTGATTATTTGATGAAACATCACAGAAACAATAATAAGTTAATGTGTGTGCTTACTTTTTTGCTGGTCTTTTTTTCCCTGTTCTTGATGTTATTTTTTCATTAAGCATAAATCCTTCCTTTTAAAAATGCAAACTATTAATTTTTAGATGATAGGTAAGCATGTTTGTGATCTACTCTTCTCTGTACTTGAAATATTGTTGTCTTTTAGCCACAATAGATTGGAAAACATTTTTTAAAAAACTGTCATGTAATTAACTTACGACTTATGCATTACCTTTATAATAGCCCTTTTATGACGTTATTAGAGTTGATCAGCTAATTTTTCAAATATTTTTAGTGTTACTAGTTTATTAGAAGTCTGCTTTTTTCCTTTCTCATACATTATTAAAGTTTGTGTTTAAATTTTTACATGATGCAATTTTTATAAAAAATAGTACATAATCCCATTATTTTAATGTTACTTTTATAGTTTAATTTGAATGAAAGAAAAAAATCCCTAAGTACAATTATATCTTAAGATTATTCATTACTAAAATAATATATATATATGTTTAAATTTGCTGTTATGGAAAATAACAGCTTTTGATACTCATAATACTTCCTTTTAACAATTCTCCTTTCTGCCATCTTATGCAATACCATGATTTTATTCATTCTACCAGTTGAAACCTGTTTTTTCCATTTCCTTTGGTCCCTTTCTCTCAGTATTGTTCAAAGTCTATCTTTCTAACAGTGGTGTAGGGTGGAAAAAATTGTGGGAATTGGAGTCACATTATCCTGGGTTTAATTGCCTTTAGGTGGATTTTCACCCGCTAAACTACAATGTCTTCATCGGTAAAATCTAATTAATAATATACACTTCATAGGATTGTTGGATGTATTTATGAATGAATGTAAAAACAATATACAGCTCCAGATACAATTAGGAAGGTGCTTAATGCACATTTGGTTTTTGTTCCTTTTATTTCCCCTTTTTCTCCATTTCCTTTTTCCCTCTTTTTTTTGTCTCTTCCACCTTTTTCCTCCCTCCTCTGCCTTCTCATTAAACACAATTAGCCAACTTCTTTTCTTTTCTTTTCTTTTTTTTTGAGATGGAGTCTCACTCTGTTGCCCAGGCTGGAGTGCAGTGGCGGGATCTCGGTTCACTGAAACCTCTGCCTCCTGGGTTCAAGCAATTCTTGGGCTCAGCCTTCCGAGTAGCTGGGATTACAGGTGCTGCCACCACACCCAGCTAATTTTTTTGTATTTTTGATAGAGACGGGGTTTTATCATCTTGTTCAGGCTGGTCTTGAGCTCCTGACTTAGGGATCCACCCGCCTCGGCCTCCCAAAGTGCTGGGATTATAGGAGTGAGCCCCTGGGCCCGGCCACAGTTAACCAACTTCTGTAAGTATCTAGTGCCATGGATGTAGATAACCTGGAATAGTAGACAGAGTCTCTGCACTCTTAGATCTACATTCAGCAAGCAGAAAATTGCAATAAACAAATGATTAACAAGAAAACATCAGATAGAACTAAGTACTCTGATGAAATTAATCATTAATATTCCTTAGGCTTCAGTATTTAACACTCAGTCTTCAGTTTGTTTTCTTTTCTTTGTATTCAGGTATCAGTGGATTTTTTTTTCTTTTGTCATGATTTAGACATCAATTGATTGACACCCAAATGTACATTTTCGAGAAAATTGAGAGTACTGGAATACCACTCCAGATAAAGACAAAAAATGAAAGCAGAGAGAAAGTTAAGTGATTTAAGCAAGTTCATGCAGAAAAGGTTAAATGTAGTAAAACATTTTAGTTTATTGAGAACAATTTCATTATTATTTATATACCAATTAGATTTTCTTCCTTTGATTTTCATTTTTAGATTAACTGTTTACCTGATAGAGGTAGTATTACCTGGCGTTCGTTTTGTGTTAATTAAAAAACAAAAACTTTGGACTATGATGATGTAGCTTAATGCGGATATATTGTTTGAGAAACTGAACAGAAATTTAATTACCGGAAAAAGGAATAAAAGATATTTAAATGCATGGCTAATTTGCTGTAATAACTGTTAAAAAATTTTTTAAAAACCTTTTTCCTTCCCTTACATTGCTATAACGAAATAATAGCTGTTAAGAATGAAATTGCTAAAGAAATTTCTATTCATAGATTAATAGTTCTTTTTTCTGCCTATACAATAGTTTTTGGGTGCTCATTAAAAAATATTAATAAATCAATCAAAAGTAATTACTTGGCATATAAACCATCACATAACATGTTCAAGTCATTTTGTTACGATTTTTAAAAATAATTTCATTTTCTTCAACCTGAAAAAAGTCATTCCAGCCTATACAATTTGGTTGCTAATCTCTCTATTAAACTGTGTAGTATTTGTTTTAAAATTTGTATTTGCTGAGGCAGGAGAATGCTGTGAACCCGGGAGGCGGAGCTTGCAGTGAGCCGAGATGGCGCCATTGCACTCTAGCCTGGGCGAGTGAGCGAGACTCCGTCTCAAAAAAAAAAAAAAAAAAAATTTATATTTGAAGGCCAGGTGTGGTGGCTGGCTCATGCCTGTAATCTCTGTACTTTCAGAGGCCAAGGTGGGTGGATCGCTTGAGCTCAGAAGTTCTAGACTAGCCTGGGCCACATGGAGAAACCCTGTATCTACAAAAAGTAAAAAATTAGCTGGGTGTGGTGGCACGTGCCTGTAGTCCTCAGGAGACTAAGGTGGGACGATGGCTTGAGCCCAGGAGGCAGAGGTTGCAGTGAGCCAAGATGACATCACTGTTCTCCAGCCTGGGCAACAGAACCAGACCCTGTGTTAGAAAACAAACAAAACAATTATGTTTGAAGATGTTCTATCTGGCGGCTTAATTGTGGGTAGATTTTTGACAATGTATGTAGTGAAGGATTTATATGTTTTTGTCTCCAAAATCTTGTGTCTTGAATTTTGATAATTATTTTATGACATTAATTTCTTTAACTGAAAGTTTTTATAAAGAGAATGTGTGAATGTTATGATTTATTGCTTCATTTGGTACCAGATGAATTTTAAATCCTTTTTTTTATTATAGTATTGTGCAGAAAGTTGTTTCTCATTATACATATTTAAAAGCTTAAGGATCCACTGTTAATTTTTTAAATCATCGGTTTACTTCGCAAATCACAGATGAAGGATGTGATCTGAAACTAAGGAAAGGTTTTCTCTATCACAGTGTATCTAGAGATCTTTGAGAGTAGAGGCTAAGTTTTCTTGAAAATTCTCAAGGTTGTGTAAAAAAATCATTTGTTCCTTGGAAGGAGAAACAACTCATTCCAAAGTATCAGTTACACTTCTATTCTATATTTAACTATATGGTATATGTTGTCAGAGGACTGTAAGAAGAATATAAACAAATTCAGATGTTTAAATCTGTCTTCTTTTTGAAACTTGAATTAATGCTGTCATACTGGTGATGTTAGAAAAAAAACATTTGAACAGCTGGAAGGGTACCACATAGTTAAGAAACAATCTTCGGACAGACTAATAGAGAAGAATACTTCGGTGAAGTAAACTCCAATGTATATGTATTTATATATGTATCATATATATACTTATATATAAATAAAATAATATTTTGAGGAAAACAAAACTTTTTATGTTGGATAAATATCAATTTTGATTTTAAACTTATGCTACATAAAGAGGAAATTTCAGATGTATTAAATACTCAAATATTTTTAAAAAGCCACAAAACTACTAGAAGAAAATATTACTGAACATTTTCCTATGTTGGAAAATAAACTGAATTAAAATGCAGGATAAAAACTGGGAATAATATGTACTGCTCTTGTGACAAAGTATTAATGTTTGTAAATATATAAGTAGATCATCCAAATTGGTTTAGAAAAAAGTAATGCACCAATTAAAAATGGACAAAGATTATGAATAAGATATTCATAATAGATTAAATATAAATTTTTGTAAGATATTTAAAAACTTTTCAAGCCACTAGTAATGAAAATAATGATTAAGAAATGCAATTAGAAATTAATGAACTGTTAAACTTGTCTATCATCATCTACAGTGGCTTCCTTCGAACCTGCTCTCTACTCTAGCCAAAGTTATCTTTTAAAATTTCACATCAGCCAGTCTGGTTATAGTGGTCTCAACAAGAATGGGTACAGTGGCTTTTTATGACTTTCAGGTGAAACACCAAATTTCTTGACCACACTTAGCATAATTTCCCTATTCTTTGGAAGGCTTTTACTTTTTTTAAAAAAAAGGTTTGTTTAAAAATTTAATTCCATTTTAGATTCAGTAGGTATATGTGCAGGTTTGTTACATGAATATATTGTATAATGGTGGGGTTTGGGCTTCTAGTATACCCATCACCCAAATAGTGAACATTGTACCACATAGGTAATTTTCAACCCCCTCCGCTTCTCCCACTTCGCCCTTTAGGAGTCCCCAGTGTCTATTATTTTCAGCTTTATGTCCAATATACCCATTATTTAGCCCCTGCTTATAAGTGAGAACATACGGTATTTGATTTTCTATTTCTGAGTTTTTTCACTTAGGATGATGGATCATGGCCTCCAGCTCCATCTAGTTGCTGCAAAGGACATTATTTCATTATTTTTTATGGCTGCATAGTATTCCATAGGGTATATATACCACATTTCCTTTATCCAATCAACTATTGGTGGATATTTAGGTTGATTCCATGACTTTGCTATTGTGAAGAGTATTACAATAAACATATGAGTGTAGGTGTCTTTTTGATATAATACCCAGTAGTGGGATTACTGGGTCAAATAGTAGTAGTTCTATTTTTAGTTCTTTGAAAAATTCTCCATGTTGTTTTCCATAGAAGTTTAACTAATTTACATTCCCACCAACAGTGCATAACATTTTCTTTTCACCACATCCGCACTAGCATCTGTTGTTTTTTGACTTTTTCAACATAGCCATTCTGACTGACGTAAAATGATATCTCATTGTGGTTTTAATTTGCATTTCTCTGATGATTAGTGATGTTGAGGTTTTTTTCATATATTTCTTGGTCATGTGTATGTCTTCTTTTGAGAAATGTGTGTTCATGTCGTTTGCCCACTTTTTAATGGAGTTGTTCATTTTTTTCTTGTGTTGTTTCAGTTCCCTATAGATTCTGGATATTAGTACTTTGTTAGAGTCATAACTTGCAAATATTTTCTCCTATACTGTAGATTGTGTGTTTGTTCTGTTGATTATTTATTTTGATGTATAAAAACTTTCTAGTTTAAGTCTCATTTATCTATGTTTGTTTTTGTTGCATTTGCTTTTGGGGTTGTTGTCATAAATTCTTCGTGTAGGCCAATGTCTGGAAGAGTGTTTCTTAGGTTTTCTTCTGGAATTTTTATAGTTTCAGGTTTACGTTTGAGTCTTTAATCCATCTCGAGTTAATTTTTGTATATGGTGAGAGATAGGGGTCTAGTTTTATTCTTTTGCATATTGCTAGCCAATTTTCAGAGCACCATTTATTGGATAGGGTAGCCTTTCCTCACTGTTTATTTTTGTGAACTTTGTCAAAGGTCAGTTGGTTGTAGGTAGATGGCTTTATTTCTGGGTTCTCTGTTCTGTTTCATTGATCTGTGTCTATATTTGTACAAGTATCATGCAGTTTTAGTTATGATATGGTTTGGCTGTGTCCCCACCCAAATCTCATCTTGAATTGTAGCTCCCACAATTCCCACGTGTTGTGGCAGGTACCTGGTTGGAGATAATTGAATCACGAGGGCAGTTTTCCCCATACTGTTCTTGTGATAGTGAATAATTGTTACAGGATCTGATGGTTTTATAAGGGGTTTCCTCTTTTGCTTGGCTCTCATTCTCTCGTCTGCTGCCATGTAAGAAGTGCCTTTCGCCTTCTGCCTTCCACCATAATTGTGAGGCCTCCTCAGCCACTTGGAACTGTGAGTAAAGCCTCTTTTTCTTCATAAATTACCCAGTCTCAGGTATGTCTTTATTAGCAGTGTGAAAACGGACTAATACAAGTTACTTTAGCCTTGTAGTATAATTTAAAGTCAGGTAATATGATGCCTCCAGATTTGTTGTTTTTGCTTAGGATTAAACAACAAATTTCTTTAAGTGACCTGCCTAAAGGGTTTACCTTGTCTGGCTCCTACCATGGACTTTTTTTGTTTTTTCTTGAGACAGAGTCTCGCTCTTGTCACCCAGGCTGGAGTGCAGTGGCACAATCTTGGCTCACTGCAACCTCTGTCTCCCAGGTTCAAGAGATTCTCATGCCTCAGCCTCTCAAGTAGCTGGGATTACAGGTGCCCACCACCAAGCCTGGCTAATTTTTGTATTTTTAGTAGAGACTGGGTTTTGCCATGTTGGCCAGGCTGGTTTCGAACTCTGACCTCAGGTGATCCACCTGCCTCGACCTTCTAAAGTGCTGAGATTGACTACAGGTGTGAGCCACTGTGCGTGGCCCTATGAACTCTTACTAATCTGAATGGATACTGGTTGTAATCACAGACATGACGCTATGAAAGAAGAGCAAAACAAGAAAGGAAGATATAAGGATTGAAGGCCTGGGAAAAAAATTTGGGGGGTATTACCTGGGCTGGTTGTATCAATTCA
Organism: Homo sapiens; assembly: GCF_000001405.40. Taxonomy (NCBI): domain Eukaryota; kingdom Metazoa; phylum Chordata; class Mammalia; order Primates; family Hominidae; genus Homo; species Homo sapiens. Next base: position 108,912,815 of record NC_000005.10, read on the forward strand.
GTTATGAACAAGTGTAGTTGGAGTAAGTAGCTATCAAGTGTGGTCTGAAATCTTACAAGTGAAGAAATTCTGACTGGTAAGTTCCAAGTTAAAAATGGTAGAATGAGTTACTGAAGTTGAGCCTAGATGAGTACTCTTGGAGATGAAGCCATCCAAGGAACTTTGAGGCCTTGGGTATAAGAATCATTTATGATATTGTTGGGGGTTGAGCTGGAAAGAAAATAATCTTAAGCTACTTGCCAAATACAAATACCTCAGTAAATGAAAGGGAGTGTCTGAGAGGTAGATGAGAGTATTGAGAATGTAAATATCCACAAATGGTTTCATTTATGCTATTATTATACCTACTGCATCTCTTATAATTATTTTCTATATAAACTTTTACTGCTTAACACAGTACCTGGCAAAGAGTAGGTACTCGATAAATTTTTCTTTGAACATGCTTGATATTGCAAAATGAAACCATCAGCATTTAGGTTGCAGTTTTTAGTTAAATGTGTGACTCACTCTACATATTCCTTGTATATAAATACCAAACAAAAACAAAACACTAAGCTAATGTATAGGGGTAAATTAGTCTAGTATCTGTGTGATAAAGTAATAAACTCATAATTCTGACAGAAAGGAAAGGATGCAGAGTGATAGTCTTGACTAACATAGCTATCATTTATAGATAGGCAAAGTAGAAATTTGGCATACTGTGTTATTTAAGCAGGGCCAGAATGAACTATGTCCTCTAAAATATCTTAGCCACAACCACTACTTTGGAAAGCCTATTGGGCAGTGTCTACTAAAGAAGGAAATGTGTACACCCTGTGACTCAGTATATCTGCTCCTGGATATATACTCAATAGAAATACATACATATGCTCTCAAAAAGGCATGTACAAGAATATTCACAGGAGCACAATTTATAATGACCCCAGCTAGAAACTGTCCAGATGTCAGTCAACAGTAGAATACATAAATTGTGGGATACTTACCCAATGGGATACTCCGCAGTAATGAAAATGAACAGATTACAACTACATGCAGCAGTATGGCTGAATCTTACAAAAATAATGCTAAGTGAAAAGACACCAGACATTACATATTCTGTGATTCCATTTATATGGAGCTCAAAAAAATGTAAAAGTAATCAATGACATTCGATTTTAGAATAGTGGTTCCCCTTGGTAGGGTGGGTGTAGTGACTGAAAGGGGCCACACAAGACACTTCTAGAGTATAGACAGTGACTTGTTTCTTGATCTGTGTTCTGGTTACAGGGACTTTTTCAATCTGCAAAAATTTATAACCTGCACACTTTTGATTTGTAAACTTTGCTATATTCATCTTGTACTTCAATGAAAAAATTTAGAAAAAAATTGTTCTAACTTAGCATAGGACCAAAATGAAAGCATGCTTAACTTGTCTCTCTGTGTGTGTGTGTGTGTGTGTGTGTGTGTGTATGTGTTAGATTGTGTGTTGAGCTTTCTATGGCTATCTTTTCAGAATTATCTGGGAGAAGGAGGAGCTTTTTAAACCATATATGCCATACTTACTTTTCTCTGTTACCGACTCTCTAACCATTATTATTACGTTTCTTCTATGGACTATGTACCTCTTATTCTTTCTCTTTTACTGAGAAACTATAGTTCGCTATTATTTTTGATAACAAAGTGTTGTATTCTTCAGATCTCTTGTGGTTGAAAAATAATGACTTTTGGGCAAAGGATTTTTGTCTTAAAGATCCTTATTAAATTCTGAATGCCTCTTGGAGAAGTAGCATGTTAAGCATCATCAGACATTAATATGTACCTCAATTCAGGGGCTTGAGGAATGCAGGAGCGGTGAAATCAGCATGGAAGTAGATAGCACAAGCATGTGAAATGATACTTTGAAGTAGTCTTTATTCTGATAGGCAGGCTAGTGAGGGGCATAGTGCTGGAAGGGAAGGTGAGAAGTTGCTGATGATTAATTTAGCCCATTTCACAAATTTGTGTAAGCCTAGCTCTTCCCTTTTCAAAAGTAATTTAGGTTAAGATAAGTATATAGGAAAAAATAATTTAGAATAGAGGAGAAGGCTTGGGAAAAGCTCTTGAAATTTTGGAAAGAAGAACTCATTTCTTTTCTGTGGTATAGCCAGGAATGGTGGTGGCTACAGGGTTTAGCAAGGACAAGGAGGATATGGGTTAGGCATGTAACTTGGAAGGAGTTGAAGTAAAGTAGGATATGGATTATGAAAGACACCTGGTTTCAGAAGTCAGTGAACAAAGGACTAAGAAGGTTAGGTAGAGATGGAATCCAGTTGGTAAGAAAAAGCTTTAGTTGTCTTTTGAGAGATTTGGTTAACCTAAGAGTCTCCAGAACCTTAGTCATTACAAATAGCTACTTTTGGCCCGGCCCAGTGGCTCATGCCTGTAATCCCAGCACTTTGGGAGGCTGAGGCAGTTGGATCACCTGAGGTCAGGAGTTTGAGACCAGCCTGGCCAATGTGGTGAAATCCCGTCTCTACTAAAAATACAAAAATTAGCCAGGCGTGGTGGTGTCACCTGTAATCCCAGCTACTCGAGAGGCTGAGGCAGGAGAAACGCTTGAACCCAGGAGGCAGAGGATGCATGAGCCGAGATTGCCCCATCAATCAAAATTGACACTCCATCTCAAAACAAAAACAAAAACAAAAAACAAATAACTACTTTCTGAAACTCTGGTAGTTAAATGGCTCTTGTTTGTTTCTTTATAATAAGGCACAGTTTTTATGGAGCCTGAGCGTTGTTCTTATTCCACAAAGGACTTTTTTTTTTTTGGCAAGGGGATAAATTACTCTGTCCTAATTAAAATTTAATTTTGATGGGAACTCTTTTCTCTCCCCCAGTTTTTTGTTGCTAAGGCCATTAAGGAAGAATTAAGAAAGAGGGAAAAGGAGATATGTGTCAGGAGAAAGGTAGCAAAAGAAACAGGTGAGGGAAGGAAGAAGATCAGTAAAGAAAGGTGAGGAAGATGAAAGGTAAAGAACAGAAGAGAAAGAAAATACAGGAATGAGAGGCAGATAAAAGGACAAACAAAAAGGGAGTAGGAAAAAGGAGATGAAGAAGAGGGTCTGAGGTAAGAAAAGCTTTTCATTCCCTCTTCTTTCACTTTTCCCATACTCCCCTGCTTGACACAGGGTACTATGATATGACCCACTTCCCTCTTCTCTCCTGCTTTACTCTCCAGGTTTCCATTTTTATTGACTACTGACTTGTGAACTTTTCCTCTGTTTCTTTTTTAAACTGGAGCTGTACAAGGTAAGAATTCATAGACAAAAGGCATTGATTATATTTGCATTCTCAAATTAAAAATATTTGGAATTTAAAATAAAAATATTTATTGAACCAATCTTACCTAAAGGTGTCAAAACTCTTCCTTTATAGTTTAATAAAATCTAACATATGGATCCAATTTGTGGTTCAGATACTTAGGAAAATTCATTATTATACTTGATTCAAGTTTTACATCAACAGCCTAGTATAAAATTTTTAGAAAATTTGTTTATCTGTACTTACTTGATTCATTCCAAATTGTTGATTCCCAAAGTTTTTATTGGGAGGTATTTAATAAGATAAAATGAAATGGGAAATTTAGATGTTTACCTTAATAATTTGGGTACCCCCCCGACCCCCTGCCAAACAGAAATCTGAAATGTAATTAATTGTAGCATTGGATCGGGAGGGGCCTGGATGAGTATAGACTTGCGTTATATATATAGTTACTTCAATTATCTATTAATTATGTTGTGGGTATTTAGATATAGCTTATGTTCACAGTATTATATAATTATTACAGATAGCTGTATTTTTTGATATAGTGAACCTTTTCCAATTTTATTACTTATAAAATATTCATAGTCTTTGCTATTTATTAGGCCCCAGTGTAGGTGTGTTATTATAAAAGAAAATTGCCAGAAAACTCTATCATGTTCGCTCATGGGTTGGATGGCATAAGATGAAATTCAAATAATCATGAAAACTCTTACTGAGATTCGTTTTTGTTCTCCCTTTGTGTATAATAGAATCATATAGACTTTTTGGATAACTGCCAACAATTTCATATTATATTTGATCATGTTTTCCAGGATTTAATTCCTGTATTAAATCTAATACAAATTAATTGAACATAGGATTCTATATTTTGATCAGTTAGCATTTTCTAGTGTGATACAGTATTCTGTATCATCTTTCATTCATATAATTGTCTTTGTGTATTAAACATGTATTTAATCAGAAAATTTCATTGCCAGTCTTTATAAAATAATAATGACAATCCACGAGGCTTTCTTCTATTCCAGAGAACTATGATACAAAGATGATATGTAGATACGTTGATTTTGACTTTTTTGCTAGCTATTTAACTCAACAGAAATTAATACCTATGTGCTTTCTAGCATTTAGAGGCCTCATTTTAACTTAGTGGTTGCTCATTATAATTTTAAAATTGTGCTGAGGAATTAAATCATAATTGTTTCTATTTTTAAGATAGGCCATGCTTTTAAGGTGATGGAGTAATTATTGTAAACACTTAAGATAATTTGGTATATGGGGAGTAAAACAAGCATGGACTAGTCACACTAGACCAATGAAACACTGGTCTTTTGTTCTCCACAGGAATATGAAAGTCTAATTTAACTTTTTTTCAGATAAGTCAGTTTAAGTAGAAATAATTTAATTTTTGTTTGCTCTTCCTTATTGTTTTCTTGGGTGATTTTGGGGGATGTTGCCTCTTTCCCATTTCCCAAAGTCAGAGACAGCTTTGATTTCTTGCTGAGTAGGTGTATGATGTGACTTGGGATTATAACTAAAAACCAAAGAACACAAGGGAAGCTTCTTGTTTGCTTCTAATTTTCCTTAGAGTCAAACAAATGATTAACAGGAAGTATGAAAAAGGTGATACTTTAAGCTTCAGCTTTATCACCTCTAAGAAAGGTAGCTCAGTAGAATGACCATGTCTGGGAGTCTGAAGATGCCAAGGAGCATGATGTCACCAACTCTTGGTAATCAGGCTTTTGTTTTAAATTGTTCAGAGATAAGACTGTGCTCCCTGAATAAGTAAACCTCACATTGCAGGGCTTTTTATAAAAGATTTACATGCTTGTGTTCATTTACTCATTTATTTATTTCCTGCCTTACTCCCCAGAGTATTTGAGGTAGCTAATGACAACAACATTCAGGAAAATATAAATATAAAATAAAATGAGAACCAGGAACAATGTAAGTTGTAACAGGATATCAAGACTATAGTTCATAGGATGTATGTATAGTTACTACCCTAGAGCTACTATTTTGTCTCTAAGCTTTCCAAAGGCCAAAATGAAAAGGGAGATAAAGTCATATAACACTCTTAAATAAAAGAAAGCATGTCACATTGCAGGGGAAGCAAAGCTTTTCATTGTATTGAGCCCTGATAGAATTTCTTACTGGAGGCTTTCATTCTGACGTTCTTAGTGGCGGTGCCCTTGACAATATCACTAAAGCTAATGTAGGAAGGAGACTCATAAGACCATCTCTTGCAGAATCTAGAATCCATCAGTGAAAGTGGAGGCCATGACATCAAAATCATTCTATGTGGGCCTAAGAATGCAGCTGTCTCTAAATTGATTTTATCCAATAATATAATCTAGACTTAGAATAATGGGTAGTGGACTGGGTGTGTGTTTTTTCTTTTTTTTTTTTTTGAGATGGAGTCTCGCTCTGTTGCCCAGGCTGGAGTGCAGTGGTGCGATCTCTGCTCACTGCAAGCTCCGCCTCCCGGGTTCACACCATTCTCCTGCCTCAGCCTCCCGAGTAGCTGGGACTACAGGCCCCCGCCACCACGCCTGGCTAATTTTTTTGTATTTTTACTAGAGACGGGGTTTCACTGTGTTAGCCAGGATGGTCTCGATCTCCTGACCTCATGATCCGCCCGCCTCAGCCTCCCAAAGTGCTGGGATTACAGGCGTGAGCCACCGCGCCCCGCCTTGGACTGGGTGTGTTTTTAACAATCCTTTCTTAGTGTCATTTCTCTCAGCTAAAGTTTGGATATGCAATGGATAATTGTATTCTGTGTGGAGTTCTCAATTGTATTCTGAGGAGAGTTCTCGATTGCAGATATTCTATACTTGTTTGAGGCTAGATCTGTAAAATTAGTAGGATTTGTTAGTTAATTCATTAGCTGAGTTTCAAAAATTTTGAAGCTGTATTTTAAAACAATTAGATAATTTCTGTGTTAAAAATAATGTTTATATTTGTGAAATTATAACTCCCACAAGTTATTGAAATCACTTCCCTTTTTAGGATTAAAAAATATTACTGATGATTGAAGGGTAATTTTCAATGTTAAACTTCAACTTTTGCTTATAATTTTCATGTTACATTTTACTCATTGATATCTTACTATTTCTGCTTGTTTTTTTTTTTTAAATCAGAGTTGGATCTTGTAATTCTAGTTGGTTATTCTTGATTTCACTTTGTAGATTTTTTTTTATGGCTTTATAGATGATCAGTATTTCTATAGGTTTTAGAGATGAGTAAAGAGTACAGAAAATTTAGCTATTGTATGAAACATGTCCTATTTTGGAGGGAGGGTTTTTCTAAACAAGTTTATTTAGTAGCTATTAAAATGGAAAATTTTAAATTTTCCAAAAGATTCTTTGAGAGATACTTAATTTGATTCATTGACATTTGTCAATAAGGCCTCATATCTTAAGTCATTTTAATGTGTCATTTAACAAAACTTACTAAAAGAACTAATCCTTAATTACTCTTTACTGTGTGCTAAACAGTATGCTAGATATATAACATACTTTATTTACTACTGGCAAACAGTCCTGCAAGGGAGTTATTCCAGCCTTTCAGACAAGAACATTGAAGCTTGAAGAGATTAAGGAACTTTATCAGAATCGGTGTGGCAGATTCAAACTCAAATAGAAACTTCTTGACAATGAAGTTTCTATTTTATACAATCAGTGTTGCATGATTACTAAGCCAACAGATGTGTAATCAGAGGGACTTTAGTTCAAATCCTCTGTGCTATTAATGTATCACCATAGGCAAAATCACATAACCTCTCTGAGATAAGATTCCTTACTGGTTAAAAGTGGCAAGTCATAGAAACCTCATAGAATTGTCTTAAAAGTTACGTGAAATAATGCTTGCAAAAATGTTTAGTACAGTGCCTGGTATATAGCTAAGTTCAATAAATGGTAGCTATAAAGAAGTAGAGTTTTTAGTATTTTCATTTCAGAGACTACAGTCCCCTTATTATAGATATTTTAGTTCTTTTTAGTTATGTAATACCTGAAGGTAAGAAATTACCAGCAGGTGGAGCTCAGTATCAGAAAAAACAAATTTCTGAAATTGAGGTATTTTATCACCTTATGTTTTAAAAATAAAATTAAATGCATATAGTTTTAAAATTTACATGTGAAGGCCTTCTTTTTTAATCCTACCTACCAAAAGTTATCACCCTGCAACTTGGTTTTTGAATATGTAGAAGGAATGCTTTTGTTATAATTATTTTAAATTGTTTGCTATATCTGGTGTCATACATAAGGTATGACAGTTCATTTGCATGAATAAGACATTTTTAATGTGAACTTAATTTATAAAGATTGTCTTCAAATTTGGTCACTTCATACAATAAAGTAATTACACTGATAATCTTAAATTTAACTTGTCAAAACCCTCAAATCTGCCATTCCCACAGTCTTCTTAGGGTATTTTCAGTCAATTGCTTAAGTCCAAATCTTGGGAATCACCCTTGTGTTCACTTTCTTCCAAATCCTGTTAGCAAGTTGTCTTGATATTACCTCCAAAATATATTCCAAATCTGACCTCTTGATAACATTTCCATTGTGATCATCCTGGTAAATTCACCATAAATTAAGGTCTGAACTACTTCAGCCAGTTTACCTGTTTGTTCCCTTGCCCTTTGTAAATTTTATTTTCTGTATAATAACTTGAGTTATCGTAATGTATAAATGAGATTTTATATTTCTCCTGCTTATGACCCTCCATTGGTATTCCTATATAACCAGAATGAAATTCTAATCCTCACCATGAACTCAATTACATAATCTCATCCCTGCCTACTTCCCCTCATTATTTCCTACCAGTCCTCATCCATCACACTCCAGCCATTGAGGTCTTACTGTCCTTTGGGTACACTAAGTGTCTTCTTATCTCTGGGACTTTATGTTTCATCTCTTTTTAATACTTATTCCCCAGATCTTCGTATGACCAACTGCCTTCTTTTGATAATTTCAGGTCAAATGATACTTCTTTGAGAGATCTCTGACTACTTCAGCTGTAATAGGCCCTATCAGACCCCTGTCATCATTATTTATCCTATTGCCTTTTTCCTTTTCTTGCAAAGCACTTACTTTAGTATCTTTACTATTTCTACTATTACTACAATTATTACTATTTTGTTGGTTAGAATTTACTCTGTGGTAGGTTAGTTCTAAATATTTCCATGCATTAAATACTAATATATGTACTTTGGTATGTATGAACTCATTTGATTATGGTATGTATGTATGTATGTGTGTATGTTTTTATTATCTGTCTTCTATAATCCCTGCTTGTTCCTTAAACTGTAGCTCTCAGAAGGTAGGCACTTTCATTATGTTTACTACTATTTCCTCTGCCTTGTACAGTGCTTGCTATGTAGGGGAGGCTAAGTAAATATTTTTTGAATATTGAACAAGCTCTTAGAACTCGTATCAACAAGTAGAGTTATCAAATATTTATGTAAAATAATCTCCTAGGGGATAGGGAACATATCAGTGGAAGAAATCATACCTGACCGATTATTCTTAGAGTCTTTTTTTATGAAGGTAATAGGGTATATAAAATAAGCTACTTCGATTTTAGAAAAGACGTTGACAATGTTTTTTACCAAAGGTTACTAAATGTTAAGTCACTGCTGAAATGGGAAATAGGCTTTTAGAATGGCCCAACAACAGGTTTAAAATCAGAAATCAAACAGTAGGAATAGATGTTTATTTGACTAGAAAAGTATAAAGAGAGTGCCCCAGCAATTGATGATCACATCTGTTATGGTTTGAATTATGTGCCCCCAAAAGATATCTTTAAGTTGTAATACTAAATACCTGTGTATGTGACCTACTTTGGAAATAGGGTCTGTAGTTGTAAACTAGTTAATATGAAGTTGTTAGGGTGAGCTCTAATCCAGTGTGACTGGTGCCCTTATAAGAAGAGAAGAGAGGCTGACATACAGGGAAGACAGCCATGAGAAGACAGAGGCAGATATTGGAATTATGCTATCACAAGCAAAGGAATGCCTGGGGCTACCAGAAGCTATAGGAAGTAAGGAAGGGTTATCCCCTAGAAATTTTGGAGGGAGCATGGCCTTGGCTAACACCTTGATTTCAGACTTCTGGCCTCCAGAACTGTAGGAGAGTAAGTTTCTGTTGTTAGAAGTCACCCGATTTCTGGTACTGTGTTACAGCAGCCCTAGGGAATTAGTACAACATCTGTTGTGATTATTGTCTTTATAAATGATCTGAAAGAGGAGGGTCTTCCTAGTGAGGTATCTAGATGACATTAAAGTCTTCTAGTTGTGAAGAGCAAAACCAGTGAGTACAGATGATGAACAAAGAAACACCAAAATTAGCTTCTCTCTGTGCTAGAACAAGTAACAAATCCAGCATCTTAAGATTTTATATTCTTTGACTGTAAGCACTGATTTCAACACATTTAATGTTGAAAATTGCTTCCAGATTTAATGTTTTATGATTTTATGAGCCTGGGTAAGTGCCTGGCACCTAATTAATGCTTAATGAATATTTAAAAAATAAATAAGTGAAACCAATCAGGGAATAAAATATAGGAAAATATAATTTTATTTTAATGAAAATATAAACTTATTCTGGTATAAAATTCAAATTATGGTTACAGTTAGGGAAAAATGAGTGCAGGGAGTGAATACTGGGAAACTATACGCATTGTTTACTGAATATATCAACACTTAAGTAGAAAAACAAAATTAATAAATTGTTAATGTATCTTTGGAGACTCTTTTTTGGCAAAAGAATACCTTTGGTGAAATAGAGCAGTGACTTAATCTAAGAAACAGTATAGTAGTTAATTGCATAGTTTCTGGAACAAAGTTGCATAGTTTCTGGATCCACAGTCCTTGGATTTGAATATGTGGCATCAGCTATTTTTTGGCTATATAACTTTGGGCAAGTTAAACTTTCTGTACCTCAGTTTTCTCATCTGTAAACTAGGGTTTGTAACAGAAACTATTTCATAGGGTTAATGTGGGGAGTTAAATGAGATAATCCATCTAAAATGCCGAGAAAATGCTTTCTCCTAAGAAATTCTTTACCCTATATTGTCTTTTATTGTTTATTAAATATAAAATTTTATAAAATTATTCTCAGTGTACAAAATGAGATTTATTTTGATGGACGTGATATAAAGAATGGTTGTTGCGGACAATAAAATTTAAAAAGTGAGTATCCAAAAAAGAAAACTAGAGGAAATTATGCAAAAAGGCAAGAAAATTAAAAAATTTTTTTTTGATTGCATCTAATTATAAAGGGAGCCAAAGACTTTAAAGAAGGAGATGTTTATGTCAGAATTGTGACCCAGGGAAGTTTTACGGAGTAAGACTTTTGACTCTCTTGCTCTTTTCTATTTTTCTTATTTGGTTTCATAAAGTTTCTTGAACTTTGGTCCCTTAGAAAGAATGTTCTGTACAATGCCTGAATATGATACCTGGCATCTAGTAGTTGTATCTTTGTTTAAAAAAATGAATGAATAAAGCAGGGATTTATAAAGCAATTAACAAATCATTATAGAATAGGTTATCAAAAGTGGAGCCTTACTTTCCGATTAAACATTTATGGTTTTGAGTATCCCACTCTACTTCCTCTCTAGCCCTGACACTTCATTTTGTGTTAAGTGTAGTAGGTTTTTGTGGCAAGGAAATTTAAAATTTTTATTTCTGTTGAGACCTTAGAGATCATTTACACATAATTTATATTCTTTTCCTTTGAATGAAGAATTATAAAGTATTGGAGAGTTATACCTCAATAAAAAATAAAAAAAATTAAAACACATTGGATTAAGAAAAGCTTTGTAGCACAGCTATCTGCAAGGTTTTGTTTCAAGAAGTGCTTGAAAGTGAGGTATATTCTCAGAGACCTTGAGATCCAAAACCTAAAATAAGAAGACTTCTATATGTTTCTTAGGAATAAAATCAGGTATTTTATTTATCTAATTTAAAAAATCAAAGGCCAGGTGCAGTAAGCTCACACCTGTAATCCCAGCACTTTGGGAGGCCGAGGCGGGCGGATCACCTGAGGTCAGGAGTTCGAGACTAGCCTGGCCAACATGGTAAAACCCCGTCTCTACTAAAAATACAAAAAAATTTAGCCAGGCACGGTGGTGGGCACCTGTAATCCCAGCTACTCAGGAGACTCAGGCAGGATAATCACTTGAACCCGGGAAGCAGAGGTTGCAGAGAGTCAAGAGCATGCCATTGCACTCCAGCCTGGGCGACAAGAGCGAAACTCTGTCTCAAAAAAAAAAAAAAAAAAAAAATCAAGTAGAACAGAGATTTATTTCTTAGATAGTGTTTCTTTACTTAATGTACAAGGATTTTCCGTTTGTTGCTCGAAAACGCAACATTTGTTGGCTGTATCTGTTCCTTTAATCCAGAACTGACTAGTATACTTCCATGCCAACAGGGGGAGATAGTATGAAATAGGAGATCCAGATTTGCACCTCTCTTCTATCTTGCTTTTGCCTCACACAGGAAGGTTTGTTGGTAAATTGACTTCCTTGGGCCCACTGTCACTATCTCTTAGCTAAATTTTGAGATGGAGCAGAAAATGAAATGTCCTCATTGTAAGGATCAGCTGGAGTCTGGTTTCGGCTCCCAATCCTGTAAAACATGTGCTTTAATGTTCAGCTCTGAGCCTTCCACATCAGAAGTCCACAGAGATCAGGTAAGGAGAAGTTCTGCCACAGGCCTACTTTACCCAGGGCCCCAGACATTATCTAAGAGTCCAGCAGGTCATCTATTTTATGCGGCTGCTTCAAATGGGAAGGATAATTTCTCTTGACTTCTGAATCTGGTGGTAAACAAAATTCTTTTGAACAATGCTATCACTTAGATGCTAAACCAAAGCCACTGAAAAAAATGAAAGTGGCTTCTTTTCACATTTGTATTTTATTTCATTTGTTTCCTTAATTCACCTCTCAGTTTTGAGAAAAATATGTCCTTTCCAGTATTTCAATACATGGAAGGTAAAAGAGAGTGCAGTTTTATTGAATATTTGAGGAGAAACATGGCTCAGATTTTAAACTGAGCCATGTTTCTCCTCAAATATTCAACAAAGATGATATTAAGATTTCTATTTTTCAAATTTCAGTTTCTATTCTGGCTGGTGAGCTCAATTTAGCCTTGTTATTTTCAATGTCTGTCACCAAAGGAAACTAATAATGTTTTTCTTGAACATAGGTATTTAATAGTTGGTGACCATAACTGGTAAAGCTTTTCATTATGATATGTAGCTATATAGTTCAATGCTAATTTTGTAATCAATGTTTATGGTTTAATTTAGGAACTTGGAATACACTAATTCCTTACTCTTTTAATGTATAAAATATAATTTCTGTTACTAATAGGAATATAGCCCTATTTTAAATCTGTTGTGTTGGTGAAGAATTATATTTATATGTCATTTTGCGACTTAATTGCCTGCATTCTCTTGAGTCCCTTATTTAATGCCTCTCTTTTTTAGGCTTTCTTTTTTCAGATTCACTATATTAGGAAAACCTAATTCTGGTCTTCAAATAAGAATTGTCAATGCCAAAAAAGTTTATGTATTTTCTTTATTTTGAAGATAGTTGAAATACATACACGATTCTTGCTTTAATATTACTACATCCAGTGTTTGGGTTATGGTGTTCCAAATATGTGTCTTATATTATTGGATAAGTACTGTTTGTAAATATAATGACCATTACTTGTGTGCATAAGTTTTGCTTATCTGGTTTATAAATTTATAAAAATATTAGAGGATATTGAATCCATTGGGATCATCTTCTCCAAATTATCATTTTATATATAATAATGTCTCTGAAGCCTGAGGTAATTAATGACTCACATAGCTAGCTAGTGACTTGCATAACTTAAATTTTTTTAACTTTAAAAAAGTCTCGCTTTCTTGTTACCCTTCAATCTCTGATATATATTCTTTTATGATCCTTCTTTAATATTTTTCTTTTTTTTTATACACAGTCATTGTCTTTTCAAAACATTTTGTGCTTTTTATTTATTTTTGAAATTGTTCTTAATTCTCTTAAATTTTATTAACTTTTTTCTTTTATATTAGAATCTTCAATCTCTGATATATATTCTTTTATTATCCTTCTTTAATATTTTTCTATGTATTTTTTTATACATACCATCGTTGTCTTTTCAAAACAATTTTGTGCTTTTTATTTGTTATTTTTGAAATAGTTCTTAATCCTCTTAAATTTTATTAACTTTTTTCTTTTATAGTAGTTCTACTACATATCTTCAAAGTAAAGTAGAAAAGATTACAGTTTTATTATTTTTCTCATTTATGTAAATTCTGTTCAGAGTAAATAGAATAAGAATTTTTGCTTTGATGGCTATCACCCACCATCCTTAGGAAGGCATTACATGTAAGGATGCACACTGACTCTTGAAATTTTAAAACAATTCAACAAGTACATACTTAATTGAACTCTCATAATTATGAACTTCTACCCATAGCCTTGATGATTTATCTTGGTTATTAACTAATACTGACCTAAGTATAATGAGACCTCTTGATAAACCTAAAAATATACTTTTAAGTACTTTTCATTGTCAGTCTGCTCAGTCAGATGTTACCACACTCACTTGGAGACATACATATTCAGTCACACATACCTGAATTGATCATAGGAAGCCTTTGTATTCTCATGGAGTCACTATTTAGCCTCTGTGTTTTATACAGATGTTCTTGACATCTTTTGTTTTTATATTCTGGTATTATTTATGATTTTTTTTTCAGTGAATTCTTACCACCATAAAGTACATACTGATTCACGAGAGTATATTTTAGGCAGAAGTTGTCCTTTTATCAGAAACTGACATTCCTCTGGAGATGAGACTAGTCTAGACATAGTTTTCTGGTAAGCCATAGCCCCTCAAGCTGCTTTTCTGGGTCATCTGTTCCCTCCAAGTAGTGTGTCATATTGATATTGTATTATGTGTGGTAGATCCATTCTTTATTGGAATTTCACTTCCCTCTCCTATTATAATACACTTTTCCATCTTGTAAGAATTTTTAAATTTGGCCTTTGAAAGCTCATTCTGGTAAGCAAACTTCCTGTTCAACAGAAGATTGCTCATTCTCCCATATCCCATGTAATTCAGCATTGAGAAGTGGCTCTTTTTTTTTTTTTTTTTTTGAGACGGAGTCTCGCTCTGTCGCCCAGGCCGGACTGCGGACTGCAGTGGCGCAATCTTGGCTCACTGCAAGCTCCGCTTCCCGGGTTCACGCCATTGTTCTGCCTCAGCCTCCCGAGTAGCTGGGACTACAGGCGCCCGCCACCGCGCCCGGCTAATTTTTTGTATTTTTAGTAGAGACGGGGTTCACCTTGTTAGCCAGGATGGTCTTGATCTCCTGACCTCATGATCCACCTGCCTCGGCCTCCCAAAGTGCTGGGATTACAGGCGTGAGCCATCGCGCCCGGCGAGAAGTGGCTCTTAATGTGGGCTTTATTATTCCTTTACCCTCATGTGAAAGTCTTTGTGTTTTCAAGGCTTGTGAAGTTTGGTTGTATTGCATTTTATCCCTGCTCATTGTCGAAATCTTTGGAACTTCTGTTCATTCCTCCTTATTCATCAATGCATGTGCTCTCTGGTTTAGTCTCTTTTTCTACTTTTGGTCATTTTGGGATGACGTTAGCAGTCACGTGGAAGACCCACCTAAAATTTAGTTTCTACATTTATTGATCTAAAAATAGTGTTGACTGAGGGATGGTAGCTGATAAGCAAATTTAAGTCAAGAGACTTTTTCTAAGAAAGACAGAAGAAGGCTCTTAGGTCTTCTTGTTTCTGTTGAGTAACTAGCACCAACTCCGGACTGCTTACTTTACTTATGAATTTCATTTCATGAGAGACATAAAACCTTATTTATCTAGGTTAATTTTAGACATATTTCTGCCACAGTAGCTGAAAGCAACCCTAACTGAAAGAGTAGGTAAAATGTTGACAAAAATAGATAATATGGCTTAGCACAGTACCGCTAGTTTGATTGCTGTAGTTTGTTCGTTCCTTTTTTAGAAGGTGCTTGCTCCCAAATGCAGGAGCTTCTTGTGGCACTAAGTTTATGAAGGTAGAAGAATTCTAGTGCATCAATTAGATGTTACGGTGGATTTTAAAATCTGGCCATCACACCTTGCTTTTGTAAATATCTATATTTTGAAGGCCTGGTACTTACCCTCCTGCCAGCTCCATACTTTCTGATGGAATTCTTAGGAAGTTTTTACTGCTGCCAATTGGCAATCATATCACAAAATATTTTAAAGCTATGTATATATTTCAGTTTTTGGTGATGTGACAATAGTATTTATGAAAATAAATTCGTGAGTTCTTGAAATGTATTATAGGGCTCAACTTTTTAATAAGAATAAAATAAATATTGTAAGGAATTGATTTTAATGGCTATTAAATATATTCAGAGAAAATAAGGTAATTGTATTTCACATTGCCCTTTCTGATTGTTTAGTTTTAGGTACTGCTTTGGATACTCAGTTTCTAATTAATTTCTAGCAAAAGGTTTATTCTAGCTATGAACGGTATAATTTTTATATAGCATCTCCCTTGAAAGCATATACATGCATATATATATGTATATAAACTGTTTAATATATGTACATATACATATATATAAAGTCTGTATACATATAAACTGTTTTTGCTCTTTTCTTAAAGAAGAGGGTGAGAGAGAATGAGGAGCAGAGCAGTAGAAAGTATGGTCAAAGTTAGAAAATAAATCAAAAGGATAATGATAGGTGAATGCTTTAATCTGTGTCTAATATTTTAGCCACATAAGCCTTGGAGTCTTTATAGTTTACTTTTTATTATATTTTTCTATGGATTTAAAAATGTTTTGTATACTTTATTTTGATGAATAAATATATCTGTAGGGATATGAGAACATTGAATATATGATAAAAATTTACCCCCAGATATAGACTGTAAATAACCCTGAGGGGACTGGGAAAGAGGAAAAGTATGAAATGGGTTTTAGCCTTTTTACTCAATCACAGCGGGTAAGATGTTTCTATATTCCTAATGTCATAAAGGTATATATCCTGCAGTAATTAGTAAAAACAGACTGTTTGTTTTGTTTGTGATAGTAAAAAAGGGTTGGCTGCCTTAAAGTCTCTCTTTGCCAATCATTTTTTTTAATTAAAGAAGCACACAAAAATAGATTCCTCTGTTCCAGAATGTGTTACTGCTAATCCATTGTAAGTGGTGCCAGAACAAAGTATAAATACTTTATTAGATGAAGCTACATCTTGTAAGTCAATTCCTATCTCACCAGATGTTGCTAGCTGGAATCTAGACATCTAAGGTACTGTTTACTAGAATCACAGAAATCCTTGGTTATATGGTTTATCTGTTGCATTATTTCACCCAAAGCAATGTTGGCTTTTCCTTTGCATTTAAGTTAACAGAAATAAGGTACATGATCCTTTTAAGGAATTGGGCTTACAAAGAAGGAGGTGATTTTTTTTTTTTAAAGGAAGTCATTAAAAATGTCTGGCTATCAAGAAATGAATAACTCTCTAGTGATAGGTTTTCTGTGAATGAAGGGAGTAGTAACAGAATAAGAGGGCCTGTTGATTAAAAAATGTTCCAGAAATATGACCTTGTCTCCAAGTTAAAAATACTTTAAAATATCAGGGGAAAAACGTACAAAATACAGATAGAAGTAATTACAAAGCAGAGTCTCGTAGCCTTGAGTCATCAAGAGAAAGTCAAACCATGTACATTTTGAACTGTTTGAAAAGACACAAATACATAATTTGGTTTTTGAAGATAATCTTTTTAAAGATATGGCTGAATGAGGCATTTCATTAGTGCCTTTTAGTTCCAAGGTAAGTTATTGTTTTAAAAATTGTGAATTTCTAAAGTTTTAAGATATCTAATAATTAGCTGTTTGTTTTTTGTACCTTTACACCCTCAAGATAATTTATGGATACTTTGTTTGAATCTATGTATGATTCTTAAGCAGTGAAGCAATTGCAGATATTAACACATTAGTACCTTTTTTGTCTTTCTTTTTTGTTTTACATTTTTTAACTTAAAAAAATGTTTTGTAGAGACACAGTCATGTTTTGTTGCCCAGGCTGGTCTCAAACTCCTGGCTTCAAGCAGTCTTCCTGACCAGGCCTCCCAAAGTAAAAGGATTACAGGCATAAGCCTCCGTGCCTGGCCCTACCCATTAATTCTTTCTTATCCCCTCCCCTCCCCGCCTCCCCTCTCCTCTCCCCTCCTTTCCCCTCCCCTCCCCTTCTCCTCCTCTCCCCTTCTTTTTTCCTCCCCTCCCCCTCCCCGTTTCCTCCCCCCTTCCCCTTTTCTTACCCTCCCCTTCTCCTCCCCTCCCTTTTCCCTCTTCTCCTCTCCCCCTCTTCTCCCCTCCCCTCCCCTCCCCTTCGTGCCCCTTCTCCTCCCCTCCCCTCCCCTTCCTGCCCCTTCTCTTCCCCTCCTCTGCCCTCCCCTCCTCCTCTCCCCTCCTTTTTTCCTTCCCTCTCCTTCCTTTTTGAGACAGGGTCTCGCTCTGTCTCCCAGGCTGGTTGTGCCATCTGGGTTCACTGCAACCTCTGTCTCCTGAGTTCAAATGATTCTCCTGCCTTAGCTTTCTGAGTAGCTGGGAGTACAGGTGAGCAACAGTACACTCTACTGATTTTTGTATTTTTAGTAGAGACAGGGTTTCACCATGTTGCCCAGACTGGGCTCGAACTCCTAACCTCAAGTGATCCATCTGCCTTGGCCTCCCAAAGTGTTGAGATCACACGCGTGAGCCAACGCCCCTGGCCCAACTCATTAGTTCTATGAATAATTTTGTTGCTCCCCTATCAGTGTAGGGAAGGAAGAAAACGATTTGACTTAAATTACATTATAGATTTGATTATAAGAATTCTTATTCTGAGTAAGAACTTTTTATTATTATCTTTGGAAAAGTTATTTAACCACTCTAGGCTTTGGCTTTCTAATCTATAAAATGAGGATAATAACAGGACCTGCTATATAGTGTTCATAGAAGATTAAAATGGGCGATGGTGCTTGGCTTATAGTTAGTGCTGCTGTCAGTGTTTGAGACCTTTTCTAAGCAGGTTAGTATTCTCTTTTCAACAGAGACTTCAAATGGTATATTGTGACTATTATCTTTTATGTAGCCCTTAAAACTTCAGCAATAGTGATTGTTACTCTGTTTTTTCCATGTATTTTTTTTTCCGTGTATTTTACAATAAAAAAAATTTGGTGTCTCACTGAGCTACACTGAGATTTAATAAACTTATGTCACTGAACGAAGGATTTCTGAAATGTAGATCCAAACTTTCCTGTGTTTATATCCAAGGGCCTCTCCTCTTAGTGTTTTATCTTTAATGAAAAAAGTTTGTGATCATTTTATGTCATTAATATTGCATAGTTTTCATTCATGTCTAAA
This sequence comes from Homo sapiens, assembly GCF_000001405.40. NCBI lineage: Eukaryota > Metazoa > Chordata > Mammalia > Primates > Hominidae > Homo > Homo sapiens. The sequence continues at coordinate 108,931,546 of NC_000005.10, forward strand.
TTCTCTTATCATTCCAGGCCAAAAATGGCTCTTTTCTTGAGATGTGGTATTAAAAATAGTGCATGCCTGAAGTCAGGAGTTCGAGACCAGCCTGGCCAACATGGTGAAACCCCGTCTCTACTAAAAATAGAAAAATTAGCTAGGCATGGTGGCGGGGACCTGTAATCCCAGCTACTTGGGAGGCTGAAGCAGGAGAAACGCTTGAACCTGGGAGGTGGAGGTTGCAGTGAGCCAAGAATGCACCATTGCACTCCACCCTAGGCGACAAGAATGAAACTCCATCTCGGGGAAAAAAAATAGTGCATAATTCTTAGGTATAAATTAACCAAGTTTTATATATAATATTGTCCATTTGAATGTGGTAATTGTTCAAATATAGGAGGTAGAGGCCCTCCATCCTTCCAATATCTTAAATTTTGTGTGTGTGTGTGTGTGTGTTTCATTTTTTAAAATTATACTTGGTTATATCACTTGGTTACATTTTTTTTTTATTATACTTTAAGTTCTGGGATACATGTGCAGAATGTGCAGGTTTGTACATAGGTATACACATGCCATGGTGGTTTGCTGCACCCATCAACCCATCATCTACATTAGGTATTTCTCCTAATGCTATCCCTCACCTAGCCCCCTACCCCCTGACAGGCCCTGGTGTGTAATATTCCTCTCCCTGTGTCCATGTGTTCTCATTGTTCAACTCCCACTTATGAGTGAGAACATGCGGTGTTTGGTTTTCTGTTCCTGTGTTAGTTTGCTGAGAATGATGGTTTCCCGCTTCATCCATGTTCCTGCAAAAGACATGAACTCATCTTTTTTTATGGCAGCATAGTATTCCATGGTGTGCATGTGCCACATTTTCTTTATCCAGCCTATCACTGATGGACATTTGGGTTGGTTCCAAGTCTTTGCTATTGTGAATAGTGCTGCAGTAAACATACATTTGCATGTGTCTTTATAGTAGAATGATTTATAATCCTTTGGGTATATAGCCAGTAATGGGATTGCTGGGTCAAATGGTATTTCTAGTTCTAGATCCTTGAGGAATTGCCACATTGTCTTCCACAATAGGTGAACTAATTTACACTCCCACCAACAGTGGAGAAACGTGTTCCTGTTTCTCTACATCCTCTCCAGCATCTGTTGTTTCCTGACTTTTTAATGATTACCATTCTAGCTGGCATGAGATTGTATCTCATTGTGGTTTTGATTTGCATTTCTCTAATGACCAGTGATGATGAGCTTTTTTTTGTATGTTTGTTGGCTACATAAATGTCTTCTTTTGAGAAGTGCCTGTTCATATCCTTTGCCCACTTTTTTTTTTTTTTGATGGGGTTGTTTGTTTTTTTCTTGTAAATTTGTTTAAGTTCCTTGTAGATTCTGGATATTAGCCCTGGGGTTGTTCTTTTCTTGTAAATTTGTTTAAGTTCCTTGTAGATTCTGGATATTAGCCCTTTGTCAGATGGATAGATTGCAAAAATTTTCTCCCATTTTGTAGGTTGCCTGTTCACTCTGATGATACTTTCTTTTGCTGTGCAAAAGCTCCTTAGTTTAATTAGATCCCATTTGTCAATTTTGGCTTTTGTTGCCATTGCTTTTGGTGTTTTAGTCATGAAGTGTTTGCCCATGCCTATGTCCTGAATGGTATTGCCTAGGTTTTCTTCTAGAGTTTTTATGATTTTAGGTCTTACGTTTAAGTCTTTAATCTATCTTGAGTTAATTTTTTAATAAGGTGTGAGGAAGGGGTCCAGTTTTAGTTTTCTGCATATGGCTAGCCAGTTTTCCCAACACTGTTTATTAAATAGGGAATCCTTTCCCCATTGCTTGTTTTTGTTAGATTTGTCAAAGATTAGATGGTTATAGATGTGTGGTGTTATTTCTGAGGCCTCTGTTCTGTTTCATTGGTCTATATATGTGTTTTGGTACCAGTACCATGCTGTTTTGGTTACTGTAGCTTTGTAGTATAGGTTGAAGTCAGGTAGCATGATGCTTCCAGCTTTATTCTTTTTGCTTAGGATTATCTTGGCTGTATAGGCTCATTTTTGGTTCCATATGAAATTTAAACTAGTTTTTTTTCTAATTCTATGAAGAAAGTCAATGGTAACTTGATGCGGATAGCATTGAAGCACTGAATCTATAAACTACTTTGGGCAGTATGAACATTTTTACGATATTGATTCTTCCTACCCATGAGCATGGAATTTTTTTCCATTTGTTTGTGTCCTCTCTGATTTCCTTGAGCAGTGGTTTGTAGTTCTCCTTGAAGAGGTCCTTTGCATCCCTTGTAAGTTGTATTCCTAGATATTTTATTCTCTCTGTAGCAGTTTTGAATGGGAGTTCACTCATTATTTGGCTGTTTGTCTATTATTGGTGTATAGGAATGCTTGTGATTTTTGTACACTGATTTTGTATCCTGAGACTGCTGAAGTTCTTTATCAGCTTAAGGAGATTTTGGCTGAGACGATGGCGTTTTCTAAAATTTGACTTCCTCTCTTCCTGTTTGAATACCCTTTATTTCTTTCTCTTGCCTGATTGCCCTGGCGAGAACTTTCAATACTGTGTTGAATAGGAGTGGTGAGACAGGGCATCCTTGTCTTGGTTTTGAATGAATGACTGATGCCCAGCGTTTGCTTGGCTTTCTGTATGTAATCTAGGCAACCTGGCTTACTACAAAGAGAGTAAGCAAAGAGTTACTTTGTTATCTTTTCTGTGCCTTAGTGCAAGTCATTTCACCCCCTCTGACCTTCATTTTCTCATGTATTATGAAGTGAAAAAGCTGAAATAGAAAATCTTTAACACAGAAGGTTCCTTCTACCACTGATTGTTTAAGACCATTTCATTATATGACAGCGTTGTAAAAAATGTGATAGAATAAAAATTATGGCCCAGTAATTTTCACACTTATTTTTAATGTTAATCTTTTTAGTAATGCCCTATTTACATAAACGTATATTGACCAACTTATTTTTGTCTTGGGAGTTCGTTGCTTTTTAAAATTCTTTCTTTGCTGATATCTAATCAGCAACTATATTGGACTCCAAAATATGGGAAGAAACTTCAAACCACATGTGCTAATTACTGTGAAAAGAGATGCTAGCGAAGCAAATAAAAAGTTAGCTAGTTTTCCAGCTACTGCACTGTAGGTGTGTGAATAGCCAGAGGGAGATTATCCAGTGACCTTGCTACTGCTGAGCTGTAAATGTTGCTGTACAGTTTCCTGGAATTATCAGGGCTTTAGGCTCTTGCTGAGAAAAAATATCTTTGGGACTACAGCTATATTTCTGACAGTGGATTTTGGGGCAAGGTGTCGCTTTAGTTAGAGATAATGTTCTAAAAACTGGATGGGAAATGAAAGATTAACAAATGCATATATCTACAGAAGGAACAGGATTGGAAAAAAAGAAAAAAGCGTATATGCACATTTTTATTGCATAGAATCTATGTGAATCATGCAATTCTTAACCCATTTTCCTGATTAATATATTACATATAGGGGTGATTTTTCTTTTCTTAGACATTTAAGGTAGCTGCTGCTTATAAGGTAAATATGCAGTGATTCTTTCTCAGCTATATATTAGTTGTCTAGGACCTCCATAAAAAATTACCACAAATTTGGTGGCTGAAAACAACAGAAATTTCTTCTTTCACAGTTCGGGAGGCCAGAAGTCCAAAGTCAAGGTTTTGCCAGGGTTGATTCCTTCAGGAGTCTCTGAATGAGAATTGTTCCCTGCCTCTATCCTAGCTTCTTGTGGCTGCTGGAGATCCTATCATTCCTTGGTTCATAAACACATCACTCTAATCTGTCTCCTTCTTCACATCGCCTTCTGTGTTTCTTCCTCTTCTAAGTCTCTTACGAGGAAACTTGTCATTGGATTTAGGGTCCCTGGATAATCCTGTTTGATCTCATGTTGAGACCCTTGACTTAATTAAATCTGCAAAACTTGCTTTTCCAAATAAGGTTACATTCATAGGTTCTTAGTGGAAATATCTTCTGAGTGGGGTGCGGGGAGGTGGTAGTCACCATCCAACCCACCTACAGTTTGTGTCTATCTTCTGTTTAATTATCAAGAAAGTTCTCAAAAATTAAAACTTTGGTTGTGGGTGAAATCTTTAACTTGAGAGAAGCTGGTTCTTTCTGCCCTTTTATTCAAGTAATTTTTTGAGTACTTCTCTGTGAGTCATAATATTTCGGGACTGGAAGATACTATAAAATATTTTTCTTTTGCCAGAAGCACAGATACTTTGTTTATGGTCCAACTCTGAGTTAGAGTCAAAGCCAGGCCTAGAGCATAGATTCTGAATCAAGTGTTTACGTCTGTATTATGAGACCAGAAAGTCCTCTGTTTATTACATTATTGGAGCAATTAAATATACATTTATTGAGCAGACTTCAAATAGCATTACTTTTTGAATGGTTTGGGAAAGAGTCCTTGGGAAATATGAGGTCTGTGTCTTGCAAGAACTATTTATTCAAGGCAGTCAACATAGCATAATGATTAATAGCAAAAAATTTGTATTAAAGCTGAATTTAAATTTCGGCTGCTTGACCACATGACGTTCAGCAAATCACTTAGTATTTCTAGGGCTCACAGTCCTGGCTCACACTATTTGGAAAATACCTGGGGATTCATTGGGAGCAAAGGGATTGAGGGGATTTTCAAATTCTCAATATTTAAACTTTTTATTCAAGGAAAATGATTCTGCTTAATATAAAAAATACAATTTTAATAACAGTGGCTATTATTTTACCTTTAATAATTTTGCTAAACCTTTGATACAGTTATTTGGTGAGTACCCATTCTTAATTTTTAGATGATAATTGTAGTTTGGATGATGACTCTTAATCAGATGTCTTCATGGTTATAAGTCTGATGTTTGGAGTTACACAATGGCTGCTTTAGGCCAGTGGTTTATTATGTTGTTTATTTCATATTGATTCTCCTATGCTTATTGCCTGTTGACGTAATAGTTAATGAACTTCTGAAAATACCCAGTGTACAACAATTCTCATGGGTACTTTATTAATTCAAGCAGACTAGAGCCTATTACATAGAAATAGAGACCTGGTCCTAAGATTTCTAACTTACATTCATATTGATAAAAATTAAGCCCTGGAGGTGTTATTTATAATATTTGGTAATTGGTAATGTTGGGATTAAATAATACATTTTTATTTCTAGGTATGTACTAGGCCTTTCTTGAACTTGTTTTATTAAGAAGTTAAATATTCTCTGTATTAACACTTTTAGCTATTTATAAGTACAGCAAACTAGTTTTCAAATTAAAATAATTAGAAAAATCAATCTTTTTGAAAAATGCAAAGGAAAATATCTTTTAACTCCCAAGATAGTATTCCTCTGTTGTTTTTGAGAATTTCCTACTATTTAAATAGGGATAACTACAGATTCTTAAAATCAGTCTGAGTTAAAAAGATTACCTATAATTGGAATGACTTGGGTTAAATTTGAGTACTTTAATTTCATTTTTTTCTTATGTGTCATTTGAGGTTTCTTAGCACAAAACAATAGTTCAAGTAAATATATTCCCTTTTATTTACTATTTAAATGATGTCTAATAGCTCCTGTCTTGCTTAACTTCATCATTAATATGTAGCATTTATTTTAATATTTTAATAATTTGAGTTAAGAAACCAATAAATCCCCCTGCCTTCTTGTAGCTTAGATTGTATTGTGAGTGTGTGCTTGGGCCTCTAGATATCTGGCTTGTATAACAGAGGTAGTAGTACCATTCATTGAAATGGGAAACTGATAAAAGGCCAGCTTTGGGAATTATGAGTTCAGTAATATATTGACTTTTATCTACCTCTTGCGACATCTAAATAGAAGTCACACGGATGTTTCAACATTCAAGTTTGGAGCTCAGTGAAAAAAGTTTAAGTTGCAGATTTAAATTTGTGAGTAGACTTGGTTCAGGTGGTAATTGAAGTTGAGACATAAAAGAGATTACCTAGGGAGAAAGTACAGAGTGAGAAAAGAAGAAACCTGGAATCAGTAGAGCCTAGAATCACATTACCATTTAATGACCTGGTAGAGGAGGGTGAGCCTGCTGAAGAAACTGAGAATGTGTAGTCTGAGAGGTTGGAGGATAGTGTGGTAGGGGAATAAATGTTTCATGTAGGCATACATGGTCAATAGAGTGGAATTGTGTTGAGACGTCAAGTAAGAGAAGTGGAAAATGTGTCTGTTAGATTGGTGAAATGGAGTCTGTTGGTTTCCTAAGACCATCTGCTTTGGTGTAGTTATGGGGTGACAGCCAAATAAGAGCAGATTGAGGAATGAGTGAGAGTAGAGAAAATGGAGACAGTGAGCATATATAACTCTTTTAGGAATTTTTTTTTATAAAGGGCAAGCAGTAGCTGGAACAGAATATGTGGTGAAGGGAGAGGTTCATCCTTCTCTTTCTTCTGCTCTTTCCTTCCTTTATTTCCTACTCTCTTCCCTCCTTTTTTTCCCTATCTCTCTCTCACACACACACACACACACACACACACACACACACACACACACACGTAAAAACTGAAGGGCTGATGGGAAAGAACCATTTGAGAAGGGATGGTTGACAGTACCTCAGAGATCCATTAGGTTCTTGTAAGGTGTAAGGTTCTTAGGAGGTCAGGAAGCAATGAGATCCAAAGTTAAGTAGAGTGGTAATCCTAAGATGGGAGTTATCTGCCTCATGTTTCAAAAAAAGGAAGGAGATTATAATAGGTAGAGAATTTTATAGCTTTGAAAAAACAAAATGAAGAGGTTCCTACCTTTGTTAATTCTAAAGAAGCTAGAAGGTATGGAAAAAAGTTGTTTTAGACATAGAAAAGTAAGAAGAGTTTGAAATGGTTGACAATGAGAGTGGAAAATAAGAAATGAGTTGGCCAGATATTTAGGGCCCATTTGAAGTTAGTAATCATGTGATACTCGGTAACAGTGTTTAGTTGCTTGGGTGTGAACTCAGAGAGAGCAGATAGTTGGATCCATCCAGGGCTGAATTTTGCCACAAGGGAGCACCTAAGAGACAGGGTAGCAAGGGAATTTAGAATATTGGCAAGAGTATCATTGAAAATGATGTAGCATGGCATCTAAGTTAGATAAAGAGAGAAGAGAAGAGAAGATGATTGATTGGGAGAAAGTGGGAGACTACAAGACTTAAGAGTTCCAGTGAGATTGAAAAATGGTTACAGCAGAACTGGTTGAAAGCAAACTGATGGGATAGGAGACTGTGGCCAGAAAGAGGGGAGCTTGAATTTAGAGCTATTCCATGTGATGATAGTGTCCAAGACAAAGCCATGACTGATGTAGAGTGGACAAAAATGTTTCCCCTTCCACCCCTACAGATTGAAAGCTTTGTGACAGCACCTTCTGAGGTGTATTTTGCAGAATATTTTCTCTCCCAAAAGATGCAAATAGTAATACATTATTAAGACTCTGAGACATATTGCATTAATGAATCTGTTTAAATTTGTTTAACTGTGCATTTCTAAAATCTGTGGGACTACAGAAGCTTTTGTACTATGACATCTATTAATGGCCATTTAAACTAGGGTTTTTCCATACTTTTGAGCAGTTGTTTTATTTGTTATGTGCTGAAACTGTTAAATTAATGGGAATAAGTGAGAATAATTATCACAACATATGTGTTTAGTTTATAAAGAATTTAATCTACATTAATATATATCAATATCAAAAGATTTCTTTTCCTATTAAAATTAAATGTTTCTAAAACCTAAAAATGTAAGTTAATATATTGTTTTGTTAGTGATCATTGTGACATTTGAAGTTGCTTATTGAAAATCTTTAATTAGTAATTGATATTCCAGGAAAGCCTACTATATTAGTTCTATACAATAGTTACCCAAGTTGGATTAGTTAAAACAAAGAAGAGTTTACCCAGTCATGTAGCTGGATATACACAGAAGTTCAAACCATGTCGTCAAGGATTTGTTTTCATTTCGCAGCTCTACCTTCTGTTGTATGGACTTCATTCTCAGGCAGGATGTACTGATGTCCTACAGTGTGACAGTTTCTCTCAGAGAGGCTGAGGATGGGACAAGCACTTAGAATCTGACTGACTTCTTTCTAAAATGCATCTCCTGGTTGGATTTTATTAGCTGACAAAAGAAGTACAATATTATAACCACCATCTTTCTTTATTTAAAAATTTTAATTTTTCTATATTTTTATTAAATCTTAGGATTTTCGTTTAGGTTCTTAGTTTCTGATTCCATTCTAATAAATAAAATCTTGACTGAGGACTTGAAACTCCAAATGTTCCCAGTTACTAGTTGCAGTAACAAAAGGAGCTCTGATAAGAGTATTATTGATGCATGTACAGTACAAGAATACTAAACATTAAAACCATTCAGGAACTTTTTAGATAAAGTTGGAAACTTAAAACATTTACAGAAATGAAATATGTACTTAGTAATCTTTATTGCGTCCTTGTGAGGTCCTCTGCAACAAATACAAAACCCATAAAACTTATCCTCTCTATCCCCTGAAACTCATCAATAAAGGAAAACAAAACAAAACCAAACCAAACCCCACAAAATAACACATCAAACTTTTGAGACATTTGGCCTTTAACCTGTTAAATTATTTTCTGAGGAATGTAGCCTTTAACTGTGTAGTAATTGACTGTCATAGAAAATGGTAGTCAAAATCAAATCTGTAGCTTTTGACAAATTAGTGGTCTTTTTGATGGACATTTTAGTGAATAACCATAAAAGATGTTTTTATGTTTTCCTGCTTTATAAATAAAGGAAAGTAAAATGATGACTAGTGTTAAACAAATTACTGGCCTTAATGAAAAGCATATGAAATTTATATCCAGGTTGGATATGGAAAGTCACAAGAGACCATCATTTCTTCCTAACAACCAAAATAAGCTACAAAATAGTAGTTTTTAGAAACCTCATCAGACAGCTAAGGACAGAAGTAAACCTAAATGAACCTACATCCAGAAAGTGACAGGCCTTTTACAGGAAAAAATAGACCCATGATTACTTTCATCCTCGGTGGAACTGTATGAGCAGATCAATCCTCAAAAGTTTTTAAGAGATTTGTAGCATCAGGTGTAGGCCGATGTGAAAGATTAGAATCTAGAGGAGCCTAACCCACAGAGCGAAGCACTATCTACCCATCTACTCTTACTCAAGTGTTTTCACTGGGTGAAGCAGTAGATCAGAGAAGGAGACTTGAGAGATACTTCAGATGAAATCCTCAATACATCAGAATGGTGGTATGTAGGGTGTGTTTCTGATGAGGGGTGTGGGCGTGGGGAGGAGTTCAGGCAGAAAAACTGAGTACTCTAGGCTTTCACTTACAAAAGAATATAAGAGCCCCTTCCCAAACTGATTCTCTGTAGGGAATTCTGGGTCTTCACATTCTAGGGCAATGGCCCTTCAAAGACTAGGCTGGGGAATGGGTATTAGAGCTGAAAGTTGTCTTCTTAGGTACATAAAGTAGTGGGTGAGAGCAAAGAGACTTCTCTCTCCCACCCGAGAGGCTGTAAAGCTGGGAGAGATCTCCTGTATTTCCTAAAGCTGGTGGATCAGCTTTGAAGCTGAGGGAGGATGCTAGAATCTCATCATGGCTCAGCTTTATTTCTAGATGAAGGAAAACTGATCTCTCTCAAAGTATTTGAAGGCTGTGGCAATTGATTTAAACTAAAACTGTAGCAAAGGCTAGAACCAACTTATTAACTACAGCTCCAACTCTCCAGCAGCCTGTCAAAAAAAGGAGTGGGTATGTCCATTTCTTGAGGAAAATATTCTTGAATTCAGACTCTACTGTTCTTTTATACAAACTGTCTGGCCTACAATCAAAGATTATATGACACACCAAAAAGTGAGAAATTTGACCCATAGGCAAGAAAGTAGACCCAGATCTTGGAATTATGAGATATTCGTTAATATAGCCGTTACAAAAATGCTTAGGGATGTAATACTTTCACTCTCATTATAAGGTATTCCTTGTCTCACAGTTTATTAGTTTAAGTCAAGTAGAAAAATTTACTGTTGTATCGTTATGTCCCTAAATTGTATTAAAAGCAGAATCTTAGTTAAGATACCTTGATAATCTAATTTATAATAGTTATGATTTTTCATACAAGCAAATTACACAGTTGTTTACTGAGCAAAGTCAATCAGCTCTTAAGTTGTATCAGTGAGATGCTCATCAGGAAGCTGGTTGGTGTGCATCTTGTAGTACTGGATAATTTACAAAAAACGTATTTTGGTGAAGGATGGATGAATAGGCAGAGCACAGAGGATCTTTAGGACAGTGTTGGCTACATGTTGTTAAACATTTGTCCAAACCCATAGAATGTACAGCAATAAGAGCAAACCCTAATGAAAACTATGGACTCTTGAGTGATAATGATCTGTCAATGAAGGTTCTCAACTGTAACACAGGCAACACGCTGGAGGGAGATGTTGATAATGGTGGAGGCTGTGCATGTGTGGGGGCAGAGGACATATGAGAAAATCCATTCCTTCCTCCTGCTTATGCTATGAACCTAAGACTGTTCTAAAAAGTAGTCTTTAAAAAAATATGTTTAGCCATTTTGGTCACACATTTGGGAAAAGCACCATGGAACGTGAACTGGCTATTGAATAGGACGGGAGCTAATTATAGCCTTCTTCTTGGGTCTTATTTCCCTAGAGACATCTTATTTAAGAGATACAGAATAAAGAAAGCAAAAAGAATGATTTATGACATTTTACAACCTGGATCTCACCGAACTCTATTCTGTTTTACTCTAGGTTTCCTTAGCATTGTTGTTTTAAAACAAGATCTTAATAATCATTCAGATGTTTGTTTTGTGCATTTGGTTTCTAATTTCATTATTTCAGAAAATGAATATGCTTGATTTAGCAAGGGGGTTTTCTTTCTTTTAATAAATATTCTTAATATGCAAGCATCAAAGAGAAAAGACAGCATGACAAACTGAGTTACTAGAGAGTGAATACTTCTAAAATGATTTGCCTTTAGTCAGAAACCCTGTTGCTAAAACAAATCATTTAGAAACTGTTTTAATACTGAAATTCTGTATCCTGATGGGAATAGAAGCTATCTATCTTTCATTGTGCCCAGCAAATCAGCATTTTCAAAACCTTAGGTTACTTACTTATAAATGCATTTTTTTAAAATGAAGGACATACTGATATTTACAGTATTTCATTTACATTATGAGCTGTAATGTAGAATTTTTTCAGAAGGTAGTCTTCTCTGGGGTTATAATTTCCCTGTAGTTATTTCTCACAAAATCCCTCTGAATTTTATGCCTGCTTTGCATAAGAAGCCCCTAAGATATTTGGCACTCAGCCTGGAGTTTGAGCATGAATATTATATTTTTCTTGATTCTTATTGCCTCCTGATTTTAATAAGTAGCTGGCTGTTCCTACAGAGCCAAATAATCACTTTCATTGTTCTGTCCAAGAATGTTATTAGATTGGGTTTATTTACATAAGTCTGTGAGAAATAATATTCAGTTTTTGTTTTAAAGACCCGTTATTAACAACAACAGTAAAGGTCTTCCTTTCACGATAGTTCAGCCTTCTCATTGGTTCATATTCAAAGGGTACCTCAGGCGAACTGTGACTAACTGCTCCAAGGAAAGTACTCATTGCCAGCCTGGTACCATGAAACTCTTCTCTGGGGTTTTCATTAATGATCAGCGTAACGCAAATGATGGGGAGTTGGACAAAAGTCACAGAATTTTTGAGATGAAAATTTTATCTAGCCAGTGCCTTTCTTTTTTCTGATGTGGAAACTGAGAGCCAGGGTAGTTGAGTAATTTGCTCAGACTCATACTCTTTATCCCTTCTGACTTCAAGAACCTTATTCCTTTGCCTTAGTGCCTCCTTTCAGAACCTCACTTTGAGAACTGTTATATGCTTTTTGGTTGTCACTTTCTACAGCAGCCAGATAGGCAGTCATTGGTTAGAGCTTTTGATCTTTGTCAGAGCCACTCCAATCAGCAGAACCTTAATTCTTGCCCTTTATATCTTTGTGCTTTAGTGCGCAGGGAATGGGGGCACTAAATGGAATATTGCAGTGAAAGAGCCTTTTTCACTGCAATTTTCTAATGAAGGATAATTTCAAAACTTGATAGGTATGATTTTACTTTAAGTAATTTAGGTATTTTTTTAATAGAGTTTTTCTGTTTGTTTGTTTTTATTTTTTGTTTGTTTTGAGACAGGGTCTTGCTCTGTTGCCCAGGCTGGAGTACAGTGGTACAGTCTGGCCTCACTGCAACCTCAACCTCTTGGGCTCAAGCCATCCTCTCACCTCAGCCTCCTGAGCAGCTGGGACTAGAGGCACACGCTACCATGTCTGGCTAATTTTTAAAAACTTTGTAGAGATGGGGTCTCACTGTGTTGCCGAGGCTGGTATCAAACTCCTGGGTTCGAGCAATACTCCCCACTTGGTCACCCAAAGTGCTGGAATTACAGGCATGAACCACCAAGCCTGGCATAGAGTTCTTTTTAACTGATAATAGATAAACTTGTAATTATTATGAACCAGTCTCTTAGTTTTATGTGTATGTGTACACACACACACACACACACACACACACACACAAACACACACACTGTCTCATTTAATTTTAAAATAATGAAAAACTATTCTTAAATGAGATGCGAAACTGATACTGTACCTAGAACTTTTCTTTCAAGCCAAGGTAATAGTTGTACTTACAGCACTTTTTCTGAGCATCTCATCAGAATATTATTTTACAATTTCAGGTATTATTTAATAACATTGCTTCTCCCTTCACCCCTTCATTAGTCCCCTACTACCTCCATTGTGAGGGGCCATCCTTTTGCCAGAACTAATTCCTACACCTCCTTTATCTGGAAAATGTATCTTGCCATTACTTGAGGTGAGTAAAATGAGAGTATCACCACCAGCCCTGCCAGGCCTAAAAGCAAACTTAGGCATTGTATTCATGGCAGTTGAAGGGAAGTTTTTTAATTTTAATTTTTAAAAGTAGCCATTTGATTGTTTGATGTAAAAATCAACCTGTCAATGAATTCAGCACAGTCTGATGTGTTATTAGGTAGACTGTAATTTAAAGCTGATACTAGATGTTACATAGACAGGAACTACATGACAAATGAGTTTCATGTTTTATTTGTAGAAATCTGGGCACCAAATGATCTGGCACTGGTTGGCATGTTTTATTAACCCTATTTGCATTTTGATTGCTGCTATATGAAACTTAAGGTCTCATTATTATTTTTGATAATATGTTTTTAGGCCAACCTATCTATAAAGAACCTTCATATGAAAAGATGTTTTCACTAATTGTATCCTGTCTAACACACAATATGTTATGCTTTGTAACTTAATATAAGGGAGCAATTTTTAAAGTTTTCTTTATCCCCTAACTGGACCTCTCCATTAGATAATTCTAATCCATTGGGTAATTTTAGTATTACGCACTTAGAAAATGTTTTGTTTTGATATTACCAAAGGGTTTTGGGAGAAAGCATGTGGCCAAGAATATGTACATTTACTGTTACAGAGATATACCCTAGGTATTGGAGACAAAAGAAACAAAAGATGTTATTTGTGACCTACTTACTTGTTTTCCAGAAGTAAAATTTGGCATCACTAATGCTGGAAGACATACGGAATTAGTGTGCTTGACAAAAGGATCTCTTGTTCTTTTGTCTGCTGCTGATTAGCAGTTGAAATGTAGTCGTCATTGGAAAATTGACCAATACTTCCATTACAAAACCACACGTGCTTTGCTCTTGGTGCCCTTCTTATGTCCTAGTTTTGGTTTTTTTTCCTTTTTCCCTCTTTTTTTCTGCCCTCTTACCTACCCCATTCACTTATGTTTATAAAATGGATCTAAAGATTTGAAATTTTAGGAAAAGTTTCCTTCATTATGGTATATGATATTCAGAAATACACATTGTGTGGCAAATAGCAATCTGGATTTGGTAGGATTGGTGGTAGGTATGTCTGCCATTACCTTCTTATTTTACTTCATCCTCCTCCCACCCGCCTTTCTCCTCCTTATCATCAGGATCATTATGATGGTCATCATCATCATGTGAATCTTTGGGAAACTTCCTAGGTACTGAAGTGAAATTCACCTTTAAAAAATGTGTTCCATATACTTTTATTCCTGTTTTTTTTTGTGATTATTTTTTCTTATTTGAATTCCCTCCCAACTATAGTCCTATCCGAAATAGTCTGTTAAATAGGTTCCTTATAGCTTGTGTTCTTTTTTGCATGTGTTAATACTTGGTTTTCTGTGAATTTCCTTTGCATTTCTTGTTTTCATCTGTATGAATTCTATATGAATTGCTATATGAATTTCTATTTCTTTCTTATTGTTTCCCCCAAATCAAAACATTTGTTGAGGGGTCAGTAAAGTAAAATGCTATAGAGTTTATGTGTATTTGGTTATTTGTTATCTTGAATGTCAGGAAGTTTATATTTTATTTAGTTGGAAGACATGATGGATAAGCTGTGGATAAGTACCTAAATACATAAATGTCTATACATATTGGATAGTTTACTGTTGCTGAAGGCTTGTTTCTTAATCCCTCCAGGAAAGAAAGGAGAGGCTATCCAAATTTGAATCTATTCGTCATTCAATTGCTGGAATAATTAGGTCTCCAAAATCTGCACTGGGCTCTTCAGCAGTAAGTAGGATTAACTCTCTGTGCTACTGAAAATGGTCATTGTCTAGCTTCTTTCTGATGCACTAATGAATATATATATATGTGTGTGTGTGTGTATATATATGTATATACATATATAAATTTGCACTTACAAATGGAAAGATAAGTGCATAATTTAACTTTTTGTGTGCATATGAATCTGTCTATATATGTGTATAGTAAAATCCCATGTAACATTGACATAGGGAAGACAGAAATAAACTTGAATTATAGGCTTCCTTTACAATATACAAATAATTATGAGAAACATTTTATGTACTTTGATTCTTACTGGAATAATAGTGTAAACAATTCTTTTCTAGTGAAACATAACCTTTTTACAGTAGGGATTACTATATATATTTTAAAAATGTATTTATGTGTATATTTATATTTTAAAGAACATTTTGATTATAAAATTGAAGTCTGTTTGATAGATTAATCATTGAAATGTGGGTTTGGCATATCACAGTAGTGCTAGAGTATTAGTTGTCTTTAGTAACAGCAGTTTGGCCATCTCATACACATGAACAAACACACAGAAGAGTTTCTCTAAAGCATTAGTTCTATTTACTTGGAGAAGGAGTTTTTTTTCCCCCTCAAACACACAGGCACTCCAGTGTATACACCCCTAACAAGTACTAGTCTAATTCTGGTCCTGATGGATTTACCTACACTGGATATTTCACATAAATAAAATCATACAATATGTGACCTTTTGCATGTAGTTTCTTCCATTTATAATTCTTCCAAGGTTCATCCATGTCATACAATGTGACAGTACTTCATTCCTTTTTGTGACTGAATAATACTCCATTGTATATATTTACCACATATTGTCTATCTATTCACCAGCTGATGGACATTTGGTTGTTTCAGCTTGTTGGCTATTATAAATAATGCTGCTATGAACGTTCGTTTTCAAGTGTTTTTCTGTGTATATGTTTTCAGTTCTCTTGGGTGTGTACCCAGGAGTAGAATTTCTGGGTTATATGGTAATAATTCTCTATTTAAGCTTTTGAGGAACTGCCAAACTGTTTTTCATGGTAATTATACCATTTTACATTCCCATTAGCAATATATGAATATTTTGATTTCTCCACATTCTTGCCAACAATTGTTATTTTAAATGTTTTCATGTTACAGGCATTCTAGTGGGCGTGAAGTAGTATCTTACTGTAGTTTTAATTTCCATTTTCCTAATGACTAATGATGTTGAGCATTTTTTCATGTTCTTATTGGCAGCTTATATGTGTTCTTTGGAGATGTGTTTATTAATATTCTTTGCACATTTTAAAATTGCTTATTTATTGTTGAGTTGTAAGAGTATATATTCTGAAAACAAACTCCTTATACATATAATCTACAAATGTTTTTTCTCACCCTTCGGATTTTTTTTCACTTTCTTGTTAATGTCCTTTAACACACCTAAGTTTTTTATTTTGATGAAGAGCAATTTATTTTTTCCTTGACTGTGTGTGCTTTTGGTTGTCAAAAAAAAATCGTCTAATCCAAGATTATGCTGATAATTCATCTTTGTTTGTTTTCTTCTTAGAGTTTTATTCTTCCACTTATATCTTTGTTTATTATTGGTTAATTTTTGTATATGGAGTGAGGTACAGGTTCAAATTTTTATTTATTTATTTATTTAATTTATTTATTTTTGAGATGAGGTTTCAATCTATTACCCAGGCTGGTGTTGAGTTCCTGAGCTCAAGTGATCCTCCCTCCTCGGCCCCGCTAAGAGTTCAAATTCATTCTTTTGCATATGGAAGCATATTTAACTTAAAATCTTTAAAATGCAACAACTATGAATCACTGTTTATGCAAATAAACATACAAAAATTAGAATGTTAAAGCATAATTTTAGATAAAGTAAAGCAAATGCATTATATATAGGAAAATGAAATTAGAATTAATCGCAATGGTATTTTTACTGGACGTGACATAACGATTTACCTCTGTTTTTAACAGTATCTTTAAAATGTAGAGCTCCCTTTAAAGACAGTCTAATGGAACGCTTAGATCAACAGTCTTGATAGAAGAAAGAACTTAAGACTTTGGCTGATAGCAGAATTTGTTTTCATCTGAATATTGTATTTGATGTCATCAGATGTTTAATATTTTTTGTTATGATCAGAATAATATTTTAATATGTTATATCAGCTACAAGCATGTGCTTTCCTTTCCAGTGTACCAAAGGGGTTAAAATCCCTATTATTAGTATCTCAGATTACTGAGGCTACAGTTACATCTAGCATCTTCCTATCTTAAGGAGGTTATAATTTTGCATTGAGAACTATTTTTCAGAGACTGCTTCTGAAGCCAAGGCCTAGAGATGTTAGACAGTATTAATTACATATTTTAAAAGCCTACTGGCAATCATGAGGGTCCATTCCAATTGAAAGTCTTTCAAACCATATTATATTTAATGAGATCTGTTCCAGTCATGTCAAGAATATTGCCCTTTTTCTAGGGCCATCTATCTACTGCAGAATTTCTATAATGAGTGGCTGAGCAAATCGCTTGTTCCATCTTACAGCCACTCATGAATACTAGTTGTATCACTGATATATGGAGTGAATAATGCCCGTCTGATAGTAGCAGTCTTTGAAAAATATTCTTTAAAACAAAAATAAAGCACATTTTGGTCCAAATGGTTTGTTCTTTATATAGATAACAGAAGAATTATTAAATTATTCAACAGCAGTCTCCTTAAAATTCATATTTTCTACACTCTGTTGACATGGGTGCTATTTCAATTTTAGAATTACTTTGTACTAGAATTTAGAAAATCAAAATATTAGAAAATAAAAATTGCTTCCTTCATATAGAATAATATTGTAAGTAAGATTTGCTTGCTTGCTTGCTTTTTAGAAACATCATTCAGTTATGTTAAGTTGTACATCAGTTGTAATATAGTGTTATAATGCTTGGCTTCCACCAGTGGCATAGGGGAATGTAGCTATTTTCATGCATGATGTGAACTGCTTGTATTTTTTAGTGTTCTCCTTTGAGTCTAGAAAAGCGGCCTTGTACTTTCTTTAATCAAGGCACGTTGTCAAGTTCAGGTTAAATAGTATACATTTTAAATATATCAGTTGTCTTCTGTTATTCTTAAGGTCTTAAGTTGCGCTTTCCCCCCATTTATTAATATGTAAAAGAGTGATAAACAAGGGAAAATAAAGATTTTTTGCATTATATCACTCTCATACACTAAATTCTGTCATGTTTAGGAAAATTAAGTTTTGAATCACTTGCAGTATTACATGTAATTTTTCTTAAAGGACTTATTGAGATTGATATTCCATAATTTGTACTGTAATGGAACAAATCTATTGTTTATATGTTTGCTGAAATGCTTAAAACAGATGACAGAGATCATGTCAGACTGATACTAAGTTTATACAGGCAATCCCAACTTGATGATAAATGTTTACATTTACTGAAATATGGTTGCGTATTGACATATTGCAATGATCTGGTAGTAGTTTTAGTTGCAATGTGTGATAAGATTTTAGCATTGAATATAGTTAATTGATGAAAATGTGTTCTTACTGATATTGTGGCACATTTTATATGTAAAATATATGGGTTTAAGGAAAGAATATTTGATACTGAATAAAATGAAACTATAGCAAAAATGTGTTAAAATGATGAGAGAGGATGAGTGAGAGTCACAGGCACAATCGTAAAAGTAACTGGGTAAAAATAATAAAGAGAGAAAAGCATGTTATTACCAATAAATGATGAGTAAGGGAACAAAAGAAGCCGGCAAAAAAGAAGTCGGAGGAAACCCCAAAGGTACTGAAGGAAGCAGAATTGTTAGAAAGAAAGAAAGGTAAAATAAAATACATATTTTGCTAAAGATAGTGTCCCTTATCAGAGACCCAAGAAGGGGTACAAAAAGGCCAGGAAATGGGAAGCTGTGGAGGTAACCTGATACTTGAGTTTGGCTTAGTTGTCTATTTTTGTTTAATAC
This sequence comes from Homo sapiens, assembly GCF_000001405.40. NCBI lineage: Eukaryota > Metazoa > Chordata > Mammalia > Primates > Hominidae > Homo > Homo sapiens. The sequence goes on from NC_000005.10 coordinate 108,950,223, forward strand.
AAGTTTTAGAAAGAATTGTGTACTAATGCTTATCTCTGATTAACATGTAATTCTTTATAGTTACTATCCTAGAGAACAGTTTTATTGTTAGCTAAAAACCAAACAAATTCAAATTCTCAAATATTGTAGTACAAAAAATTGTTAAGAAATTTATGAATAAAAATTTTACAGCTAGTTTCATTATAGAATGTAAATATTAGGTGAAGTATTTTTTTTTGGTTAATGATACCAGTGCATGAAAAAACTGCCAATTCAGCTTTACTGCTAAAAAATCAGAATTTGTAGAATTAAAGATAGTCATTTAGTGCCAAAGACAGAACCACTATTTTAACTAATTTACATCCTGTTTGTCTATCCTGAACACAAATGATCCTGAGGTACAAATATTCGGAATATCTTATTTTTCATTATTTTAAGATTAATTCAATAGATTCAAACGGTAACTATTTAGAAATTTTTAAAAAACTGGAAGGGAGAACATTATTTTTTGTTTTCATTTTATATTAAACATTTAGTATATCTGTACAAATAAAAAAATTATGTTCAACTATCAAACTAGAAATGGCATAAAATACACTTTCCTACCTATGATTACATTTCCCTTTCACTGCAAATAATTTTTACTACCACCAGGCACATTCGGTAGACTAGTGTTTCCCATCTTTTGTAAACAGTTGATTTCTCATCCCCTCCCAAAATTCCTAAGTAATACATAGCTTTAAAATAAAAGGGGTCCTATGGAATTAAAAAAAAAATAAATTTATAGGGCCAGGCATGGTGGCTCACACCTGTAATCTCAGCACTTTGGGAGGCTCGGGCAGGCGGATCATGAGGTCAGGACTTTGAGACCACACTGGCCAACATGGTGAAACCCTGTCTCCACTAAAAGTACAAAAAATTAACCAGGTGGGGTGGTGCGCAATCCCAGCTACTCGGGAGGCTGAGGCAGGAGAATCACTTGGACCCAGGAGGCAGAGGTTGCAGTGAGCGGAGATGACGCCATTGGACTCCAGCCTGGGTGACAGAGCAAGACTCCATCTCAAAAAAATAAAAATAAAAATAAATTTCTAGAGATAGGGCCTCACTATGTTGTCCAGGCTGGTCTTGAACTCCTGACTTAAGCAGTCCTCCCACCTTGGCCTCCCAAAGTGCTGTTACAGGATACAGCCACTGTGCCCGGCCAAATCTTAATCTAGTGCCTTAGACCACTTAGCCATGCTACCAGTTGAGTCTTAACGGAATTTTTGAGAAATGTTTAAAATCTTATGAATTACTCTTTGTCACCCTAGTGTATTACTAAACTAGATTTGGAATAACTTATTAATTAGACTATTAAATTAATGTTAATAACTAAATTTACATGAGAATAGAAAAGATAATTAAATGTCATTTTCATGTTAAAAATTCAGAATTTAAAAAAGTTTGTGTTGAAGTTTTATTTAGGTTGTTCAAGCTCAGTAAGGGTTTTACTTGTATATTTTTGATGCTGTTTTATTCTTGTTTTGCTTTTTTCAAAATGGTTTATTGTGTAATTAATTTTAATAGAATCTAGACCAGATATTTTTAAAAAACATTTTTGTTTTTGCCTCCCAAAAAGAAGCTCATCTTGCTACTCAAATGCTTGAGTAAAGGTATACAAATCTTCATTACATACTTGAGAATTAGCCTGGACCAGGGTAAGGAGAAAAAAATAATCTCTTTTTCTTTCCCCAAGAAAAAAATATTTTCAAGTGCTGCCTCCTTATTGCCTTTTCATATAAAATAATCTCTTTAATTTCACTAATTCCAGCATATTTTTGCTGGACTATTCTTTAGGAACAAGATCTAGGGAAAATAACTAATAAGACAGCTAACCCAATCAATCAGGAAAACTTATTAAATATAACTTATTAACTGTACTGTATTAACTGAAACTTTTAAAAAGGAGGCTTTGCTCCTACCCCCATATCTTTGGCAAAAATCTCAGATAACTTACCAACAAAGAAAAACCCTGTCTATTGAGGCTGAGAAAGATGGGATATTTGAGGTAGAAAGCTTCCTTTCATTTGTGATGTCATTATGGTGGGCTCTTGGGATGTTACATTTTTTTTGCTGATGCATCCTACATATATTACTGTCAAGTTTGTAAAATTGTTTGGGATTTCATTGAAATCATATTGATAAAAATATTCCTTCCAGTGCTTCTAGAGAAGTCTTTGAAAGACCTGATATACCCAGGCAGGGGATATGTGTGACTTTTCCCTGTGTATGTGTGTATATACATGTGTATATACACACATACACTGACAGTAAGTTCAGCTTATATTTCATAACAGTGTTGTATAGGGGATGGGGAATAACAGATCTTTGAGCTTCCCTTCCTACCTACAAAGGAACTAAGAAGCCTATAGAATTGAAGTGTGATCTTTATGAGATAGCAATATAAGTTCCTTACTATTTAGTTTTTTAAAAACAAAACTCAGATACTTTCCCCAGATGACTTTTTCCCCCATACATATTCTTCGTCATATGTTTAAATAAATTTCTTGGAATGCTGGCTGAGCTTTTGTACTTTTTTCCACCTTAATTAGTTCATCGAACTCTGTTCATCATTCTCTCAGTTGGAAATAAATGCAAATTTGGAAGGATAGATTGGCTAGGACAAGAAATCAACAGGTAGCATCCTTGTTTGGGATGCTTTCCTGTTACGTTGACCTTTTAGAGAGACAATGATAAAAAGTCCTTTGTAAAGATGTTACATTGAATTTCTTGTATTCAGTAATAACTGTTGAATAAATAAGCAGTTTTGCTATTGGTGAGACAGAAATATTTCTATTATAGTAAAAATTTTAGAATTTACTCTAATTAGATGCACTATCATAAAATTTTAAAATAAAATTTTTGATTATAAAAATAGAAAACATTTGATTATTTTTACTTCTTTAATAATTGTAAATTATTAGTATCAGTATATACAAAAAGTTAATTTTGTGTAGATTATGCGTTTGTTTTTAAAAGCAATATTCTTTTACCTCATAGTCGTGGGTGGGTCTTTAGATAAAATTGCTCTTTAAAACAATTTTTGGGAATACATTAAACCATTTTTTGAAATAAAATATATATGTTAAATATGATACAATATTATTTGTCATAGTTTGCATGAAAATTAAAAGACTTAGTTTACCAAAACTTCCATATATAGTCACAAACGGAATATATTTTAAAAGTTTAAAATGTTATTTAATACAAGTGGAAGAAGTAAGAATCAGAATGTAGACTTTCCTTGAGGTCTGTTTGGGACTTTTCAAGTTTTTTATTGTTGTTTTGTTTTGTTCTTTTAACCAACAGAATGAGTTTGGATAACATGAAATAGAACTTTGAGCAGTAAGTTTTGGGTCTCCTCAGTGGTACGAAACAATAAAGGCTATGTTAAAAACCAGTTTTTACTTACTACAAAATTACCATACTTTGGCCCTACCTAGAATTTATATCAGCCTATAAAACTTCATATATGAATATTTGCCTTTCGTTTATTATTAATTCTGATTTTTCCAATTTATAAATTACTTTCTCATGAGGCATTGTGCATATTGTATTTTGAGAACCTTAAAAGTTAGTTCAGATTACTGTACCTTAACCGCAAAGTACTCTCTCTATCTGGAGCAGTTTAGTTCCTGTGTGCCATAAAAACAACAACAACAACATCAACAAGATTCTTACTTGTAATCAGAAAATGTGTGATTTAATCTACTATCAGCACATTTCAAGGAAATACAATCATCTCTTAAATTATCTCTGACTTGGTGTTAGCATTTGGCCTCTTAAAATAACAGAGAATTTGCTTTCTCTACCATGCTCATGGTTTATAACCACTCCTTATCTTTGCCATGTGTTTGTAATTGCATGTTGGTGGTTTTCAGTGATGCTATTTCTCCTAGGGCTTTATCTACCATTGCTTTGTAGAAGCAGGGCCAGCCATGTGGCAGAGGTAATGGTTAAGGAAGTCAGGTGAGTGAAGATAAAGACAGAAAGGCACAGCAGCAAGGCAGCATCAAATAAAACCTGAGATAGTACTCCTGGAATGTATGACACTGCTCAGAACCTCTGTGATCAAGAGTTAATTACATAAAAAAGAAATAACTCAACTTTTCATTTACATAAAAATTAAGTTATTTTGTGATACATTTCTGTTAATTCCCTCCTTTTCTTCATAATTTCTCTGGTTGATAATTTTAGTATATAGATTTATTTTAGGACATGGTGAATAAGATTATCAGTGCTAACTCTAAATGCTAATATTGTGTCTACCTTTGTATGATAGATAAAACAAAGTGTTGAAGCATATGTATTTGTGGTAAACTTCAGCACCAGTACTTCAAAAGATATTTTAGGTTTATTGTATAACTTTTAATTGGTCAATTAAAGGGAGGAACATTTGTAAGAAGCCTTTATAGTTGCTATGAATTTTATTAGAAAATAATCAGTATTTTCTCTAATTTAGTTTTTTTTTTTTAATATTTGTTTAAGCTTTCTGATATGATCTCCATCAGTGAGAAGCCTTTGGCAGAACAGGACTGGTACCATGGTGCAATTCCCAGAATAGAAGCTCAAGAACTGTTAAAAAAACAAGGAGACTTTTTGGTGCGAGAGAGTCATGGGAAACCTGGTGAATATGTCCTTTCTGTATATTCTGATGGACAGAGGAGACATTTTATCATACAATATGTTGATGTACGTTTCCAGTTTAGTTCATATGTATATTTTGATGTAGTTCATTGCGGTACAATTATATTAAAATAACGAATGGTTTGTGATAAATGCCTGCAACACTTGAAATTTAGCACTTAATTTTTTTCTGAATTTCTTAAATACAGTGCTTCAAAATGTACTAACATTTAAATATGTTTAAGGAAACATGTATTTAGTAATATTTTAAATTAAAAATAATGTTTATAAAATCAAAGTATATAGCTATTTAAAATATGTTGTTAAATTTGAACATTAAAGATATTTTGAATTAAAACTAAAAACAATGTGATTATTATAAATTTTTTTCTAGAGAAACTTAAGTTTATGAAACTTATACTTTTGAAATTGGAGCTTGGAATTGTTTTCAGAATGGTGCCATGAAAGATTTTTAAGAAATATTTTATTCAATAGTAATAATAAAATTTCTTAATGAATGGGATGATGGTTGAATTGGTTTTTATAGATAAGCTCTTGTTTATTGGCATTAATAATGAATAGAAATTAATGAAGAATTAAAAATCTATTTACATTGATTATTCTAATGCTAATTTATTTTTTGAAATTTATTTAAGTATTGCTAAACTACTTTCTATGTTTGTTACATTTCTTTATTGAGCCTTAAACAGATGAAGAGTAATTTCAAAATTTAGCTTTACCCACTAAGGAATTTTAATGTTTTTGGCATATGAAAGAATTGATGCCTCTGTTTGTTTTCCATTCCCATCATTTCAAATGGCCTGCATTTTCAAGATTGCTATCCACAGGATTTCATTTTATGTTGAGAGACTAGGGTGATACTAATTGCCTTACAGAAATTGAACCATGATCATTAGATGAACTTGAGGGCTTAGATAACTTAGTAACAGGTGTATGTACACAGACATGCACATGTGCACATACATCTCTTAATAAGTTTATATATATATAAAACGTATCTTTGAGCTGACATTCACATACCATACAATTAATCATTTTAAAATGTAGGATTCAGTGGCATTTAGTACATTTACATCTCGTAGTTATAGCTAAATGAAAGTAGATACCATTCAAATAGGTTAAAAGGAATATATCCATTAAAGTATTTCCACTATCATAATGTTCACACTATTCGTTAATTTTTCGTAGTATTCAGACCTCAACTTGATAATCATATTTGCCCACATTCATACATCTAACCTACTGTTTTGGAAACTATGTTGTTTCTAATAATGTGTCATTTTTTATTTCCTTGGCAAACTCTTTTGTAATTTGTATATGCCTTTAAGTTATGAATTTAGATAACCTACCCTATTACAATTTGCGACCATATTGCCAATATTTATTACGTGGTATGAGAATTGTAGAAGGAAAGATTGTAGGTAAAGTATAAACTCGTTAACCACAACTTGTATGAATGTTTCATTTTATTTTCTAAGCTCTAAAAGTAACTATTTTTGAAATATGTATTATGTAAACCTGAAATATTTGTCTTATTATCACTTCTAGTTTAAATTGTAACTATAAGTATTTAAATTAGCGTTCTTAGAAACAAAAAGGAAAGGGTCAGTGTGCAAATTTTTGCTTGTTTTTAATATTGCCATTTTAAGTGGCTAAAATGAGCAATATAATATATGCTAAAAATAAGAGGTTACGAGTTCACATTTGATAGTTTTATCTGGTTTCCTTCTGTCACTGAAATTTTTCAAATATCTCTGTTAAAGATGAGAACATTTATTTTTCACTAAATGCCTCAGGTTTTCTGCTGCCTAATTTTATTCTAGTGAGTTTTTGCTGTATAGTGTTGAGCTCCTGAAGCAGTTGTAAACAGTTTAAGATGATATAGACAGTTTTAATTCTTTTTCATTTTGTGCAGGTGAATCTTCCATGAGCTAAAATTATCCTATTAATTGCCTCATATACCTGTTGACTAGAAGGGGTCAATAAATGGGGAAATTCATTAACAGATATTTAATGAGTGCCTACTGTATTCTAATGAAGGAGTTTATATTATACGAGCTGTAAGTAAATGAGTCAACAAGTGTTCCAATAGAAGAGGTTATAAAGTAATACAAGATTTTAGAGGAGTTAAAAATATTAAATAGTTGATCAATAAAAAGAGCACTGAATTTGGAGTTAGAACACTTGGCTTTCAGTCCTAGCTCTGTCTTTACTTGTTCTGTGGTTTAGGAAATAAAGGGGGTTAATATCTTAAAGAGTTTTTGCGAGAATCAAATCAGTGAATACATACTTTGCAGGACGTGAAATTAAATAAACCAATAAGGCAGCATAGAAATGAATACTGGAAAGCTCATGTACTCATGCATTCATGCATTCAAGACATTGAATACAACATTTAATACAAAGTATAAATAGACATTTCTCCAAAAAGTTGTACAAATGGCCAGTAGGTATTATGAAAAAATGCTCAGTATCACTGATCATCAGAGAAGTACAAATCAAAACCACAATAAAACATCATTTTATCCCAGTAGAATGGCTATTATTAAAAACACAAAAAAATAATAAATGCAGGCAAGGATGTGGAGAAAAGGGAACTCTTACACACTGTTGATGGGAATGTAAATTAGTAAATTCATTATGGAAATCAGTATGGAGATTTCTCAAAAAGCTATGATAGAACTGCCATATGATCTAGCAATCCCACTACTGGGTATTTATCCAAAGGAAAATAAATCAGTATACCAAAGGGATACCTGTACTCCCATGCTTATTGCAGTACTATTCACAGTAGCAAAGATAAGGAATCAATCTGTGTCCATTAACATTTATTATTTGTCTGGTGATTTGACAATTGAATGTGTGCCAGTACATGTACCATATACTGGGTAAAGTGGTTTGCATGTTAATAGTTATTCAACTCTTTTACTCTGTGAGGAGGTACAAATATTATCTCTGTTTCACTAAGGAATAAGCTGAGACACTGAGAGATCTTTCTCAGTGTTTTGCACACCTAGAAACATATATTATTAGAAATAGGTTAGTACCTTCAGTGTGAAATATTCTTAAGGATCAGTGCTAATATATCATAGGAGGTCTGCCTACTATGTACAAAAGTTCTTTAGGCAGTGAATTAACAACTGCTTTGAACTGATTCAAACACTAACTGCCCTTGAGTTGATTTATTCTCCATAGTTAAGTGTTAAAGTAAACTAATGCGTGTTTGTTCATTACTCAATGAAACAAATATTCATTTAAAAAGTTTTATATAAATTAAATTTTGATACATTCAATCTTTTTTATTTTATAGTATGGAAAAAGAGCTTTGAGTTTTTAAACTTTCAGCTGGGAAAGTAATCTTCCAGTAATGCAAGTAATGTCAGAATTTAGTCAGTTTCGAAAGTTCTTATTTCTTCACAGCATTTTCTTAAAATGGGGGTACTCCCATATCTGTATTTGTATATATCTTCCTGGGTATGAGAACTAGCAGTTGGAAGCTTTTGTTACATTGCATTGCAATGCTTCTTGCTTTGAAAAATATGGCCAATAGGGTATTTTTGATTTGCCAGGTTTATTGCTATCAATTTATCCATATGACAACCTACTCATAGGCCAATTTGAAATATGAAAACAAGAGAAAAGCGGTCTTGGAGGAGTTTGAGGAAAATTGCACCTTACCTGGTGATATGCAATTAAAAAATGCTAAGATTTGAGCGTGTTGATATCTACAGTTTTGTCACTGTTGCATTTTATTTCTTTATCCAAGATGTGTGAATGAGTGTTTTTGGTAATTAATAATAAATGAATACTCCACTACAGAAAGCAAACTAATACTGTATCAGCAGATAGAAAATAAATGATCAGATGTATTAAAATATTTACCATCAGATTGGATATCTTTCCTTATATTTTTGACATTTTTGATATTGAAAGTTTTATCAAATGGAACACATATGTAGACATATGTAAACATGTATCTTGTCCAGTAACTCAGGTGTATCCCATGCTTTGTTTCCTTTGGTTAGCATTTTAGCAAAATGCATTTCAGGTCTGTTTGTTAGATTTTTTATTTTTCAACAATTTGAATTAGATTTAAACATTGTGAAAATTGATTTATCTGTCACAAGGTAGAATTTTAAAACATGTCAGAGTTTTATTTATCTATTTATATTTTTATCATCTTAACCATTTTTAAGGGTATAGTTCAGTAGTGTTAAGTATATTCACATTGTTGTGCAATTATAGTTTTTTTAAGAAAGGAATCTAATTTATCAATGAATGTAGATTTTCTAAAGCAATGTCTTCACATTTATTCTACCTTATTGTTCTCTCTCCAGAACATGTATCGATTCGAGGGCACTGGGTTTTCAAACATTCCTCAACTTATAGATCATCACTATACAACAAAACAGGTCATCACTAAGAAATCAGGTGTAGTTCTGCTGAATCCTATTCCTAAGGTAGGTGCTTATATACTTTTTTGTCTGTTTGTTTTAAAAGAATTTTTGGTGAGTTAACATTTCCAACAGTAAATAAAATTCTTAGGTTATATGCTAGTAGTTCAGAAAAAAAGTTTTGTTTTTGTTTTTCTAGCTTTTATTACTAATGCAATTGAAACATGAAACTTCCTTGATTTTATTAAGATGAGCTGCTTTCTTATTCAGTATTTGCTAGTATACAGATGGCTTGGTTTTTTTTCCCCTTTCCTAGTTTTTCTTCAGACTTGAGGCTTTTCTTCACTTTATAAGGTTCATACTTTGAAAGGTTCAGGTTATAACAGATTCTAAGTTGTATAAGTCAAAGAAAATGTCTAGCAGTTAGGAATAAATTAGGGTTTTAATTTGGGATGTTACATTTACAATGTATTATAAGATATTGGAACTATTAAAAATTAGTCTACTCTTCACAGAAGCAGTAAATCAGAAACTTATCTATGTGGAGCAAGGTGGTTGGATAAGAGATTGTCTTAGGTCATTTTTACCTCTATGATCTATCACAGAAAACACTACTTACATGTGCTTTACAAGATTTGTTCAATAAAGTATGGGTATGTGGAAGTTTTGTGTTTTAAAGGTAAAATCTTTGGGACTTAAACTGAAGTGGAATAATGGAACTGGCTTAGTTTCTGATCACTTTTGATGTTTCAGGAGTTGGGTTGGTATTGGCAAGAGCTCTTTCCTTTCAGGACTGTCTAATATGAAGAACAGCGTAGAAATAGGAAAGCCACACAACTTGGTAGATTAATATTTGTTGATATGACTTTTATACATTTAGGGATTGCTTTTAATTTGAAGTAAGTGCCAGTTCCAAGAATGCTGGTACCTAGTCTGGATTTAGTGATTTGGAAATTTAAAAAACAAGTATTTTATTTCCTTTTGTTAATCTGGGATATAATATCTATATTTGTACTTTTATTGTACTACTGAGTCTTCACTGAGAGGGTGACCTTTAATATTTCTCTCACAGAAGATTTTAACAGTTGTTTGTTAAACATTCTAATTCTCTGGTTAAGGAACTGGCTTTCTTGAACAGTTTTCTATAATTATGAAATTGGCTCATTCTTTGTTAAATTTTTTTATTCATTTTCTACCCTTAATTACCAAAACCATAAAAAATTCTTCTTCAGCCTGAAATAGGTTGTCACATTTTTTCTATAGCAAAATATATATATATATAAATCTTTCAATATTTCCTCCTTCATCTGTAAATGAATGCTGTTATAGAATTCTAAGATATTTTCTCTTTAGTCAAAGCAATCTATTCTCATGGCTTTATTTACTATTTATATATCAACAATTTGCAAATTTATATTTATAACTCAGATTTCTATTTTCCAAAACTGAAATTGTTCAAATTTCCACCTCAAACTGTGCTTATCACCTTTAACTTCAAAATTTGTTGTTTCTTTTTAAACAAGTGATGCCACCAAATACCCAGCTTCTCAAGTCATAAATTGAGGGGTCTTCTTTGACATCTCTTTCTTTTACATCACTGCCCTCCCTCTAACACTCTAGGTTACAATTAAGTATATATCTCTTAAAAATACAAAAGTTAGCTGGGGGTAGTGGCACATGCCTGTAGTCCCAGCTACTTGGGGGGCTGAGATGGGAGGATTGCTTGAGCCCGGGAGGTTGAGACTGTAGTGAGCTGTGATTGTACCACTGCACTCCAGCCTAGGCAGCAGAGTGAGACCCTGTCTCTAAATAAAGTGTTTTGTATGCTTAATTATTCATGTGGAAGTATGAACATCAATTCCAGTATATATCAGTATGAATAAAATTCAGTGCAGGAAGATATTTTTTATCCAGATTAGGTTAACAAAATATACAAATAGGATTTCAGAGATACTGATGTCCCATTTCACAAGTCAACCAAATGTTTGCATTGTCTACAGGCTTAGCCAGGTCTAAATTGGGAGACCAAATCTATAAAAGAAAGAAATAACAACGCAGGTATGAGTTTGACTAGGAATACAAAATTTCAAATAAAGCTATACCCCTTATAATATAAAATTTGCTATAAAACTTTGATAATAGATTAGATTCTCTGGACTATTACATGGTTAATTATTGTTTTTCCAACCCCCAACACTTTGGAATTGATTATCTCACCATCTGATAGAACTAGCTATGAAAATAAATATATACTGGATGCTGTAGAAATTAAATCGTTATATGTGATTTTTTATATGAGGTAGAAATTTAAAGTTTATCTGGGTATTAACCTAATCTAAAGTACTGGTATTTGAAATATGCAAATCATTATCTCAGTTTGTTGCAAATATTATACACTGATTTAAAGGTTCATGTTGCTCTTTTAAAAGAAAATCACAAAGCAGAAGCTTTGAGTTAGATAATTTTCAACTATGAGTACATAACAAATTGATATGGATTTGTTATGGTGGTAGTATCTGTTACTTATCTTCCTTTGAATTATTTGTACTCTTATAACTGAATCTATTTCTTGATTTAATTTGTGTGAAAAGTAAATGTCTTTGATTATATAATGTGCTGTAAAATATTTAATTTCTGTCTTGCTAGACTTCATTTTTAGCCTAAAGAATTCCACTTTAGTTCATTGTAATTTCTATTTCCCATTTATTTCTCTTCCCATTTATCTCTGCTCCTACCCATAAAAATATGTTTATCATCATAATGCCTAACTTGAGGACAGAATGGCCAAAGTAATCTCTTCCTTACCTTCACATTTTTATGCACATTCACTCAGAGGTACCGAAAACTAGACAGGATTAAATTGTTTAACTTTCTCACTTTATGAAAACTAGTGGGTGCCTGAGCCACCCATCCCTCTCCCTGATTTTTCCTGCACTGCCTTCAGAGCTTGTGTAAACATATGGAAGATGGAAGAAATTTTTGTAAAGAGGGGTTATTAATCACCCGTTATCATCATTCTTACATTAGCAAACAAGTTGGACATGTATATGACCTGTTCTTTACTTAATTCAGTTTCTACTCAAATGTCACTTCATCAGGGAGGCCTTGTCTGACTACCATGTATAAAATAACACATCAAGCCCTTTTGCTCCCCCTTCTTCTGCCTTTATTTCTCTTTGTCATGCTAACATTTAAGTGACATTATATTATATGATGTATTTTTAATCATTTGTCTCTCCCAAGTAAAATAACTTCAATAGGGTCACAGTTGTATTTAACAATTAGTGTAGTGTATTTCCAGTGTCTCGAAGAGTGCTGACCCAGGGTAACATTCAATAAATATTTGTTAGAGGATTGAATTCACTGAGCAATGGCTAGGAGCCCAGGTAATTGCTGACCTTTTTATACACATTATCTCATTTAACCTCACATATTCCTATAAAATATTAATAAGAATTGTTGTTAATCTCATATAATATTATTGTTGCTGTTATTGCTATAAAATATTATGAATGAAGAGCTAAAGATTAAAATGGTAAATGAATTCCCCAAGAAAACAGAACTGGTTAAGAGGCAGATCTGGAGTTTGAGCCCACATTCTTAACCACTATATATTTTTCCAGATTGTAGAGTCTAAGTTTTAGAGGCTAAAATAAACTGTTTAATTAATATGAATGTGAGTTTAAGGAAGAGGAAATCTCTTTCATTCTATAAAATATTAACTTGAACAAGATTTTAATATATCAAAAACTATTTGTTTCTATAAAAGAAAAATTACTGAACAGCAATATTGGGTAGGGAAAGCTAGGATTTGAGCTAAAATATAGGGATTGGTCAAATATATTTAAGAAAGACATCTAGTTTAACATTTAAATGACACTTTTGGAAGATATTTGCTTTGTTAAGTTTAATATTTCTTCATATTTAGATGTTTTTAAGTAAGAAATCGCTTTCTGAATCGAAGGTAAAGCAAAAACATTTATGATTAAATGTAGATTAGGCCAAGTGCAGTGGCTCGTGCCTGTAATCCCAGGACTTTGGGAGGCTGAGGTGGGCGGATTGCTTGAGGTAAGGAGTTCAAGACCAGCCTGACTAACAAGTGAAACCCCGTCTCTACTAAAAATACAAAAATTAGCCAGGTGTGGTGGCACACACCTATAATCCCAGCTACTTGGGGGGCTGAGGCAGGAGAATCACTTGAATCTGGGAGGCAGAGGTTGCAGTGAGCTGAGATTGTGCCACTGCACTCCAGCCTGGGCAACAGAGTGAAACTCCATCTCAAAAAACAAAACAAAACAAAAAACAAAATGTACGTTAGATAGGCAGAGGGCAATTAATTTGAACCTTAGACAACCAGCTTAAATTAAGTAATTGTAATTGTAGCTTTTTACCAGAATGTCATATAGATTGTCAGAATATTAGAGTTAGATTTGTGAGAGGAGAGTAAGTCTGTGTCTGAAACTACTGACTTGTCCTGGGGAGACAGGTTCATGGCAGCAACATTCATGATTATCAGACACTGCAAAGGACAGTTTTTAAGAGAAGAAACTGCACTTTAAGCGCTGTTTACATTGTTAGTTTTAGATGATGTAAAGACCATTTTATCTTACATCTGATATAGCTTGCCTTTTCCAATATTACTGTTTAGTAATTTTCATTTTATAGAGGCTTATAATATAGTTTTTGATATGTTGATGTCTTACCAATTCATCATTTTATGAAATCAGTCTTCCTTTTCCTTAAGTCTATATCCATGTTCTTCAATTCATTAAGAGCTATTGTGTAATTTTTAAAATAATTTAATTTTTTAAGAAAGGAATGAAAAATATATGTGATTCAGTATTCATTTAGTAAATATTTACTTAGTACTCACTCTGTGCTATGTTCTTTATTATGTTAGAGCGAATAAATGTTATGAAAATGAAGTAGGGTAAGGAGATAATGAAGTTCTAGACTGTGTTGAGGACAGTGTTTAGGTAGTGTGTGTGTATGTGCATAGAGAGGGCTAATTTTTTAAATATTATCAAAGAAAGCCTCCTAATGAATTTTGGACAGAGACGTAAATGGAAACAGGGAGTTATCTGTGTGGTTGTATAAAGGGGTAATGGTGAAAGTGTTCAGCAGTTAGTACAGCATGTGTACCAACCTATCAGAACAGATGCCAGCAGCAAACAATTCGAAGAGCCGTAGAGGTGTTTACTGACTGTCTATTCTCCTTGTGTACCTGGGGAAGAGTGTTTGCTGGTGTGATTGAAGAACTACAGAGGTTAGTATGGCTGAAGCAGAGTGGTCAAAAGGGAGAGTGATGGGAGATGAGCGCAGATTTGGATTAATTTAATAATTAATACATATCATCTTAAAAGGCCAGTTTTTCTTTGTATAATTTAAGAAATTCACATCATTTGAGTAGAAATTCAGCATAAAATTTTACAAGTTTTCATAGTGGGTCTCTTGAAACAAAAGATTTATGTTTAATACTGGTAGTGAATTTCAAGGGAGTATATTTAGTAGAATAGGCCATCCAAATAAATTACAGTAAATTCCATGTTTTTATTTCTAAGAACTTTTTTCCCAGTAACATTATTTTTGGAGGCATCTAGTTAGCTGTGCTTTTGCAGTTAATCATTTTATGCTGTCACTTGTATGGGCTTTTCAAAAATTGCTGTGTGTCGAACATTTGAAAAGACATAAGAGTGATCTTTATTTTTAGCTCTTTAAAATTAGATAATTAAATATCAAATTGGATTTCCAGGCATGGAAACTCACAGTTTGAAAAAAACGTTCTGAACTGGAATACTCACTGTTAAGGTTTCTATTTAATTGGCTTTTTTAAATCAATTAATTAGGTCTATTGAGAGTGAAGAGCACAAAAAAATTACAAAATGTTCTTTTTAGGAAATTTATCAGGAATATATAAATCTCCATGTCGGTCTTGGATTTGAGCACAGAGAATCCATTTTTAAATCCCAGTTTTCACTATTATCAGCCACATCTTCTTAGGCAAGCCAGCCTTCTAACTTCATCTGTGGCCTACAATAACCTCACTTGTTATAAAAATCATGTGTGAAAATCTCTGTAGTTATATGGTGGAAACTGCAAAATAGCGTATAGTTTTTGTTTGAAAGCATTTTTCGCAGGACAGATAAATAATTAACAGAAGGAAAATTTGGAGCATTTTAAATTGTGAAAGAAGGAAAAAAAACACTTGAGTACTGTTGAGAATACTCTACCTCTATTATTTTATTAAATCTTTTCAACAACTGTGAATTTGATTATTAATATTATCCCCATTATTAGGTAAGGAAACTCAGACATTATAATTTACCCTAAATCAAATTTACTGTAAGTTTCAGAGTTGTTACCTGAAAGGGATTCTGTTCTATTCATCATCTTTTAATTACAACTCCAGCTAGCATAAATCATAATCTCTACTATCTGATTAATGTCAATAGCTTAACAAAAATTTTTTCTATACTCCAATATTTTAGCACCAGGATATAAGTGAACTTAACAGCTATGTCCCCAACCCACATGAAAGTCTAGCAGAGACTATAAGCGTGTTGTGCTAAGGGAAATACAGGGTGATATTTGACTATATAGTCACTACTTAGTATAGTCTGCAAAGTTAAATTAAGATTGGACTTTAGGCTTGATCTACTTAATAATATAAAAGAACCCTACCATGGTACATATATTTAATAACACCCAGACTGATTTTTAAAACTCTCATCCTCTACCAGCAGATATTTTGAGGAAAAGCAATGCTAGTATCAAAAAAGTAATAGACTTTAGAAACCACTGATGTTCCATAAATGATACTTCAAAAGTTTCACATCCATAAGCCTACCTCAGACTTTCTTAAATATCATTATGTTTTTAGTCAGAAGAGCCAGGTTTTCAGTAATTACTTCTATACATTTTTTTTGCCTACTTTATAAATATTTGAAGGGAAATGGGCATAGGCAGGTAAGGTCTATTAAAAGAATAAGTCATTGGAATTTTTTAATGCAAATTGAAAGGCAGGATTTGATATTTATAGCACAAACATTGCCTGATATTCACCATTTCATCATTTTAAAGTATTTATTATACTTCCTTTTTCTTTTCTTTTTTTTTTTTTTTTTGAGATGGAGTTTTGCTCTTTTGCTCAGGCTGGAGTGCAGTGGCATGATCTCAGCTCACTGCAACCTCCACCTCCTGGGTTCAAGCAATTCTCCTGCCTCAGCCTCCTGAGTAGCTGGGATTACAGGCACGTGCCACCACGCCGGGCTAACTTTTGTGTTTTTAGTAGAGACGGGGTTTCATCATGTTGCTCAGGCTGGTCTCGAACTCGTGACCTCATGATCCACCCACCTCAGCCTCCCAAAGTGCTGGGATTACAGGCGTGAGCCACTGCGCCTGGCCAAGTATTTATTATACTTTCTATATGCATGGACTTTGGAAAGCATTTCTACAAATGTACTTTTGTAGAAATGTACAACAAAATGTACAATATTTCTGATATGAACATGGATGTATAATGTATAATTCTCCCCTCCCCCATTTCTTGTTGGAAGCCATAGAACAGTAACAAAGAGTAACATACACAGTAACATTGAACAAACATAGAACAAACAAAGCCATAGAACAAAAACAACAAAAATTGGAAAACTCGTAAACTGCATTTTTCATGAAACAGGGACTTCAGAGTATATCATAAAGTAGCCCAAAGCACCTTATGACACATGATTTTTCTCAGTCACTTTGTAAGCCACGGACCTTCAGCCAGTGATGCCCCCACCTAGGCCTCACACAGCCACTTTACTTGCTGCAACAGGTGGCCTGCTCACTTGGCCTGCCCGGGCCAACCCTGGCTTATGCACCAGCTCAGCCCGCCTGTGTTATAGTTGGTATCACATTCAACTGTTTCCAAGTTCTTGTCCTGCGTCCAAGAAGAATAAGGATACACTGACAATTGAAGGGTGATGAGGGCAGAGAATAATTTTATTGAGCAACAAAACGGCTCTCAGCAGAGAGGGGACATGAGAGTGGTCAGCTATCCTGAGTCAGCTGGTTTCTCTCCCAGTGTGGCTAAGTCTGGGACTTCTATGGGCTCAGAATAGGGGAGTGTGTGCTGATTGGTTTGTGAGTATGCAGAAAAGGTTAAAAGAAAGGCACCACTGAAAGTTGGGCATGACAGTGTGAAAAACCAATTATGACGCCAGGCACGGTGGCTTACACCTGTAATCTCAGCAATTTGGGAGGCCGAGGTGGATGAATCTCCTAAGATCAGGAGGTTGAGACCAGCTTGGCCAATATGGTGAAACCCTCTCTACTAAAAATACAAAAATTAGCTGGGTGTGGTGGTGGGCACCTGTAACCCCAGCTACCTAGGAGGCTAAGGCAGGAGAATCGCTTGAACCCGGGAGGTGGAGGCTGTAGTGAGCCAAGATTGTGCCACTGCACTCTGGCCTGGGCGACAAAGCGAGACTCCGTCTCAAAAAAAAAAAAAAAAAAAAAAAACAATTAGGAAAGGGTAGGTATGAGTAAAACAGGTGAAAGGTGGGGAAAGTGTGCCAAATGGGAAGACAGGCTCTCAATGTAGTCCATAGTTTGACTTGTGGCTTGGCTTTCTGGCTTTAAACTGAAAAAGCCTGGAGGTTTTGGCTTGGAGTTGGGGTTTCACTGGGGACCTGCCCCTATCTGCCTAGGCGTTTGTCTGCCTCTTGCTGCTATCACATAGATTGTGGAGAAATCACATAATAATAAAGTTAAGAGAAGATATAATCAGAGAAACAAGCTGCAATGTATTTTACCACCTCCAACAAAAATTACCTGCTAAAAGTGGCCGGGCACAGTGGCTCAGGCCTGTAATCCCAGCACTTTGGGAGGCAAAGGCAGGTATCACTTGAGGTCAGGAGTTCGAGACAAGCCTGGCCAACATGGCAAAATGCTTTTTCTACTAAAAATACAAAAATTAGCTGGGCCTGGTGGCGCATGCCTGTAATCCCAACTATTTAGGAGGCTGAGGCAGGACAATTGCTTGAACCTGGGAGGCGGAGGTTGCAGTGAGCCAAGATCATGCCACTGCCCTCTAGCCTGGGCCACAGAGAGAGGAGACTCCATCTCAAAAAAAGAAAAAAAATTACCTGCTGAATGTGAAGAATGTACCCTTAAATTCTAAGGCTGTATTCCTTGCTTACAAAAATGGATGTGAGAAAGGGATGAAGGAAATAAAAATTTATGTGATATGTTAATTAATATAGCCAAAACTGCCCTTGGAGGAAAATTCAGAGCCTTAAGTACTTGTATTAATAAAATAAAAAGCATGAAATAAATGAGTTCATCATCTCACCCAAAACGAGGAAAATCAAACCCACAATCAAATCAAAGGAATATGGAAGAATGGAAGTAATAAAACTAAAAGCATAAAGGAATGAATTAGAAAAGGGAAAAATATAATATGTATATAATAGTTGCTTTTAGAAAATAATAAATAATTAAAATACTTGTTAATATAATCAATACAAACTCATACCACAAAAGGGTGAATCTCTTCAATATACAGTGTGCTACTAGAAATGGATAAGGACAACCAAATAAAAATATTGGCAATGGATATGGGGCTACTTTAGAAAATAGAAATACAAATGATTTTAAATATATTAAAGTTGATTTGCCCCATTCTCAGTAAAATAAAGGAAAAATAAAAATATATTTATTCACCTATTAGATTAGCATAAATTTAAAATTTAATAACAGTGTCTTGACAAAGATGTGGATAAAAATGCTCTTTGATACTTTGCTGTTGAAAGTATAAATTCTCAACAACAACATGAAAAACCACTATAGAAGGCATTTTGGCAGAATCTGTCAAAACTGTAAAATGTATATATCTTTGATTCAGCAATAACACTTTTACAACTTATCCTTTAGTTCTATGCATGTATGAAGTTGTGTCATTCCAAGGTTAGTCACTGCAGCATTGTTTGTAATATTAGGAAACTGGAAATCATTGAAATTTTCACCATTAGGGGCTAGTTAAATAAATTATAGTACCCTATCCAGTGGAGTACTGTGAATGAGGAAGTTCTATATGTACTGACTGGGGAGAGCTCCAAGAGACATTGTTAATACAAAGAACTAAGCTGCAAACAGTTTAGGTTATGTTGTTACCTTTTATATAAAAAGGGTAGGAGTATGATTATAAGTCTGATTTTGCTTTTATGTGATAAAGAAACTTAAAAATAATACAATAAACAATAACAGATTACATGTTTGGGGAGGTGGTTGAAATTGAAAGCAGAGGTTTAGGGGAAACTTTTTACTTGTTATATTTTACATTTTAATTTTTTTGAACACTGTGAATGTATTACCTATTCAAAAGGTAAGATTAAGAAATATTGAAAACATGGCACCTGTCCTCAAGCAAATATAAATTTTTAGGATGATGCTTTATTGAGAAATTATTGATAAGAAGACAAAATATTCATGCTATATATTGTTAAAGTAGGAAAAGCAGTTTATAAAATAGCATTATGGTATTTATCTGATTTTTATTAAATAAAGTATAGATATCCAAATACATGGAAAAAGTTGGAAGGCTATATTCCAGGATATTAATTATGATTACCTTAGAGTGGAGTAGTAATGGGTGATTTGGGGCAGTTTAAAAACGTTTTTCATTGAACATGTTACTATGTTTGTAATATGAACATTTTCTAAAATTATATTACATGCTAATGTTTTGTAGAACACTATAGAGCAATGTTTTAAAAACTATTTTTCCCATAATTTATATGAAGAAATCGCATTGTAGTTTAAGACTCAGGACACACAAACTTGAGAGTATTGATATTTATGTGTGTGCGTAACTAAAACAAGTTTTCCAAACACTGTTTTATGCTTCCTAAATGAGCTGCATTATATTTAATTTATTTGATTTATTTATTTATTTTTATTTATTTATTTTTGAGACGGAGTCTCACTCTGTTGCCCAGGCTGGAGTGCAGTGGCGCAATCTTGGCTCACTGCAAGCTCTGCCTCTCAGGTTCACGCCATTCTCCTGCCTCAGCCTCCCAAGTGGCTGGGACTACAGGCGTCTGCCACCATGCCTGGCTAATTTTTTTTTTGTATTTTTTAGTAGAGACGGGGTTTTGCCGTGTTAGCCAGCATGGTCTTGATCTCCTGACCTCATGATCCATCAGCCTCGGCCTCCCAAAGTGCTGGGATTACAGGCGTGAGCCACTGCGCCCAGCCTATACTTTATTTTTAGAAGTGTTTACAGCCAATAAGTTGGTTTCTTGAACCTCAATTTGAAAAGTATTTATATGAAGGATTTTTAAAAATCAACAAAAGCTATTTCTAAAGTCGCAGTATGTGTTACGGGAATTCAGAAGAGAGGAAAAAATTGGCTGGGAATGGTTTAAAAAGGAAAATGAACTTGAAGTAGGTCTTGAGAATAGGCAGAAGGAGGAGGAGGGAAATTATTTGATAAGAGGAGAAGCTAAACATGGGAAATTTCTAGGCCTGTTTTAAGTCAGGCAAGATCAGTTTGACAGAAGCAGGTGATTTGGAAAGGTGAATAATCTGAAAAGTTTAGGTTAAAATCAGATTTTTGAAGGCCCTGAATACCAGAATTGTGATGGAAAATGCCATTCTGGTAAAGGTTTATAAGCAAAGGATGGATGTGATATAAGCACATCTTAAATATGATGGTGATACCACATACTTCATACCTCATATGTGAGATATATACATAACTCACTAAAATATTGAAACTATTCCGATTTTTAATTGTGGGAAGAAGTTAAGGAATTCATTGGCACACTTAACAGAAAAAAATCAATGTTCATTTTACCATGTTTCAAATAGTACTTGTGTAGCTAAAACCAATTCCTAGTATAATAATGTTAAAATAGGAGTAGAAACACAATGGCCAGGCTCAGTGGCTCACACTTGTAATCCCAGCACTTTGGGAGGCTGAGATGGAGGATCACTTGAACCTGTCTCAAAAAAAAAAAAAAAAAAAAAAAACCCAGAAAGAAAGAAAGAAATTCTCAGTACTGGAGAAAAATAAGTAATGGTAGGAATTCAGAAATAGTAAATAAAATACAGGCTTCTAATGGCCTATGTATAATTTCCTTGTTGAGCTTAAAATTTAGCTGTAAGCTTCCTGGAAGCTGTTACAGAAAAGGAGTTAGCTAATTTCATGATTAGAAAGGAAGAAGGATTTTAATTTGTTTAAAGCAAAATTTTACTGCCAGTAAGTTCTAAGGGAAATTTCTCTCTTGGGATTTTAGATAACAGTGTCCTCAACAATATTTTTGTACAAGTTTAGAAACAGATCTCATAGGTTGTTGATTTTAGCATCCTTTAAATGTAGCCAAGGTTATAATATTAAAACACAGCTTAATAAAGAACATTCTACATCAGCATTTTCCCCCTATTTTCAATTTTTCCTGAATAGAATAGTAAAATTCTAGGACTCCAGACTTATCAAAATATTAATAAAAATTAGCATTAAATACATTAAAAAGTTTAAACAACTCAGAATATCAAGGGTTATACATATGACATTTACAAATATCTCATGATATTTATATACCTGAACAGTTTAATATTTAGTCAGGTTCGTAGAGAATGCACATGCTGAGTGAAAACAAACATTAAGATGTAATGAATTGTTGAAGTTTTTTTTCCCTTTAGGCTTTGCACTTTTGAAAATATGTTTCCAATATTTTATTTTATTTTATAAATTATCAGTTCAAAATTACTTAATTTAATGGAGGTTCACCATCTTCTTTAATGTTTTGCTTTTTAGATTTTGAACTTAGACATTGAGGACACATTTGATATTCTATAAACCCCAAAAGAACAGAGGAACTCTGATACAAGGATTATTAGTGTTTGTACTTCTATAGTTCAAGCAGAAGAAAAGTGGTTATCAGAATGGAGGGACAGATGAGAGGTGGTAAGGAGTGAGTGTGGTGAGTCTGTGAGCAGTAGGAGTGTGACAGAGAGAAGAGGGTACCTTCTCGGCCTCTGTCTTGGACTGGTCTCTTCAACCCACATAACCCCTTATTCTTAGTAGTCTCCTCCCTCTGTCCCTACCTGCAGCTCACATACACTTCTGAGGCAGAACATCTCGCATGATGATATTTTCATTATTCCATCTTCATTATTAGTCTCCTTTAGTTGACATACATACTCATAAAGCATCTCATAAAAAGTCTTCTTCCTCAGCTTACATTGATCTTTGAAGTAGTTATGGCATTTAATTTATTCAGTCTTGTACTATGTTAGTTTTGTATATCTGACGTGCCCATTAAAGGTGTTTGAGAGCAATAAGGATATTTTTACTCACTTTTTTGTATCTCTCAGAGTCTTACGTGTAATATACATTCAGTAAATACTTGATATTATTTTTGAAAAAATCTAGACATCTAAGAAGTGCCCAATATAACATTTGAAAAATATAAACAAGACTCATATTCTATTTTCAGAATAATGTAGAAATTTTGGCTTTTAACGATTCCAGAGTTGGGCTTTGTTTACATTTATGTGTGGCATCTCTTTGGAAATAAGATATATCCAGTTTCAATTCTATTTGTACAGTAATTTACTTTCTATTTTTAAATTATATTTGAAGTGAGTTTTCCATGTAGTTACAGTGCTCTTCGGAAACTTCATAAATGTTTTTGAGTACAGATAGAAAACATTTCTGGTTGCACTCTTATTCAGCTTATCTGTATTTTATACTACGGCAAACTATATCTAATTGTTTCCATTAAATTTATTTGACACCTTGATGAGATTTCTCTCTGATATTAAAGTGGTGACACAATCTTGTGTAATATTTAATATTCCTTATTTGAAAATTAAAGCCCTGTATTAACCCATTTGAAAAGTGAGAATGATATACAAGAACAGACATACTTGTTTTCACTTTAAAAAACACCATTTATCTTTATCATATTAATTAAATTAGTGTTCACCTTCTGCTACCTTGTCCTTCAAGGGAACGATTTAATTGTGCCACAAAAGGCTTGTCCCACATTCTATTTTATGTAGACTAAGTTTGCATGCTAAGAATTTTAATGACATCAAAATACTAGGATTTAAGTTAGAAAAACCAAAGACATTAAAAAGATATCTGCAAGTGATTTTTAAAAAACGAGAAACCTCATTGTATGTATTTATAAGCCTTACAGAAAAATGAAACTTCTTTTTGTTTTTTTTTGTTATTTATGTAACAATTTGTATATATTAAAACTACACCAAAAATGGATTTTGTAGCAGGAATACCCATAGAGAGAAATTACAATCTTGTGGACATCCTTGAACGTTGATTGATAGTTATTTAAATTAATGAGAAATAGAATCAACCTCAGCAAAAATCAGTTACAATTTCTTATGTGTCTCTTAGTAATCAAGGATCCTCATCTTCACACCATAGCTCTCATTGTTTCATGGTCTTACCATGAGGGATACTTCCTAATGGTGGCCTATAAGAGGTATGATTTTCTCACTACTTTCTAGTAATGCTGTATTCTCTTTTAAATAATAAATCTATATCCTTTTTTGACTCTAGAATCACTTCAGTTGGAGACCTTAGGAATCATTTCTTAATGTTCATAATACTGGATCATGAGATAGTCAATAAAGTTTTCTGAGTCTTCTCTAGAAATAAGTTTGAAAAGACTTCTTCACTTCTATTGCAGTCTTGAATGTGGGTTTTCAGGAAGATCATCAATGTTCATCTGAAATAAATAGTAGAAATTTTCGAGGAATCCCACAGCTCTTAAGCATTTTTCTGATTATCTCTTGAGTTAACATTCAATAAATACGTATTTAGTTGCTTAGTATATCATAGAAATTATATTAGGTACTGAGGATACAGTGATGACTATGACAATATTTGCCTCAAAAGAAATTAAGAGTCTGGTTGGCAAGATAGATTAGTGAGAATTCATTCATGATTGAGGTGATGAACCCCATTCCAGAGGAATTTTATGGTATTTTAGGGGACATAGTATGTTAGACAGTTGAGGAAAGGACAAAAGGTGGGCTGAGTTGTGAAGAATGACTACAACTGCACTGGTGAAGGGCCTGAGACAGCATAGTTTTTCAGAGGAGGTGCATCTGATCTTGGGGTGAAAAATTCTGTGGCACATTTGAAGAACTATTTGAAGGATTCTATCTTATACACCTGGAGTGGAGACTACATTAGTCATCAGGGAAAGAGAGGAAAAGAGGCATGGTAGATAGAATAATGGCTCCCCAAATATGTCTACACCCTAATTGCTGGCATCTGTGAATAGGTTCCATTACAAAGCAAAAGGAATTTTGCAGATGTGACTATGTTAAGGATTTTGTGATGGGGAGATAGTTCTGGATTATCCACATGGACCTCTTGTACTCACAAGTATTCTTACCTGGAAGAGGAAGGTAGAAGTCGTAGTCAGACAAGAAGATATGCCTACAGTATGACTACAAAACTAGTTACATGGCCAAGGTCCAAGGAATGATGACAGCCTCTAGAAACTGGAAAAGGCAAGAAATAGATTATTTCCTTATAACCTGCAAAAAGAACATAGCTCTGCAGACATTATGATTTTAGCCCCAAGAGACTCATTCTGGACTTTTGACCTCCAGAACTGTAAAATAATAAATTTGTGTTTACTATAAAGACACATGCATATGTGTGTTTATTGCAATAGCAAAGACTTGGAACCAACCCAAATGCTCATCAATGATAGACTGGATAAAGAAAATGTGGCACATATATACCATGGAATACTATGGAGCCATAAAAAAGAATAAGTTCATGTCATTTGCAGGGACATGGATGAAGCTGGAAACCATCATTCTCAGCAAACTAACACAGGAACAGAAAACCAAACACTGCATGTTCTCACTCATAAGTGGGAGTTGAACAGTGAGAACACATGGACACCGGGAGGGGAACATCACACACCGGGGTCTGTCGGGTTGAGGGGCAAGGGAGAGGAGAGCATTAGGATAAATAGCTAATGCACGCGGGGCTTAAAACGTAGATGATGGGTCAATAGGTGCAGCGAACCACCATGACACATGTATACCTATGTAACAAACATGCATGTTCTGTACATGTATCCCAGAACTTAAAATAAAATAAAAATAAATTTGTCTTGCATTAAGCTACTAAATATATGACAATTAGTTACAGTAGCAGTAGAAAACTAATACAGGAGGTGAGGTTGGAGAAGGGAAAAGGTGCCAAATAATAACATTTCATCCTAAAGGGTTTGATCTTTGGGGGCAACAGGAAATTTTGAATGGTCTTATACTAGGAAAAGTCATGATCAGATTTGTATTTTCTACGGATAATTATGGCTTCATCTTGGAAATCACTTAGTGAGTTGTTGACAGGTAAGAAATAGAAGTGACAATGAGATGTAAAAATGTAAATTTGGGTTTTAGAGAATGATTAGGTATTTGTGGGGGTGTTGATTGCTGGATAAAATTACGAATCATTAGCTTAGTTATCTGTCAGAATCACTAAGACTTGGCAAAGAAGTTGATGGGTGAAAGAGAGGTTTTAAGGATTACCTTCAGGTTTATAATTCAGCAGCTAGGTGATGATGTCATGGACTGAGATGCTATAGGAAGCCAGGTTAAGGAGAAAATTGGGGGCATGCTAAGTTTTACATATATGTGACATTTCCAAATAGATGTGACCTGTAGGCCGATGGATATGTATATCTGGAATTTAGAAGCAACCTCAGGGCCACAGATATAGATATGGGAGTCACCAATATGTAGAGAAAATACCTGAAGGTTTGGAGTAAATGAGAAAATATTTAGCATGCGACAAGGGCCTATGACAGATAATTCAGGGATGGCAGAAGAGGAGGCTCCATTGGTCTCTCTCACTTATTTCTTCCTTTCACTCATGTTGCTGCCTTATTTATACAGGCTTTCATCACTTTAAACCTAGATTGCTGATAACTCATCTACTTCTCTTTCCTTTAGGATCTTTTCCTCCCTCTTCTCACTAGAATTATCCTTCTAAAATAACATTTTATCCTATCAGATTGCTACTTTTAAAACTTATGATACTTCTTTTGCTTTTGTGAAGCAATGCAGGCCTCTTTGTCTCATCAAGGTTTTCTAAGGTGGGATCCTAGTTCACCTGCCCAATTTAGCCCCTTCTTCCTTTGTTCCCTTTCCTTTAGCCACCCTGTTAGAATGCATATACAGTTGACCCCCTGAACAATCTGGGGGTGACGGGTGCTGACCCCCTGCATAGTCAAAAATCTGCATATGACTTTTGACTTCCCAGAAACAACTACTAATAGCCTACTGTTGACCAGAAGCCTTACTGATAACATATTTAACACATATTTTGTATGCTATATGTCTATACTGTATTCTTACAATAAGGCAGAGAAAAGAAAATATTACTTTAAAAATTATAAGGAAGAGATACTACATTTATAGTATTGTACTGTATTTATTGATACCGTAAGTTTGTATCATCTGTTTACAAGATGAATGATCTCTCTGACATGGTGGGCATCTATAGCTTCAGACCTCAATCTATGGTGCATATCAAGCAATTCAACTTTATCTTGTAATATTATGACTTTTCTCTGCTGGGAACATTTCCAGCATCACTAGTGGCACTTTATGTGGGTCCCATGGTGTTATTCAAGGTTTATGGTATTGCATAAAACATGATGAAAAATTCACAAGAACCACAAGAGATCACTTTTTACTGTGATAGAGTTTAGTACAGAGACAAACTGCTCACACAGAGATGATTAGCATCACACAGCATTTTAAGCAGATATTTGCAACACTTGAGCTCACCACAATAGCAGTGAGAGGTAGCTACAAAATTATTACAGTAGTAATGTATGTACTACAGTTAATTTTATGCAGTTGTGATTTAATACTGCATTTTTATGTTCATATTTTTCTGAGCTATAAATGGCACCATGTATGGTCTGTTTGTGTATAAATTCTGATAAATTTTAACTTTTTATAATAGGTTTATGTATATTTTATGGTAGTAAATAAGATAGACTAATAGTTAGATGTATTTTATGGATTCATGACATACCTTTTTCTTATTTTTTCTCAATATTTCTAGGCTAGGCAATTCATCTGCTTTTCCAAGTTGTCTCAAATTTCCAAAAATATTTTCCAATGTATTTAATTTAAAAAGTCCATGTATAAGTGAATCCACACAGTTCAAACCTATGTAGTTCAAGGGTCAACTGTATAATAATATAGAACCTCAAACTCAGCATTTATAAGCATGAACTCATTATGTTGATTTACTTCTATGTTCCCCACTGCCCCTACTTTTCAGTTTTGGTCTTTGTTAACACTATCCATTCTATTATAAAAACATATTTGGAATGTTTATATACTCCCTTTTCCTCATCCTTCACATTTAATAAGTCATGAATTCCTGTAACTTAAACCTCATAATGGCTTTCAGATTTGTTACCTGCTCTATTTCCTTGCTGCGGCTATCTCAGCTGAGGCCTTCAGCAATGTGGGTCAGACACTTGTGAAGCGACTCCTGTTTCTCTCTTCTCTCTCTTTTGTTTAGATGGAGTCTCACTATGTCACCCAGCTGGAGTGCAGTGGTACGATCTTGGCTCACTGCAGCCCCTGCCTCCTGGGCCCAAGCGATCCTCCTGCCTCAGCCTCCCGAGGTAGCTGGGACCACTGATGCATGCCACCACGATTGGCTAATATTTGTATTTTTAGTAGAGATGGGGTTTCACCGCATTGCCCAGGCTGGTCTTGAACTCCTGAGCTCAAGCGTCTGCCCGCCTTGGTCTCCTAAAGTGCTGGTATTACAGGCATGAGCCATCGTGCCTAGCTAACTCCTGTTTCTCTTGTTTGCCTTTGTCATGTTTAGATGTTTGGAATATCTAAAATAATGACCGATTATGTTCTTTAAATGCTTAAAATACCCTAATGAATCTACATTACTCATTGATCAGGTTGATACATTCTAACATACAAAAATCCTTTATAGATTTTTTCAGTTTTTCCAGTTGTTTCTCCTGACAATCCTTTGCATGTCTGAAGCTGCAATTTACCAAAATCCCTTTCACTCCCAGAATGTGGTCTGTTATTTCATACCTTTCTATCTTTGTAACGCTGCGCTCTTTCTTGGAAATATATTTTGGGCATCAATTCTGTTTAAAGTCTTTCTTAACTCTACCAGTTCATATTAAGTCCTCCTTTCCCTGTGCTTGCATACAATTCACAAGCATGATTACATTATTTATTGTGTAGTATTGAAATTATTTTTTAAAAATACTTCTGTTGTGGATTTGTGAAGTCCGGGAGTATATTAATTCATCTTTGTCTTCCTTGATCCATTGTGGCACATAAAAGGTACTCAATAAATATGCGTTGAGAGAATGTTTTAAAGAACAGAACACTATATATACTCATAGATGCAAACTGTGTACATGAAGCCCAAAACGATCTAGGCATTAATAGGAATATTATAATTAATAAGTCAGAGACAATAGTCTGGTTCTTACTCAAGGACGTGAGTGGCACTTACATCCCTTAGATTATAATTCTAGTAGTCACCTTCAAGAAAGAGCCAATGAAACTAAAAAATATTCAGATTGGAGAAATTATTGGGATTACAAACTTGGAAGTGTTATGCAACTACCTGTAGGTAAGGAAATAATTATTGTTTAATGATTCAGTGATTTCTTGTGTGTGTCATTCCTGTAGAGCTTATTTGTATTATTCTCAATATCATAGATATTGTGAATCAAACTATTTTTTTAGATATTTGGAGAGGCCTGAGTTACCACTTTGATTGTTGGCAAATTGCATTTCCATTATTTACCCTTAGAAATCCTAGCTTGTGGTTATAGACAATTAAAGCAATATTCTTTCCTGTAAAGTTCTTCCTGATTATTTCCTGGAAGAAATCTGGCAGGAAAGCCTGTTCAGAAGTCGATTCAGCTTGACACCTTCTCTACCAGCTGTATCTTTGCTAGATTATTTGTTTTTCCTGTGAGACATTGGACAATATGCTTAATCTCTTTCCCTGAATTTCATTTTCTGTACCTACTTCACAGTGTTGTTGGAAGGGCAAAGTGGTGAAAGCATTAACTCCAAAATAAAGAAATTAAGAAGTCAGTATTTATAAGTTACAGTTTGAACAGTAGATGTATTAAGCATTTAAATATTAAGTCAGAGTCAAGAGTTCAAAAAATATTACACGGCATTACTTTAAGTATAGAGAAAGGCTTAATTAAAAAATTAAAAAGTAATTCTTATTAAAATATCCATTTGCTAAGTATATCATTAAATGTGGCATAAGATCATTCTAATCTTGTTCATACTTGATATAATACAATAGAAGTTTCTCTCTGTTACTAGTGAAAAATAATTCATCTTGTGAGCCAATTTTTCTATGTTGACTAAGGGCCATGAGGCATTGTCTCCTGTTGTGTCCTTTTTTTCTTATAAAAATTTATTTTAGAAGAAATACTTTTAGTGTGACATTGCCTTTTTATATGAATACAAGTTGAATAATTACCCTCAGATAGTAGTGTTCAGTGTTTAGATATGTGCGGGTCATCTGCACTGTTTGTGAGTTGTGGAGGTTCTAGGACCATTACAATGGGATTAGGATCCAGTGAATATGGGATGGGGCACCAAGATCTGCATTTTCAAAAAGATACCAGGTAATTATCATTAAAGTGATCTGTGGTTTGAGAAGCACTGTTCTAAATTACAAAACTTTTGTTTTTTTTCTGTTCAGCCCATACTGAGTAATCAATTGTTTCAATGAGGATGAGGAACAGAAACAAATCCTTGAAACAAAACAAACAACATAAAAAACAAAATCAAATTTTTTTCTTTCTGTGAGTGAGATCAAAAGGATGAAGTTACAAATGACTGATTCAGGGAAAATCTTACTGTGAATGACATTCATTTCAGCCATGTACCATGCCTCTATGTATAAATTTATACTGGTAGGCCAGGAGAGAGTAAAAAAGCAAGAAGCATTGGGATCCTTGAGGTCTAAAATCTTAGAAAAAGAGGAAGGCCATAGAGAAGAGTAAAGACCAAGAAAATTTACAAAGGTCTAAAATTTTTGCATAAATTGAATATTCAGTATTCATCTATACAGGAGAGCGTCTCTTGTTTTGATAAACTCCTGTAATTGTTTTGATTCTTCTTTCTAACAGAAATATTCCAAGCCAAAATAGCACTTACTATTTCTTCAATGCCATTTCACCTGATGTATATAGAAATGTGAAATTTCATCCTCAATTCCCATGTCACAGACTAATCTGTTTGAAATTGGTTGGTTTTTCAGGCCCTTTGCAAGATCAAAGGAAGCATTTAGAAGTCATAATGAAGAAACAGTGTTTATAGGTTTAGACCGATAACAGAGTGAATTTCCAAACACCCTTCAGAAGACTGAGCATTTTCATTATTGTCACCTGATTGTCATAGTCCATGAGTGATTGTTGAATATCCTCTGTGGGTCTGACCCTATTACTGAATTATTTGAAGAAGCAAAAGAAACAAGTGTTTTGTTGGACAGATATAACATTCAACTTATAATTCAGATTTCTTGTCATTTGATAAAATTTTAGTAAAAACTGAAAAACATGTTTTTGTTAAAGGGGAAAAGAATAACTTTTGGTAGGGTTTTTTAGAGAAGAAGTGAGCACACGCTGTTGGAAAATGACATCAATAGACTTGATTGACCCACGGTTGCCAAACCTTCAATTTGTAAGAAATATCTACAAATCACAGTAAAGTGAAGCACAATAAAATAAGGTATGCTTGTATTATAGCTCATTATTGTGTAAAAGGTAATACACAATCGCTGAAGTTTTTTTTTTAGTTCATAATTGAAGCTTAATAATGTGTTTTAGTTTACTTCCATTGTTTAATGACTGTAGTATTTAAACATAGGAAAAAGTCAGAGCATATTTATGGGGGTCATTGATTTATATATCTTGCTTAATTCCCCTAAAGGATTAGGAGACATTTGCAAAGCTATGTTAAATCAAACAGGCTAAAAGTGAGGGGATGTTGAAACTGGAGAGAAGAGAAAAAAAGCATATATACATATTTAAGGAGGGTATAAATACATATTCCCTCCTTATATAAGGTAAATATTATACAGAAATGTTTATCAAGGTTCCTCTAAAGTCGATATAGGCTACACATTCAGTTCTGAGTGGGTAAACAATAAAAGTGTAAAATAAAGGAAGGTGCTGAAGAGAACAGCTGTGCATAGTCCTGAGACCTTAGAGATAGCTTTTGTAAGGCTTTAATCAGAAGACTAGCATTTATTTAATAAACATTTATATGTAATATAAATCAGACATTGTTCTAAGTGCTTTACTCATTAAATTTTTGTAAAAATCTTACGAGGTGGATATTATTTTCCTAGTTTTATGGATGAGGAAATTGAGGCACAGAGAAGTTACATAATTTGTTCAAGACTGCATAACTATTAAGTGGCAGAGCTTGGATTCCAACCCAGACATTTTGACTTGAGGGTATTTTGTCTTCAACATTATGCCATGCTGCCTCTCCAAGTGGCATCTAAGAGGAGAGTGCCTGTAATTTCATGTTCATAGTAAGAGTTTATTGAATTTTTGTGCCTGTTTCTTATAACCATCAATGATGCTAATTAAGGACCACTGACACTGGGAAACATGAGTACTTTCCCACTTTTACTTATAGACCTCCCTGTGGCTCACTTCTTAGACCAGAGGTTTTGAAAGCGCAGGCTCTGGACCAGTAAAGTCAACATCACCTGGGAACTTGTTAGAAATGCAAATTTTCTGACTCCACCCCACACCTACAGAATCAGAAACTCTGAAAGTAGGGCCCAGCTTTCTGCGTTTTAATGACACTTCTAGGTGATTTGGATGTTCCCTAAAGTTTGAGAACCTGTAACATAAAGTAATCTAGATGGAAAGAAAAAAAGGGTATCTGGAGCCTGTAAGTTATTGTTATGACCTTATCTTTGTAATTTAGATGGAGAATATAGTAGGAGTTTGTAGTAAAAGCACGTGCATTCTACCTTTGGTAATAAGAGAAAAAATTGCATTTATCAGGGACTAGGCTGGTAATTATTTGAGGTATAAGCAATGACCTCTTTAAACTTTAATCATCTCCAAGCATCCTAATGATCAAGAATCAGTGGTGCAGAAATACCTATTTTATGGCTTTTTGGAGAAGTTGATGTTCCAAAATTGATTTTTGCAGTCTTATAGAACTCAAAAGAAAGGTATCCGAAATAATATTCTGCATTAACACTATTTTTTCGGTATTCCTCTTATGAACTATTCACTGCAATCATTCTGAAGTGATTTGAAACAGTAAATAGTAAAGTTCATCTTTGTAAGAATTATAATTCTTAAACCTATGTTTGGTCTGTCATATTTTAGGTTGAGTCAAGAAAGCTACTATGAAGATTATTTCTTCAGAAATATGTCCCCAACTCCTAGGCAATTATCAGATATTCCCTACACACTTTAGTTTTCCTTCTCAACATTTTTCTCTTTTTTTTGTAATTATGCATTTATTAGCATTTACCTACTTAAGCCTCATTTTCTCATCCATAAAATGGTGATAATTTTACCTCATTGGTTCTGTTGTCTTAAATGGCATGCATACTAAATATGTTAACCGTTTCTGTTATTTATTACTACTACTAATATACTAATACCACTACACAGTAAACCCCATGATGGCAAAGATGGTATATATTTTGTGCCATTGTGTTCCCTAGCACCTAGTATGTATTCAGTAAATATTTGTTGAATGAGTGAATTGATAAATTGAATAATTCTAATCTTGATGAGATGCTATGACAATATGGAAATATGTACGGGGTCAGGAACAATTTTGGACATAATTGAGCATCATATTGAACATTTCTGTTCAATGTGACTTCTGAAAAAGGAATTACTAGCACAAAATTACAAAACCAATAGCATCTCTGACTAAGATTTATACTTAGACCATAATTTAACACTTTTTCCCAGTCTGAGCTCTTTACTGCTTCCTCAAAACCCCTATTCTTTTACTTTACTGTATGCTTCCTTAAAATGCCTTTGTGCTTTTGGTTTAAACCAAGTTGAAATCTAATTATATTTTAAAATTGAGTAGATTTTGGGCAGAAATATGGACAGCTGATTCATAGTATTCTTCTAGGTATGAAATATATGTAAAGTAGTAAATTAATTTTTGTCCTCTGATGACAGTGAAGTTTTTGACATTACAGTCATCCTTAGTAGTTTCATCAACACATTAAGCAGATGAGTAGTATTTCTAAGCCATATGGAATTCCTAAGTTGAGAGCAGAGGGAACACTGGAGTTACTCATCTGAAGTCTGTGGGTGAAATTTGACTTTAAGCGGTTTACAATTTTAATGGCAGAATCAAGGTCATAGAGGAGCAAGAGACATATGGTGATTTAAACAGCTCCTGATTTCAAGTCCTTCTAGGTCAGCTAAAATGCACTACCCAGATTCTTCTTCCAAAAATGCATAGAATTATGAGACATCTCAAATAGCTACTGAAAGCAAGCTAACACACCGGTATACTTGTGCTCACGCTTTCATTCTCCCTTTGCTCTATCATCCTCTCTCTCTTTCTCTCTGCTTTCTTGGTTTCTTTCATGCAGTCAGCAAATATTTATTGAGCACCTGCTTTGCCTCTGGTGCTGGCAATACAGTAAAAAAACAAAACAGACACGGTGCCTACTCTTCTTGAAATGTATACTCTGGGGACTCATTTAATTTTTCAAAAATATTATTTTAGGTCAAGTTCTACTAGCAGTTTTCTGTCCTTTCCTTTGCTTGTCTTACCTTTTATTCTTCCAAAAGTAAAAGATCCCTAAAAGTTTTCCCAGAATCCTGTCTTACCATTCTTATTTCTTAAAATTCTCTTTATGGGGAGTTAAAGTTACTGTAGGCAAAGATCTAGAGGAATATAGAAAAAGGAATTGAGAATGTGTTCACCAGATGTACAGAAACAATTCTATTAGTCAAGTTAATAATAGCTCAGAAGATATAAATATAAAAATTGTATAAAATGTCCTACGAAATCCCAGTTATTATATATACAAGTTTAAATATCCTTAGGGAATAAAGCTGAAGAGTATAAGATTTGTTTGAAGGATCATCAAAGCATATTTGAAAATACTATAGAAGAAAACTAACTGGGAACTGAAATTATTCTTATCCCAAACATGATGTTGGAGAATAAGTAAATGCCACGATAGTTTTTTTTTTTTACATTCTGTATTATTCATTGAGTTATATTTCATTGAATATAATACAGTACTTAATATTTATTGAGTATTATGCTCATGTCTTTTTATTACACTGAAAAACACACAAATATGACAAATTGTCATTTATCTAAAAGTACGTGGGGAAACTGTAACAAAGGCTATATCAAAAATCAATTGGAAAGGGAATTTTCTCTCAATCCGTGGTGGTGAGATAAACTGGTAGCAATTTGGTAAGGCAACAGTTTAGACATTGCTTTTCACAGTATTATACTTTTAAAATGAATTAGAATTACATATAAAATCAAGTTGTAAGAAAGAATAAAATATAACTTAATATTTATAAACTTTTGGACATGGAGATAAGACATTTAGAGGTTAGAAAACCCACAGAAAATAAAAAAGGTTAATGTTAGCAATTTTGAGTATCTAATAATATTCTAATCTAAAATATTAAAAGAATAATTCCAAGATAATAAGACAAATTACGAATTAAAACTAGTGCTTATCATACAAATAACTCATAAAAATAGGGAGAAACATACTACAAATTCAGGGTTTAAATGGAGAGTGGACATGGGCTGACAGGTCACATGAGAGTGACTAAAATTGTTTTTAAAAATAAATGTAAAGTATGACAATTCAATGTAACCATATGTACAAATATAGCTCTGAATAGATTTTATTTTTTGAAACATTTTTAGCAAAATTTAAAAAGCTGGACCATAACGGGATGATATCTTTACAGTAAATAGTAATATAAATTGTTCTACTCTTTGACCTTTTAATATTTTTGTTTTTTCGTGCATTTAACCTGATAGTCACTATTTGTTTCTTTCCACTTTTTAAAAGTTTTTTTTTCTCTCTTTCTTTTTAAATAGGTTTCTGGGGAGCAGGTGGTGTTTGCTTACATGAGTAAGTTCTTTATGGAGGTTGTGATTTCTGAGATTATGGTGCACCCATTACCCGAGCAGTATACGCTGTACCCAGTGTGTAGTCTTATATCCCTGATTCCCTCCCACCATTTCCCACGAGTCCCCAAAGTCCATTGTATCATTCTTATGCCTTTGCATCCTCATAGCTTAGCTCCCACTCATGAGTGAGAACATACGATGTTTGGTTTTTCATTCCTCTGTTACTTCACTTAGAATAATGGTCCCCAGTTGCATCCAGGTGGCTGCAAATGCCATTATTTTATTCTGTTTTATGGCTGAATAGTGTTATATGGTATATATACACCACAATTTCTTTATCCACTCATTGATTGATGGGCATTTGGGTTGGTTTCATATTTTTGCAATTGCAAATTGTGCTCCTGTAGACATGTGTATGCAAATACCTTTTTCGTACAATGACTTCTTTTCCTCTGGATAGATACCCAATGGTGGGATTGCTGGATCAAATGGTAGTTCTACTTTTACTTCTTTAAGGAATCTCCACATTGTTTTCCATAGTGGTTATACTTGTTTATATTCCCACCAGCAGTGTAGAAGTGTTCCCTTTTCACCACATCTATGCCAACATGTATTATTTTTTGTTTTTTTTATTATGGCCACTCTTGTAGGAGTAAGGTGGTATCACATTGTGGTTTTGATTTGCATTTCCCTAATCATTAATGATGTTGAGCATTTCATCAAATATTTGTTGGCTAATTGTATATCTTCTGTTGAGAATTGTCTATTCATGTCGTTAGCCCACTTTTTGCTGGGTTTTTTTCTTCTCTTTTTTTTTTTTCCTGATTTGTTTGACTTCATTGTAGATTCTGGATATTAGTCCTTTTTCAGATGTATAGATTGTGAAGATTTTCTTCCACTCTATGTGTTGTCTGTTTGCTCTGCTGATTGTTTCTTTTTCTGTGCAGAAGCTTTTTCATTTAATTAAGTCTCATATATTTATCTTTGTTTTTGTTGCATTTGCTTTTGGGTTCTTGGTTATGAAGTCTTTGCCTAATCCAGTGTCTAGAAGTGTTTTTCTGATGTTATCTTTTAGTATTTTTATAGTTTCAGATCTTAAATTTAAGTCCTTGATCCATCTTGAGTTGATTTTGGTATAAGGTGAGAAATGAGGATCCAATTTCATTCTTCTACATGTGACTTTCCAATTATTCCAGCAACATTTGTTGAATAGGGTGTACTTTACCCACTTTATGTTTTTGTTTGCTTTGTTGAAGATCAGTTGACTGTAAGTATTTGGGTTTATTTCTGGGTTCTCTATTCTGTTCCATTGGTCTATGCCTACTTTTATATCGGTACCGTGCTGTTTTGGTGACTGTGGCTTTATAGCATAATTTGGAGTCAGGTAATGTGATGCCTCCAGATTTGTTCTTTTTGTTTACTCTTGTTTTGTCAATGACGGTTCTTTTTTGCTTCCATGTGAGTTTTAGGATTTTTTTTTTCTAGTTCTGTCAAGAATGATGGTGGTATTTTGATGGGAATTGCATTGAATTTGTAGATTGCTCTTGGTAATATGGTCATTCTCATAATATTGATTCTACCCCATCCATAAGCTTGAGATGTGTTTCCATTTGTTTGTTTTTTCTGTGATTTCTTTCAGCAGTGTTTTAGTGTTTTGTAGTTTTAAAACCTTGTAGAGGCTGGGTGCAATGGCTCACACCTGTAATCCCAGCACTTTGGGAAGCCAAGGTAGGCAGATCACATGAGGTCAGGATTTCGAGACCAGCCTGGCCAACATGGCGAAACCCCATCTCTACTAAAAATACAAAAATTAGCCGGGCATGGTGGTGGGCACCTGTAATCCCAGCTACTTGGGAGGCTAAGGCAGGAGAATCGCTTGAACCTGGGAGGTGGAGGTTGCAGTGAGATGAGATCACGCCCTTGTACTCCAGCCTGGGCAACAAGAGCAAAACTCCATCTCAAAAAAAAGAAAACAAAAAAATCGAAAACCAAAATCTTGTAGAGGTCTTTCACCTCAGTGGTTAGGTATATTCCTAAATTTTATTTTATTTTATTTTATTTGCAGCTATTGTAAAGGAATTTGAGTTCTTAATTTGATTCTCAGCTTGGTTGCTGTTGGTGTGTGGAAGAGCTACTGATTTGTGTACATTAATTTTGTATCCTGAAACTTTGCCAAATTCATTTACCAGTTCTACAAGCTTTTTGGAGGAGTCTTTAGGGTTTTCTAGGTATACAATCATATCATTAGCAAACAGCAACAGTTTAATATCCTCTTTACCAATTTGGATGCCCTTTATTTTTTTTCTCTTGTCTGATTGCTCTGGCTAGGACTTCCAGTACTATGTTGAATGGAAGTGGTGAGAATGGGCGTCCTTGTCTCATTCCACTTCTCAGAGGGAATGCTTTCAACTTTTTCCCATTCAATATTATGTTGGCTGTGGGTTTGTCATAGATGGCTTTTATTACGTTAAGGTATATCCCTTCTCTGCCAGTATTGCTGAGGGTGTTAATCACAAACGGATGCTGAATTTTGTCAAATGCTTTTTCTGCGTTTCTTGAGATGATGTGATTTCTGTTTTTGATTCTGTTTATGTGGTGTATTACGTTTATTGACTTGTGTATGTTGAACCATCCCTGCATCCCTGGTATGAAACCCACTTGGTCATGGTGGATTGTCCTTTTGATATTCTGTTGGATTCGGTTAGCTTGTATTTCTTAAGGATTTTTGCATCTATATTCATCAGGAATGTTGGTCTGTAGTTTTTCTTTTTTTGCTCTGTCCTTTTCTGATTTTGATATTAGGATGATATTGGCTTCATAGAATGATTTAGGGAGTATTTTCTCTTTATCTTGGAGAATAGTGTCACTAGGATTGGTACCAATTCTTCTTTGAATGTCTGATAGAATTCAGCTGTGAATCCATCTGGTCCTGGACTTTTTTGTTGGCAAGTTTTTATTACCATTTCAATCTCACTGCTTATTACTGATCTGCTCAGAGTTTCTGTTTCTTCTTGGTTTAATCTAGGAGGGTCCTTTATTTCCAGGAATTTGTCCGTTTTCTCTAGGTTTTCTAATTTAGGTACGTAAAGGTGTTCATAGTAGCCTTCAATGATCTTTTGTATTTCCGTGGTATCAGTTGTAATATCTCCCATTTCAATTATAATTGAGCTTATTTGGATCTTCTTTCTTATTTTCTGGGTTAATGCTGCTAATGATCTATCAATTTTATCTATCTTTTCAAAGAACCAGCTTTTTGCTTCATTTATCTTTGTTGTTGTTGGTTTTGGTGTTATTTGTTTCAGTTTCATTTAGTTTGGCTCTGATCTTTGTTGTTTCTTTTCTTGTGATAGGTTTGGGTTTGGTTTCTTCTTGTTTCTTTAGGTGTGACCTTAGATTGTCTATTTGTACTCTTTCAGACTTTTTGATGTAGACATTTAAGGAACTTTCCTCTTAGCACTACCTTTGCTGTATCCCAAAGGTTTTGATACATTGTGTCATTGTTATTGTTCGTTCAAAGAATTTTTTAATTTCCATCTTGATTTCATTTGCAACGGTCATTCACGAGCAGGTTATTTAATTTCTACTTATTTGCATGGTTTTGAGGTTCCTTTTGGAGTTGATTTCCAATTTTATTTTACTGTTGACCTTTTAATCTTATTACCAGGAGTCAGTCCTACTGAAATAATCTTCAAATGTGTAAAATCTGGATGCTGAGTGTTACTCGTCTTGTTTTTATTATAATAGAAAAAAATCAGAACTAGTCATTATGAGAAAACGATTATGGGAGTGCATGAAGATGGATAATGCTGATCTGTTGGTCTTTCAGGATTTCTTAAAAAGACCAACAACCTTTGCCAAACTGCATTCTGCAATATTCTTCAGTTGCTTTACATTACAAATAATCAAATGAAAATAATTAAGAAATAAATATTAAGAAATATTAAGAATCATTAAGAAATACTAAGTTCCAAAAAATATTTTATTATGAATCCAATGAAATATTGGCCTGTTTATGAGCTTCCTGGATACTTTAAAAAATCCTAGGTCATTTAGCATATTCCTTTCTTTCTGAGTGTGAAATATTATCCATCTTTCCATTTTTGTTTTAACAGATGAACTTAACTAATATTACATATGTGTATTTTTTCTTTATTTGATTACATTAGGATTTTCTAAACATTTTTGTATCTCTTATTTATAACTATTTCTCTCCCATTGCATCTTGATGATTAGTATTAGCTTTGAAAAATGCCCAAGAAAGCAATTAAAATAGTCATTATTTTAGTAGTATTTCCTTTATAAAAATCGTATGTGGTGTAAGCATGAGAATACATTAATACAAAATAGTATAATATGATATAGCTAGACATTTAATGCATTTATTTTAATTTGAAGAAGATAGTTTGTACTATATTCACCAATGTTTGTTTTAGTTATTGTAAGCAGTCACATTTTTCCCTCTAGTCAGTCTCAGGTCAAGGAGTATGTCATAATACTTTTTGTGTCCCCCTAGTGCCTTGTACTTACTAGATACTCAGTAAATTTCTAAAGAATTGATTAGGTGATTTGGGACATGTGACACATACAATCTATTTAATTTTTTCTGTCACAGTCATATAAAAGTAAGCAGCTTCTTAACATTAGTGTATATTAATACAAGCAAAAACAAATTTTAAATTAGCTTAGTCATTGAATTAAAATGCTGATGAAACTGAAAGGAAGCTAGTATTTACATAGTATTAGAAGGAAACATGATTTTGCTAG
The DNA here is from genome assembly GCF_000001405.40 of Homo sapiens. NCBI lineage: Eukaryota > Metazoa > Chordata > Mammalia > Primates > Hominidae > Homo > Homo sapiens. The sequence continues at coordinate 108,990,251 of NC_000005.10, forward strand.
CTTGTTTTAACTTGGTGGTTTTCATTTGAATTCTCCTGTAGATAGATATTTAATCAAACTTTAAAAAATATGGTTGATAATAAGTTTCAATATACTAGACTTAGAGTTTTCTAAAAATATTGTATATTACATATTGATTTATGTATATCAATATTTCAGCTTAGAAAATTAGATACAACTTGTATCTCTATTGGTGTATGCATGTGTATGTATGTAGATACATTTCATCCTAACTGCCCACTTAATACATTTCAAAGAAATATAAATGTAAAGGTAAGTATACTTGCAAAAAAATTACAGGTGAAGAGAAAATGAAGGAAATTGATGAGAGGATAACAGAAAGTATTATAATAATGTATAAATATTTGGGAAGTATTAATAGGAATGCTATATTTGGGAGTTGAAAGAGATTAAATGGTCTTAAGAGAGAGAGACACAGAAAATACATCTTTATAAAGCCAGAAATGAGTGAGAAAATGAAGAGTAATTATTCAGTGAAATAGATGAGTCATCTTTATTAACATCTTTAAAATGAAGGAAGCTTAAATAAAATCAAGCAATACAGAGATTCTCTACCCAAATATAGTACAGAAATGAAATATGTTTCTAGATTTACATCCATGATTTTTCACACTGATACTGCTAAAATACCTAGTACTCTACTTTTAATATTAAAATATGTACATAACTTATGAAGCAAGAAATAAGGCTTTGTTGAGAATTAGAATGAATATGTATTTGCATATTGTGCTTCTGAGTTTGACATAAATATTTAATATTTAGATATATAGTATATGTATATATACACACATATATACAAATATATATCTTAAACAGGGGTACTTTTATTTGTAATAAGACAGAAAATAAGAAAATTATTAAGTATAAAGGAGAAAGTTTCAATATTGAAATTAAATACCAATATTAGCATAGCATGTCTGTCTCATTTTGTATATGTGTATATACGCACATGTATATATGGGTGTGTGTGTATTTCAGCTGGCTTCTGGATTCTGGATAATGCAATTAATTGAATTATAACATAGTTTAATTACTCTAATTATTGTTAAGGCAAAGGAAAAAAGTATAGGCATATTTTATAATCTTAAGTGATTATAGACAATGAAGTGTCACGGCCCCCCCAAAAACAGACAAATTTTTAACACTCAAATTACTGAAAATTATTAATTTGTTTATCCATATGTAAGGTTTTATAATTTAATGAAAAGATGTATCATTAAAAGAAATTAGCAGCTTTTCAGATCGTATACTTTGATATTTTATTTTTTTAAGAGTTCAACATTTATTCCAGGATTGTCATTTATATCACATTTGTGCAGAATTTATAATCACAAGCAGATAAACTTTTTTTTCTGTATTTCAATATCTCCTTCCTTATTCATTTGTTATTCATTCATTTGTTTATTCAGTAAGGTTTTAAGTTTATTCAGTAAGGTTTTTTTTAGCACTTGCTATTTTACTCAGGAAAAATTTTCTGTTATAACCACTTTAAAGCTCTCAAGATATAACTTAGCCACAGAAATATATTAAATTATTTCAAAGCTTTCTCTTCCTTTGGCTGAGTAATTCTATTTCCTTTTCTTTGTATTTTCTTTTTTTTTTTTAAATTAATTAATTTATTTTTATTGATCATTCTTGGGTGTTTCTCGCAGAGGGGGATTTGGCAGGGTCATAGGACAATAGTGGAGGGAAGGTCAACAGATAAACAAGTGAACAAAGGTCTCTGGTTTTCCTAGGCAGAGGACCCTGCGGCCTTCCGCAGTGTTTGTGTCCCTGGGTACTTGAGGTTAGGGAGTGGTGATGACTCTTAACGAGCATGCTGCCTTCAAGCATCTGTTTAACAAAGCACATCTTGCACCGCCCTTAATCCATTTAACCCTGAGTGGACACAGCACATGTTTCAGAGAGCACAGGGTTGGGGGTAAGGTCACAGATCTACAGGATCCCAAGGCAGAAGAATTTTTCTAGTACAGAACAAAATGAAAAGTCTCCCATGTCTACTTCTTCCTACACAGACACGGCAATCATCCGATTTCTCAATCTTTTCCCCACCTTTACCCCCTTTCTATTCTACAAAACCGCCATTGTCATCATGGCCCGTTCTCAATGAGCTGTTGGGTACACCTCCCAGACGGGGTGGTGGCCAGGCAGAGGGGCTCCTCACTTCCCAGTAGGGGCGGCAGGGCAGAGGCGCCCCTCACCTCCCGGACGGGGTGGCTGGCCGGGCGGGGGGCTGACCCCCCACCTCCCTCCCGGACGGGGCAGCTGGCCGGGCAGAGGGGCTCCTCACTTCCCAGTAGGGGTGGCTGGGCAGAGGCGCCCCTTACCTCCCAGATGGGGCGGCTGGCCGGGCGGGGGGCTGACCACCCCACCTCCCTCCCGGACGGGGCGGCTGGCCTGGCGGGGGCTGACCCCCACCTCCCTCCCGGATGGGGTGGCTGCTGGGCGGAGACGCTCCTCACTTCCCAGACGGGGTGGCTGCCGGGCGGAGGGGCTCCTCACTTCTCAGACGGGGCGGTTGCCAGGCAGAGGGTCTCCTCACTTCTCAGACAGGGCGGCCGGGCAGAGACACTCCTCACCTCCCAGACGGGGTCGCGGCCAGGCAGAGGCGCTCCTCACATCCCAGACGGGGCGGCGGGGCAGAGACGCTTCCCACATCTCCGACGATGGGCGGCCGGGCAGAGACGCTCCTCACTTCCTAGATGGGATGGCGGCCGGGAAGAGGCGCTCCTCACTTCCTAGATGGGATGGCGGCCGGGCAGAGACGCTCCTCACTTTCCAGACTGGGCAGCCAGGCAGAGGGGCTCCTCACCTCCCAGACGATGGGCGGCCAAGCAGAGAGGCTCCTCACTTCCCAGACGGGGTGGCGGCCGGGCAGAGGCTGCAATCTCAGCACTTTGGGAGGCCAAGGCAGGCGGCTGGGAGGTGGAGGTTGTGGCGAGCTGAGATCACGCCACTGCACTCTAGCCTGGGCACCATTGAGCACTGAGTGAACGAGACTCTGTCTGCAATCCCGGCACCTCGGGAGGCCGAGGCTGGCGGATCACTCGCGGTTAGGAGCTAGAGACCAGCCCGGCCAACACAGCGAAACCCCGTCTCCACCAAAAAAATACGAAAACCAGTCAGGCGTGGCCGCGCGCGCCTGCAATCGCAGGCACTCGCCAGGCTGAGGCAGGAGAATCAGGCAGGGAGGATGCAGTGAGCCGAGATGGCAGCAGTACAGTCCAGCTTCGGCTCGGCATCAGAGGGAGACTGTGGAAAGAGAGGGAGAGGGAGACTGTGGGGAGAGGGAGACCGTGGGGAGAGGGAGAGGGAGAGGGAGAGGGCGAGGGCGAGGGAGAGGGCAAGGGCGAGGGCGAGGGTGAGGGCGAGGGCGAGGGCGAGGGCGAGGGTGAGGGAGAGGGAGAGGGCTGTATTTTCAAATACAAGTTGAGGATGGTTCTTCTGATGTTAATCACTTGGGTGATTCCCACCAACAGTGTAAAAGCATCCCTGTTTCTCCATAGCCTTGCCAGCATCTGTTGTGTCTTAACTTTTGATAGTTGCCCTTCTGACTGGTGTGAGATGGTATCTTTGTGGTTTTGATTTGCATTTCTCTAATGATCAGTGATGTTGAGCTTTTTTTTCATGTTTATTAGCCCCTTAAATGTCTTCTTTTCAGAAGTGTCTGTTCATGCCCTTTGCCCACTTTTTAATGGTGTTGTTTTCTTCTTGTAAATTTATTTAAGTTCCTTGTAGGTTCTAGATATTAATACTTTGTCAGATGGATAGATTGCAAAATTTTTCTCCCATTCTGTAGGTCGTCTGTTCACTCTGATGATAGTTCCTTTTGCTGTTCAGAAGCTCTTTAGTTTAATTAGATCCCATATGTCAGTTTTTGCTCTTGTTGCAATTGCTTTTGATATATTAATCATGAAATCTTTGCCCATGCCTATGCCCCACATTTTCTGCTAGAGTTTTTATAGTTTTGGGTTTTGTATTTCAGTCTTTAATCCATCTTGAGTTAATTTTTGTATAAGGTATAAGGAAGGGGTCCAGTTCCAATTTTCTCCATATGGCTAGCCAGTTCTCCCAGCACCATTTATTAAATAGGGAATCTTTTCCCCATTGCTTGTTTTTGCCAGGTTTGTCGAAGATCAGATGGTTGTAGATGTGCAGTCATAGTTCTGAGATCTCAATTCTGTTCCATTGGTCTTTGTGTCTGTTTCTGTACCAGTACCATGCTGTTTTGGTTAGTGTAGTCTTGTAGTATAGTTTGAAGTTGGGTAGTATGATTCCTCCAGCTTTGTTCTTTTTGCTTATGATTATCTTGGCTATTTGGGGTCTTTTTTGGTTCTATATGAATTTTAAAGTAGTTTTTTCTAATTCTGTGAAGAATATCAGTGGTAGTTTCATGTGAATAGCATTGAATTTATAAATTGCTTTGGGCAGTATGGCCTTTTTTATGATACTGATTATTCCTATCCACGAGCATGGAATGTTTTTCCATTTGTTTGTTTCCTCTCTTATTTCCTTGAGCAGTGGTTTGTAGTTCTCCTTGAAGAGGTCCTTCACTTCCCTTGTTAGCTGTATGCCTAGGTATTTTATTCTCTTTGTAGCAATTGTGAATGGGACTTCATTCATAATTTGGTGCTTTGCTTGTCTATTGTTGGTATATAGGAATGCTTGTGATTTTTGCACATTGATTTTGTATCCTGAGACTTTGCTGAGGTTACTTACCAGCTTAAGGAGATTTGGGGCTGAGACTATTGGGTTTTCTAGATGTAGGATCTCGTCATCTGCAAACAGAGGTAGTTTGACTTCCTCTCTTCCTATTTGTATACCCTCTATTTCTTTCTCTTACCTGATTGCCCTGGCCAGAACTTCTAATACTGTGTTGAAAAGGAGTGGTGAGAGAGGGCATCCTTGTCTTGTACAGTTTTAAGGGGAATGCTTCTAGCTTTTGCCCATTCAGTATGGTATTGACTGTTGTTTTGTCATAAATGGCTTTTCTTTTCTTTTTTTAATTATTATACTTTAAGTTCTGGGGTACATGTGCAGAACATGCAGGTTTGTTACATAGGTATACACGTGTCATGGTGGTTTACTGCACCCATCAACCTGTCATCTACATTAGGTATTTCTCCTAATGCTATCCCTCTACTAGCCCCCCACCCCCCAACAGGCCCCAGTGTGTGATGTTCCCCTTCCTATGTACATGTGTTCTCATTGTTCAGCTCCCACTTATGAATGAGAACATGTGGTGTTTGGTTTTCTGTTCTTGTGTTAGTTTGCTGAGAATTATAGTTTTCAGCTTCATCCATGTCCCTGCAAAAACATGAACTCATCCTTTTTTATGGCTACTTAGTATTCCATGGTGTATATGTGCCATGTTTTCTTTATCCAGTCTATCATTGATGGGCATTTGGGTTGGTTCCAAGTCTTTGCTATTGTGAACAGTGCTGCAATAAAACATACGTGTGCATGTGTCTTTATAGTAGAATGATTTATAATCCTTTGGGTAGATAGCCAGTAATGGGATTGCTGGGTCAAATGGTATTTCTGATTCTAGATCCTTGAGGAATCACCACACTGTCTTCCACAATGGCTGAACTAATTTACACTCCCACCAACAGTGTAAAATGTTCCTATTTTTCCACATCCTCTCCAGCATCTGTTGTTTCCTGACTTCTTAATGATCACCATTCTAACTGGTGTGAGATGGTATCTCTTTGTGGTTTTGATTTGCATTTCTCTAATGACCAGTGATAATGAGCTTTTCTTCGTATGTTTGTTGGCCGCATAAATGTCTTTTTTTGAGAAATGTCTGTTCATATCCCTTGCCCACTTTTTGAAGGAGTTGTTTTTTTCTTGTAAATTTGTTTAATTCATTGTAGATTCTGGATATTAGCCCTTTGTCAGATGGAGAGATTGCAAAAATTTTCTCCCATTCTGTAGGTTGCGTGTTCACTCTGATGATAGTTTCTTTTGCTGTGTGGAAGCTCTCTAGTTTAATTTGATCCCATTTGTCAACTTTGGATTTTGTTGCCATTGCTTTTGGTGTTTTAGTCCTGAAGTCTTTGCCCATGCCCATGTCCTGAATGGTAATGCCTAGGTTTTCTTCTAGGGTTTTTATTGTTTTAGGTCTTACATTTAAGTATTTAATCCATCTTGAGTTTATTTTTGTATAAGGTGTAAGGAAGGGGTCCAGTTTCAGTTTTCTGCATAAGGCTAGCCAGTTTTCCCAACACAATTATTAAATAGGGAATCCTTTCCTCATTTCTTGTTTTTGTCAGGTTTGTCAAAGATAAGATGGTTGTAGGTGTGTGGTGTTATTTCTGAGGCCTCTATTCTGTTCCGTTGGTCTGTATATCTGTTTTAATACCAGTACCATGCTGTTTTGGTTACTGTAGCCTTGTGGTATAGTTTGAAGTCAGGTAGCATGATGCCTCCAGCATTGTTCTTTTTTGCTAGGATTGTCTTGGCTGTGTGGGCTCTTTTTTTGTTTCCATATGCAATTTAAAGTAGTTTTTTCCAACTTTGTGAAGAAAGTCAGTGGTCACTTGATGGGGATAGCATTTAATCTATACATTACTTTGGGCAATATGGCCCTTTTCACGATATTGATTCTTCTTATCCATGAGCATGGAATGTTTTTTCATTTATTTGTGTCCTCTTTTACTTCCTTGTACAGTGGTTTGTAGTTCTCCTTAAAGACGTCCTTCACATTCCTTGTAAGTTGGATTCCTAGGTATTTTATTCCCTTTGTAGCAATTGTGAATGGGAGTTCACTCATGATTTGGCTCTCTGTCTGTTATTGGTGTTTAGGAATGCTTGTGAAATTTGCACATTGATTTTGTATCCTGAGACTTTGCTAAAGTTGCTTATCAGCTTAAGGAGATTTTGGGCTGAGGGGAGGCCGAGGCAGGCAGATCACAAGGTCAGGAGATCGAGACCATCCTGGCTAACACGGTGAAACCCCGTCTCTACTAAAAAAAAAAAAAAAATACAAAAAAAATTAGCCGGGCTTGGTGGTGGGCGCCTGTAGTCCCAGCTACTCGGGAGGCTGAGGCAGGAGAATGGCGTGAACCCAGGAGGCAGAGCTTGCAGTGAGCGAGAGCATGCCACTGCACTCCAGCCTGGGTGGTGGAGCGAGACCCTGTCTCAAAAAAAAAAAAAAAAAGAGATTTTGGGCTGAGACGATGGGGTTTTCCAAATATACACTCATGTCATCTGCAAGTAGAGAAAATTTGACTTTCTCTTTTCCTAATTGAATACCCTTTATTTCTGTCTCTTGCCTGATTGCCCTGGCCAGACTTCTAATACTATGTTCAATAGGAGTGATGAGAGACGGGGTCAGGGACCCACTTGAGGAGGCAGTCTTACCCTTAGCAGAGCTCCGGTGCTGTGCTGGGAGATCCGCTGCTCTCTTCAGAGCCATCAGGCAGGGACGGTTATGTCTGCTGAAGCTGCTCCCACAGCTGCCTCTTTCCCCAGGTGCTCTGTTTCATGAAGATGGGGGTTTTATCTATAAGTTCCTGACTGTGGCTGCTGCCTTTTTTTCAGAGATGCCCTGCCCAGAGAGGAGGAATCTAGAGGGGCAGTCTGGCCACAGTGGCCTTGCTGAGCTGTGTGTGGTAGGCTCCTCCCAGTTCGAAATTCCCTGTGGCTTTGTTTACACTGTGAGGGTAAAACCACCTACTCAAGCTTCAGCAATGGTGGACACCTTACCCCATACCAAGCTCCAGCATCCCAGGTCGACCTCAACTGCTGTGCTGGCAGTGAGAATTTTATGCCAGTGGATCTTAGCTTGCCAGGCTCCGTGGGTGTGGGACCTGCCGTACCAGACCACTTGGCTCCCTGGCTTCATCTCCCTTTCCCCGGGGGATGAACGGTTCTGTCTTGCTGGCGTTCCAGGCACCACCGGGGTATGAAAAAAAAAAAAAAAAAAAAAACTCTTGCAGCTAGCTAGGTACTGCCCAAACGGCCGCCCAGTCTTGTGGTTGAAACTCAGGGCCCTCGTTGCCTAGCCACCTGAGGGAATCTCCTGGTCTGCGGATTGTGAAGACTGGGAAAAGCACAGTATCTGGGCCAGAGTGCAGTGTTCCTCACAGCACAGTCCCTCATGACTTCCCTTGGCCAGGGGAGGGAAATTCGCTAACACCCCTTGTGCTTCCTGGGTGAGGCGACATCCCATCCTTCTTCGGCTCGCCCTCCATTGGCCGCACCCACTGTCCAACCAGTCCCAGTGAGATGAACCGGATACCTCAGTTACAAATGCAGAAATCCCCTGCCTTCTCCCTGGGAGCTGCAGACTGGAGCTGTTCCTATTTGGCCATCTTGGCGCATTAATGGCTCTTATTAATTTGAGGTATGTTCCATCAATACCTAGTTTATTGAGAGTTTTTAACATGAAGGGATGTTGCATTTTATCGAAGGCCTTTTCTGGGTCTGTTGAGATAAACATGTGGTTTTTGTCTTTAGTTCTGTTTATGTGATGAATTACATTTATTGATTTGTGTATGTTGAACCAGCCTTGCATCACAGGGTGAACCTGACTTGATTGTGGTGGATAAGCTTTCTGGTGTGCTGCTGGATTCCGTTTGCCAATATTTTACTGAGGATTTTTGCCTCGATGTTAAAGTGATTTATATATGTTGTATTTTAGAAAAGGTTCTAGAGAACTCTTTGTAGGTTGTTTTTATTACTTTGATACATAATATGAATTGTTTCAAACATGAAAAAATACAGAGACTAAACTAGTAAATACCCATATATGAACTAACTTTTAATTTTTTTCTAACATTTGACTGTTCTTGCTTTAGTTTTTTTAAAAGTAAGAATTGAAACATTATGCATAAACTTGTAGCCTTCCTTGATTCTATGTTTTTTCCAGTTAGTGTTATCTATAATACTTCTCTGATTTCTCCTTCCTTGAATTTTATACTGTTACTTCACTGTGCTATTTGTACTAGCCATACACAATATGTCTTTGCATGTTTATCATTTGTTACGTTTTAAATTTTTTATACAATTTTACTATTCTGTAACCCAGTTCTTAGTACTGAACATTTAAAAAATTATATTCACCTGTATGGATAGTGTGGCTCTGGTTCATTTGTTTCAACTGTTTTTAATTTTTAAATAGATTTTTAAAATTTATGGATGTAACACAATTCATACATTTTTCTTTAAATGGATATTTTTATTTGTTTTGCTTTTAATTTTCACTGACACAAACAGAACATACAGAAGATTCTTCTAGAGATGTGACGTATGTGTGAGAGTTTCTTTTATTTTGTATACCTAGAAGTAGAGTACCAAGAAGAAAGGGTCTGCATGTCGTTAATTTTATTAGATGTTGCTAAGGTGCTTCCCAATATGTTTGTACCAATTTATACTCCTATCAGTATGGCAAAAGAGTTTTCATTTATGTACACCTTTACCATTCTTACTATTTTTTTTTTTTGCCATCCTGGTAGGTATGGTTTCAATTATGTTACTAGATTAGATTATATTTTTTGATTACTAGATGATTTAACATCTTTTCCTGTGTGTATTAGCTCTTCTGTTTTCCACTTCTATGTATTACTGTTTAAATTTGCTTCAATGTGGGATTATGGATTGATTTTTAGTCTCTTTTAATAAGTAGGAGGAAAGCCCTTTACTATAACTGTCTAATTTCACTACATAGCACACAGTAGTACAGCTGATTTGGGGCATTAACTCTGCATCTCTCTTCTCTGAAAGTATTTATTTTGTTTCTGAGTCCAGCAGTTTTTTTGATTCTTTCTCTTTATATTTTTCTGCATTGCTATGTGTTGGACGCTGGCATAGTCTTTTAATGTATATATTTACTGGTTAATGTTGACCTTTTTTTCATAAAGATGATATATAATATATATATAAGTTTATTTGAGACTAAATTGACTTAGGAAAAAGACACAAATGGAAGAACCATAGTTTATATTAAAATGTAAAACGTGTTTATCAAAAAGCATCATAAACAGAATTTTAAAATTATTTGCCACATATTTAAGCAGACATTAATTTATTTAATATATAGAGTACATTTGTTCTAAGAAAAACAAACTCTCTAGTAAAAAAAAATGAGTAAAGAAAGAGAACAATTCATGAAGCAAAACAAATGGATAGAAAACATATTTTAAAAATATTTATCGCTAAAGATGTTCTTTGAAACCAACGAGAAAAAAGACACAACATTCCAGAATCTCTCGGACACATTCAAAGCAGGGTGTAGAGGGAAATTTATAGCATGAAATGCCCACAAGAGAAAGCAGGAAAGATCTAAAATTGACACCCTAACATCACAATTAAAAGAACTAGAGAAGCAAGAGCAAACACATTCAAAAGCTAGCAGAAGGCAAGAAATAACTAAGATCAGAGCAGAACTGAAGGAAATAGAGACACAAAAAACCCTTCAAAAACTCAGTGAATCCAGGAGCCGGTTTTTTTAAAAGATCAACAAAATTGATAGACCGCTAGCAAGACTAATAAAGAAGAAAAGAGAGAGGAATCAAATAGACACAATAAAAAATGACAAAAGGGATATCACCACCTGTCCCACAGAAATACAAACTACCATCATAGAATACTATAAACACCTCTACGCAAATAAACTAGAAAATCTAGAAGAAATGGATAAATTCCTGGACACATACACTCTCCCAAGACTAAACCAGGAAGAAGTTGAATCTCTGAATAGACCAATAACAGGAGCTGAAATTGTGGCAATAATCAATAGCTTACCAACCAAAAAGAGTCCAGGACCAGATGGATTCACAGCTGAATTCTACCAGAGGTACAAGGAGGAGCTGGTACCATTCCTTCTGAAACTAGAATCCTCCCTAACTCATTTTATAAGGCCAGCATCATCCTGATACCAAAGCCTGGCAGAGACACAACAAAAAAAGAGAATTTTAGACCAATACCCTTGATGAACATTTGATGGGAAAATTCTCAATACAATACTGGCAAACTGAATCCAGCAGCACATCAAAAAGCTTATCCACCATGATCAAGTGGGCTTCTTCCCTGGGATGCAAGGCTGGTTCAACATACGAAAATCAATAAACGTAATCCAGCGTATAAACAGAACCAAAGACAAAAACCACATGATTATCTCAATAGATGCAGAAAAGGCCTTTGACAAAATTCAACAACCATTCATGCTAAAAACTCTCAATCAATTAGGTATTGATGGGACATATCTCAAAGTAATAAGAGCTATCTATGACAAACCCACTGCCAATATCATACTGAATGTACAAAAACTGGAAGCATTCCCTTTGAAAACTGGCACAAGACAGGGATGCCCTCTCTCACCACTCCTATTCAACATAGTGTTGGAAGTTTTGGCCAGGGCAATTATGCAGGAGAAGGAAATAAAGGGCATTCAATTAGGAAAAGAGGAAGTCAAATTGTCCCTGTTTGCAGATGACATGATTGTATATCTAGAAAACCCCATCGTCTTAGCCCAAAATCTCCTTAAGCTAATAGGCAACTTCAGCAAAGTCTCAGGATAGAATATCAATGTGCAAAAATCACAAGCATTCTTATACACCAATAACAGACAAACAGAGAGCCAAATCATGAGTGAACTCCCATTCACAATTGCTTCAAAGAGAACAAAATACCTAGGAATCCAACTTACAAGGGATGTGAAGGAGAACTACAAACCACTGCTCAATGAAATAAAAGAGGATACAAACAAATGGAAGAACATTCCATGCTCATGGGTAGGAAGAATCAATATCGTGAAAATGGCCATACTGCCCAAGGTAATTTATAGATTCAATGCCATCCCCATCAAGCTACCAATGACTTTCTTCACAGAATTGGAAAAAACTACTTTAAAGTTCATATGGAACCAAAAAAGAGCCCGCATTGCCAAGTCACTCCTAAGCCAAAAGAACAAAGCTGGAGGCATCACGCTACCTGACTTCAAACTATACTACAAGGCTACAGTAACCAAAACAGCATGGGACTGGTACCAAAGCGGAGATATAGACCAATGGAACAGAACAGAGCCCTCAGAAATAACGCCGCATATCTACAACTATCTGATCTTTGACAAACCTGAGAAAAACAAGCAATGGGGAAAGGATTCCCTATTTAATAAATGGTGCTGGGAAAACTGGCTAGCCATATGTAGAAAGCTGAAACTGGATCCCTTCCTTATACCTTATACAAAAATTAATTCAAGATGGATTAAAGACTTAAACGTTAGACCTAAAACCATAAAAACCCTAGAAGAAAACCTAGGCATTACCATTCAGGACATAGGCATGGGCAAGGACTTCATGTCTAGAACAGCAAAAGCAATGGCAACAAAAGCCAAAATTGACAAATGGGATCTAATGAAACTAAAAACTTCTGCACAGCAAAAGAAACTACTATCAGAGTGAACAGGCAACCTACAAAATGGGAGAAAATTTTCACAACCTACTCATCTGACAAAGGGCTAATATCCAGAATCTACAATGAACTCAAATTTACAAGAAAAAAACAACCGCATCAAAAAGGGGGCGAAGGATATGAACAGACACTTCTCAAAAGAAGACATTTTTGTATCCAAAAAATACATGAAAAAATGCTCATCATCACTGGCCATCAGAGAAATGCAAATCAAAACCACAATGAGATACCATCTCATACCAGTTAGAATGGCGATCATTAAAAAGTCAGGAAACAACAGGTGCTGGAGAGGATGTGGAGAAATAGGAACACTTTTTTACACTGTTGGTGGGACTGTAAACTAGTTCAACCATTGTGGAAGTCAGTGTGGCGATTCCTCAGGGATCTAGAACTAGAAATACCATTTGACCCAGCCATCCCATTACTGGGTATATACCCAAAGGACTATAAATCATGCTGCTATAAAGACACATGCACACGTATGTTTATTGAAGCACTATTCACAATAGCAAAGACTTGGAACCAACCCAAATGTCCAACAATGATAGACTGGATTAAGAAAATGTGGCACATATACACCATGTAATACTATGCAGCTATAAAAAATGATGAGTTCATGTCCTTTGAGGGACATGGATGAAGATGGAAACCATCATTCTCAGCAGACTATCACAAGGACAAAAAACCAAACACCGCATGTTCTCACTCATAGGTGGGAATTGAACAATGAGAACACATGGACACAGGAAGGGGAACATCACACTCTGGGGCCTGTTGTGGGTTGGGAGGAGCGGGGAGGGATAGCAATTGGAGATATACCTAATGCTAAATGACGAGTTTATGAGTGCAGCACACCAGCATGGCACATGTATACATATGTAACAAACCTGCACGTAGTGCACATGTATCCTAAAACTTAAAGTATAATAATAATAAAATTAAAAAAATAAAAATAAAAATATTTATCCCAAGCATTCAAAAATTTAAATTTAAAAAATTAAAAAATTATAGCCAGGCATGGTTTCTCTTACATGTAATCCCAGCACTTTGGGAGCTAGAGGTGGGAGAATTGCTTGGACCTAGAATTTCAAGATCAGCCTAGGCATCATAGAGAGACCCCATCTCTACAAAAAAAATTAAAATTTGCTGGGCATGGTGGCGCACACCTGTAGTCCAAGCTACTTGGGATGCCAAGGTGGGAGGATCACTTAAGCCCAGGGGGTTGAGGCTGTAGTGAGCTGTGATCATGCCACTGCACTTCAGCCTGGGCGACGGTGTAAGACCGGGTCTCAAGAAACAAAACCAAACAACAAACCAATTGTACAATCTTTTTTTTTGTCAAATTGACAAATATTAGAAAACAATAAATGTCATTGCTAATAATGGTATGAGGAAGTGAGCACTCTCATACTCTGCTGATGCAAATGTAAATCCCTACAACTTTTCTGAATGACAGTTGGGCAGTAAGAATCTAGAGCTATCCTATGCTCTAAATGACCACTAGATACATTGGCTACTTAAACATTTATGTCCTCAGTTTCAGTAACCACATTTTAAGCCCTCATCAGCCTCCACGTGGCCTGTGGCTACATATTGCATACATCAGAGATAACATTTCCCTAATCACAGAATAGTTTATTGGCTATCACTCAGTAGTTTCAAAATATTCATATCCTTTTTCAAATACTGCTATTTCTAGGAATGTATTATAAATAAATATTAGCCATTTAAGGATCCTAACCAAAACATTGAAAACAACAGCAAAAATGGGAAAAAATCCAAATGTCCACAACAAGGAGCTGTAAATGACTATAAATTTATATGAAAGGATATTATGCAGCCTATTAAAAATAAGTGTTTGGATTAATGTCATGGTAATATGCTTACAAAATATCCTTCTAATTGAACAGACAGGCCACAAAACAGCATGACCACAAATTTACCATATGATTACAAATTTATTTTAAAATATTTTAAAATTTACATTACAGAGCATTATAGTGTTGGTGGTTTTTTATAGTGTTTTCTATTATAATGTACTACTGTTATAGTAACAAAAAAGTCAAAAGTATGTTGGTTTGGAACCTGGTTTTGCACCTTATGAAACATTAGTGATTGTGTTCATTTTAGGTTGTTTGTTTCATTTGAAATTTTGTGGTGGTTGACAAATTTATATATTTATTAATAAGTATCATATTACCAAATGGTTCAAATGAAGAGTTGTTTTTTTTATGTTTGTTTTGTTTTGTTTTTTAATAAAAAGAACTACTGATAAAAGCACTCCAGGATTAAGGAACAAACTGACTAGGGATGGCTGATTTCTCGGAAACTAGCCACAGTAGGAACTTATTACTATCCATCCCTAGGGATAAAGGGACAAGAGGCAGAAATAGTTACCAGAATCCAGTGTGTGCCAGAACTTTGCAAATGGGGCTGCCCATGACGAGATGATGCAGCTGCCCTAAACACAGCAAGAGGAAAGGAGTGGGAAAGAAATCAGACCTCTTTTCTTCCACCTTTGGATCTCATGCTGGAATCTAACTGGAGGTCCATCAACAAGACAGTCCTCAAGTGAAGTCTGAGGAGTCAGCCTCCTGGGGCATGTAATAGATCCAAGCAGGAGAGAGGATAGAAGGTGTTAGAGGGTGAGGCAGGTTGGCAAATGGAAAAAAACTATCCCGTGTGTGTGTGTGTGTGTGTATTTCTCTGTATGTGTTTATTCAAACATACTTATGTAACACATACATATGCGGTTAATGGTTGGTATTATATTTACATGAGTTGTGATGTATATATGTATAAGCATGTGTCATCTATTTGTGGAAGATTCCAACGTTTGTGCATACTCCCAGACACATACAAACATATGCACATATACAAGATATTTAAATTCTAGTAAATATAGAAAACAATGGAACTAGTTGGAAAAGAATTCTGGTTTAGACAGAGGAGTTCCAAAAAATAGCTAGGGAACCTTTAGGTAACACTTGTTTTAGATACACATGCTCTTGCACACCAATGAAAGCATACTGAACACACAAGAGTTTAAATTTCCCTTCAGTTGAAGTTCCTTAGCAGCAAGGACCATGTGTTCTGCCTTCCTGTGCTTTGTAAACTCTTGTACAGTGCTTCACACCCAGGAAGTGTCTCACTGTTGTAAGAATGAATGAATTAATCATTCCATTTAAATATTGTTTTCACTCAACCAGAGTATAACTTAAGACAAATTTGTATTCGCTTGGAGACCACTTTTAGAACAATTAATTGAATGAAAAGGAATTGTACATTTTTAAAATATTTATTGTTTTTAACCAGTATTGATTAACTCAGATATACTATAGGAACATATCATGATTTTGTTTATGGTACTGCACAAAGCTACTTATATGCTTTTTGTAACAACCTGATGATGTAGAGAGAAGCAGCATTAAGACTATTTTGTAAATGATGACTTTGAATCTTGGGGAGGTTAAACAATTTTCCTTTTTCCTTTTACCCTTCTGTAATGAGATAGTGAAATGAAGAAAGCTGTGAGGAGTTTTCATTGAGCAGTTATATTGAGCTACTTGAATTGTAGCTGCCATAATTCCCACCTGTTGTGGGAGGTATCTGGCGGAG
The DNA here is from genome assembly GCF_000001405.40 of Homo sapiens. NCBI lineage: Eukaryota > Metazoa > Chordata > Mammalia > Primates > Hominidae > Homo > Homo sapiens. Next base: position 109,006,307 of record NC_000005.10, read on the forward strand.
GTAATGAATCATGGGGGCGAGTCTTTCCTGTGCTGTTCTTGTGAGAGTAAGTCTCACGAGAGCTGGTCGTTTTATAAACGGGAGTTCCTCTGCAAGTGTTCTCTTGCCTACCGCCATGTGAGACAAGCCTTTGCTTCTTCTTTGCCTTCCACCATGATTGTGAGGCCTCCCCAGCTATGTGGAACTGTGAGTGCATTAAGCCTCTTTCCTTTATAAATTACCCAGTCTTTGGTAAGTCTTTATTAGCAGTGTGAGAATAGAGTAATACAAGCAGTAAGCAAGGTTTTGCTTTTTGTGTTTAACATATACCTGTGATGAAATTAGCTCTCTTAGCTTTTTGGCTTTTTGTTTTTAAAACTATAACAAAAATAGGAAGGGTGGGGGGAGAATTGTTATTTACATGTGATTTCTAAAGATGAGTAAAAAATTGTAATCTAAGTTTTTGAACAAACCTGTTTTCATTTTACCACAAATGTCCTCTAAAATTAGCCTAAAGTGAATGTGATGCTCATATGGTGGGGGGAAAAAAAATCTTACCTGCCTCACCTCCACTTAATTAAGATTATTAAAGCAATATATTGATACTAAGAGCACAATTCTGGAGGAAAACTTTGATAGAGGTTGTCTTCAGTTCTTTGCTTCAAAAGTTTACTTAACTTTGGTATTGAATAAGATTAACATGCTATGGGACCTGTGCTTTTTATATTCTGATGTTGTTCAGAGGTTTTTATTAGTTGGGTTATTCAGAAAATTGAGGCATTATTTTTTAGATGGGTTATTCAGAAAATTGAGAAATTATTTATGATTTAAAAAGTTTTAATTACATTGTCTATTGATATTGGCCAAATGCAGTTTCGAAGTAATAGCTCATATTCTGAGATACATGAGGTATTAACATTATATCAGTATAGTGATCATGTTGTCTTTTAACCCAAAGTAGGAGACATCAGTCTTTACAGTGTCCTTTCATTTTGAAAAGGCACTTCACATTGTTTTAGTCAGACTTATTAAGGGATACATTTTACATAGAGAAGTGAAAATTAATTCTTTTTAGCATATAGTTCTGATAAGTTTAGACAAATTCATATAGTTGTTTACCACCACAGTCAAATTATAGAACAATTGCATCAGCTCCCAAAATTATTCTATGCCCCTTTCTAGTCAACCCAGCTACTTACCCTTTGGAAAGTGAGAATGTCATATACAAGGAATCGTACAGTATGTGCTCTTTTCAATTTGACTTCTTTTATTTGGCAAAGTACAATTGGGATTCATCTGTATTGTTGCACAAATCAGTAATTTCCTCCTTTTATTGTGAATAACATTTCCTTGTGATGTACCACCATTTGTTTATTCATTCCTCAGTTGAAAGAGTTTTTGAGTTTTTAACAATTATGAATAAAACTATAAACATTCATTTAAAGCGTTTTATGTCAACATTAACTTTTCATTTATCGAGTATATACTTATGAATGAGATTGGTGGTTTGTCTAGTAAGTGTTCCTTTAAGTTTATAAGAAACTGCCAAATTATTTTCTAAAGTGGCTCTGCTATTTTGCATTCCTACCAACTGCGTGAGAATTCCAGTGACTCCACATTTTTACTAGCTTTTAGTTTTTTCAGTTTAAAATAAATAAATTAGATAATTACTTTTAGCTACTCTCATAGGTATATATAATGGTATCTCACTGTAGTTTTAATTTGTATTTCCCTAATGACTAAAGATGTTGAGCATCATTTCATGTGGTTATTTGTGATCTGTATGTCTTCTTTGTGGGCACTTTTGACAACCACAGAAAGACAAACTAGTGGATTAAAATTATAATCTTGTACTCACGGAGGAAATAAAGTGTATCTCTCTTTAACCTTATATTATTGAGTTTATTAGTACATAAAATTGACAAAAATCATTTTATTGTCTATTTAAATGACATAATGGTAATTATTCTTCCTGACTACAACTATCATTAAAGATGTTTACCATGTTCCTAATAGTTCTCATGTCTAATTGATTCCTCTCCCCATTTCCCACAGCTATTTCCAACCTTTACCATTTTTTCTCAAGTTCTTAAACTGTCTGTAGTTTCTTCAGTATTAGTCAGGGACTTGCTTCCTTCTTTTACTAAGAACCTGAAGAAGAAACACTTGCACACTCCACCAGCAGTTATTTTCACCTGTCCTAATTTTCTCTGTGTTATCGCAGCTCCTCTCACCTCACCCAGGTCTTTGATTCTTCATTTTTCTCTAGTTAACTCATCTATCTTGTCCCTTCTCTTCTCACCTTCCCTAGGCCTTTCATGTATCATTTTCTCTGCTTTAAAAAAATATTTTGCGTATTTCCTTACAGTCTTTTTCCTCAGCCACTCCATCCTTATCTTAAACAATAATAGCAGGCCGGGCACAGTGGCTCACGCCTGTAATCCCAGCCTTTTGGGAGGCCGAGGCGGGCAGATCAGGAGTTTGAGACCAGCCTGACCAACATGGAGAAACCCTGTCTCTACTAAAAATACAAAATTAACCAGGCATGGTGGCGCATGCCTGTAATCCCAGCTGCTCGGGAGGGTGAGGCAGGAGAATTGCTTGAACCTGGGAGGCAGAGGTTGCAGTGAGCCAAGATCGTGCCGTTGCACTCTAGCCTGGGCAACAAGAGCGAAACTCCATCTCAAAACAACAACAACAACAACAACAAAACAATAGCCAAAGCTTTCATTTCACTAGTCTAGTCTTCCTCTTCAGTCTTTTTTTTTTTTTTTTTTTTTGAAACGGAGTCTCACTCTGTTGTCTAGGCTGGAATGCACTGGCGTGATCTCGGCTCCCTGCAACTGCCGCCTCCCGGGTTTAAGCTATTCTCCTGCCTTAGTCTCCCAAGTAGGTGCACACCACCATGCCTGGCTAATTTTTATATTTTTAGTAGAGACGGGGTTTCACCATGTTGGCCAGGCTGGTCTTGAACTCCTGACCTCAAGTGAACTGCCCACCTCAGCCTCCCAAAGTGGTGGGATTACAGGTGAGCCACCGTGCCCGGCCCTCTTCCATCTTTTTAATAGGTCATGACTCCTTTCTTATGAAGTAACTTATAAGCATAATATATCTTACTTTGTTGATGTTTCTCATCAGCGACCTATTAGAAACCCACCAAAAGCCTCTACCCCTGACCACCTTACTTAAATTTAACTCTCAAATGTTGGAGACAACTCATTACTAGCATTAATCATCTCTTCTCAGCCCTCAGCCTGTTTGAAATGTCTGCTATTTTTGGAAGAGTCTCACTACTCTTATAGAATCTACCTTCTCCCTTTGCGTTTTGCTTCTTTCAAGACACAATTCCGTTTGTCCTTGTTGCAGTTACTTATTCCTGTATAAGCCACCACCCAAAAATATAGTGTCTTAAAAAATAATGTTTTATGTTTCTCATGATTCTTTGGGTTGACTGGGTGGAGGTTCTGCTGACTTAGCCTGGATTTACTCATGTATTTGCATTCAGCTGACAGGTTGATTAAGGGATGGGTTCAGTTGAGACAGCTGAAATGGCTAGTCTTTTAAGCCCAGGTTTAACAGTGTCATGATCTGTTAAACACGGGTAGTGTTTTAAGACAGTGAAGATGGAAACATCAAGGCCTCTTCAGGTCTAAATTTTGTAATTTCCACAGTGTCACTTCTGCCACAATCTGTTGGTCAAAGTAAGTAACAAGACTAACTCAGAGTCAAAATGAGAAAGAGACACTACCTCTGGACAGGAGAAACAGCAAGATCACATTTCAAAGAGGTACCTGTACTTGGGTGGGAAAGGTGTGGATATTAAACAGTCTACTATATTTCTTATTTTGTGACTCTTAGTTATCTCTTCTTAGTTTTCTTTTTTATCCTTCTTTTTTTTGAGACAGCCTGTCGCCCAGGCTAGAGTGCAGTGGCACAATCTCGGCCCACTGCAAGCTCCGCCTCCTGGGTTAATGCCATTCTCCTGCCTCAGCCTCCCCAGTAGCTGAGACTACAGGCGCCCGCCACCACGCCTGGCTAATTTTTTGTATTTTTAGTAGAGACGGGGTTTGACCGTGTTAGCCAGGATGGTGTCGATCTCCTGACCTCGTGATCCGCCCGCCTCGGCCTCTCAAAGCATTGGAATTACAGCCGTGAGCCACCGTGCCCAGCCTTTTTTATCCTTCTTTAAATGTTTTGTGTTCCTGTTCTCTTACCAGTTTCATAAGGTTTTCACCAATATTTATAATCGTCTCCAAGGATCAACACCTGGATCTCCTGTGGGTGATCCAAATTAAGATAGTCCAAAAGAGAATTCATAATCCCTATTTCTCACCCCACATCTTCTCTTCCCTTCCTGGATTTATATCTTGATCCCCGGTCCATGGCATTATCTGTAGTTATGCAAACTAGATTATTTTTGTACCTTTTCTTACCTCCCATATTCAGTTGCTGATAAAGTCCTGCTGACTATAAATTTGGAACATCTGCCCTCTCGTTTTCTACCTCAGAGCCATTATTCAGGTTTCCATTATTCTTTGTATTTTAATACTAGTATTTGAGTAATTTACAGTGTTTTTGAGTTTTGAATATTTTTGGCAAAAGTGAAATGAAATCAGTTTATTTTGTGAAGTAAAAAAGTGAAATGAGTTTATTTTGAAAAAGTGAGGAACATACATATGGAAAAATGTAAAAGGAATTAAAAATTACCCATGAGCCTCACTCAGATGTACACAGTATTAAGCTTTCTGTGTACATTCTTTTAGGTTTTTAAATATGCATATCTAATGTCCAAATACATTTACATTTAAAAAACATTTTAAGCATGTTTTTTAAATGTGTTAATGCTATAGGTATTGTTTTTATCTGTTTTTTTCAAATTATATAATCAGCTTCTTTTGATGCATAGTATTAGAAATTCTTCTAAGACTTAAAAAGTGGGACAAAGAACAGAATTCAGTGAGATATTGAGAAGATGTAAATATCAGGCTAAAAATCAGCATCTCTAAAAATTAGAGATGGATACAGCAAAATGTATGCACAACGGAGGACCTCTAATGTTTAACATCAGAGGAGAAATGTAATTTTAGACAAAGAATTAGTGAGATAAGGTACTTTCTGGTTTGTCTTTGTTTTCAGTACATTAACTGGAATTTGTTTCTTGTCTCGCTCAGTTACCTTTCTACCTCACCTCTTTTTTAAATTATCCCTTTGTTGTTATTAGCATGCCATTTGTAATATTTCCTTTAACTTCTTGGACTTAATGAGCTAGCCTCTTTGAGTTTTCCCCTAACCTCCCATGGTTATCCTTCTCTCACAAGGCATTGTTTTCTCCTTTTTTGCATGTTTATGTTTTTAGCAGGGCTTTATCTTGCTTTTATTTTTTTGAATATAAGTTTGCCTGCATGCGTTCAGGGCTATTTTATCTTTTTGCTCTCATTCAAATTAAATCAAACCCAATAAATCTACAGACCTGTGCAGATTCAGGGCTGCTTCCTCTTTTATTTTTTCTTTGGGACAAAAGACCTCCAAAACAATAGCGAGCTGATACAATTTTCTTTGATTGTGGAAATCTAATGTAACTAGTTTACCTAATTCCAATTGATCCTTTCTTTAGCCTCTGTTTCTGACAGCCACTATGAACACTCATGCGTCAGTTACTTTGCTCATGCTGTTTTCTTTACCTGGAGTATTGCCTTCTTGTGCTTCCCTTTTCTCCCCAGCAGAGCCTACTTCTCTACTGTGCAGCCATCTTTAGCCCTCAGTCCTTGATCAAAGTAACCATCTCTTCTCTGCATTCGCCGCACTCTTTGGTGCTCCGCACTTAGTTCTTTCCTTATTTTTACTTATTGTGAAGAGGTGTTTGATTGTAACCTTCTTGGAGGTAGACTGTGTATTCACGTATGCCAGCCATGTTATAGGTTTGCTTAAAATGCTTAGCAAATTTAGTAAAGATCATGATTACACTAAGATAATGTTCACATAGATAAATACAACTCAGCCGGTTTAGTGATTAAATGTAGAGCAGCTGTTGTGGAGAATTGGTGAGTTGCTTATTTAGTATGTTTTTCATGGGAGGGATAGCAACATTGCCTTCAATTGATGGCAAGTTTCACGTGTCACAATTAAAGTTTTATGTACGTATTTTGAGGCTAAATATGAAATTCCAATACTGATTTAGTCATCTTTAAGAGGCATTTATTCTTGCCTCCCTCCCACTTTTTATTGATTTGTTTCAAAGTAAAAGCTTTTATTTTTAAATCAATAACATTCAGGTAATATGATTCCATAAAGCCTTTCCAAAAATTTGAGACCTGTGTGGTATCATTGCGATGGCACTACATCAGCAGTATCTGTAGAACTTGATATTGGAGAGTTTTGTTCAAAGAAATACTTTGTCTTGATAGGACATTAAGTGAATGTAGAGGTATGGCTCAGCATAACTGCTAATTACAGTTTCTTTTAAATTATGAAGTGCCTTTTTTCCTTTTGGCTTTTGCCAAAATGGAAAAGAGAAAAAAAAATCAATGACTATAAATACTGGAAAACTCTATGACAATATGATGAATAATGAAATAAAAATTAAAAACTACCAAAGTCATACTTGATAGACTTAAAATGACAAAAGCAAGGGACATTGGAAGTAAAGATTCTCATTGAATATTTAACTCACTTATTTCTCCCTTGGCTGAACGTGTGGAGCGGAATTACCTGTTACTAGAATGGTGATGAAGTGTTAAATGCATTTTGGCTTTAGTGTTATCATTGCTTTTGCTTTTTTTTTTTTAATTTAATTTAATTTTATTATTATTATACTTTAAGTTTTAGGGTACATGTGCACAATGTACAGGTTAGTTACATATGTATACATGTGCCATGCTGGTGTGCTGAACCCAGTAACTCATCATTTAGCATTAGGTATATCTCCTAATGCTATCCCTCCCCCCTCCCCCCACCCCACAACAGTCCCCGAAGTGTGATGTACCCCTTCCTGTGTCCATGTGTTCTCATTGTTCAATTCCCACCTATGAGTGAGAACTTGCGGTGTTTGGTTTTTTGTCCTTGCGATAGTTTACTGAGAATGATGATTTCCAATTTCATCCATGTCCCTACAGAGGACATGAACTCATCAATTTTTATAGCTGCATAGTATTCCACGGTGTATATGTGCCACATTTTCTTAATCCAGTCTATCATTGTTGGACATTTGGGTTGGTTCCAAGTCTTTGCTATTGTGAATAATGCCGCAATAAACATACGTGTGCATGTGTCTTTATAGCAGCATGATTTATAGTCCTTTGGGTATATACCCAGTAATGGGATGGCTGGGTCAAATGGTATTTCTAGTTCTAGATCCCTGAGGAATCGCCACACTGACTTCCACAATGGTTGAACTAGTTTACAGTCCCACCAACAGTGTAAAAAAGTGTTCCTATTTCTCCACATCCTCTCCAGCACCTGTTGTTTCCTGACTTTTTAATGATTGCCATTCTAACTGGTGTGAGATGGTATCTCATTGTGGTTTTGATTTGCATTTCTCTGATGGCCAGTGATGGTGAGCATTTTTTCATGTGTTTTTTGGCTGCATAAATGTCTTCTTTTGAGAAATGTCTGTTCATGTCCTTCTCCCACTTTTTGATGGGGTTGGTTCTTTTTTTCTTGTAAATTTGTTTGAGTTCATTGTAGATTCTGGATATTAGCCCTTTGTCAGATGAGTAGGTTGCAAAAATTTTCTCCCATTTTGTAGGTTGCCTGTTCACTCTGATGGTAGTTTCTTTTGCTGTGCAGAAGCTCTTTAGTTTAATTAGATCCCATTTGTCAATTTTGGCTTTTGTTGCCATTGCTTTTGGTGTTTTAGACATGAAGTCCTTGCCCATGCCTATGTCCTGAATGGTAATGCCTAGGTTTTCTTCTAGGGTTTTTATGGTTTTAGGTCTAACGTTTAAGTCTTTAATCCATCTTGAATTAATTTTTGTATGAGGTGTCAGGAAGGGATCCAGTTTCAGCTTTCTACATATGGCTAGCCAGTTTTCCCAGCACCATTTATTAAATAGGGAATCCTTTCCCCATTGTTGTTTTTGTCAGGTTTGTCAAAGATCAGATAGTTGTAGATATACGGCCTTATTTCTGAGGGCTCTGTTCTGTTCCATTGATCTATATCTCTGTTTTGGTACCAGCACCATGCTGTTTTGGTTACTGTAGCCTTGTAGTATAGTTTGAAGTCAGGTAGCGTGATGCCTCCAGCTTTGTTCTTTTGGCTTAGGATTGACTTGGCGATGTGGGCTCTTTTTTGGTTCCATATGAACTTTGAAGTAGTTTTTTCCAATTCTGTGAAGAAAGTCATTGGTAGCTTGATGGGGATGGCATTGAATCTATAAATTACCTTGGGCAGTATGGCCATTTTCATGATATTGATTCTTCCTACCCATGAACATGGAATATTCTTCCATTTGTTTGTATCCTCTTTTATTTCATTGAGCAGTGGTTTGTAGTTCTCCTTGAAGAGGTCCATCACGTCCCTTGTAAGTTGGATTCCTAGGTATTTTATTCTAAAAATATGGAATGCTTAATGAATTTGCGTGTCATCCTTGCGCAGGGGCCATGCTAATCTTCCCTGTATCGTTCCAATTTTAGTATATGTGCTGCTGAAGCGAGCACTATGTTTGCTTTTAAAGTTATCTTCTTAATGTTGATTTTTTTTAAAGACTGTTTTGTTCTAAATGTCTCTGTAGGTGGTAATTTGAAAGTATGGAATTGGTGTCTTCAGAAATAATTTCAGACTCAATCTAGTTATAGAAAAAAGTTGTTTTTGTGTTTGACAGTTAACATACATCTTGATTTTTTTGTATATGTATGATTTGATAAGCCCCTTGTTTCTAGCACATAGTAATATGGCTTTTTTATTAAAGCAACATGTGCTAGCCCCTTTGCAGTTATCACAGTAGTGTCGTTCCATTTTGATTTTGCTGTTCAGCACTTTTTAAAACTGCTGTATCGGTTTCTTTTGTAGTAAAACTTGAAATACCAGTTCTTGGCGTCAAATAATACTTTCTTTTAAAATTGACTTTTAGATAAATTAAAAATGGTTAAGATGTAGATAGAGAAGCAAACGTGTGACTTTTTTTTTTAAGTAGTAGTTGGAGGGAGCATATATTCATTCCTTCTTTCATGCCACATTAACTGAATGCCCATTATGTGACAGCTTCTTGATACACTCTGGAGCTATACTGGTGACTGAGACATAGCCTTTTCCCTCAAAGAGCTTCTATCTGCCAGTGGAGACTGACAGGTAAATAGATCAGTATAATCCAAGCTGACAGGTGACATAAGCATGAACAGAACTGTGGAAGCACTAGAGCAGGATCAGCACATCATGCCTCGGGGAAGCAGGAGACAGCATTATATATGGTAATTCAAAATTAAATGGAATCATGAGCAACCCTATATTTTAAAGCAGAAATATGATTTTCTTAGTGTAAATTAAGCCTTTTTTCAACTTAAATTTTAGTTTTGAATGAGTTGCTGTCATTCAGAAATTGGCTTTTTTCTGTGTTGTCAGCATCGTGTGCCTTTTTCCACCTCCTCATTCCCCTCCATACTCCGAAGAATGTCTTTAATGTTTGAACCACTATGTCACATTGCATCTCAGATTTACCTTCTCTGGCTTTGGATGCTCCTGAATGGGGGTGATTATTTGCATTTCCTTTGCTCCTCTTGGAGGACTGGGTCACATTTAGTTTAAGGGTTACTATTAGTGAGCAAAGAGAACAAAGGCACCAGGAGCTGAGAATGCCCTTTTCTAGGTGACTTTTTCCCTCTATATCTGACCTAAGTTGTGCACTTCTTCAGTAATCAGAGACTATAATTACATGCTAATGTTATAGCCCTGTCAGTATCTGTTTCTACAAGATCTTTATGTATTCCAAGGCATCCTGTGTAGGGAAGCATACAATATATTGTTAATTTTGGACAACTTAATCCATCCCAATTCTATAGGCTGATGATAAGCTTGAAGATGACAAGGCCAGGTGACAGAATACTGGAGGATTAGTTTCTGAGTAGTTCAAGATTGTCTTTGTTGATTAAAACTTCACTGTGTATCAGCCACTCTGATTTGGACTTTTGTTGAATATGAATAAAGATAAGAGGATTGAGCAACTCCTATAAAGCAAAGTGAAATTGCAAGCAGTGTGTGAAGAAAACTGGTTTCACTTTAACCAAGGACAACAGGAAACAATACACACTTGTGTACTTTTTTGTGTCTCTGATGATATCAGACCAGCTTTCTCTTATCACTGATAAAGCCATGACCACAGATGTAAATCAAATGACTTAATTGTAGGTCGCTTGTCAAACAAAAAGCTTTTGTTGCAAAGCAATAGCAAAACTTTGAAATGTGTATGTGTATACTTAGTCAATGTTTAGAATCTATTCTTTATTTGAATATATACATATTTTCCACATTATTATTATAGTTTTTTATTATGTGCTATGCACAGAATTAAGTTCCTCTCAGATTCATATGTTGAACCACCAACATGTCTTTATAGGTAGGGCTTTTAGGAGGTAATTAAGGTTAAATAAGGTTATAAGAATGGCCTCCTAATTCAATAGGTTTTGTGGTCTTATAAGAGGAAGAGAGACCTATCTCTACCTGTGAATATGCCTAGGAAAGGCCATGTGAGGACACAGTGGGAAGAAGGCAGTCTGCAATCCAGTGAGAAAGCCCTCAGCAGATTCTGTTGTTTAAGCCACCCAGTCTATGATACTTTGTTATGGCAGCCTAAGCTGACCAATACACCATGTAATGAACGTGCTGTTTTCTTATTTCTATTGCATAGTTATTTTAGGAATTTTAATATTACAGGCTTTTTACTGAAATGAGACAGTTATTTTATGTTGCCTTTTGAAATGTGAGCTTGAGAGGATTGCAGGGCTAATGAGGGGCTAGGAAAGAAAAATATCCCTAGATTTATTCAAATTTTTCAAAAAGATATGTTATATATTTTGCAAATCAAAAATTATTAGAAAAGACAAGATAGTTATTATAGAATTTAAAGTATTTTATTTCATACATTACAAATACAAAACATATTGTTTTAAGAATTGCTTTGGATTGTTTTGAAGCAAAATGTTGGATGTGATGTCCTCTGCTCATGATTGCTGCAGAAATACCCAAATGACATAGTAAGATTTTCATGCCTTATAAATAAGTCTTGTATATTCACAGTCTTTCTGTTATTCATTGTTGAACCTTTGTCTTGAAATAATGTAATTCATAAGAAAAGAGATAACTTATTTGCATATCATAAATTTTAGTTCTTTTAGCTTGGGTCCAAATCAAAATAAAATTCATTTTGCTTTTATTTTGTTGACTAGTTTTGGAGGATATATATCATCATTGCTCTTAAATGTTATTATAGTTATTTAATTTGTTTATTTGCTTTAAGATAAAATATAAGTCTTATCAGAGACCAAATCCAACAACTCAGGTTAGAAATGTGAATACTTAAATGACCATTATCCAAGAAATTCACAAAACCTACTTGTTTTCCCTCAATTATGAGAACTAATGCATTGTAGAGAGTCACTACCCTTTTCTTTCCCTGACAACCTCCATCTGTGGTCACATATATGATTGTTGGGACTTCTATAGTAACAAACCCTTTGTTTTCATTTTCTCTATAGATTCTCTTTTTAAAAACCCTATTTTCTAACATCTTACTTTGTAATAGTAGGGAAAGAAAGCATCATGTATGTATGGTCAACCTATTGTCTCCTGTCTGTTTTAGTTAGAATGCCTAGTCAAATGACTTAATACTTTGGATTTTTTACTTCTACTTAGTACATTTTCATTGAATTGGAGACATAAGAAGGAAAAAATGAGACTGAGACAAACAGGCTGAAATAATTTTAAAAGTCCACAAATTTTCCATGAAAATTGCTTAACACTGACTAGAAAGTATCAGTATCAGTGATAGTCATTGAGTGGTTTTGCTTTATCCTGCCCACTTAGAAATAGATTGTCTTCTGATAATTGATTATATAAAGATTTGCGACTGATAACTGATCAATAATTCAATATGGCTTTAAGATGAAGTTAAAATAATTGATATCTTACCATTGGGACTACACATGTAGAGAACCTTAGATAAGCAAGGTTTTTACACCCTTATTTTCATTTTAATTTACCTTTTCACAATTTTCTGTGTGGTTTGGTGGTGAAGAATACAGATTTTAGAATCAAAGACTTGTCCCACAATAGTGGATGTGTAGAATGGTTAAATTACTTTATCAGTCTGAGCTTCCATTTCCTTATCTGTAAATTGTGGTTGTGTGGTAGGTTTGTGTAGATGTTAATGGAATCATGTAATCCTTTGAATCGTATATATGTAAACATTACAGTGGCATATAAAAACCATTTAAAATGGCATAGATATAATAATTATTTCCCACAACATTGTTAAGAATTCATCAAGTTCTGTAAGCAAAATATGAACCTTTAGAAGGGACTTAAGTAGTAGAGTTGGATTTCACCCACATCGTTTTCTGGATATTTTTTCCCAAGCCCTTGTTTGGACAAATAGTAGAGGGAAATGTAAAATAGAACAGGAAACCTTGATTACTGTGGGTAGTACTGCTGTTGAGCCATATGACTTTGAGAATTCACTTAGGTAACAAAACAGATTGAATTGTCAAAGCTGATTCATATGAATCATAGGTATTATCTAACACCATAATATCCTAATAATTCAAAAGATACAAGCAGAAACCAGGCACAAGTGTAATATTTTTTTCCAGAGGGGTTTGAATGTATCATAGACAGCTTCAAAAAATGTCCCTTTATCCACATTTGATTAGATTTTGGTTTTGGATTAAGAGATGGGCTCCAGTGTATGCTATTTTGGTTTTGGAACTCTTCAGTTTTATACTCCATTAATTTCATTAAAAGAAAAATTCTTATGTGATTATGTCATATTCTCTAGCCATGCCCTCATAAAATTTTAAATTATAGGTTTATTTACAATAGCAGTCTAGAAGACACTAATATATCCTGCTCAAAACATTTTATATAATAGATAGGTCCTTCCTAGTAACTTTCTCTCAAGTAAATGCAAAAGTATCATTGTTAGTATTGTCAAAGTGTGGTCATTATTAGTATCATTATTAGTACTGTCAAAGTATGATTACCAAACCAGTATCTGGTTAAAGTATCATTATTAATATTGTCAAAGTGTGATCGCCAGACCAGTAGCATCAATATCATAAGGGAACTTATTAAAAATACAAATTATTGGTTCCTATGCCAGGCCTACTGATTCAGAAATTTTGAGGATGAGACATCAGTCATGTTTTACAAGCTCTCCAGTTGATTCTGATGCAGGCTAAAGTTTGAAAAACAATTGTAATAACTTTATAAAGAGATCTGGTGGAGGTCATTCATTTCTTCTAGCATTCTTCCCTGCAATCCCAGGGAAGAAGTGAGTTACACACCTGACAATAACCTTTTACTTTCCAAACTTAACCTATTTCTTTATATGTCTGTAGATATATTTATATATAAAAAATGTTTTACGACTGATTTTAAAATGCTGATGGTAACAATATAAACATTATCACCAAAATCACCTTGTAGAAAAAAATTGTAGCAGTGCTGCTTTTTCCTAATGTACTTTGCAATTTGTTTCTTTTAGAATTTACTTCAAGGTAACTTTTAATCCAAAATAAAATGTGTCTTACTGCTTTGCAGTGCAACTGTTTTTCACCAAGTTTGACCTCTTAACACGCCCACCAGATTTGACTCTTAATGATTGGCTTTCTGAAAATTAATTGTATGTACATTGCTAATCTACAGACATTAGAAATATTCTTAAATTGCTTAAAGGTAGTTTTAAGTATGAATTTCCAATTTCCTGCATTTGGAAATTAATTTTAAAATCAGTCTTAAAACATCTTGCCTTGAGCAAGATCAGCATTTTTAGAATAAGCTTACTTTGAAATTACACTTTTAAAAAATCAGTAATATTACTTTATAGTCATATATAATAAAGCATAAATTTGGCCCATCTCACTGGTCTCTACCACAGTTCTAGAAATAAGACCAAAATTTCTCTTTTTTAAAGAATCTTCTAAAACTCAACTTAGAACTGAACAAATAACATCCTTTTCATTCTTTGTTATTTAATAAAAAGAAATATTCCTTCAGATCATTAACTTGTAAGATTGAGGAAGAAAATAAGCCACATTTAGATCTCAGTTTCCTTCTATATGACTTGGAATTTTTTGGTTACTAAAATTGGCTTGCTGGAAATCTTCCCTAATTAGAGAAATTGATGGATGACAAAGATTAATTATGTTTTATCCAGCTATTATATATCCCCTTGTGAACTTTTGGCACACACTTCGCGGCCGAGCTTTGCCTTATGACTTTGTTTTGTATCCAGAAGCACTCTGCCTTTTATGAACACTGTAAAAAGACCTCAAAATTGGTTTTCAGCCACCTTGCCAAACTAAAGGCCTTGTACTGATGAACCTCTTTTGTTTATTTTAATTATTGAAGAACTGTAGAGAAATAATTATCTCAATCGTTTTGAAATTTTCTAAATGGTCCTGTTTGATTTGGGTCTGATTTGAATGAAATGTTTGTTTTTAACACTCAGAACATAAAGATAGCATGTTGTTGGTATGCTTGTAACCAGGAGTTAAGGAACCATTTTACCTTTATTCTCCTTTAAATTCAAGTTATTTTAAGTGTTTTGCTTCATATTAAGTAGAATAATTTTAGTGTAGCTACTTTATACATCTTTTATCAGAAATGCCAAAATACTGCACACCCACCTCATGATCAGATCCAAAAAGGTGAATATATATAATACGTATATTTGCTGTACTCAGTGTTATCCTACTACCATTTTAATTAATAAATTTAGATTTTAGCCGGTGTGCTTACTAACGGTAGGTCTGTTAAGATTTATTTGACCTTAATAAGAGTGAGAACAGGGACTATAATGTTGACTTCCCTGTGTGAAGTCTTTCTGGATGCTTCTTTTAGTGTTGAAATCAACAAACTTCTATGTACATTATTTTTAAAAATGCATATGCATAATATAAGGGTATACTTAACATAATTATCAAGTCATTTAATGGATTGTAGACTCACAAGTGGGAATTGCTTTTTTCATTTTTAGTATTCTAACAACATTTGCTAGAGGGATACTCTGAATACTAGAATCTATTAGAATAAAAGTGTTTTTCCTAAAAGTAAGCTTTCTTCACCAATTTTTTCTTAGCTACTAGCTTTTAGTTTATAATGAAGGATTCTTAGTGCTTATCTTAGTACTTTATAACATTACTGAAGCTTTAGGATAAACAACATATATCCCATCTCATTACTATAAAGTAATTAATTTTCTACTAAACTGTATGTCTTCTATGAATAAGATTAATTGAAAAGCAAAAAAACAAGCTTTCTTAGATTTGATAGATATTTATGAAACATGACGTTGTGAAATGTGTGCATTTTGTTCCTAAAAGTTGTTGTTTTTTCATGTTGCATTACTACAAGAAGTAAAATCCAAAAAATACCTACCGCATGTTAAGCATTGCAAGACAGATAAAGCCCCTGTAGGTATGCAGCTTACCTTTTAGAGGGAGAAGATAGAGAAAGGTAAACAAATAATTTATAAGATAATTATAGGTTCATCATGCTAAAAAGGAAACAAGCAAAGTAATAATGTCCTTAGATCCAAAAGGAGGGCTACTTCTCTGGCTCCATTTTGGCAGTCTACCAGTTACACCCTCCCTACAGTTGAGGAGTTTAAAGTACCTAGAATATGTGCCCATATACAGTCCATGCTTTCTACCTCAGAGTCTGTAGATCTTCATATTTCCTGTTCCAGCAACCCTGAGCCCACTTCCATGCCCTGCCCAAGCTAATGACTGAAGTCTATTGTCTCAAGGGAAGTCCATTGTCTCAAGGGTGGACCACAGGAAGGGTGGCCAATATATTTGAGGAACACATGGATGCAGCTTGGAATATACAGGAAGGAGAGTCTAGAGATACCACATACTAGGCTACATGAGGAGCATAAAGGAACCAGGAATGGGAAGAGAGACAAGTAGGCTTGCAGTACAGGACCTGGGGAGACTTCTCCTATACTGCCATGTTCTAGTGCAGAAGTCTTGAAGTGAATATTTGACTTTCCAGGTTATTAGGGAGGTATATTTGTCAAAGTAATGGAAAAGAAGATGTCACATTTAATGATTTGTTGACTTGATATGTAAGTTTTACATATTTAGACATGTGACATTGGGCCCCACAAAGGCTAATGACATAATATATAGAAATATTACCTTGTGAGGGTCACTTTAGTTAGGATGATCAGATAAAGTTTCTCTGAGGAGACACGATTCAAGTCAAGACCTGGAACATGAACTTGTAGAGGAAAACAAATAAGTTTTAACTGGAGGGTATTCCAGCTAGGGTAACTATGTCATACAAATGTATAGAGGATCAAAATCAACAATAACCAGATGCTTCATCTGCATAAAGAATCAAAAGAGGACCTCAGAGGAAGGAATGAAATAACATAAGGATAGAGATCTGCAGGGACTAGATTATGCCCTATTATGCTATAGATAATAGCTTGGTTTTTAATCTAAGAGCAATGGGGCATTACTGGAGGGATTTAATGAGAGAATAGCAGGTTCTTAATTACATCTTTTTAAAGAAACCACATCTTTTTTCTTATGTGTAAAATGTATGTAAAGGGAGGATGGAAGCATGAAATCAGGTTAAAAGACTATTATAGTGACCTGTGGAAGGAAATGATGTTTGCTTGGTCTTAACTGGTAGGAGTAGAGATAGACAGAAAGTGTATGTGTCGAGTGATGTTTTGCAAGTAGACCTAACATTTTCCCTGATGCATTGTATGTGGAGAATGAGGCAGGGAAAATAATCAAGAATGATTAAGATTTTTGGTTTGAGAACCTGGATGAATAGTAGTTACATTTACTGAAATAGAGAATGCTATGAGAGAAACACAGTTTTTTAGGGAGATAGGAATTGAGAGTTCTATTGTGAACATGGTTAGTCTGAGGTACTATTAGACAATCAAGTGGAGATTTCAAGTAGGCACTTGGATACGTCCAAGTTGAACTCAGGGGAACAATGTGGACTCTCCTTTTGTTTTGTGAACATACCACATGCTTCTTATGTCTCAGAGCCTTAGTTCCAGTTGTGCCTTTTGTCGGCAGTATTCTTTCCTACCTTTGCCTGCTTTCAGTCTCAGCTTAAATGCCAATCTATCTAAATGGTTCCCTTATGTCCATTTTTATTCTCTATCTCAGTATTGTTTGTGTTTTGGGGTTTTTTTGTAACTTTTTTTTTTTAATTTGCAAACATTTTCACTTTTTCTTCTCTTCATGAAGAGGGACATTGTTTCACTCACCCTATCTAGCCAATGCCTAGCACAGTGCCTGTCACTTGATAGATATTCAGTAAATACTTGTTGATTGAATGAATGAATGAGCAGTTGTGGTTTGCTTAAAAGGAAAGACAAGGTGCTAGGAGTAGAACAGTATGAGAGATGATGGACTCCCCTTTCCCCCAAAGATTTGAGGGTTCTTGAGTAAGAGGAAGAATGGTTAATGTTTATTAAGCACTTATTATATGTTAGGCACTGACTGAGTACTTTATTAAGATCTCATTTAATATTTAGAACCACCCTATATAGTAGCTTCTCTTTTTATCTTTATTTTGCAGATAAGGAAGCTGAGACTGAAAGAGGCCATGTTGCTGAAAGTTACACAGCTAGTGCAGGACAGCCATATTTCAAGCTCAAGCAGTTTCGCTCCATAGCCTAGTCTCTTAACAAATACATAGAACAGAAGACTATTTCTGCAGTGCTGTAGATCATTGTAGTTTCCTTAGCCTTTGATGCTATTGAAGAGGATTCTGATAAACTCAGTGGAATAGTACATAATACTCCTCAGATGCCTCTTCCCAGTGTCAGGTTCCAACAGCCCAACAAAATGACACCACTGTGTATTCCTTGAAGCCTGGACAAGGTTCACTCCTTGCATATCTCTTCTTCATAAGACTACCACCCTATGCAGAGTGGAATGGAAAGAAAACGAAAGAAAGCAGTGGAGAGAGGTCCTTGGGAGCAAGATCCTGATTCACTTCAACTCACAGGCAGGTCTCCTTTTTTCTGGTAGCCACTGGGGACAGTGCCAAGCCCATCTGATAGAGACCCCTTCTTCATAATGGCCAGAGTGTGTGAGCTACGGAGGACGGTGGGTAGATACCAAAGAATGAAAGGAAAAAGCCAGGAGTCTCATCTTTTTTGCTCTTTGAAGATAAAGGTACCGTCTAATCCCCCTTTCTTTTTCATATTGTCACTGGATAAGAAACTCCTGAGAGCAGAAACTATATTTTGCTTTCATTTTGATGAGCCCCTGTGCCTTTCACATCATGTTTAAGTCTTTAATCCATCTTGAATTGATTTTTGTATAAGGTGTAAGGAAGGGATCCAGTTTCAGCTTTCTACATATGGCTAGCCAGTTTTCCCAGCACCATTTATTAAATAGGGAATCCTTTCCCCATTGCTTGTTTTTCTCAGGTTTGTCAAAGATCAGATAGTTGTAGATATACGGCCTTATTTCTGAGGGCTCTGTTCTGTTCCATTGATCTATATCTCTGTTTTGGTACCAGTACCATGCTGTTTTGGTTACTGTAGCTTTGTAGTATAGTTTGAAGTCAGGTAGCGTGATGCCTCCAGCTTTGTTCTTTTGGCTTAGGATTGACTTGGCGATGTGGGCTCTGTTTTGGTTCCATATGAACTTTAAAGTAGTTTTTTCCAATTCTGTGAAGAAAGTCATTGGTAGCTTGATGGGGATGGCATTGAATCTATAAATTACCTTGGGCAGTATGGCCATTTTCATGATATTGATTCTTCCTACCCATGAACATGGAATGTTCTTCCATTTGTTTGTATCCTCTTTTATTTCCTTGAGCAGTGGTTTGTAGTTCTCCTTGAAGAGGTCCATCACGTCCCTTGTAAGTTGGATTCCTAGGTATTTTATTCTCTTTGGAGCAATTGTGAATGGGAGTTCACTCATGATTTGGCTCTCTGTTTGTCTGTTGTTGGTGTATAAGAATGCTTGTGATTTTTGCACATTGATTTTGTATCCTGAGACTTTGCTGAAGTTGCCTATCAGCTTAAGGAGATTTTGGGCTGAGACAATGGGGTTTTCTAGATATACAATCATGTCGTCTGCAAACAGGGACAATTTGACTTCCTCTTTTCCTAATTGAATACCCTTTATTTCCTTCTCCTGCCTAATTGCCCTGGCCAGAACTTCCAACACTATGTTGAATAGGAGTGGTGAGAGAGGGCATCCCTGTCTTGTGCCAGTTTTCAAAGGGAATGCTTCTAGTTTTTGCCCATTCAGTATGATATTGGCTGTGGGTTTGTCATAGATAGCTCTTATTATTTTGAAATACATCCCATCAATACCTAATTTATTGAGAGTTTTTAGCATGAAGGGTTGTTGAATTTTGTCAAAGGCCTTTTTGAACGTACATATTTTTCTAGCTGGCTATTTTTAGCCACTCAGTTGCCAGAACCTGAAAAGGGTCTGTATCAGCATTTTTTCACTTATTATCACCTGCATTGCTTCCTTTGGAGGGCATAACTGTTGGCTCTGAGAGTTTTTTAGTCAAGAAAAATGAGACATTCTAAAGTTGAGATGAATGAAAATGAGTTAGAAAATATTCATATGTGTACAGAAAATTATACAGCCTTTTGTTCAGTTAATACTATCCTATAATAAACAAGTTTATTTTATAAGTAGGGAAATTACATAGACATACATTAAAAATAAGAACCAATTAAAATCCTTTCTAGAATGATAGGATAAAATAAATTATACACATACAAGAACTATTTTATGTAGCTTGCAAATATAATGAAATATTTTCTAAGGTAATAATGTGTGTGTTTCCTAAATAAGAACCATTTGGGAAGAAAGTACTTTTGGATTATTTAGAATGAATTTATAGAACATTTAAACAAATACTCGGTTACTAAAAGCTTCTCAGATAGATTCCAGATGGGCAACTACTTTGCATACTTTTCAATAAGTTTTTTTTTTTCCTCTAAAGCAACCCTGATAACTTTAATGACAAAGCTGATCAAATTCTGAATAATTCTTGGATTATAAAAAGGTTCTATGGCTGAGACTTTGAGTGGAATAAATGTGCTGAGCCAGCTAGGGAGATAATGAAGCAGGCTGACTGAAAAATTGTATATAAAAGAAAAATAGAGATAGCAAATATTTCTCAGTATGAGTAGTAGAAAAATCTCTGAGAATCATCTTATGTATTGTGACATTTTGTTAATTATTCTTTCTTTTTTGTTGTTGTTGTTGTTGCCTGAGCTGGAGTACAGTGGCCCAATCTTGGCTCACTGCAACTTCCGCCTCCCGGGTTCAAGGAATTCTCCTGTCTCAGCCTCCCGAGTAGCTGGGATTACAGGCGCCCGCCACCATGCGTGGCTAATTTTTTTGTATTTTTAGTAGAAACGGGGTTTTACCATGTTGGCCAGGCTGGTCTCAAATTCCTGACCTTGTGAACTGCCCACCTCGGCCTCCCAAAGTGCTGGGATTACAGGCGTGAGCCACCACACCCGGCTAATTATTCTTTCTAAGGATTATATGTTGGTCTTTGTGCATTAGCTCCAAAATACCATGTTGTCAATATGTTTAGAAATTCATCTGCTACAGGTATTAAATCTTTGTAGTGAGATAATATTTTTTTTTAATTCTGATTTAAATTTTGCCTTTTTTCTTTCTTTCTTTCAAACTATTACACTGGATGATTACCACTATCCCTTTGACCAGGGGCTGGACAAAGCTTGTATTTCCAGTATTTTTTGTAATTAAGTCCTCATGTTGAACCTGCAATACATTGGCTCTTGCTGAGGAATAGATTGTATTACTGTATTAGTGAATTGGCCTGTATTTAAGGTAGAATTATTTATCAAAAACAATGATTTAAAAATGAAAATGTTGAATTAAAAATATAACTTCAGTCACATGGAAGCAAGAACTTCTATTTCAGTTTTGAATGTTGGGGAGATATATAGGAATAGAATAAGGTTGTTCTTTACTATTAGCAGTATTTTCTTTTGGTGGGCATTCTTCTTGGAGAACTGTGAATCAAAGGGAAGTGTTAATTTAAGTCACACTTCTAATCACTCTGACTTACCTACTTGAGATCGAATTTCAAATATGTCCCTGTGCCCCATAAAGCCCTTTAAAGGGATAACTTTAGGAAGAAATGGCACAACCATCCAAAGAGATTTGGCAGCGGTTGATTGACATAATAAATAATGACCATCTGTACCCTGTAGCAGTCCACCAAGAAGCACAGTTAGTCCCTGCAGCCTGGGCAGACTGCTGGTTGTCTTCAGCAGGTGAACAAAGGAGACGTTGCTTATTTGATAGTTGTTCACTTTATTTAAAATGACTACATTTGTGAGGCAAAATTCTAAGATTTAGGTTTTAGCATTTTAAAACTAATTAGATTTTATTTTCAGTTATTTTTATAGCTTTTGCTTATTACTGTATCTACTTGTATAAAGATGTGGGATTTACATAGTGTTTTCATTAAAAGTACTATATTAATGACAATTTTGTTGAAACCTTATTTTTAAGTGATTTTATATTTTATAGAAAATTTGGAACAGAGTTATTGTGGGAAAATGGAATATTTGTCATTTATCTAGTGGAAATAAGTGGTATAGAGACCGAAGTTGAGTCATTATTTTTTTAGGTTACAGATTACATAAAGATTATACAAAATTGACTCATAACTCTGCCAGTTATATTGACATACTTGATTACAACTGTAAAGCTTTTTGTGATTTCATTTTTTGGCACAAAAACTGTGAATGTGCAAAATGCAAAGCTTTAGATTATAATCTAATGAATGCAGTAGATGAAGAGCAATCTATAATTCATTTGCATAGAAATAATTTCAAACAAAGTATGTAAATCATAAGTTAAAAAATCTGTTAGGAATAGAACTTGAAACTTAAAATAGAATTTATAACCCATTGTGTTTCAATTAATTAAAATTGATTGCATCATTATCTCTGAACTTGAAAGAGTCATATGCATTGCTTTAAATAAATTACTCTATTTTGGGTAACAGTATAATTTGTTAGAAAGGACATAAGCTTCAGAGTCAGACATATATGGGTTCAAACATTGTTTCTGCCATTTGCTGTCAGAGTAGCCTGTCTCTCAGAACCTCAGAGTCCTGGCTTGATGGTGTCACTAACACCCCCAAGTTCAGTGATCCACTAGAAAGGCTCACATAAGTTAACATTAAGTTATATTCAAGGCTAGGATTTATTGTCGCAAAAGACTGACTCATGTAGGAACAGCAAAAGCTAGGTCAAAAGAGGCTTTCTTGCCCTATTTATAGCAGGAATTGTATGGCTAAGTCTTTCTGTCTACAAACTGCAAGGCCATGTGTGATACCATTACTCAGGAAATCCCATTTGAGTTTTGGAGTCCAAAGTTCTTACCAGGGGCTGATCACATACCTGTTAACATGACCAGCCATGTGAGGACCCCAAACCAGGCACCATGTGCATAGAATGGATATTTATGTTTACTTTAAGCATGCTAACAACCTAGTTCTTCTTGACCTGCCACTTCAGTCATTATGGACTAATATTACTCAGTAACTTTTGAACATTCTGGTAGTTTAGTTCTCATTTTCACCAAAGGTGGTCAAGAGTATAGAGATAAGCAGAAACTGAATGAAACAGACCTACTTTGTTAAACTTTCCTCACAGAGTTATTGTGAAAGTTAAGGTAGAGCTCTGTTTAGTTTTGGTTTTACCTACGTCCTTTTAGGCTTTCTTTTTTTTTTTTTTTTCTTCTTACCTTTTTTTTTTTATTATTATACTTTAAGTTTTAGGGTACATGTGCACAATGTGCAGGTTAGTTACATATGTATACATGTGCCATGCTGGTGTGCTGCACCCACTAACTCGTCATCTAGCATTAGGTATATCTCCCAAGGCTTTCTTTATCTGAAAATGTCTTTATTTTCTATTCATTGTTCTTTTTTTTTTTTTTTTTTTTTTTTTAATTAGAGAAAGAGTCCCACTTTGTTTCCCAAGCTGGTTTAGATCTCTTGGCCTGAAGCAATCCTCCTGCCTCGGCTTCCCAAAGTGCTAGGGTGAGCCACTGTGCCCAGCCTTGTTTTCCATTCATTCTTGAAAGATGGTTTTACCACATTTACTATTTACAGTTGACAGTTATTTTCTTTCAACACTGGAAGGATACTGTGCTACTTTTGTCCAAACTGTGTGGTTTCAGAAGAGAAGTCTGCTTTCTGTGAATTGGTATACCCTGTAGGTAAAGTCATTTCTCTCTGGCTGCTTTCAAGACTCCTTGTCTTTCCTTGTCGGAAGTTTGATTATGATGAATCTTGGCTTGAATTTATTTGTGTTTATCCTATTTCAGGTCCTGTCAGCTTCTTGTTTGTAGATTTGTGTCTTTCGCCAAATTTGAGAAGTTTCAGTCATTATTTCTTTAAGTACTCTTTCAGCCCTACTCTTTCTCCTCTCCTTTTATCTCAGATTATACAAATGTGGGATTGCTTGCCTTACAGGTTCCTAAGGTTCTGTTCATTTTTTTTCACCCAATCTATTTTCTCTTTGTTGTTCAAATTGGGTAATCTATTGATCTGTCCTCAAGTTCAATGATTAGCCTCTCTTATCTTCACTTTACTATTGAGCCCATTCAGTGAGTTTTTAAAATTTGCTTTGTAATTTTTAGTTATATACTTTTTATTTGGTTCTTTTTTTAATAACTTCTGTTTCTATGGCTGAGATAATCTATGTGTTTTCATATTTTTCAAGGGAATTTGTAAGTGATTGTTGTGCATTTTTCTGGCAGCTTTAAAATCCTCGTCAGGTAATTCCAACATCAGATCCATCCCACTGTTGGTTGACTGTCTTTTCTCATTCAGATTGTGATTTTCTTGGCTCTTGATATGATGGATGATTTTTAATTGTACCCTAGACATATAATCTATTATGTTAGGACATCTTGGGTCCCATTTAAATCTTTCATTTTTGCAGGTAGTTACCTTGTTTAGGTTTAGCAGGTAGGGCCTGGCCTGCTTTAAATGGTTTCAATGACAGTGCAATTTTTAGAGCTTTTTTGGTGTTATTTTGTTTTGTTGGTTTATCTGGTGCCACTGGGCTTCCTTCTAACTTGTTCATTTTAATGCTGCCTCTAGGAGTAGAGGGAATTCCCCAAGTCTGGGCTGCCAGGTGTTTCACTGAGGAAGGGCATCTTAGGCCTATGGGATTGTTTGGTAGACTTCTCCTGCCTCTGAGGAACAGAGTACTTCCTGGGCTGGGACCTTATTGTGGTGGGATTCTTTCTCCCGTTAGGCACACTGCCCTGTCATCTCTGGCAAGGGAGATAGGAGTCTCAGTGCATGGAGACAAAGAGACTTCCCAGGATAGGTCTTTTTTTTGTGGCAGTACTTCTCTTGCCAATGCAACTGAGCTGCCTTGTTATTTCTCAGTTGGGAAGTGAGATAACAGGCCCACAGAAACAAAGAGGCCTCTTAGGCTTGGTCGCTCATTTGTCTGGGATCTATCTTCCTGTTACTTGTGGGCCATCCCAGTATTTCTTGGTGGGGCAAAGCAGTCTTAGGCCAGCTGGGAAAGGGAGTCTTCCCTTAGCTGCTTATTGTTAGTTGGATCTCCAGTCAATCCCCTTGAAGGTGGTACTGGGCTCATTTGGTCATTTTGAGGACTCTTATATAATCCAGGGGAGGAATAGGCCTAACTGAGCCGCCTTCTATGGCTATGTTGGGAGTCAAACTGCCTTCTGTTGTGGCGGTAGGATGGAAGACATCCTGCCACTATTCTGTTCTCCCATTCCAGGAGTCCCAAACCAATTCACCCTTCTCATACCATCTTTCAGAGTTCCTTGTTTGCCTCTTGAATTATGTCCAGGGTTTATAGCTATAATACTTTCCTGTGGAAAGGAGCAGGGAGAATTATGCTTCTAGAACTTGTCCAATGACCATAGTATTTTAATTGTTTGTTTGGATGCTGGATAATATACATTCTATATTTGTATAGTAGAACAAATGCTCACATTTTTAAAAAAAAATTAAAGGGTTACACAATAAAGAGTATTTGGAGACTTCTGGTCTATAAGATTAAGTGAATACTTGATTCCTTGTTTAAGCTCTCCATGGCCTGGTTAGAAAGTACATTTCTAGTTTTTCACTGAACATTACTCCCCTTTAAGAAGTCTTTGCCTTCACTCTTCTTGTGTATTCACTCTATCTAGAAGATTTCTACTTCTTTCTATGCTTTTGCCAAAGTTATTTTCTCCTTTTAGCATATCAATCATATCCATGTTCAAGACTTATCTCAAATACTACCTGTTTTTTGAGACTTCTTCTGACTTTTCTAGCACAATATGGCTTCCTTTTCCTCTGAAATCCTTTGTCATCACTTACATTACTCATGTGACACTTGAAATGACATTTTGAACAGAGTGTAATCTAAGTTTATCTTTAACTCATCTGTTTGGAGATGAACTTTCCTAGAGAAGCAGTGCTAGCAATGCTTAAGTATATCCATAACATATGCAATGTATGGAGCATAACTACCATTTTACATGAGTCTAATGGAATATATCCTTATATACTGACAGTTCTATCTTAAAATTCCAGGTTCATATTCCTAGACTTACACCCCTTCTCTACCAGCGTAGTTAATACTGAGTCCCATAGGAGTGGTGGCTTCTGTGGGCTATGCCAGAGAGACTGCTGCATGGCAGACTGAGAGAAAGTTTGTTGGCAGCGAAGTAGAAAAATAAACTCTTTAGAGATGTTAGAGAGAAGAGAGCTAATGTTGGTGGGACTGTGACAACCACTAATCATAGGTTAGAAAAGAAACTATGTTTCTTTTACACAGGTATTCTTGCCCAACTCCTACCCTTCACTGAACACACTTACATTTCCTCCCTGTGCCTCATTTTTTCACTCAACAGGTAATAGCTTACCTTATTGGTTGCCCCCAGTTTCCTGTATTACATCTCTTTTTCCTTCTGTTCCTTGTGCTTCTCAAATTAACTACTACTTGCATTTGAATCCTTGTCTCAGGGTCTGCTTCTGAGAGAACCCAAACTAAGACAGGGACAGTCAGCTACCTCACATCCACAAGTTATTAGAACTAGATTCAGTAGCATCAGCCAACTCCCCAGAAGGGCAGTTAATCCATCTCATTCATTTCTTCTTTTCTCAGTGTCACTCACGAATCAATTAATAAAAATAAGTATTATTTGCTTAGGCAATTAGAAGGTACACTGTGATTTCATGGGTTTATAAGGCCACCAAAATCTTTATATGTAGCCCATATCTTACAGTGATTACCAAAGTGCATAATTTATATCTCCAGAATCTCTCTAAAATAAGAGAATTGATAAATAGGAAAAGTGGATATTTTTCTTTTACCGTAATCATGATATATTAATACTCAGGAATTAACATAAAGAATAGAATCCAAATATTAACAAGTCAGGAGTCTAAGTCAATCTGTTGTAGCTTCAAGATCAGGGAAATTTAACCATTAGTTTTGAACACAGGTCTGTAGATTTTTCTGTATGGTCACAGATCACTTGCAAGCAAATGAAATGTTAAATATAACTCTGTCAACTCTATTCATTCCTATTGTAATACATCTTTTATGTCTTTGCCTTGTTTCTATTGATGGTTTATACTTAATTACAACTTTTATTTTCATTCATTAACCTGTGGACTGATAAAGCTACTATTCCTATTTCTTGGAAGAGACTAAGAGGCAGTCTGCTTCCATTTTTTCTGTTTTTTCTCTATATTTGAGAAGGTTGCAAAAAGTCTGCTTGTCCCTTTACAAAAAACAGAGCAAAGATAGAGACCAGAAATATGTAGTATAATCACTTTAGGAGAAACCAGCTCTGGAGCAGTTGTTAAGGAGCAAGCTGCAGCTGTCTTTGGCCATATCTTCTGAGTGTGACTTTTCTTTCCTTTGGATAGAAGGGGAGAAGGAGAAAAGTCAGTAAAAATAAAAGCAAATGCAGAGTTCCAGGCTTCTTCAGCAACTCCCCATTCTCCAACTCTGCGTTACTCAATGTCCATGTTCCCTAATTTACTTTTGACTTGCCCTCTGAAACCATTTCAGAGGCGTAAGTAAAGCTTTAGCATCATCATATAACTGAAATTGAATGTCTTTCTCAGCCACTTAGCAGCCTTCTTAGGAATATTCCATTTAATACCTAAGGGGGAGAGGGTTGGTAGTTCTACCCCATCTTTATCCAATTTAACGGATTGGGAGTTTGCCTCTCTATCAACACTTCTGCAGACTATCCACAAATTCTGATCAAAATAGTCACTGAATTCTCCTGGGGCATTTATCCCTGCCTCTTACAGGCTGAGTCACATGTCTTTTTTTATTATTTAAATTTTTACTTTTAATTAACAAATAATAATTGTATATATTTATGGGTATGAGTACAATGTGATGTTTTGATATATGTATATATTGTGGAATGATTATATCAAGCTAACTAACATATCCATCACTTCACATAACTTATTTTTGGTAGTGAGATCATTTAAAATCTGGAGCTTTTTGTAGCAATTTTGAAGTAGAAATACATTATTATTAACCATGGTCACTTTGCTGTGCAATAGATCTTGGAAACTTACTCCTCCCATCTAACTGAGACTTTGTACCATTTGGTCAACTTATCTCCATTCCTCAACCCCTCACACCTCCTGTTTCTGCTGACCAACATTCTGTTCTCTACTGTTCTTTTGTTTTTTTCTGTCTATAACTTAGACTGGATAATTTCTGTAGATCTATTGATCAATTATCTAAGGACACTGAAATTCAACTTTGATATGACAGGCAGTGAGCCGGTTTGGTCTGCAGACTTAGTCTGCCAATCCCTAATTTGGTTCAATCCATGATGGACATGTTTAGAAGGTAGGCTTACTTCTTTTCATTTCGAGGTTACTTTTTCTACCACAGTGTGGTATGTTTGGGGTTTATTAAAAGCCTGGGGTATTTTATCAGAGCCTCTTCTGCTTGCAGGCCCTGAACTCTCTCTGTATTTTTTAACCTATTGGCTTCTGCTTTCACAATGACCATGTGCATTCAAGGGTAAAAGTAGCCCATAAATCCTTGACATGGCTTCTTTTCTTAACCTAGCTTTAGTCTGTCAATACTTCACTATTTTACTAGCTCTCCAGTGCCTTTAAATGGATGTTTAGGGGTTTTCTTTGTTTGGTTGTTTTTTCTTTTTGTGTTTTTGTTTCTACATTTCAACCTATTTTTTCAGTGGTTTGCACTACAAGGATTGGGCTCAACTGCCTAGGTTATCATTGTCTAAAGTGGAAAAGCTGTCCAAGAATCAGTTTGCAACTTTAAAATAACTTTCCTGACTGCCAGATGGCACTCTTAGAAGAATAACATTTGCTTATATATAGGGTTTGGGGTGGAGAATTAAACCCCAGAACTGCTAATCAAATGGAAAGTACAGCTCTTTTATTTTTTATTAAAAAATGAACTTTATGGATGTGTAATTTATATAAAATAAAATTTTCCACAGGTTTTAAATATATAGTTCAATGAAACACCAAGAAATTGAACTTTTTTTTTTTTTTTTTTTTTTACTGAGTCTCGCTCTGTCATCAGGCTGGAGTGCAGTGGCGCAATCTTGGCTCACTGCAACCTCTGCTTCCCGGGTTCAAGCGATTCTCCTGCCTCAGCTTCCCAAATAGGTAGGACTGCAAGTGTGCGCCACCACACCCAGCTAATTTTTGTATTTTAGTAGAGATGGGGTTTCACCATTTTGGCCAGGAGTTGAACATTTTTATAACCCCCCGCAAAGTTGCTTCTTTCCCTTTTGCAGTCAGTCTTTCTCAACTCCTACCCCAAGCAACCACTTCTCTGATACCTAGCATTATAGATTGTCCTTCTCTAGAATTTTATGTAAATGGAATTAGTATCTATGTATGTAAAGTTTGTCTAGATTTATTAACTCAGCAAAGTGATTTGCAAGTGCTCTGTTGTATGCATCTGTAGTAAGTTCCTTTTTATTGCCGAATAGTCAGTTCCCTGAATGTACCAAAATGTGTTTATCAGTTTTCTTTTTGATGGACATATGAGTTGTTTCTAGTTTTTGGCTATTACAAATAGAGCTGCTTCCAGCATTTTTTGATGAATCTTTTTGTGGATATGTTTTCATTTATCTTTGGTTAATTCCTAGGAGAGCAATTTGAGTCATAGGATGTGTATGTTTAACTTTATGAGAAACTTCCAAATTATTTTCCCAAACGCAAAAATGCTTTTTCTGCGTTGGGAAAAAAATGCTTTTGCATTTTCACCAGCGATACATAAGGATTACAGTTGCTCCACACCCTCACAATCTCTTGATTTGTTAATCTTTTTAATTTTAGTATCTTAATGGGTACGAAGTAATGAAGTATCGTCTTATTGTGATTTGTATTTGTATATCACTGGTGACTAATGATGTTAAGTGTCTCTGATGTTCTTACTGGCTATTTGTTCATCATCTTTTCTGAACTTGTTTTACACAATTTCTTGAGCTGGGTTCTTTGTTTTGTTGTTGAGATACGAGTTTTGTATATGTTCTTCATACAAATGCTTTATCAGATAGAAATTCAGTATTGCAAAAATGTTCTCCCAGGTTGTAGTTTGTCTTTTCATTTTTTAAGTGATGCTTTTGAATAAATGTTTTCAATTTTGATGAGGTCCAATTTTCATTTCTTTTTTATAGTTAGTGTTTTTTTGTGCTTCTCTAAGAAACCTTCACTTACCCACTTGATCATGACGTTATCCTCCTAAGTTTTCTTCCAGGATCTTTATAGCATTAACTTTATATTTAGGTGAAAAAACTATGCATAAAAACTATTGCATTTTAAAAATCAGTGTTGTCCCTTTGTTGACCTAACAGAGAGTGTTGGTTGAGTGTTTGCCACATGGTATTTCAGAAGGTAAAGCACTTCAAATAACTGTCCAGGACATTTTAAAGTCATAGTTAGGGTGAATTTTTACTTCAAGATGTCTGATTACTTGTTACAACTCATAGATCATCATTACATTTCCATCTGTCTTTGTAATGAGGGGAAAACTACACTCTAACATTAATAAGAAACCTAACTCATAAATAAAATATATCAACCAGGATACTCTTCCTCCAACTCTTCCTTCCTACTCCCCTCCTTTTTTTCTTCCCTTCCTCTCTTTCTTTCCTTTTTATTCCTCCCTTCCTTTTCTCTTACTTTTTTCCTTTTTCCTTTCTTCATTAAAAACCATATTTTTTCTTACATTATGGTATTGTGGGATTTCATAGTTGAGCCTTTTTTAGATGATAAAATATCCTCTAGTAATCAGTTCTTGAGATCAGATAATGGGATGCTCTCTTTCAATGATATGTTTGCATCACTGGCCTTATGCACCCTAGTGATATTGTAATTGGTGTTTGTTGCTTTATTATACCACAGGAGATTACTTGGGAAAGATATGGGACTATATGAAGTGTCATAGACAGCTATAACTCATGGCCCATTTATATGTGGAAAAATTAGCTCTTAGTAATATGATTTGAGTAGAAAAACAATTTCTAAGATTAAATGAGAACTGAAAATTTTACATTGTAAAATCAAACTCCCTCATGTATTTATGACAGCTTTTTGAAATGACAAATAATAGCATAACATAAACTTTATGGTTGGTGGAAAGTACATGCTGTGCTCTAATTACAGAGATACTATCATTTCGAAGGCTGAGATTTCTGATAGAATTTGGCTGTAATGTAGACTTTAATGTCCTATTGTGTAGTACCGTTTCTTAAATTTGTTTTACAGCATCTTGGGGTTATAACTTCTCAGTGTGCTGTTGATTGAATGGTCTGAATGAAATATCCCTTTAGGTCGACTTTCCACTGGCTCAAATGCAACTTCAAGAAGTGTACCCTTGCTTGTACTAAACAACTGTTCTTATTCTTTGCTGTAGGACAAGAAATGGATTCTCAGTCATGAAGATGTCATATTGGGAGAATTACTGGGCAAGGTATGTAATCAACTGAGCTAAATAACCAGAAGTCTCTATATTGATTGTGAAGACTGCAGATTTTTTCATTTTCCTCAAAGCTTTTCTTATATTGCCACAAGGCACATTACACATTAACTAGAACACAATGCTATATCTTCTCAATATTGTGATGCTCACTGAAATAGATGTGTGAAAGTCTTTGAAAGATTTAAGGATGATTCTTAACATTTAAGAATATTATATGTGTGTTTTCCCCTGGAAGGACTAAAAATCATAATGATTTTACTTCAGTGTGCAGTAAAGTCAAAACTAGTGAACTGAGATTTGAAAAGAAACAGTGAGATAATAAAAGTTTAAATAAATACCTAATAGTCTTGTTCTTTTTGTTTCTGGTTACATGTGATAGTTTAGAAAAAAATGAAATACTGCCTCTTGGGATTTCAGGATTGTATATAGAATTACAGTATGTAACAACACTGGGCATATTTCAATCTAAAAATGTGGACAAGACACTTGTTTCAATATAAATATTAATTTTATAACTAGTTCTATTAATCAGAAAAAGCAACTATATATAATAAAAGTCCCTTTTCTTCCAATGTAGTTGGAAGTTTCTTTGAACTCATAGGCCGTAGTCAAGTATATGTTATTTAACAATAATGGCAGATACTTGAGAATTAACCAAATGGACTATTTGAAAATTTATTAATAACTTTTATTTATAATTGAGTTCCAATGAATAAGTATTCACTTTTTTGTCAGTGACTTAATTAGTGATTATTTCCATTAATATATAAAAATGTGAATTCATTTTAGCTTATGGTGTGATACAAAAAATAGTTTAAAATCTATATATTTAGGAAAAGCTAACATACATATGAGTGATCAGTACTGAACTTAATTAAGGCTCAGCATTTTAGATGAAGAAATGATTACTCATTACTTTTTTGATTCAAATGTAAACTTGATGAATTGACTATTTTCCCCTATTTTTAAAAAATCTCTGAGAAAGTAAATCTCTGTTGAAATAACATAGTTTGCAGGATTCTTATCATTTATGATTTTAAAATACTTTTCCCAAAGCATCGAATTGTTATTGGAAAGCAGATTTTTATTGGCATATTTAGTAAGTGAATTCTAAAGAACCTCAAGCTAAAAGCAGTGACTCATATGTTATTTCCTCTGGGTTTATTTCCTCATCCTTAAGGAAATATTTCTTCTTTCCCTTGCTCTAGGTAACTCAGTAGCAGTGACTGGGCCAAAAAATATTACAAAGATTAATTTCCATGATACAATTAAATAATAAATTATAAAACTAAAGCATTTACTGAAATAAAGGCAGAATATGTTTAGAAGGACAGACTTTTTAGTACTACGAAAAAAATATTTTTAGTTAAAGAGAAATATTTCTATTTTTGTGTTTAGTTTATGCTATAAAGTATTAGGAGGAATTTATCTCCTTAGACTATTTCAAAGAATAATTTTTTTCTCAACGACAAGTAATATGTCAGTCTTAATGAATTTATTTTAAATAGAAGACTGTGACTTTGAGGCAGTGTGTAGCTTAATTTCATCCAGTAGTTTTAAGTACAAGAAAATGGTTATTTAACATTTTTCACTGCCTATTTTAAATAATCATTTACAGTATACTGCTTAAGAGTACATGGCTAATTAAGACAATTAGCCATGATTCCTATTGTTAGAGACTTTGGAGTTAAGTTATAA
This sequence comes from Homo sapiens, assembly GCF_000001405.40. Classification (NCBI taxonomy): domain Eukaryota; kingdom Metazoa; phylum Chordata; class Mammalia; order Primates; family Hominidae; genus Homo; species Homo sapiens. The sequence continues at coordinate 109,039,186 of NC_000005.10, forward strand.
TATAAGGTAATGGCAGGAACGCTGAGGGTTTTTTTTTTTGTATTCAGCACTATATTTTTAGTAGACTGTACTTGATATACAGTATCAGATGCAGCTATAGTCGATAGTTGGTATTCAACAAATATTCAGTCATCCAGTGTTTTTTGAATGCCTACTATGTGCAAGGCACTCTTCTAGGCATGTTTTACAGTTTCAATGAGCAAGTAGCCAGAAATCCTTTCTCTTACGGAGCTTAATATTCTTTCTAGGAGGAGAAGATAAACAATAAGCATAATAAATAGGTAAATTTTATAATGTTAGAGGGTGCTAAGTCCTGTGAACAATAGAGGGATTGGAAGCGTTACTAGTTGTAGTTGCTGTTTTTAGTAGGAAATCCAGATAAACCTTATTATGTTTACTTTTGAATAAAGACTTGAAGGAGGTGGGAAATATAGCCACATGGACATCTGAGGGAAGAGGGGTCTATGCAGAGTAAACAGCCAATGCAAAATTTGTTTGAAGAGCAAAGGAAGCATTTTCATTGTAACAGTAAGCAAGAGGGAATGTGATAGGAGAGGAAGTCTGTTAGGTGATGAGGGTATAAATTACATTGACCTTTTAAGTCATTGTATAACTTTGGCTTTGATCATGAATGAAATGGCGAGCTGGTGGGCAATTTTGAGAGGAGGAATGGCATGATCTTTTTTAAAAAGTTACTCCGGGAGTTGTGAAAATAGGCTGACAACTTGGAAGGTTAGGAGGCAGTTGAACTTACCTGACTAAAAGATGATGCTAGGTTAAGATGATAGCAGTGGTGGTGGTGTGAAGTAGTGAGTTCTGGATGTACTTTTGAAATTGAACCAATTGAATATCCTGATGGACTCTGTATGTGGGGTATTAGAGAAAGATTTCAGTCCTAAGTGTAAAAGATTTCAGGGAACGAGAAGAGGTGTTCAGTTTTGGATGTATTGAGTTTTTCTATGAAACTTCCAAGTGGGGATGATGGAAACTATTGGGTATTAAGTCTGGAGTTGGAGAAAAGAGGTCTGAGTCAAAAGTACAAATCTGGTAGTTGTTAGTATATAGCTGGTACTTACCACAATTAGGTGGATTCAACAGTGGAGTGAGTCTAGATGAAGAAGAGAAGAGGATCAAGGATTGAGCCTTGCCCACTCGAACATTAAGAGGTGGAGATAAGAGAAGCAATCCCCAAAGAAGGTTGAAAAGAGCAGCCAAGTAGGAGGCAGAAAACCAGGAGATATGATGCCTTGGAAGACAAGAAGAGAAAGTATATACCAAGGAAGAGAGTGATCAGTGGTGTCAGATGATGCTGAAAAGCCAAACAAGATGGGATTTAGCAATGAGAGGATCACTGATGACTTGGCTGAGCAGTTTCCTTGGAATGCTTTAGGTGAAAGCCAGTTTGGAATGGATTTGAGAGGAACGGGAGGAGAGAATTAGCGATAGCAAAGATGTAATTCTTTGAAGTTTTGCTGCAAAAGAAATCAGAGATGTGGGGTGATAGTTTCAAGAGAATGATTTGTGCTTTGTCACTGTTACTGTTTAACTTGAGAAAAATAATAGCATACTAGTTTGCAGTTGGGAATGATCTAGTGAAAATTCATCATTTAAGAGAGAGGGATGAACATTGCTAGAGCGTCATCCTTGAGCAGGTAAGAGGGGATGCAATTTAGTTCACAATGGAGGATTGACTTTAATAGAAACACAGTAGTTCACTTTTTATAACAGCGAGGAAAATTGGTAGGTGGGTCAATATAGGGACAAGAGCCCAGAGTTCTCTTTATATTGCTTCAATTCTTGAAATGAAGTAGGAAACAAAAGCATCAGCTAAGAATGAGGATGGGAGATTTGAGAAGAGAATAGAAGAGAAGCAGTCATCCAGAAAACTGGGAGTGTGAATGGTCTAAAGAAATATAATATGATTATTGAGTAGCATTAAGGGCCCCCTAAGGGTTTGTGTTCATGAATTTAAAGTTAAATCAGTCAGCATGATTATGGTTTTTCTCCAGCCATATTAGCTTTATAGGTGCAGAATAGGCAGAGTTTTGGATTTAATCAGACTTGTAGATTTGCTAAGGGAGTTTTACAGATTAACAGAGGAGCAAATAAACTGAGAGTGTATGGGAAGGCAGTTATAATTATTGACCATGGAATTTAAGGTGGAACACAGAAGGAGGAGAATATAATAAAAGAATGACGTAAAAAGTGATAGAACCGAAAGATTGGCAGTTCCTATAAAGTCAAAGGACTTTTGAAGTCTGGATAAGTATTCAAAAAAAAAAAGAGGAAGTAAGCTAGAAAGATAGAAGCCAACCGGAAGTTGAAATGAATGAGATAGATGTTATACAACATTTGCATTATTGGTATGGCAGAGTTTAAAGTATGACCCTAGAAAATAGCTTGGAGTGCAAGGTAATTGGAGGAGAGATGTTCAAGAAACTGAGAGTTTGAATTGTTGGAAGGTCCTTTAAATGTCTATTGAAATTACAAAGAATTAGGACACTGGGTAGACTGACAGTTACCCAACAGCTCAAATTGCCAATAAACAAAATATTTTCAAATTCAGTAAATGACAGCTGGAGTGAGGAATAGTGGGTAATATAATTGAGTGACAAATTTTCAAAGCTGAGAGTTTCAGGAATGTGGGAGAGATAATGGTTTAAAGCCAGTGATAAGTAGGTAATAGAACACTGTGTTCTATCTGCAGGGCATTAGTAGGATTATATGTGGGGAAAATAAGTCATCACTTAAGTTTAGATGGCAAAAGGAAGTTCATCCACCATTTGGGTCTTCTCAAGTGAGAGCCAGGATTTTGTTAGAACAGGAAGTTAAAGGAAATGATCAAAGAATAGATTGAAAATATAATTTTGATGATGATGGGCCATGAATTCCAGAAGGCACTATGCAAGTCGGAGATAGATGAGAAAGAAGGATCAAATAGAAGTATGCTGAATCTGAGGGGGCTGGAGAGGGAGAAATGAAGATTAACCGAGGACCAGGGTCATCTTACATTGACTGACATAAACACAGTCAAGGGGCATAAGATTTGTCCTCAGGGACTGAAGGGCAGCAGCAGAGATGAAGTCATGCTTCATGACTTTTTGTCTCACCCCTTGCATCTTAGAAAGGTTACCCTGATTCAGAATCTCAATTCTGTCACCTAAGCTGATCTTATATTCAGTCCCTCACCTCCCCTTTAAAGCAAAGGTTTGCGTTGAATGATGATTGAATGATACAGAGTGATGAGTGTCCTGAGCTTCCTCCTCACCTCTTTGGATAGAGAAGAGGTGGTCTGGGAAAGCATAGTCATTTCTCAGTGTCTGAAGACTGTCCCCCTGACCACCGTTGATAAAGTTGACATTCTCTGGATAGTGGTTGCTAAATTAATGTTTAAATTTTTCAAATGCCTAGTACATGCCAGTACCTCTTAAAATAGGGCAGAAACCATTAGAAAGACACAAAGGGCAATGGGGATAATATGTATTCAGGGACAGGAAAATCAATTTTGGGAAAATCAAGAAAGTCTTCATGAACAAGGGGCATAAGAAATGGATTTAAAGACGAAGTATCAGCTTCTGATTGGAGGTGGGCGTTTTCCACAGAGGGAAAAATGTAGAAAAGGCATGACACGTATTTAGGGATCACTATGTATTTGAGTTCAGAGTACATGTAACAGTTGGGGGTTATAATGTGGAGCTATATAGAGGCCAAGAAAGTGATAGTAATTGAAGGATGGATATTGAGCAAAGCAGTAGTATAATCAAAGTTTTCTCTAGGAAAGATTAATTTGGCAGTGCTGTTGTAGGTGGATTGGAGAAGTGAGGGACTGAAGATGAGATCAGCTTAGGTAATAGAATTGAGGTCATGAATCAGGGTAACCTTTCTGAGATGCAAGGAATAAGACAAAAAGTATTATGGAGGTAGGGTCTGAATGCTTACAAGGCAAATGATGGTTCTAGTAACCGAAAAAAGTAATATAGCCAGGAAGAATCTTTTGATTAATAAAACAGTAAGTTTTAGACAAGCTGAATCGTAAGTGCTTTAGGTAAGTGGAGGCCCAGCAGTAATCATGTAAATTAATATCTTCTCTCAGCTCTACCTCTGATGTAATAAATAATCTGACAATTGTGGGTAAAAGACAATCTCTTGAGAATAACAGATGTGAAGCTCAAATTTTCCTTTTTTAAATTTATCACGAATGTTTACTGTTTAAGTATATTTTTTATGAAAACATGATTGATCATTGTTTTATAAATATTTGAGTTGACTATTAGATTAAATGGTAAAAATTGAATATAAGACTTGTTAAAAATATTTTAAGGTATTTTAATAATTTTATTTATTAATAAGCCGTAGTTCAAGGTACAAATTTTAACTTGTGAACTTCAAATATTAAGAGTTACATTCATCTTAGTGCTCTAAAACTCAGTAAGCAAAGTAGGCTTCTAGTTTAGTTACTTCTTGCTCAACAATAGCATTAAAGTTTATTATAAAATGTTTGCATATGCCAGGTGTGGTGGCTCACACCTATAATCCCAGCATTTTGGAAGGCCAAGGCAGGCGGATCACGAGGTCAAGAGATCGAGACCATCCTGGCCAACATGCTGAAACCCCATCTCTACTAAAAATACAAAAATTAGCTGGGTGTGGTGGTGTGCGCCTGTAGTCCCAGCTACTCGGGAGGCTGAGACAGGAGAATTGCTTGAACCTGGGAGGCGGAGGTTGCAGTGAGCCGAGATTGTGCTGCTGCACTCCAGACTGGCAACAGAGTGAGACTCTGTCTCAGAAAAAAAAAGAAAAAAAAGTTTGCATAATATGATTATAGCTATGTAAAAAATACATATGCAGTGTAAAAAAACCTAAGAGAATACTCAAGAATAGCTGTTGTGCTAGTGTGTTAGTCTTGTTTATCTTCTCGGTAATGTTTTGGATTTAATTTTAAAAAATAGATTTCAAAATGTCATCTCTTCTAAAATAAATACACTATAAATCAGGCCTTTTTTTTTTTTTGGAGACAGAGTCTTGCTCTGTTGCCCAGGCTGGAGTGCAGTGGCGCAATCTCTGTTCACTGCAAGCCCTGCCTCCCGGGTTCATGCCATTCTCCTGCCTCAGCCTCCCAAGTAGCTGGGACTACAGGCGCCCGCCACCATGCTCAGCTAATTTTTTGGTATTTTTTTAGTAGAGACGGGGTTTCACTGTGTTAGCAAGGATGGTCTCGATCTCCTGACCTCGTGATCTGCCCACCTCAGCCTCCCAAAGTGCTGGGATTACAGGCATGAGCCACCACGCCTGGCCAAATGAGGCATTTTATACCACAATATGTCCTAGCCATAGAGTAAAGTTAGAAGTTCGTATGTCTGATAGAAATTAGTTCATCACTGGTGATATTGACATGTAGGTAAGCACCTCCTCCTCTTTGGTACCTTTCCTTGTATTTGGCAAAGATATACATGCTGTCATTTACCCCAGACAATGAATGTATTTCTATTTTCAGGGAAATTTTGGTGAAGTATATAAGGGCACATTAAAGGATAAAACTTCTGTTGCTGTTAAAACATGTAAAGAAGATCTTCCTCAGGAATTGAAAATAAAATTTTTACAAGAAGCCAAGTGAGTTATTTAAAGTAATCAAAATATGTATTTATTATGTAAATTATTTATTAAAATGTAAGTTTGAAGACATCTTAAATTGTGATTTACTGAAATAGTAGGGGTAAGCACTTTTACAGTATGGAATCCAAAAATTTGTGCTTTTGTGATATTCTGCAGATCAATTCAGCAATCATAGTCAAACCAGGTGTTAAAAAGCAGTATTATTCAAGTTCTTAAAATGTTAAGATATTTTGCTTTCATCACACATACATATACATATATGTATATATGCAATACTGTGCTTATGATAAAAATATTAATGTATTATATACATATACTGTACAGCTCACATATACATTTAAGTAGATAATTACATCTGTCCTACCCTCCTTAGATAGTACTGCTTGCTTCTGTTTTCTCAGCTGTTAGGTTTCATTTCTGAGAACCTCAGATTTCTTCTTCAACTGTATAACTTACATATACATTTAAGTATATACATTTAAGTATATACATTATATACATTATATATATACATTATATACCTTTTTATAGCTATCCTTGGTTTAGTTGTACATGTACAAAACATGCATAAATTTTTTATCTTTCTCCAAAGTTACCTTTTTCATTCTCTTAGGAAAGTATACAGCAGTTTTCAAAGATGAGTGAATTTATAACTGTTGATAAGATAATAAAGAATAAGATTTGGTAATAGAAATAATTGGGACAGACAGGCATTTGAGGTAATCTAGTTTATTTTTAGTTCATGTTTAGAGTCCTATAGGTGAGTGCATTATCAAGTAGAAGGGGCTCACTGCCCAATGTGCTAGAAGCCAATACTGTGACACCAGGTCTTTGAGAAAAGAAAAGCTTACTATTAAACGTCAACTCTTAATGATTTCAAAGCAATAGTTTTATTAGAAAAGGTTGAGGGGGTAGATTCTGAAATTACTAAGTGATTGGTGGAAGGGGAAATGGGAGGCCTGGAAAGTCCTTGGCCACACACAGTTATCTCTTCATGCAATCTCATGGTTCATATGTGCAAATCCAGGGGGAGTTAGTCTGAACCATGCAGTGGAAATTCAGGCTGTGATGTTAGCAAGCTTGTTTCTGCACAGATGCCAGTCAGCCCTATTTGTTCTAACCAATTTCAGCCAGTTCTTTTATAAACAACGGGAGTTTCAGTGATTAAGCAAGTTGTTTCTTTTTTTACGTGCTATCCTGCAAACTCAAGAATTTTTGTTGGTTATTACTGTGTTGAGGTTTTTTTTCTTAACTCTTTAGGGACATGGTTTCAAGTCTATCCTACTTTCATAGCCCTCTGATGAAATTTTGCCTTTATCCAAACAAAGTCTACTCTGCTTCAGCTGAAGTCTCTGTTGAAACTCCATTATTCAATTATCCATTTGCCAACTTTCTCAGAACTTTTGTTTCTACCATTTTGAAATTGACCCTGATCAAGAAAGTATTTAACTATTACAAAATCCAATGAAATGGTTACCCTGTAGCATTTGCCAGTATAAAATGATTTCCTATTTTATGTATTTTAAAATCAAGTGCGTGTGTTAAAAAATATATATATATATATGCGCTACCCTAGCAGCTTACAATTTTTGGCCCACTAATACTTTTCAGCTATACTTTTGTGGTAGTGGCTAAAACCAGATATTATAATTTGAAGGGAGTTGTACATGTTTTAGATTAACTAGTTTTTAACATGGTTGTTAATCATTCAGAGTAGATAATAATTTTTAAAAGAATATTAAATTAAGGAGAATTGACTCATTTGCATCCACATTATGTTGCCAATATGTATCAGTATGGTTGGGCCTCTGTCTCCATGGGTTCTGTATCTGTGGATTTGATCAGCCACAGAACAAAAATATTAGTGGGGGAAAATGTTGATGATTGCATCTGTACAGAACATGTACAGAATTTTTTTTCTTATTATTCCCTAAACAATACAGTATAACAACTATTTATATAACATTTACATTATATTAGGTCTTATAAGTAATCTGGAGATGGTTTAAAGTATATAAGAGGGTGCGTGTAGGTTGTATGCAAATATTGCACCATTTTGTGTAAGAGACTTTAACATGCATAGATTTCTGTATCCACGGGGGTCCTGGAACCAGTCTCCTACAGATACTGAGGGAAGGCTTTACTCGTTTGTATACATCCAATTTATCATAATTTGGGGTCATACTGAAATTTTAAAAATTGAATTATGATTCAAGAGTATTCTAGTTGTAAACCCTATTTGTGATCACAAATTAATGCTTTATTATTCAAATGATAACTATTCGTATATTTTCATCTCATCTAGAATTCTCAAGCAATATGATCATCCCAATATTGTCAAACTTATAGGAGTTTGCACACAAAGACAGCCTGTCTACATCATTATGGAACTGGTTTCAGGTAATGTGATCTGAGAATTTTTGCATGATGACATTTTAATGTCATGTTTTATTGTTTTTATATGTTCGATCTCTTTGATTTCTCCTCGTAAAGTCTCCAAGGATTTTGTTTAACATTTCCAGATAACAAAAGAGTCTGTACCTATAGTCAGTATTTTTATAGGCTGTAACACTTTACTATTTTCTAGAAAATGTCAACTGCTTTTTTAAAAGGCAGATTTATTATTAGAATATAGTTACACATGGAATTCAGTTATACATCTTTATGTGCAAAACACTATTTAGAAAAAGGCAGTGTACTTAGACTTTCTAACAGTGATAGTACTATCTTATATTTAGTTCACTGTATATCATTTTCCAAGTACATCTCCACACAACCTCTCTTCTAAATGTTTAAATTAATTTTTAATTTTTTTTTGTAGAAATGGAGTCTCACTATATTGCTCAGGCTGGTCTTGAACTTCTGGGCTCATGTGATTCTCCTGCCTTGGCCTCCCAAAGTGCTGGGATTACAGACATGAGCCGCAGCACCCTGCAAAACCTCTTTTTTGATGGTTATATATAATAATCTCACAATGCTTTGAATCACTTTCGAATTATGAACTTCTTTCATATGTGGACAAACAAAAAGGTGATCAGTCTATGAATATGTCTTGGTATTTATTTCTGGTGACTTTCAACACCTTTATGTTAACAACTTTTGACAACAAAGAAAACTTTGAAGTGCTGTATTAATAGTATGTTTTAAAGTTTTTTTCGTTGTCCAACTTCCTGTTGTAGAAGATACATTCAGAAGTAAAATTTGATCTCATAAGCTTTACAAATAGAGTATTTAATAAGTGAAAGGGATTTGCTTTACTTTTAACAATTATTTACTCATTTTAGGAGAAATTTAAAGAAATATGTAAAACGTTTCTAATTTTAATTAAAATATATTAAGTAAACATAATATTGTAGACTGCTCATTAATTTCTGTTTACAGAAATTAATTTTTCATGATTTATAATTATTGGTCCTGTTTTGTTATACTGCTTTGCTTGCTATTGAAATATTTCTCAATATTACCATGTAACTGCAGAATACCTAGATCATTATCATCTTTATCCTCATTAAGATGGCATTGTCTGTGTTAAGTACATTGTATGTTTTAATGGTTTAAATGTGTAAATATTATAAAAATACATATTAACATTTACATGGGTACAAATGAAGCCCCTGAATAATAAGGAACGCCACTGAAAAACTCAGATTTGGGAGGTGGGATGAACTTGAGGAAAGGTGATTCTGGTCTTACTGTAATTGTTAAAGGACCACAGATGCAAATACCAGATGACAAGTCCTAGTTAAATAAAACAAAAGAAGATAGCTTTGTAGAGGAGCCAAGCAAGTGTTTATCTAGACTCTGACTAGTAACCTGTTTATATTTTTTAAATGAATAAGAATAATAAACTTCATTAGAAAATTGAAAATATAATAAAAGGTAGAAAATTGAAAATGAAACCTTCTACTCAACAGTCTAATTATATCTCAAAGCTAATTGCTGCTTGCAGTTTTTAAATTTTTTTCCAGAAAAATGTTTAATGCAGATGCTTTAAATTTAATTATGAAACAAATTATACTCCACCACTGTTTCAGATCTTGCTTTTTTTTTCTTATTACTATAATGTGTGATGGTTTTACTGTTTTGCAGTTATCTATACAATTCTACTTTTTTTGGTAATGGCTACAGAATATTCCATTTTGTGGATTTACATAATTTATTCAACCGCAACTTTATTTGTGGATAGTTTGGTCATTTTTATTTTTATTATTTGTTTTTACAAACAGTGTTCAATGAATATCCTTGGACTCACTGTAAGAATCATTTGGAAGTGTGTCTGTAGGTAAAAATTCAGTAGTGAGATTGTTGGATCCGAGTTTCTGTGTATTTTGATTTATGTAAATGTATTAGCTTTTGATTGCTGCACAAGTAATTATCACAACCTGAGGGCTTAAAGTGACACCCATTTTTTACCTGACAGGGTCTGTAGGTTAGAATTCCTGGCAGCCTTGACTGTGTTCCGTGCTCAGGGTCTCACAAAGCCAAAATCAGGATGTCAGGCTGAGCTGTTATCTGGAGGCTCTGGGGAAGAATCTGCTACCAAGCTCATTCAGTTGCTGGCAGAATCATGTCCCTTGCAGCTATATGTCTAAAGTTCCTGTTTCTTTGCCTTCTGTCTGCCAGGGGCATCTCTTAGCTCCTTGAGGTTGCCTGCATCCCTTTTCACATCGTCTTTCTATCTTCAAAGTCAGCACGGGCCTGCTAAATCCTTCAAGTATTTTGAATTTTTCTAACTTTCTCTTACGTTACTAGCTAAAGAATACTCTCTACTTTTTTTTTTAAAATGCTAAATTAAAACTATTGAATAAAGAACACTCTCCAGAACACATGATCTGATGGACAAGGTCTACATTACATGCAGTGAAGCTGAACATGACCATAGTTTAACATGGAATGTCAAACAAATTAGTAATTTTCATTGTACAAAACTGTTTATGTAGCTGACATGCAAGTAGAAAAGTGTCATACTCAGCATTTTCACCAGTCGTCTGTGATGAGTTTTAAAAAAGGCATTTGGAGAAACTGGTAGATGTCTTCAGCATATAGTTCAAATAAATTAGTTATATGTGTACTACTGAATCCTCTTTCAACCTCTCTTGCATTCCAAATGAAATCTTAGTGCAAACATCAAAGTTGCTGGTCACTCCAAAAGACTGTTAAACTCAGAATACAAGTTCTGAATTACTGTGTATTAAGTAGGGCAAACCCAAGAATACCAGTTACTGCAAAATTCATTTAGGCACGTTTAATAGTCCACTCCACTCTAAGCATTTTTTCTAAGTCTCTCACATTAATGACTAAAGCCTGTTTACAGTACTAAAATTCTGTCATTCAAGCATCAGTGATTACATTTCAGAGAAAGGAAATTCATTTCAGTAATAGCATTACTGCTATATCCTAAAAAAAAGAGAGAAAATAAAGAATCATAATTAACAAAACTAGTATCCGTAATAGGATACACGGGGAAAAACATTTTAGGAGAAAAAAAAAAGTGTGTTTTACTTGCCACAGCAGGAATTATATAATGTAAACACCGTATTGGCCCACACCACAAAAATCCATGAGAAAGGTTCAAATTTGAACACTGTATGTGCATTATTTTCAAATCTGTGTTTGTGAGTTTGTACTGTATCTGCTTGTACCAATACATGACAAACAAAACAAACTTCCACACACATACAAGTGACTGTTAAATATTAAGCATGGCTTGATTCCCTGACTCTAGCTCAAAAGAAAAAAAATGTTAAGTGACATCCCAACTGTCTTAAAAATGTTTACAGAAACCATTAAATGAATGTGAGTAGTAGCTGAGGAATGATGAAAAAGTGATGGTAATGATATGGTGCAAGTGGATGGAAAAAATATATGTATAATGCTGAGATTTTCAAATGCATGGAAAATCTTATTCTGTGGGCCTTGTCTGAATTTTAAACTGATACCAAGAATAAAAAAATATAGTAGCACAAGTCCATTGACACCTGGAGGGTCAGGCCTAGAAAGCTAACCTTCAAAGTGCAAATTTTAACAATGGAATGTTTTAGCAGGGACTTAAGGACAATCCTCTGTCTTTTTCTTGTTGAAAAGACCTAAGATGTTCAGGAAGTATTTATTCCTGGCCAGAATTATTTCAGTTTCTTGGTAAAACAAAAATATTTAGCCACAATTACCACCCACTCATTCACATACCCAGAACCATTCTTAGGGGTGTTTGCTGGGAGAAAAAGCCCTAATCTATGTATCATGTAATGGAACTCTTATTTATAATCTAAGTTTTTTGAATCCACTACTTTAAATACCAATATGCACCTCTCTTATCCCCTCCCTCTCCACCCATCTACCCCATACACCCCCAGTGAACCTAGGTATTCTAATGTCTTTGTGTTTTCTAAGCCTCATGAATAAGACTGTTGAATACCACCTCCACCGGATCAAAATTAACACCTGGTGCACTTTCTACAGCACCTTTTTTCTTCTCCACAAGTGAGAGGAATCTTGATACTTTCAAGCCTGTATCTAGATCTCCAGGTCATCAGGCTGAGGCCTGCTGCTGGCACGACTGCTGGCTCTGCTTGAAGGTTGCTGGTCCACAATGGCTAGTGGCTGTAGTTCATGTCCAGCAGCTAGTTTTTTAGAATTCTGGTTATCATCGGGGAAATCAAAAGGCTGTGCGTGGGAGTTAGAGATGGTGCTTCCCGCCTGCCCCATTCGATTTTGTTCTGCACTGTAATTAGCCCAGTTTTGCTCACTTGCTTGCTTGTCGTAATTGCGGCAAGAAGAATTGTTTCTGTCGCCATTAACCAGCTTGTACCCAGGAAGAGACATAGGCGAGAGGGGAGCAGTTGGTGAGGAGCAGCCATTGAAATAAGCATATTTTTGAGACCCACAGTCTTTGGCGGGGCTCAGCGGGCCAGTGGTCGCATGGTAAGGGTCGCTCTTTCCCTTAACCCAATCCTTAACGCCCTTGAAGAAAACGTAGAAGAGTTCAATGATATTCAAGGCCAGGGACACCAAGGACACCACCAGCATGAAGATGATGAAGATGGTTTTCTCCATGGGGCAAGAGAGGAAGCAGTCCACCTGATGTGGGCAGGGATCTCTTTTGCAAGTGTGAACAGCACTCAAGCTGAATCCATAGATGTACCACTGGATCAGCAAGGTCACCTCAAAGATAGACTTGAAGAGGATACTGATGATGTAGGTTCGCAGCAACCCCCCTTGCATTTTCACCTTACCATGCTCTTCAATACCATACTTGAACTTCTTTATCTCAATCTGCTTCAAGTGCATCTCCACATTGACACCATCAGTTTGGGCAACCTTGAGTTCCTCCTCTTTCTTGTTCAGTTTCTCTTCCTTTTGCATCACATAGAACACATGAGCCAGGTACAAGAGTATGGGTACAGACACAAATATGATCTGCAGGACCCAGAAGCGCACATGAGAGATTGGGAAAGACTTGTCATAGCAGACATTTTCACAACCAGGTTGCTGAGTGTTACAACGAAAGGCAGACTGCTCATCTCCCCAGGCTGACTCAACCACTGTCTTCAGCAGCAGGATTTGGAAAATGAAAAGTACTGACAGCCACACCTTCCCTCCAGCAGTTAAGTAGGCTTGAACCTTGTCAAGGAGTTTGCCTAAAGTGCTCCAGTCACGCATGTTGCCTGGGCACCACTCTTTTGCTTAAAAGAAGTGAAGTCACGCCAGGTGATTGAACTCCTTGGAGGATGAAGTAAAATGAAAAGGCAAATTCAGGCACTCAGACCTGTCTATTTAAAGTTTAAAACTCCGCTGCTGTTTGTTACTTTCCTCACACCTTCCCCCAATGAAAGAAAAGTGCTGATACCTCGTAAAAGCTGCTACTCTCTACTTTTAAAAGGGCTTGTATGATTAGATCAGGCACACCTGGATAATCTTATTTTAAGGTCAACTGTACATGATAGAACATATTATGAGTAGTACTTACACTCATAGGGATCCAGGTATTAGAGTAGGACATCTTTGGGAGGCCATATTCAAATTCTGTCTACCACAGTAGATTTTGCTAAATTTTCCTAAAGGCTGTTTGCAGTGTGGAATCTCAAATCTTATTAGTGAACTTTTCATATTCAGTTACATTAAGTTCATTGGTTGATCTTGCAGTTTGAATGCCTCTTTTACCCATGCATGATTTTATAGCATCATGCTTCAGTCATTTGGAAAATATCAGATCACCAAGTCATGCAGGTATTTCAAATAATGATATAATTCATTATGTAATATCACACATTTATTAATGTCACAAGTCTCAGAAAAGTAATGGAGGCGGCCGGGAACAGTGGCTCACGCCTGTAATCCTATCACTTTGGAGGCCAGGGTGGGTGGATCATGAGGTCAGGCATTCGGGACCAGCCTGGCCAACATAGCGAAACCCCATCTCTACTAAAAATAAAATTAGCCAAGTGTGGTGGTGCATGCCTGTGTAATCTCAGCTACTTGGGAGGCTGAGGGAGGAGAATCGCTTGAACCCAGAAGGCAGAGGTTGCAGTGAGCCAAGATCATGCCACTGCACTCCAGCCTCAGCGAAAGAGTGAGACTCCGTCTCAAAAAAAAAAAAAAAAAAAAGTAATGGAGGCTGTGAAGCTCATTGTGGCAGATACATGTTTTGAACAAATCTGTAGCACCTAAATTTACTCATGCCTCTTTGTAATTCCTTTCTTCTACCTTTTACTACCCTGTCACAGCCAACCACTAAGGTGCTTTCTGTCACTAGGTATTAGCATTTCTCAGAACTCTTAAAAATAGAATCATGCAGTAAGCACTTTTTTTTCCACTAAGTATAATTATTTTAAGATTAATCCATATTGTAATGTGTATCAATAGGTTATTCTTTTTATTGCTGAGTGGAGTTCTATTTTTTTTTTTTTTTTTTTGAGACGGAATCTCGCTCTCGCCCAGGCTGGAGTGCAGTGGTGCGATCTTGGCTCACTGCAAGCTCCGCCTCCTGGGTTCACGCCATTCTCCTGCCTCAGCCTCCCGAGTAGCTGGGACTACAGGCACCTGTTACCATGCCCGGCTAATTTTTTTGTATTTTTAGTACTGACGGGGTTTCACCATGTTAGCCAGGATGGTCTCGATCTCCTGACCTCGTGATCCGCCCGCCTCGGCCTCCCAAAGTGCTAGGATTACAGACGTGAGCCACTGCGCCCGGCCTGGAGTTCTATTTAATGAATATACTGCAGTTTATCCATTCAACTGTTGATAGACTTTTGGATGATTTCCAGTTTGGGGCTACTCTAAATGAAGTTGCTGTAAACATTCCTGTACAAGCCTTCATCTGGACAAATGCTTTCATTCTCTTGGGAAACTGCCTAGTAGTGGAATGAATCGATCATCTGGCATTTGCATGTTAAATTTTTTAAGAAACTACCAAATTACTTTCTAAAGTTTTTGTTCTAGTTTACATTCCCAACAGCAGTCTATGATAGTTTCAGTTCCTCCCCATCGTCGTCAGCACTTACTTGGCCTGGTTAGTTGTTAGCCTTTCTAATACTTCTATACCTTATTGTGATTTTAATTTGCCCTTTCCCATTGAATAATGATGTCATGCATGTTTTCATTTGCTTATTTGACGTTTGTATATCTTCACTGGTCAAGTGTCCAAATCGTCTTGCCTATTTTAAAAATTGGGTTGGTTGTTTTCTTGTAATTAAGTCTTGGTTCTTTACATATTCTGGATACAAATCCTTTTTCTCTCAGTCTGTGTCTTGTCTTTTCATTCTCTTAACAGTGTCTTTTGAAAAACATCTTTATTTTGATAAAGTTTAATTAATCAATTTTTTTCTTTTATGGATCATACTTTTTTGATGGTATATCTAAGAAAACTGTTGAACCCAAGGTCCTAAAAGTTGTTTCTTAAGTTTACTTTTAGAAGTTTAAAATTTATATTTGAGTGTAGGACCCATTTCAAGTTAATTTTTGTATATAGTGTGGGAAATGGTTAGAAGTTTATATTTTTGGCATGTGGATATCCAGTTTTTCCAGCACCACTTGTTTTAAATGACTATTCTTTCTCTCTTGACTTAACTTTTTACCTTCATATTAAATTCAGTTTTTCATACTTATATGTGTCTCTATTTTTGGACTCTGTTCTTTTCTGTCAATCCTTTTGTCTCCATGCCAATACCACAATGTCTTGATGACAGTAGCTTTATAATAAGTCTTGACTCAGAAATAAATCCAAACATATACAGTCAACTAATTTTTGACAAGAAGACACAAAGGGGAAAGAATAGTCTGCCTGACAGATGGTGCTGGGAAAACTGCATTTTCACATACAAAAGAATGAAATGGGACCCTTATTTATACCATACACAAAAATCATCTCAAATTGGATGAAAGACCTAAATATAAAACCAGAAACAATAAAATTCCTAGAAGAGAACATGGGGGAAAACTCTGGGACATTGGCCTTGGTGATGATTTTTTGGATATTACAGCAAAAACTCAGGCCACAAAAACAAAAATAAATAAATAGGACTATATCAAACTGAAAAGCTTCTGCACAGCAAAGGAAACAATCAGCAAAATGAAGCAGTAGCCTACAGATTGTGAAAACTACTTGCAAATCATATACCTGATAAGGGGTTAATATCCAAAATGTATAAAGAACTCATACAACTCAATAGTAGAAAAGCAAATAACTCAGTTTAAAGATGGGCAGAGGAGGCTGGATGCAGTGGCTCATTCCTGTAATCCCAGCACTTTGGGAGGCTGAGGCAGGAGGACTGTTGGATCCAGGAGTTCAGACCAGCCTGGGCAACGTAGTGAGATCCTGTCTCTATGACTTTTTTTTTTAAATTAACCAGACATGGTGACGTGTGCCTGTAGTCCCAGCTACTCAGGAGGCTGAGATGGAAGTATTATTTAAGCCAGGGAGGTTGAGTCTGCAGTGAGCTGTGATCATGCCACTGATCACAACAGATGTGCCACAACAGAGTGAAACCTTGTCTCAAAAAAAAAAAAAAAAAATCACATACAACTGATGTACCAAAAGAGAGCAAAACATTGTCTCAAAAAAAAAAAAAAACCCAAAAAACAAAAACAAAACAACAAAGAACTGTTTTTAAAAATGGGCAAAGGCCTAAATAGACGTTTCTCCAAAGAAAACATAAAAATGGCCGACAGATATACGATAGGTGCTCAACATTATTAATCATCAGGAAAATGCAAATGAAAACCACTGTGAGATAGCACCTTACTCCAATTAGGATGGCTATTTTTAAAAAGGGAAAAGATAACAAATATTGGCAGGGGTATGGAGAAATCCTGTACACTGTCGGTAGGAATGAAGATTGGTACAGCCATTATGGCAAACAGTATGAAGGTTCCTAAAGGAATTAAAAATAGAGCTACCATGTACCTCAGCAATCCCTCTTCTGGGTATATGCCCAAAGCAAATTTAATCACCGCTTGTAAAGATATGTGCACTCCTATATGTATTGCAGTGTTACTCACGATAGCCAAGATACGGAAAAAAACTAAATGTTTGTCAGCAGAGAAATGGATAAAGAAAATGTGTTACATATGTTCAGTAGAATATTCTTCAGCCGTAAAAAGGAGCAAGATCTGACCATTTGTCAAAACACAGATGAGCCTGGGGGACATTATGCTGAGTGAAATAAGCCAGACACAGAAATGAAAATATTACATATTATATATGGAATCTTAAAAAAAAGTCAGATATACAGAGATAGAGAATGAAACGGGTCACTAGGGCAGAGGGCAGGAACAGAGGAAATGGGAAGATGTAGGTCAGAGGATACAAAGTAGGAAATATGTAGAATGATCAAGTCTAGAGATGTAATTTACAACATGTGAACTATAGGTAATAAAATTGTTCTGTGTATGGGATTCATGCTAAATGAGTAGAGTTTAGCTGTTCTTGTCACACAAAAAAATGGGTAACTATGTAAGATGATGGATATGTTAATTTGCTTCACTATAATATTCTTTTTACCATCAATATGTATTCCATAACATGTACCTTTAATATACACAATAATAGTTCTTTAAAAAGTCTTAAAATCAGGTAGTATTAGTCCGGTTTATTCTTCTTTTTCAGATTCTTTTAGAAGTCCTTTGCATTTCCATATTAATTTTAGTATTAGTTTTTCAGTTTCTATAGAAAGGCTTGGTAGAATTTAGAGTGAGATTTTATTTTATCAATATATCAATTTGGGGAAAATAGACTTCCTAGCAATATTAAGCTTTCTGATCCATGGACATAGTATATCTCTGTAGTTACATAGGTTGTCTGCAATTTCTCTAAGCAAGGTTCTTTACTTTAGCATATGGGACTCTTCATCTTTTGTCAGATTTATCACTGATGTACCACTAAAAGAAGAAAGGACTCAAAGTAACAACCTCAGCTTCTAGCTTAAGAAATTAGAATAAGAGCAAATTAAACCAAAATAAGTAGAAGAAAAGAAACAATATAGATAGCAGCAGAAATCAATGGAATGGAAAATACAAAAACAGGGAATAGTGATAAAACTAAAAGCTAGTCCTTTGAGAAGATTAGTAAAATTGATGAACGTCTTCCCAGACTTATCAGAAAAAGACTGAAATTACTAATATGAAGAGAGAGGTGATATCACCACAGAATATTCAGATATTAGAAGGATAATGAATGTTATGAATAACTTTATACAAATTTTATTTTATTTTTAGAGACAGGGTCTCACTCTGTCACCTGCTGGAATACAGTAGTGTGATCATAGCTCACTGTAGCCTTGCTCCTGGCACAAGCAGTCCTCCTGCCTCAGCCTCCCGGAATTTGGTAACTTAGATAAAATGGACAAATTTCCTTAAAGATACGAACTACCTAATCTCATTCATGAAGATATAAAGAACCTGCATAGTACCATATCTTTTAAGAATTGAATTTCTCATTTAAATAACCATTCCTCAAAGAAAACTCCAGGCCTAGATGGCTTTTCTGGTGAATTATACCAAACTTTTAAGAAGAAAATGTTACCAATTCTATACAACCCACTGAAAAAGTTGAAATTGAAGAATATTTCTAAACTCATTATTTGAGGCCAGCATTACCCTGATTCTAAAATGAGACAGAAACATTACAGGAAAAGAAAACTGCAGACCAATATCATTCATGATCATAGATTTAAAAATTCTAAGCACAATTTTAACAAAGCAAATTTAACAATATATAAGAATTCATGATCAAGTGGGATTTATCCCAGGACTGAAAGCTGATTTAACTTTCATAAATCAATATAATTAATCATATAGATAAAATAGAAATTATATGATTATTTAAATGCAGAAAAAAACATTTGGCAAAATCCAGCACCCTTTCCTGATTTAATAAAATTCTCTGTAAACAGGAATAGAAAACTTCCTCATTATGATAAAGGGCTTCTAAGAGAAACCCATAGCTAACATTATATTTAATGAATGAATGACAAATGACTAAATGTTTTCCCCCTTTATATCAGAAATAAGATAGATATGCTGGCACTCACAACTTCTCTTATTGTACTGGGTGTTCTAGTTGGTGCAATAAAGAAGAAAAAAGTAAAAGGCATCTTTTAATTGTTTGAATATGTTTTCTTTGCTCCCATATTTATTTGCCAGTATTTAAAATTAAAATGGTAAGATACTGTAGTATTATAAGATTATGTGGTATTAATTCTACAAAACTTAAAATTAATTGATTTTTTTTTAAACTTTTTGGATTTATGGTTGACCAGTTATGTTTTCTTATCTCCAGTGATGTCCTCTTTAGACATGGCTTTGAATCCTCTAGTCTTATACAAGTTATATATAACTTTCTAATATTATCATGAAAATAGGGCCAAAATAACAATTTGAAAAATGATATAATTTTGTGCTATCTTCTTTTTCTTTTTCTTTCTTTCTTTCTTTTTTTTTTTTTTTTTTTTTTTTTTGAGACGGAGTCTAGCTCTGTCTCCCAGCCGGGAGTGCAACTGTGCGATCTCAGCTCACTGCAACCTCCGCCTTCTGGGTTCAAGAGATTCTCCTGCCTCAGCCTCCCGAGTAGCTGGGATTATAGGAGCCCACCACCATGCCCGGCTAATTTTTGTATTTTTTAGTTTCACCAAAAACAGGGTTTCACCATGTTGGTCAGGCTGGTCTCGAACTCCTGACCTCAGGTAATACACCCACCTCAGCCTCCCTAAGTGGTGGGATTACAGGCGTGAGCCACCATGCCCGGCCAATTTTATGCTATTTTCAAGTTAAACCTTGGTAACAACCTCTTCCCACCTTCTACTTACTTCTCTCAATATATTGCTGTTTAACATCTACTATACCACTTTTTGTTCTCATCAAAGAGCAGATGTACATCTCAGAATTTGTAAAGATAAATCAGCAGAAAAGCAAAAAGTCCCTTGAATGAATTTCCACTACAAAATCAAAACCTTATAAATACATGGTTATGAAAAGCACTGGAGAAACTAAATAGACTTGGTTAGCTTTTAAGAATTATGGGATTTCTCAAGACCATCCTGGCCAACATGGTGAAACCCTGCCTCTACTAAAAAAAAAAAAAAAAAATTAGCTGGGTGTGGTGGCGCACGCCTGTAGTCCCAGCTACTTGGGAAGCTGAGGCAGGAGAATCGCTTGAACCCGGGAGGCGGAGGTTGCAGTGAGCTGAGATCGTGCCACTGCCCTCCAGCCTGGCGACAGAGTGAGACTCCATCTCAAAAAAACCCAGAACAAAAAACAATTATGGGATCTCTGTCTCCTTCCCTTATTTCTTTGCTTAGTTCCTCTCTCCCTCTTATTTCAACATGTAATGACAAACGTACAGAGTTATTGAAAGGCAGTAGAGGTTAGTGGTGAAGAGTGGAGCTCTAATAAGTGGTGATAAAAATATGAGGAAACCAGAACATTCATACGTTACTGGTAGAATGTAAAATGATGGTCACTTTGGAAGAGAATTTCAAGTCTTCCCAAAACGTTAAATAAAAATCTTTCATATGACCTAAGAATTCCACTACTAGGCATCTACATAAGAGAAATAAAAACCTCTGTCCGTGCAAATACTTGTATGTAAATGATTATAGAAGCATCATTTATAATTGCCCAAAAGTAGAACCCAAATGTCCATCAGCTGATGAATGAATAACCAATATTTAGTATATCCATACAGTAAATAACTATTAAACAATGAAGAAAAATGAGCTACTAATATATGCTACAACATGGATGAACCTCAAAAACTATCCCAAGTGAAGTCAAAAGACTACACGTTATATGATTCCATTTATATGAAATACCCAGAAAAGACAAATCTATAGAAAAAGAAAGATTGTATTTTCCTGGGGCTGGGGTGTAGATGGGGATAGACAATAGACAGGCATGAGGGTTCTTTTTGGAGTGATGAAATTATTCTAAATTTGTCAAAACTCATTGAATTGTACAATAAGCTGGGTAGAATTTACATATATAAACTAAGCTTCAATATACTTCTTAAGAAAAACAAAACAACAAACTCAAGAGCCAGGCAGTCTTAGCTGAAAGCTTACTTAGCTCAGTCTCTTTTAAGTTGTATGAACTTACTCAACTTACTTTTAACCTCTCTGTGCCTTAGTTTCCTTATCTGTAAAATAATACTTTGGGAGGCTGAGGCGGGCGGATCATGAGGTCAAGAGATCAAGACGATCCAGGCCAACATGGTGAAACCCTGTCTCCACTGAAAATGCAAAAATTAGCTGGGCGTGGTGGTGTGTGCCTGTAGTCTCAGCTACTCAGAAGGCTGAGGCAGAAGAATTGCTTGAACCCGGGAGGCGGAGGTTGCAGTGAGCTGAGATTGCATCACTGCACTCTGGCCTGGTGACAGAGTGAGACTCTGTCTCCAAAAAAGAAATAAAAAAAATTAAAAAATAAGATTGTTATTAAATGTACTGTGATTGTGTGTGTGTGCGTATGTGTGGTGTGTGTGTGTGTATATATATATATATACACACCAAACACACATATGTAAACATCTACATAAATATCTTAGAGTGCTTGACACATAATCACTATGTGTTTGTGCTCATCATCATCATCAGTATCATTATACTTCATAATTGTCTGAGAGGAAAAAAATGGCTAATTAAAATGCCTGCTATAATCCAGCCAGAACTTTAACTCAGACTGAACCTGCTCCTGCCCCTGCTTCTAACTCTATTCTAACCTGATACTTGTGTAGTCAAGAATGACCTAAAAACAAATTGGGAAGCACAGTTTGTCTTCAGTTCTTCCCTTTTACCATCATTTGTGATTGTATGTTGTAATGTTTAGCCTTTATACGTGTCATTTTCTTCATATGTGAAACTGAAGTGATTGGATTACATGACCTCTAAATTTTAGCTATAACCTTGAATTGTTTCATTGTTATGAAATTTTTTTGAAAATTTGAAACCTCTGATAAACTTTAAGACCACTTCAAAATTATTTGTCTTTTCTCTTTATAAAAGACATAATAGGGAAATAACCAGCTAGTTTTTTTATTATAAAACTAGTACAATAATATATAGTATCTTACATTTACATAATATTTTACAGTTGTCAAAGCACTTTAACATTATGTCAGTTATTCTACTAGAAGTTATTATTTCCATTTACAAAGAAACTATTAAATAAGTGAGGTACAGAGAGCTTGAAGTGACCTGTCAACATCAGTTAAATAGAAAGTAGGCTAATAGTACTCTATTTCTACTATTGTGTAATTAGATTTTTATGTGGGTCAAAATATATAATCCTTTTATGAAATGAAAATTCAAGCAAAATGTCTGTGCAAGATACTCTGTGGATGAAAACATGAATCCCTATTTCATAATTTCTCAACCTTGTGCATAGATAAATAAATAGCTCGTTTCAGTAAACAGGAAAATTTCTGTTTGAGTTTCTTTTTTCTCTACTGGGAATAAAGCTGTGGAGGGAAGATTTAGAAAACTGTTAGGTTAAAAGCAAGAATTTAATAACTTCCTAGTGTCTAATATGCAAATCATTTCTAAAATGTATTATGCAGAGATTTAATATGCTCCTGTTCTTGTCAGATAACTGAGCCCTTTTGGAATCATAAATCCAAAATATGTTTTAACCAGAGTAATGTTTGAGAAGATTATAAGCATTTGAGAATTCAAGTTTAGAGTGAGTAGTCCAAGATGATTCTGTCTTTGTTTGAATCATCTCTTGAATTATGAATACTTTGCTTGCTTGCTTGCTTGCTTGCTTGCTTATGAGTTGCTGGATAAGTAAAATCAAACAAAAGTCAGCTCTAAATGGCAATGGGTAATATGAAAAAAAAACCCTAATATGCTAAAAGATGACCCCTTACTTTATAGACAAGTTATTACTTAGAAATTCAAATTAAGAGAGGACTTTTAAAAGTGACAAGCTATGAGTTAAAAGAATATTTCTAGTCCTGGCTGGGCGTAGTGGCTCACGCCTGTAATCCCAGCACTTTGGGCAGCCAAGGTGGGGTCGATCACTCGAGGCCGGGAGTTCAAGACCAGCCTGCCCAACAAAGCAAAAACCCCATTTCTACTAAAAATGCAAAAAATTAGCTGGGCATGGTGGTGTACACCTGTAATCTCAGTTACTTGGGAGGCTGAGGCAGCAGGATCGCTTGAACCTGGGAGGCAGAGGTTACAGTGAACCAGGATCACATCACTGCACTTCAGTCTGGGTGACAGAGTGAGAATCTGTCTCAAAAGAAAAAAAAATATATATAACAATATATATTATGTTATATGTAAAATATGTAGTCTAGACAGCTGTCATTTGTTTTCATATATGTGATTAAATTAAGACTGCAATGAAAGATGCCGTGATGAATAGGAGACTTAGCACCTTAACCTCCAAGTACAATAACACCTGTGCTGACTCTGGGAAAGCTGGTTAATTTTAGAAAGCCTGAAAAAAAATGTCAGTCTCAACTTTTTCTTTCCCTAGGGATTAGTAACTACTCCCTTCTTTCTGACCTGAATGTTCTTTTTGAGTTCAGAACTTCCTGGAACTAATTAAATGTTATATTATCTGGTACAATTCTCAGCTCACACAGACTCATGGCCCTTGGCAATCCTCAAACTCATCGTAATTTTAAAATGACTTATGACTTTGGAACTTTTAGAATTTTTGAAGAGTTTTCACCAGGCTTAAGACATTGTCAGAATTTATCTCACCTCTGTAACATGACATTTTATTTATGGTTTAAAAAAAGTAATTGAGTTCATTTGGTTTATTTTAGGCTTAGAAATTTTAGGCTTAGAAATCTAGACATGATTATTTATATTGTTCTCATAAATGTCTTTAAGATTTCCATATAAATCTTTCAATTGTCAAAATTCGTTTTCTTTTAATTTTTCATTTGCATTTGTAATTTCTATAGTACATTTCACTAATTTTTGCCAAAAAGTTAAATTCTTTTAAAAAATAAACATTTCATCCTTCCCATTTATTGTGAAATTTTATATTTTTACAGGATTTTAACAGTCAGTTTCAGTTATGTGACTTCACAGCTCTGGAAGGTTACTATGGTAGTTAACTGGCAATGACAGTTTCAGCTGCTTTGGTAACAAATCCCAGCATTTGGAGTCTAGATACTTGCCTGGCATTTGTGTCTTTCACTTGTGATAAATGTAGAAAGGATAAATTGAGCCAACAAAGGATTAAGGAATGTGACTCCTGCCTCATACTCACTAAAAGAGAATCCTCAAAGTCTGAACTGGTGCCTTTCCTAACATAGTTTAACCCATTGCCAATTATATTACAATTTTACTTCACAGTAATCAGTTTTGAGGCCGATTAAAAGAACAACATAGTAATTCTCGAATTAATATTTCATTCAAAAAATTTTAAGATATAGCAACTCAGTGGCTGAATTTTTTAACGTTGCAAACGGATTACTAAAGAAAACCCAATACTGTGGAGTTTATTATTTTGTGTTGTTTGAAGATGATGGTAGAATATTCCTTTAAAACAACTTTGATATGAGCCTAAATGCATGCAATTATAGATTAGTGCACAGTAAGTTTCAATTTGGGAGAATGAGTACTTTTTTTCTTTTTTATGTTAACTGATGTTATATCTAAACCTAGACATTCCCATTTTTATTGTATAATTCAAGAACATTACATTACTGAAAGTCAAAATATTATGCTCTTGGTTGTCATTTTACATCATGCGTAATATGTTTGATATAATGTATTTTCAAAACAACATTTAGAAAGATAGCAATTTTAAATTGATATTTCTTTCTGACCCCAGTGATACCTTGGATTGCTTTAGTATTTCACTTGCTGCTTAATATCCCAAAGCAAATACAGATGGAATAGTTTAAACTGGCCATTCCTGCAGATACTAAAGTCAGTAATATCCTTGTAAATTGGAGTTACTTTATTTAATTTACATGTGACATAAGTTGGTAACCTATTGGCATTCCACATGTGTGGTATTGACCTTTTTTCCTAATGTTTTTTAGATATACTCTCTTAGTAGGCCACTGTTTTTTTTAGTAGGCATCTATTCTAGTAGTGTATATTCTTTCCCAGAGGTTGAGCTAAATGATAAAGACATTAACCCAGAAGAAGAATATAAGAAATAAAAATATAACTATTTCAGTTAATAGGATCACTCCTGTAAAGAAAATATATCTATAACTATTACTCTGTCACCTCTTTGAGTGGTTTTAAAGAGTGCCAAGGGATTTTTTTCTATTAATGAGGAAATGTTGGTATGTTGTAAGAAACATTAAGTTTTCATGGTACATTTGAGCCATAGATGCATTATGTATGTCTGAGTAGTATTACTCGTAGGCTTTTTATGTTCTGAGCTTCGATGGCATTTATACCTATGAGTAAGTACCTCCAGCAAAGAGGCAGGTGGCATGGTGAGCAGGACAAAGCATGTTCTGAACCACTCTTGCTCTTAGATTCTGTTTTTTAAATGACTTTCTGTTATTTGAAGTTCCTTCACAATTGAAAGTGTAGGAGTTATGAATACATATGTATCCTTCCACATGAATGAACATTTCTTTAAAGGTACTGTGAGTTTCACTGTTGGCTTTGTAGGTGATAATTTTTATATTTTTGTTACTATACATGGAAAAGTCTTAAAATTCCAAAAGATGAACAAAGTTTAATGTAATATTTTAAATAATAAGAAAATTTATTATTGGCAGTCTACTTATATTTGATGCAAATGTTAGAGGTGTGAGCAGGACTAGTGTAACTGGTGAATTCAATTGAAATAAAAAACAAATTTTACGTAAAATGGCTTGTTTTTACAAATAGGTTTTCACCAATAACCTATCCAATATATATGAAACTAACAGTGAGTATCAGTATGAAATTTTCATTTTATCAGAATTGTAAGGAAAACTATAATTTCATTAAAACAGTTTGGAGCCCATACTGTTTTTCCAAGATTAAAAGACAACTGAAAATCCTTTGAATCAAAATTTTAAAAAAACATTTATTGAATCCAAGTTAAAAGTGAATATTCTGTTTTATTTTTTCCTGCTTGCACTGATGTACCATATATATTCAGATTCTATTATGTAGAAACCAAATAAAAGCCATGATCTGGTCAGCATTAGCCAAAGATATTGTAATGCTACTCTTTTATTTGTAAATTTTATGCCTTTTTAATTGTAAGTTAGCCTCTGTATTCAGAAATGATGACGATACAAAGTATCTGGACTCTTCTCAAGTTTGTGGAAGCGATGAAGCTTATGCATTAATATTAAGGAAGGTAAATCAGCTGAGCTTGGTGGCTCATCCCGTAATCCTAGCACTTTGGGAGCCTAAGGGTGGTGGAGCACGTGAGCCCAGGGGTTCACAAATTCATTATGAAGGATTACATATTATATTAAGCATTGTATAGCCTCTTGTCAGTGAAATGTGAAAATAATATTAGAAATTGTCATAACAAGGTTTTGTACATGTGGAACTTTTTAATTCTTTATTTGCTTTCATTTGTCCTTTCCTGTAAAACTAGATTGTCATTAGTACCTGTTTATAAGTGTGTATTTCAATTCCAGAGAGAATATGATTGAGAGCCTAATAAATGTACCTACAAAATGTAACCTTTGTTTGAAAGAGTAAATTTGCCTAAATTATTCTGGGTCAAACTTGAGAAAACATGATCACATTTGATAATATCCGCATTCAAAATGAAAGATTTTGTATAGCAAAGTGAAGGTGATTAAAGAGGTGACTTTCTATAGCGTCTTTAACTTTTTATTGTAAGAGATTACATATATTAAATATTTTCAGGTTAGAATCTGTTTTTTTAAGACCTTTTTCTTCTTCTGTGTTTGTCTGCGTTAGTTTCAGGAACCTTTACCAGATCATTGATAAAGACTTCAAAATGAATATATCTCATAAGATGATACCTGCTACCAGCAAGTGGTTGAATCTCTGTATTTTCTATCTTGGGTGCTATAAATTAAGGAATAAACCCTTCCTGTAGTTAACACCTATCATGATTTCATGCCATTTGTTGAATAGGATGAGAGACTCAAATATCTATTGTTTTACAATTTTTTACATCTTTATATGTGCTTTTTTAAAATAAAAGATTTTGTACATAGGTAATTACATAGCACAAAATTTATAAATATTACATCATTGAAATTATTTGCTTTTAAGAATCAAATTTATACTTCTAAATTCTTTTTAAGTTAAGTAGGATTTCTAAACTAATGAGGCTATAATTTGATGGAGCTTTATTATTTCAAAAATAGTTGAAACCCGTCAGTTCTGATAAAAATAAACCCAGGAGATGCAACGATTAATTTATTTTTTGTTGGAGACAAATGTGTCATCCTGTATTTAAGTGACTGAAACCTAGAAATACACCTGTTTTTCTTTAAGACTTTCTATTCTTTATAAACCTGTTATGAGATTTGGATTAATTACACTATTTGTTAAATACTTATTGGGCACCAGCTTTGTTCCATACAAAATACGCTGGTGAAAAATACATCAGTGATCTCTTTTCTCAAAGAAGTCACACTGTAATGGGAGAAACATATGTTTAACAATAATCACAAATTTATTTCAAATTTTGATATGAAAAAAAGTGATCAGAGGGATGGTAGCAGGTGGAATCTATTTTGTTTTAGGGGCCTTAGGAAACATCATCTGGAGGTGACATTTGTGTTAAGATCTGAAAGACAAAAATAACCTTGCAAAGGGGTAGGAAAAGGCTCAGATAATAGCAAATGCAAAAACCTGTGGTGGGAGAAGGCTTTTGTGTTTGGGGAACAGAAGGGTAGAGTGACTGCGGCTCAGTGAGCCTTAGAGAGACTGACATAAGATTGGAAAGGTAGGACCTTACAGGTCAGGGTAAGCAACTGGATTTTATTTGCCATACAGTCAGTCGTGTGTTAGGGAGTGGAGTGACTGGTTTGTTGTTGTTGTTGTTGTTGTTGTTGTTGTTGTTGCTGTTGCTGCTGCTGCTGCTGTTTTTAATTTTCAGAGATTACATAGGGGACACCAAAACCGTCTTTCTGTCCATGACCCCTATTCTCCTTAGTTTCTCTTCTTGAAGATAGCTCCTCTTACTTTTTGTGGGATTTTTATTGTTGTTATTTTTGTTTGTTTAGTTCTGTTTTTATCCTTCCAGAGCTTTTTTATGCAAATGGAGACACATGCATATACATCTTTTTATTTTTTATCACAAATGATAGCTTATACACTGTTCTGCCCTCTTTATTTTTTTTAATTTGATAAAATATCTTGGAGTTATTTACATCAGTATATGTAGATTTAATCTATTCTTTTAGCTTGGTAGTATCTGTTCCTCCTTGATAATTAGTTTTCTAATCATCTGCTACTATAGTAATACAGAGTGCTTCAGTCAAAATTTTGTACATCTATGATTTCTTTCTTGTAGATATATATTTTGGGTTAAATTCTACTCTCTTGAATATCTAAATAGATATGGTATAGGAAAGATTCATGAACATTCCCAAAAATTTATACCTCTAGATCCACAGTTCAGGTAGCATTCGATTTGAACTCAAGAGATTTCTAGAAAATATAGTGGCTCCCGGTGGAGTCTGTGCTTCCAGAAGCCTTTATAATATTTTATATAAAAGCAGGTATGTATAGGAGATGAGTTTACAAATAGTCAAGCAAGCCGCACATCTAGCCGTAATCATAGAAGGAATTTTACTCTTTATGAATAAGAATGTCAGAAAGTATTTTTTTTCTGATACCTCTATATAATTTCCCCTCAGACCAAATTTATTGTATTCCAGAATACTCGATTATGGAGTCAGAATTTCTTTAGAAAACTGAGAAAGCCCAGTGGGAAACATACCTGCTCCCAAAGCATTTAGGTCCACTCAGTCATCTCTTTTTTTTTTTTCATTTTTTTGAGACGGAGTCTTACTCTATGGCCCAGGCTGGAGTGTAGCGGCACAGAGTCCGCTCACTGCACCCTCTGCCTTCCGGGTTCAAGCAATTCTCCTGCCTCAGCCTCCCGAGTAGCTGGGGCTATAGGCGCCCGCCTCCACACCCGGCTAATTTTTGTGTTTTTTGTAGAGATGGGGTTTCACCATATTGGCCAGGCTGGTATCGAACTCCTGACCTTGTGATCTGCCTGCCTCAGCCTCCCAAAGTGCTGGGATTACAAGTGTGAGCCACCGTGCCCGTTGCTCTGTTATTACTCACTTTAACACTTATAAAAAGAAATGCTCAGTGGGATGCAAAATGCACTGTAATTCTTATTTAGATGCTGTTATACCTGGAAGTGACTTTTGCCAGGCTAAACATGACCACTGTGGCTTTGGAACCATATGTGGTTTTAAATTATTGCTCTACTATCATTTGTGTGACTTTAAGCATGCTACTTGATCTCTTTAAGCCTCAACATTTTTACTTATAAAATGGGAAAAGAATATAATGCTCAAAGGGTTAAATGAAATAATATATGTAAAGAATGTGGCTCATTTCTTAACTCATTCTGAGTTCTTAGTAAATATTACCTGCTGGTAAATTAATCTGGGCTGAGAAGTAACATTATGTATAGATGGAATTTTCAGTTCAATGAGCTATCATATTCTTGTAATGCCTAAATATTTCAGAATAAATGATATCCAACCTTTTGAAAACTCAGTAATTTCACAGCAGTAGTAGTCGCCCATTTTGGCTTAGTCCAAATGTTAACTAACTAATTAAAAAATTAATCTGGGGGCCTTCATTTTTTTTTCTTCCTACTAGACTATTACCAAACAAATTTTAATTTCAGAGAAAGAATGCTATTAATGTGTAGATCAGTAAACTTTTTCTTGATATTTGCAAATATTAAACCTTTAGATTCTAGGGAAAAATCATACAAATACAATACAATTACAAATAGCAGCTTTCAGTAGACCAAACATTTTCTAAAAGTCAGCCATAAATGTAGAAAGGAATGTGTTTCTGAGGTGAGATATAAAAAATGCTTATTTGTAATAGGCAAGAGTTTGGAAGGCAGTTTGGCTAAGCAAAATCACAAGCTCAGAGATAATAAGAGATAGGCAAATCAAAGTTAGACGACACATGGATAGTTAGTAGGTGGCTTAGAGGACAAGAGATCTTTAGAGAGTTTAAAAACTGTCAGAGATGGATACGAATGAATAGAAGAACACTTTCTGAAATGTGCTGAGACACATAGGAAACCAGAGTATGTAAGACAGGGTTAAATGATAAAATAAGTTGGCTGCATTGTCTCTACCCCCTGAGTATATTGAAGATAGATTTATGAAGAGTTTAATTTTAATAATTGAGGTGGGAAATGACTGTGGTATGAAGAGTAGGTTTTGAGTCCAAGTGAGGATAGGTTCTGGTAGTATTCCAGAGCAAATGACAAGGTTGTTGCCAAAAGAAGAAAAGATGTTGATGTCAAAGATTGTTCAAAATGTCCTATTTCCAATCCATCATTGACGTCCCTGTGTTATTTACTTCAGAAGGATGAGCCATAGAATTTTTTTTCTGTTTGAACTCTAAGTGGCTAAGGAAATAAAAACCTTAAATGTAATGGATGATGAGTAAAATATTTGGTCTGTTTTACTTCATTTGTTATTGGTTTGTAATTCTTAGTGTTGAATGGACAATAAAGTTGTTTTATATAATCTGCAGCCACACATAAGCTTAGACTATTGAACAATTCTAAGATTGTACTTTTATAACTTTTTACAGTAGCAATCTTAAACGTTGAGATTTGCCTATTCTCCTCATTAAGTGTAAATCAAACTCATTGGCAGTCCATTTATGTGGTTTTTTGGAGTAATTATTACATGATAACCTTTTTAATAATAAAGGTTGATTTTTTTTTTTCATCTCCGCAACCATATGTCCCTGCAAGTCCAGAAATAGCTTTTAAATAAAGCTGGGAAAAGATTATTGAAAACATGGAGAGAAAAGGAGATAAAAACATGTTTCACTTGGTCATATAAATGAAAGAGCATAAGACATGCCACATGTTTTTAGACTTAAGGTCTATCCAGTTCAGTATAATATGTTGGGGAATGATACTCTTACAGACTGATTTGAGGAAACAGTATATTTTGAAAAGGAGTATTTTAAACATCACCATGTTTGGTGATGAGTATACCTACCTTTCCTTAGAAGATAATCGACTTTGGAAATACTAATGAAAGAAAAAACTGTGAAATTTAGGTGTTCCCTGTGACGAGCAAGATAATAACATAACAGTAGCTCCATAATAATATAACACTTATTGTATGCCATTTTACTGATGGAAAAATATGCATTGAGAGGTTAAGTGAATTGCGAGGTGGACCTGTTGTTAAATTGTAGAAAAAGAATTTAACTCTTGGCTCTAGTCAGTATGATTTAGACTCAATACTTGGGAAAAGAAAGTAGAGAAGAAAATAAGTCTGTTAAAAATAAGTCACAGTATAGGTAAGGCTTTTCTATATTATTTAGAAAAAAGGACAAATTTAGAAATGCGAATAACATAATTCAGAAACATTTCAGGATTATTTGCAATGAAATAGAGGCAATTTGATTATAATTAATGCAGTCATTTTGTAATACAAACATGATTATTTCATGTATCTTTTGCTGAAAATGGACATTTTTTAAAAATAAATGATTCATCTATCTTTCAACCAACAGGTACATATCAAGTATCTATCGTATGGCAGCTTTGCTGTGGATAATATATACCATGAATTCTATATTGTATTTTCTATAATTGTGAATGTTCCAAATTCGTGTATGTCTATCTTCTATTAATGAGAATATCAGTAAAAACATTTCTTAAGCGAAACATTACACTATAATTAAATTTCACTGGTTTTTCTGTAATGCCCTCTTTCGCTTCCAGGTTACAATAGAAGGCATTATGTTGCATTTAGTTGTCATATCTCCTCAGTATCCTCTAGTCTGTGAGAGTTTCTCAGTCTATCCTTGTTTTTCATCATCTTTGACAGTCTTTGAGAATATTAGCTAGATGTCCATGGAAATGTTTTGCTGATCGGAGTTTGTCTGAATTTTTTCTCTTCATAATTAGACTGACCTTATGGATTTTGGAAAAATATCACACAGGCAAAATGCCCTTCTCATTATATCACAGCAGGGGGTACATCATATCCACATGACATCACTGGTGATAGAAACCTACATCACTTGAGTAAACCATTTTATAGTGACAAATAAATGCCTTGTAATTTTATCTCTATATGTATCATCTTTTTCATATATTGTTCCTATTATGCTTGAAAATATACAAAGATCATAGACAATTCCTTTTAAGATATAGTGTTCCCACAAATCAGTCTATAACAGTATACAGTCTTATCTTTAGAAAGCTAACAAAATTTTGGGTTTTTTTTTCCTTGTTCCAATTCAAAAAAGTAGTATATGAGAAGAGGACACGGGGAATTTTTATTATGTTTCATTGGTAGTGCAAAATAATTTTAGAAAACATATAATTGACAATCTGGACATCATGTGTCCAGAAATTTTTAACTAACATTCTTATTAAGCAACAAATTAATGAGTGGAGAAACTGGAAAAAAGCCATTAACTGTGAAAAGCTTTACATGGCAATGTTTATATAGTTCTATCGTCATGAGGGAATTTTTCTTCCTGAATATTTGCTAGTGATATATAACATTTTTTGACGATGGTCTCGGTGGATATCTAATTTTGAGTGTGCGTTATGTTACGAACCTAATTCTTCATACAGAAATATAAATCAGAAAGATATTTTAGGTTCACATTTTTCTCATATAAATAAGACCAAGATTGTATATACATTGTACTGTTTGATATAAATAATTTGGATATAACTAACTAGATCTTTTAAGAAAATTGTTTACCCTTATGACATTTCTGCTTTCAGGCAGGCTTGATTTTTTTCTGTGCTACCTGAGTGCAATTAAAAACATGACAGAAAAAAAACCTCTTTCTATTCTATGCTCGCAAATGAAAACTGTAAATGATGTGAGTTGGCATGTATTTCAAAAGATAGTCTATCTAATGTATTAGGTTGGTGCAGAAGTAATCACACTTGTTGCCATGAAAAGTAATGATAAAAACTTTTAATGGCAACAACCGCGATTACTTCTGCACCAACCTAATATTTTTCAGAGTCATTAATCCCTCTGGGTTTGTTCCCAGGACTTTGAAAACTCAGATTGTGCGGTATTTTCTGTTGTTGTTACAACGAAAAATAAATGAAATCTTATGCCTTAATCAAGTGATCCCAGAAAAACAGTAGGCCAGTGATGTCGTGTTTCCCTTTAATCCGTTTTTTAGTGATAGTGACTTAAAGCTATGTTTCTCTTTCCACATCCAGCTATCGGACTCAAAGGAAATATAAGGTCTATAATGAAATCTGCTCGAAGATGAGCATGGTATACTCTGTATTGGTTTGATAGGACTGAAGTAACAAAATATCACAAACTATGTGATTTAAAACAACAGAAATTTATTCTCTCACAACTCTGAAAGTTAGAAAGTTCAAAATCAAGGTGTCACCAGGGCCATGCTCCCTCCAAAAGCTCTGGGGAGTAATTTATTCCTGCTTCTTCCTAGCTTTTCTGGCAATTCCCAGCAATCCTTGGTGTTTCTTAATTTGCAGGTATATCATTCAGTTTCTGTCTCTGCAATCACATAGCCTTCTTCCCTCTGTGTGTCTTCGTGTCTCTATATTCAAATCTCTGTTTTCTTTGTTTTATAAAGACACTAGTCATTGGTTTAAGAGCCCACCCTAATATGATCACATAATGAGTAATTACATCTGCAGAAATCTTATTCCCAAATAATGTAATATTCTGAAGTCCCAGGTAGACATAAATTTTGGGGGGACAATGTTCAACCTGGTACACACTGTTAGTTGTTTTAATTAATAGATCTGTGTGTTTTATTGGGTTATGTTATATTGAAAGACAGTTACAAAACAGTAGTTTATGTTCTGCTAAATCCATGATACATCTGATTATTTGAGATACTTGAGGAGCTACACTGTCCAATCTCAGCTTTCAACAAGACTCAAACACCTTGAATTTGGTTAGTGGTCAGAGCATTGATGACCATCTCTGTCCTCATGGCTCGTGCCATATAGTCCGTCATAATTTATTTAAGGATAATATGAGCTCTGAGGCTAGTGTTAGGCTGTGAATCATTTATACCGTAATTGATCCTAGCTAAGGGGCCGGTATCTGCACCTTAGCATGTCTTTGTTTTGTGTGGTTTATATCTCACCATTATATAAATATCTAATGGGGAAAACTATGTATAGTAAAGAGTTTGTGAATTTAAGGAACTTGTGAACTTTAGCACATAGCCTTTATGAATGTGATACTTTCATATCCAAATAATGATTACACTTTTCCCTTCGTAAATCAATCCTCCTCCCCTTCCACATATTCCAAAATTCATGCATACTCAGGTTCTGCAGTGGGCCCTGCAGAACCCACTTACATGAAAAGTCAGCCTTTGAAAAAAATCCACATATAAGTGGACCTGCACAGTTCAAACTCAAGTTGTTCAAGGGTCAACTATATTACACTACATTTAGGAAGGAAAAGTAACAAATTGTTAAACTCTTAATAATAAAAAAATACATTATTAATTTGTGTTTACTTGGATAAAGCTTTAAATATTGAGTAAAAGAATCATTACCTAAAAATTTTACACTTTTCTTTCGTATCTTATAAACACTTATCCTGTCTTACTCAAAAATGTATTTGAAACTTGAGGTTGGCTAAAATGCAAAGAAAATAGAAATCACAGTGAAGGAAAAATAAAAAGCTGGCAGGGCAAAATGATATCTAGAGTATGCTTTGTGCAAAACACTGTTTTAAGCACTTAACATGTAGAACTTCTTTGATATCACCATAGTTCTTTAAAATATTATTATCCTCAGTTTACAAATAAGGAAACTGAAGCAAAGAGAGACTAAGTAATTAGCTGTCCAAGATTCCACACTTTTCAGTTGCTACTTGTCAGGATTCACATCTAGCCAGAATCCAGTGCCAGTTCTCTGAATCACAGCCCTATAGTGAAACCAGAGTAGAGCTGTTATATCAAAAGATACATTGTAATATCATGCAGGATTGCTAGAGTTGGGTCTCAAATTAATTTCTAACATCTTTAGAAGTAAGTCAAAGATAGAAACTCAATAAACTCTACCACATTCGTAGTGACTACAAAATTTAATTTAAATTTTCCCTGGACCCATAGCTGTCCTTGGCCCTAAAGCCTGGAATTCCATATACTTGGAGTTCCACTCTGCAGTACTATTAATACAGTAATGAATTTTACAGCTATCTCTTGGAGCACAGCTCAAAGTAAATTAAAGAGGGCGGTCAGGAAACCTGATTTCATAAAAGCATCAAAGTACCATTTAGAATCTTCATGGAAATTGAAGAGTTGTACAGGTATGTTTTGGAACCAGGGCTTTGCTCGCTTTTGCGAAAGCAGAGTTTGGGTCATATACCTTGGCATGAATCATTTTTCAGATACAGTGTGTTTTGCAGTAAGTGACGTGAAAACCTAAGTAAATGTTAGTTTGCTGTGCTAAGTATTCATAATACTAACATACAACGTGATTAAAGAACAAATGATTCTTTGGAAATATAAACAGAAACAATACTAATGAATTGGTGACATGTTCATAGTATTCTGTGTATCAGTATGGAATATATCAAATTTAAGTTATATCTAAACCAGGTATTGCTAATTTAATAAAATCAGTTTTTAAGCATCAAAATTCTGTGTGTATATATCTTAGCTTTCTAACTTTTCCTGTGTCCCTTCTGTACACTTCCCCTTGCAAATCCTTCAACCCTTCTCTCATCTCTTGTTTACGCTGCTGTCTCTTTTCTTGTTCTTTTTTAAAGAGTAATTCCAAAGATTCTGACTAGTTAAGACTTAGAAAAAAATTAATGTAAAAAAATGTAGTTATTCCATTAATACCATTGCTTGCCACTTTTCTGTTGTTATCTAAGCATGGTATGTTAATTACATCTAGTTGTAAAACTGATCTGTAAATCAATAGCAAATATATGAAAGCATATAACTTTGAATATTATTTTCTAGATTGTTTCTTGGCTAAAAATATCTTTGGAATGGCTTTTGCTTAGCATTTTTTTTTTTTTTTTTTTGAGGCAGAGTCTCGCTCTGTCACCCGGGCTGGAGGGCGCAATCTCGACTCACTGCAAGCTCCGCCTCCCAGGTTCACACCATTCTCCTGCCTCAGCCTCCTGAGTAGCTGGGACTACAGGTGCCTGCCACCACACCCGGATAATTTTTTGTATTTTTAGTAGAGACGGGGTTTCACCGTGTTAGCCAGGATGGTCTCAATCTCCTGACCTCGTGATCCACCCTCCTTGGCCTCCCAAAGTGCTGGGATTACATGCGTGAACCACCATGCCCAGCCCGCTTAGCATTTTTAATATGTACCTGTCTACCACTTAAAAACATACCGAAATTAATCGTGGTTGGAAGCTAATCATAGTTAGAGCTTGCAATAAATATATTTTGTAAAAAGGAATATTATCTTTTTTCAGTTTGAAATGTTTCTTCCCTTCTAAAAACTAATTATCTGGGATTCTCCACATAGGAGTGGCATGCATATCCATAATCATAATAAAGTATATAAACACTAATTATTTTTATAATGTATCTTCAGAAAAGAAAAATGAAAAAAAAAATTAGAAGCTATTTCAGGGAACACATACTCTTTTAACATTATCTCTTAGTTTTTATCAGTCTATATTTTTCCGATTGGAGCTTTATAACACCCACCTACATTTTTATATTAATTATGTGTAGCATTTTTATGGCTATTCTTTCTAAGAATTTATATCAAAAAAATTATATATAAGGAGAAAGATAGCGAAATCAGTAAAATTTAGAACCAAGACATTCAAAGTTATCTTCTATCATGTAACAAAACAGTGACAGAAACTATTATGTAGCAACATTACTAATATTAGGCTAAAAGAAAACTTTATTACTATGCTTTCATTGAAGTAAATTTTACCCTGTTTTTATTTTCTCTTAGTGGTCATTTTGAATGACTTCCTTGCCCACTGGATAATTAGCAGATTCATGTACTTTTTTATAGCATTCTGCTGTAATTTCTTTTGTTTTTTGTGTTTTGAGACACGGTCTTGCTCTGTCGCCAGGCTTGGAGTGCAGTGGTGTAATCATGGCACACTGCAACCTCTCCCTCCCTGGCTCAAGTGATCCTCCATTCTTCCCACCTCAGCCTCTCAAGTAGTTGTGACTACAGGGGCATGCCACCACACCTGCCTAATTTTTGTATTTTTTATAGAGATGGGATTTCGCTTTGTTGCCCAAGCTGGTCTCGAACTCCTGGGCTCATGTGATTCACCTGCCTTGACCTCCCAAAGTGTTGGGATTACAGATGTGAGACACTGTACCTGGCCTGTAAGGTTGTTTCAAACTGGAAGTCTGGGTTAGGTTCCCTGTAATAGCAATAACAACATATAGTAACAACAGCAACAGTAAAAGCAACTATATCTTGAGTTTTTAGCTTTCTGTATTTCAGACACTGGTAATCACTTTTGAATCTTCACTTCAGCCCTGTGATGTGGTTATTTTCATGCCGTCATTATGGATGATGATAAGCCTGAGGCCCTATGGCCAGAGCCAATACACAGAGCTAACTTATTTATCACAGAGAGCCTCTGAATCAGGCCAGTCTTCTTCACATCTCTTACACTTGTCTGCCTTTTATATACCATCATAAATGTCAGCTACCTTGACTGCCTTTTATACACTGTCTTTAATATCAGCTATATTATTAAAAGCAATAATGAAACTGCGTAGTGTCGAATTTTAACAATATTGCTAAAATGAAAAATGTTGAGGCACTGTGGGGCAAAAATGTGAATCACTCTTTCAGACAGTGAGGAGTCATCAAGAGCTATTCCAAGAGAAATCCTATTTAGAGTACATGAGCAACCGTAATGAAACTTTCTTAGATTTTTACATCAATCTTGATTTTTACCTTATTATATGAATTAACTGCTAAATCAAGTCTTGTCTGGACAATTAACCAAAAAGCCTTTAAAAAATACCTTAAGGTAACATAATTGTTAATAAATATCAATAATTTCTACATTCAGAATCATCTTTTAAAATAATATACATATCTTATTAATGAAAATTACTACAAAATGAAGACTATGGAATTTAGCTTTTAAAATTGATTCTTCCCAGTTACCATTCATTTTAAAGCATAGTATCAATTTGTTATGGTCCATTTGCATTGCAGGGTCTTTGTAAACTCTGTCATTAAACCTAACAGAAGTAGAACATGTACTTGAGACCATCCATCAGGGCAATATTCCTTGTTTCCTGCCCTGTTGACTTTCCTTTTTCCATAGCTGGTAACCACTATGTGTATCATTTGTCTCACTAATAACAGCCAACCATATTAAGGAACAATGAAAAAGCAGTGGATATCACACAATTAATATTATTGCTGGTTTTTTAAAATGTTTTTAAATTGGACAAAGCATTATAAAGAACTTTCAAACCCATATAATTAGTTTTTTTGTAATCATAAATAATTTGATTTGTTTCATCTTATATAGTACTTAAGTATTATTATAATTTCCACTTTACACAGGAGGAAATTATGGATCAAAAAGATTATTTATTGTAAACTTGCAGATCAAAAAAGTTTTTGAAATAAACTAATATCAAGTAGTACTAGTGTCAGCAATCACCAGTATACTCAAGGGACTGTAAAAGTCCAAGGCTGGGCCCAAGAAGTATCCAGGAGTGCTTCAGAATAGTTCAGCAACATCTGTGTGAAGAACACCTATAGTGTAAGAATACAAAAGGAGCAAAATGAAAGACATATGTGCCACTAGTGACATCCCTCTATACTCCCTATATACAGCAGTTAAAGGCTCAAGGATACGTCCATGGAATCTACAAACTGTCACACCAGTGGTAATCTTAAAAATAATGCTGTGGAGAATCAGGTAGTTTATTAGTTTATTACTAGCCAGAAATATTTTTTATCCACTGACAAGATTATTAAAATCTGCGTGGCTAATTTAATATTGCATTATTTAGGTAGCTCCATGTCTGGGTGATGTCTCTACATCTGTCATAAAACTAGGAGACATTCCAGTTTCTTTTTCTTTCTCAGTCAACCTGGATAGATCTGGAGAATTGAGCCAGCTGTACTAATGTTCTTTTTTCTCTTGAGTTTACCTCAAGAAAGAGGAATATGCCTCTGATTGGGTCTGTTTACTGACTCTCCCTCTTTCACATCATCCACACAATGAGAAGTTGATCAACTGTTTTAGAATAGACAACTGTTGTAAAAACTAGTTACACATTTAGTAAATATTGACCAAGTTACTCAAATGATGGGTGTAGTCACACATTAGGAATATAAAAGACTGTAAACCCTGTGGGAGTTTGTATCTTGAAAAATTTGCCAACAGATTACATAGAACATCTCCACTATTTTCTCATATTTTGAATACTGTCAGAGTTGGTCCCCTTATGACTTAATAAGTCCATAAGAGAGGATCACTAGTAATTGGGTTTTAATATATAGCTTACCAGGTAAATCTTTTTGCCAAAATTCTTACCTGATCTCTTGGATGGAAAGAAGAGAACGTATGACATTGCATTCACTTCTATTTGTTCTCGTGTATCTGCAGACCATATTTGAGATCCTCAGTCTTACCACAACCATACCCACATAGTTGAATATCAGATTGAGTGAGTTATGGGAGACATTTAAAGATGAATTTGTATACATTCTCCTTGTTTATTTTTTTCTAGTGGTAATGTTCCAAGACTGAGACAAACAGATATTTACCAGACCTATTTTATCTTATTAGTTGAAAAGAAAAACCCTGTTAAAATCAACTTTATAAGATGCTGTGATTATGGAAATGTCCTAACCACTGCTCCACCTGGGGCAAAGGGTACAGAGAAGAAACTGTCCATGAAGGTGGAGAAAAAACTTTCACAAGGGACGATGTTTATTGGGAGGGGTGGGGAAAACACCTTCCTCTCTGTTGGAAAGTGGGAGATACTGGGAAGCAATTGAAGGCTTGTTTGACATCGGTAACTCCAGATTGGTGCTCTGAAGTGTGGACTGAATTGATTCTTTCATCATAAGTCTGACTGTCTTATGGTGCCATATTAGACCATATTTACTGAGTGAATGAATTATAAAACATAATAATTTTAGCTTTCCTCATTTTTTTCCTAGCATTAATAAAATATCTTCCCCTGTATGCACAGTTGGAAATCATACTAATGTTGTTCTGGTTTTAGAAAGAACACATGTCAGTGTAGATGCCAGAACCCCTAAGTAAAATTCTGGCTTGAAGGCTAAGGAAATGATACCCAGGAAAGGTTATGGTTACCTCAAAGAAATCTGTTCAGCACAGAAAATATCACATTAGATTAGATTCTGCAGATTTTTAGACCTTTCCCTGCTTAAACTGCCCTGCAATGTAGCTGTCAGACATCATAGCCAAGCCAATGCCAACCCCACAGTTCTCTCCTAATCCTGACCCCATTTCTAGACTTAATGCTACATGCTTTTCTAGCAGTTTCTGATAATTTATTAATTACAGAAAGTAGTTTTTGTTTGCCAGCCTGTTGAGTGGATGGTGATTTCACTATGCTCTACATTTAAGCTTATAGGCTTGGTAGTTTAATAAAACTGCTACTTTTTTGATAAATACATTTTTCCTCCCATGGTTAAATGAATAAAGTGTATCTAGAGTGAAAAAGAAATCCCAATTATACATAGCATTTTTCTATCTGCTTGCTCATTAAACTTATATGCATGTCATAACATAAAAATAACACCCTGTAAGAAATAATCTGTGATAACTTGAAAGGAATGCCTGTGTAATCTAAATTCTTTTGATGCTGTCTCTGGCATTTAACCTGTCATTTTAATGAAACAATTTTAATTGCTTATTTGCACATAGTGTTGTGCAA
This sequence comes from Homo sapiens, assembly GCF_000001405.40. NCBI lineage: Eukaryota > Metazoa > Chordata > Mammalia > Primates > Hominidae > Homo > Homo sapiens. The sequence goes on from NC_000005.10 coordinate 109,080,303, forward strand.
AGTGGCTTACTAGTCTGTGCTTTCTGGGAAGTGATGAAAGACCTGGGTTGGAATACTCCATGTGAGTGAATGTGGAAAGGTCACATAGATAATAAATTAATTAAAAATTTAGTTAATTAAATATTTACTGTTTTAAAAAATAAAGTTATATGAGTTGTAAAGAAATAAACAATGCATTACCCATTTTGATTTTCAGGTATCGGTGAAAGTCATCTTTTGTTGAATCAAGGAGTTGATTCTTACAAATTTTAGGTCTGAATAATGGGAGTAAGTTCTCTGGCAATCTGTAAGGCAGTATTTCCATTTATCTGAGTTCAAGATGTGTAAAGAAAGTTCTTGTGAGTTCAAAAGTAAATGGATATGGACTTGGGCCAAAAACAGTGACAGTAAAGTTTAAATGATAGGAGCAAGGAAAAAGATTGTACATTGTACATATAGAATAAACTATGATAATGAGTAAAACATTATTCTCAGATTGCTTGAATTGTAGATCAGAGATGATTATAAGATTGGATCGAGAGTTGAGAATGGAGAAGGATTGCACAGGAGTTCCAGCTTTTCAACAGGTCACGTATGCACAGTTAACAGGGCCACAGTCTTGAAGTAAAGAGGGACAATGCTGGGTAGCGAGGATGGAAGACTTTTACAAATAATAAAATATGATTTCATGCAAAGTGTTCAAAGTAGAGCATATTAAAACAGGGAACCCAGAGATGGTGGTTAAATAGTCTCCACAGTCCCACTTCCTTATTGGGCTGAGCTTCCTGGTCTAGAATGGACTTTAGACAGCATTCTAACCTCATCTCTTTATGTAATCAATGAAATCCAGAAAAATTGGGCAAGTTGTCTGAGCTCCTACAACTAATTGCTTGTAAAGTTGAAGTGAGAAAAGACGATCTGCAAGTTTATGTAGTAAAACTCAACAAAGTTAATCTTAAACGAATATAGAATGGGTCCTTTTCTTTTAAATAACTAAAATTTTATTGTGTGCATGACTCTTATCTCTTTCCTGAAGTACTTGTCCTAAGAAAAACATTTGAAACAAGTTACTTTAATCTTATCTTTTTCCCCAACTTAGATATGAGAAAATTAAGTGTAATCGGGAACCTCTTTCATTACGATCTGAATTAGGAGAAATATCTGTTTATGGCCAAACATTTTTCTGCTTCTAGAGGCCTAGAGTTGTTTCTAGTACAGACTTAAATTCTAATAGAAAATCTCCAAATAAGGCATTAATATTTATTTCATACCCTGAATGATATCTAAGGAAAAGGATATTCTCAGTATTATATTGAAACCGATTTAGCTTTTTCTCCTAAGCAGTTACTTAGGAGGAAACTTAAATAGTTGTCAGTGGTAGTACTGACTTAGCACAGACATTTCAGCAACAGGAAAATACAAATAAAAGAGAAATGTAAGTCTTAGAACCTAGTTCTATGGATGCTTAATTCTCAAGAACTTTTTCTTTGTTTTGATTTAATACATCCCCTTTAAAATCAATACTCCTAAAGTATTTATTACTTTATCCTAAAGCAATATTTATTAATTTATTACTTTTTCCTAAAGTACTTTAAAGGTACTTGTTTCCTCCCAGTGAAGGAAGAATGCTCCATTCTTAACCTGTTCTCTGGATCCCTCTCCTACCCCTTCAGAATCCATTGAAGGTTTCTGAACCATTATAACATATTACTTGTGTGTCTGTGTAGCCATTATTTTACTATATCTTATTATAGTTTATGTATGAAATTTGAACGGGGGACAGGGAATGTACTTTAATGATAAGTTAGAAGGCCTTTGGCACTTTGCCTGAAATAAGCACCTATATTTTTTGTCTTATTTTTTTCTACTCTAAAGTCCTTTGAGCGTTATTCTTTCTTTGTTCATTTCTAGATAGGACTCCCTACTCTTGCCCAATGTGTCACAGGAGACATTTTGTGAGATGGCTAGCTGAAGAGCTTACTGTGTGACCTGAGTGGCTGCACCACCCTGCACCCAGTACTCTCTTTTGTGGAAGATCTGTTCCTCACTGTCATATGTGCCTCACCTGACAAATGTCAAATGCATGTCCTTTCAGAACACAGTCACTGCTCTATACCTGGAAAACTGCTATAGTCCATAAAATTCTGCTGTCTAGATAAAATACATGGATTTGAGACCCAGCCCAGGCCCTGACTTATAGTACGTTGTTGGGAAAGTCAATTAATACTTACATTATTATTAAGAGAGCTCAATGAGATAATGCCTATGACAGCACGTGTAAACTATTAAACATACGAAAGACAAACTTTTTATATTAAACTCCTACTGAGAGTTTTACCTCTTAGAGAAAGGGATTTTTTTTTTGTCCTGATTTTCATTAAAACCCCAAGTGTTTGTGGGCTAAGTACTACTTGTAATCAGATACTACCAAAATAATTCCATGTACTGTACTATTAGAATGTCAACAGTTTTATATGTTTTCCTTTGAGAGATCAAGTTAAGAATTGCCTTGAAATGTCATCCATCCTAGGAAATTTTAGTACCTCTAAATTCTTTATCCAAGATGAGAAATCATCTTTTTATTATTGACTGTTCATCATGTGGAAATCTGTCAGACCTATCAAAAGAACCCCCTTTACACTTTTCTATTCTAAATGCTAAGCAAGATAGCTTTCTGTTCTGAACCCCCCAAAAAAAGAAAAAAAGGCAGAGGCAGTTTAAATTCTCCTGAAGCAAATATTTGAAAGTGAAAAGATAGGTGTTAAATCTATATTTGAAGATTTCCTTTAGTGTTCTTGAAGAAATAATTAATGATATGCTGCCCTAGTATGTGTAAAAATATAAACTGTGCTTGAAACCTGATGTTATATAGGAAATAATCAAGTTCTTACTTCACTTGAGAAAGCTCTTCATTTATTGAAAGCGGCTTTGATATCTATCCAAATATTTTTAATATTTCCAGGACATGACAATTAATTTTACTTATATTTTTCATTCTGTGTGTAACATGCCTTGTAGGTCTTCATCCAGTTCTTAATGAAAATATTGAAAAGAAGATTAAGCATGCAGTCCCACATCATACCACTAATAACATTATGACAGATCTCCATCAAACCTTAAATCAATATTCCATGGCTATTATTGTTCAGCCTACAAATCCACTTAACTGTAATTCTATCCATCTCACTTTATCTCCATTTTAACCCAAAGATTGTAATGATAGCTCAAATGGCTGGGCTGAAATCTTGTTGCATTTTATTTGCGACATTCCTCTAATCTAATTTTTTTGAAGTATAAAAATATCTAGTAAACTTTTTGTTGGAAAATGTGAAGAGATACTTTTCCACAGATCACTTGCATGTCTGCACATCTTACTGGGTATATTAAGAATGCAAGACCGTCACTGATCTTGACCCAGGCCATTTCTCAGGGATGTATCTTTAGTGAGCAACTCTGAAAGATGAAATAATGCCTCCCTGTATGACAGAGAGTAGGCTTGCTTACTGCCTGCTGTAAAATGGCAGGCATCCCAGACTCAAAGATGACAACCTATTCTGTGTGCAGGTATCCATCTAGGCTCATCCCCAATACCACCATGCTATGCTATGAATAATAAAGTCCTTTGTCTCTGACCTGTGAGTATCATGCCTTCTGCCAGCATCCATGAAAAAATAATAGGCTAGCTTATTAACTTATAAACAAGGTAAAATCCTAGACCTAACAAAGTATAATACACAGCAGAGAACACAAGTCTTAAGTATAGAGCTTGAATTATCACAAAGTGTTTACAGTCATGTTACTTCCAGCCTGATTGAGAAATAGGACATGACTATTGAATCCTCTCTCATACACCTTCCTGGTCACTCCCACCCATTCCTAACCACCTTCGTCACCAGGGGTAAGCACTTTGTTGACTTTTAAAAGAGATTAATTTTGCCTATTTTTGAACTTTATGTGAATGATACTGAACTCTCTTTACATATTCTTATTGCCACACATACATCTTCTTTTTGAAGTTCCTTTTGCCCATTTTTATTGTGTTGCTTACCTATTTGTTACTGAATTGTAGGAGTGTTTTATAAAACTTGAATAAAAGCCAGTTCTGAAAGTTCTGGAGATCCATTGCACAACAGTGTGAATGTACCTAACACTACTGAATGGTACACTTAAAAATGATAAAAATGACAAATTCTGTTATGTGGGGTTATTTTACCACAATTAAAAATAAAAAAAAATTTAAAAAATAGCCAATTGTATGGTTTACTTATACTTATTTGTGTAATGATATATTTTGATAAGCAAAAGTTCTTTAAAAAAATATTTTTGGATGAAGTCCCATTATCTTCCCCCTACCCCTCTTTTGTGTGGTTACTGCTTTTGAGTCCTAAGAAATCTTTACATACTCCAAGATCACAAATATATTTTCTTGTGTTTTCTTTTAGGAGCCTTATACTTTAGATCTATAAATCATTTGAAACTAATTTCACCTATGATGTTACCGAGGGGGTTGAAATTATATTTTCCCCATACAGTTATATGTAGTTCTTTCAACTATCAATTCTTTAAAAGACTTCCCTTTCCTCATTGAGTTGCTTCGGTGTCTATGTTATAAATGAATTGTGGGTCATTTCTGGACTTTGTCTGTTCCATTGATCTATGTAATTATCCTGAAACCAAAAACCGTACTTTCTTGATTGAAACTTTGTAGTAATTCTTAAAATTGGATAGTCAAACTCCTCACAGTTTGTTCTTCTGCAACGTTTTTTCTATTGTAGATCTTTTATAGTTCTATGGAAAAATTTAGAAGCAGCTTGTCAAATTCAACAAAAAAGCCTCCTGGGAATTTGGTTGAGATTGTATTAATTCTGTAAATCAATATGGGGGAAATTTACAATATTAAGCCTTCCAATTTATGGACTTGATACATTGTTCCATTTATTTTGCTCTCCTTTCACTTCTCTTAGAGATATTTTGTACTTATCAGTATAAAGGTTTAAAACATCCTTCTTTAAAATTTCTCCAAAGTATTTTGTTATTTGTGGTTATAAAGGATGTTTTTCTAATTTACTTTTCAAGTATTTTTTTCTGGCATATAGAGATATAATTGATATTTTGATAATTGAGTTTGTATTCTGTGACCTTCATAAATTCACTGTTCTGCCAAATCTGGTGGATTTTTTTTTTTTGTAGATTTTTTTTCTTATTTTCTGTGTACTCATAATTTTCTGCAAAGAGATTTTACTTCTTTCTTATTTTTCCATTTTTTTCTGAATTATAGCACTGGGATAGATATTCAGTAAAATGATAAATGGTAAGTAGTAAGTGCAGGCATCCTTGCCTTGGTCCTGATTCTGAGAGATAAGTGTTCAATATTTTACCATTAAGTATGGTGATAGATGTAGGTTCTCCATAGGTGTTCCTTTTAGGACCTAGGAAGTTCTATTCTTTCCCTAGTTTGCGGAGAGATTTTTAAAAATCATTAGTAGATACTGAATTTGTTTAATGCTTTCCTGTATCTATTGATACGATTACATGATTTTTCTCCTTTTCCCCTTATGATGTTGAATTGCTGTAGATTGATTTTTAATGTTAAACATTTACTGGGATAAAACCTACTTCATCATGTTGTGTTACCTTTTCAAAGTATTGCTGCATTCTATTAATGATATATATTGTGCTTATAAAATTTGTCAAATGACATTGTTTTATAATTTCCTTTTCTTATAATATCCTTGTAAGGTTTTAGTATCAAGGTTATACAGGACTCATAAAAACAGTTAGAAATATTTTCTTCTCCTTTTCTAAGAAAATTTGTATATGATTGATTCTATTTTTTTCTTAAGTATTTTATAGAATTTACCAATGAAGCCATCTGGACCTAGAGTTTTCTTTATAGGAAGTGTTTTAGCTACAAATTTAGTGTTCTTCACAATATGGGCTATTTAAATTTTTTTATTTTATCTTGTGTTCACTTTAGTTGTCTTTCAAGGTATCGGTCCTTACATCCATTTGTCAAGTGTATGCCATAAGGTTATTTATCATATCCCCTAATTATTCTTTTCCCATCTGTAGGGCCTGTAAAGATGTTTCATCTTTCAATTCTGATATTTGTAAATTGTGTTTTCTCCCCTTTTTTGGTGGGTTGTGGGAATGGCGGAGAACAGTCTTCCTAGGTGTTTATCCATTTTATTTAATCTATTAAACAACTTTTAGCTTTTTTTTATAATTTGTTTCTCATTGTTGATTGCTGCCCTTTATTATTTCCTTCTTCCTACTTTCGTTTAAATTTGCCTTTTCCTGCCTTGCTTTGTCATTTAGAAATGTATGTAGATTAATTTTCATTCCTATCCTTTTCTGACATAAGCATTGAAAGCTGTAAATTTCCCTCCTAGCACTGTTTAGCTATATACAATAAATTCTGATTATACTTCAGTTTGAATCATGTTCTAATTTTTCTTGTGGTTTCTTTCATTCTTGTCTTTTCTTTCCATGATATATTAGTTTGCTAGAGCTTCCATACAAAGTACCAAGTGACTTAACAAAAATTTTTTTCCCATAATTTTAGAAGCTACAAATTTAAAATGTCAGCAGAGTTGGTTTCTTCTGAGGCCTCTCTTCTTAGCTTGTGTATGGTCATCTTCTCTGTGTGTCTTCACATGATCTTCCCTTTGTCTGTGTCTAATCTCCTCCTCTTATAAGGATACCAGTCATACTAGATTAGGGCTTACCCTGGGGACTTCATTTTACCTGAATTCTCTCTTTAAAGAACCTATTTCCAATTATAATTACATTCTGAGGTACTGAGGGTTAGGACTTAAATATAATAATTTTGGAGAGACAAATTTCAGCCCATAACATATTTGTTATTTAAAAGTGTGTTGCTCAATGTTTGAATATTTGGACATTTTCTTGAAACCTCTTTGTTATTAATTTTAACTGAATTAATTTGAGGTCATATGTTCTGTATGACTTTTATTCTTTAAAATTTATTCAGACTTGTTTAATTGCCATGCACATGGTCCTTTTTGGTGAATATTTAGTGCACACTTGAAATGAATGTGCCTTTTGTAGTTGTTGAGTGTAGAATTCTATGTTCAATTATATTGAGTTGGTTGATAACATACTAAAATCTTCTAAATCTTTATTTCCCTTTGCTCTACTTATTCTATTAATTATTGAGAAAAAGTTTGTTTAAATATCCAACACTGATTATATGTTTGTCTTTTTATCTTAATTTTATTAATTTTTCTTCATTTATTTCTAGAAGTTTAGGCTATCATTTTATATTTACCTCTGCTTGTGTGTGTTTTTTTAATCTCTGAACATATTCTTGGAGGTATAATGGGGTTGTCATTGTAATCCTCATTGGAAAAAAAGTTTCCAATCCTCGGTGCACTTTTTTTTTGGTTTTTGTTTTGGTAGTGGGAGGAGATTTATTTGCTTATTTTGCCTCAATGTATGGACTTTAAATATTAATCAGCCTCAAAAATTTCATGCAACATGTTGTATGTATGTGTAAGCATTTGAGTAGAATATCTATAATTTTTATCACATTCTTAAAGATGTTCATGATTTTACAGAATATAGTAATTATTACCTGAATTTCTGTCCCAGGGACAGTCCCTGAATGTTTCAAAATCTAATTTTATAAAGTATTATAACAATGTTTTTTAGTAATTGGCTCATGACCCATTAATAGGTAATGGAATGAATTTAGTGGTTTTCATATGCATTTACAAATCAAACACAGTAGGAGACATAAGAATATATTGGCCATAGTAAATCTTTCTTTATTAATATTTCTTCAGTTTTATACACACAGGAGTATTTGCACTTGGGATCATAGTGAAAAATGTATTACATATTACGGGTCATGGCCACAGATCTAGAGAGAAAGCATTTGATTCTGAATTGGTAGGTTCCCATTTGCATTGTTTCTTCTTTTGTTTTTAAAACCTAGGCTGAACTTAACAGTTATATCTCCTAGGCTTATCATTTGGACCAGGCAGTAAGTTGCTAATCTAATTTTCTTGTTTGCTTTTTGGTTCCACAGTAGTTTTCTCTGTCTTTGTATTTAAGGTACTAAATTATTTAATCATTTTTTAAAAAGATGGAATGTTATTTCTGATAATCAATAATGGGAAATATTTAAGCAGGCATTTTCCTCCCTCTCAGGTACAAATAGAATCATCTAAGTAGCATCAGAAAATTTTTAGGTGAACAGTATTCCAGAAATGTGGTTTGGTTGAGCATTGGGGTTGAGGTGAGAAAAGGAAGAGAATTATCTGCTGATTGCAAAGATACAAAGATGAAAAGTATTATTTTTCTTACATAGCCAGTAATTGAGGAAGTCAAAGTTTTATTGTTCTAAGATTATTAATGCTCTTCCATATGCATAAATCATTAAGCTAAATAAATCCTTTTATAAAATTAAGAGTAAGTTATATAAAGGGCTAATTTGTTTATTTCTGGATTACCTACTAGGTAGTACCCTATCCCTTGAGTCAGCCAGTATCATTCAAGGGGAATTATAGACAATTCATATAACCCCAGATGGATGAAGTTATCAAGACCTCCTTAAAAAAAGAACAGCCTCTTATAGAGAAAACTATTAAATGAAGATACCTGCACTGAGACATGTGGTTCATCTAAAGAAAAAGGTATTAAGGATAGTGACTCACAAAGTTAAGAGAGATTCTGCAATAGGCTACCCTAGATTTCTGAGGAGTGATTTTCAAATGTGTATAATATAATCCCTAAAGAGTGAAAATGGCAGTTTGTATTTGGCATGGAAATAGGGAGACAGTCAGACTTTGTTGCTTTAGTTGCAGACAGTGGGCTGTGTATAGGGTGGGTGGCAGATCTATGATCTCACTGTATGTATGTATTTGTCTATAAATGTATCAGCTTCATCACATTTTTTAGAAATTGGTGAAGCCACCTTTCCAGCTTTCTCTTTGAGAATTTTTTTAAAATAGTACTGTTGAACCCTGGTAGAGAAAACACATAGTGAAAAGTGAAATACCACTAAGATGGAATTGTTACCCCTTTCACATTTTTTGAAGCATTGTAAACAAATGCTGAAGTACAAAGGGCTGACTAATGGTTTTTACCACTGACTTTAAGGAGGGCAGCATCTCAGTAAGAAATGTGAAAATGATGAAGTGCTAGTGCCTTGTAGCATACTGGCCAACATTTTGTAAGTCAAAAGTGAGAAAGGAGAAGGTGAAATCAGCAAGATGGCAGAATAGAAAGTCTCAGTCCTTGATCCTCTACTGAGACACTGACTTAATAGCAATGTATGGATTAAAATACTTTATGAGAACTCCAGAAACCAGATAAGAAGTTGCAGTACACTGGGCAAGTACAAAGCCAAGAATAGCCATCTTGAAATGAGTGAAAAAAGCAGTTTGACTTTACTAAGCCAGCATAGCTTAGTGCCAGGAGCATATTTCTCAGCTTGCAATTTCTCCTGGGTTTGAGGAAGAGAATGAAATGTTTAGCCAGTATTCCACCTTTTCAGAGATCTCCCCAGAGAACTGGTTTCTGTCTCACCTGACCCCAAACACTGATGAAACAAGCATAGATTAGATGCCTGAATCCATTGAAAACAAGGGAGAGTAGAAGTGGCTTCCTGTGGTACCAAAGGACCTACTGTGCTGCTGAGAAAGTCTGGCTTGGCTTAGTGCCTTTCGGAGGAAGCACCCAACTTGTGGTTTCTTCTTCAGGAGGGAAGAAGATGAGTGGAGTGTGCATCCAGTATTCTGGTTTTTTGGAGGTCTGTCTGAAGGACTGGTATCTGTGTTGCCTACTCACCACTGCTGAGGAGCCAATGGCCTTTGGATCACTGGGGGCACTGAGAACCAAGGAGAGCAGAGTGACTTGCTGTGGCAATGCCACAGAACCTGCGGTAGTACAGCAGACAGCAAATGGAGTGAGAGATTACAAGCTCTTAAAAAAGACAACTGCAAACTTCTCTAGGTGGGAAATTACATGCACAATCTCAAGTCACATCCCCCCAAAAAGAGTTCAGAGATTCCCCAAATATCTAGCTGGACTAAATGGTGTATATATTCCTCTGTATGAAGCCAATCCATAAAGATTTGTAGTGGTGGCTGTTTTTGTAAATGTACAAACTTAGCAAAAAATCACAAGACACATGAAGAAACAGGGAAACATGGCCCAATCAAAGGAGCAAAATAAATTTACAGGCCAACCCCCAAAGAAACAGGGATTTATTAATTACCTGACAAATAATTCAATATAAAGTTCAGTGCTTTGCATGGGAACACAGACAATTAAACAAAAAAATCAGGAAAACAATGAATGAACAAAATGAGAATACTCACAGAGAGGGAAACTATAAAAAAGAATTAAGCAGAAGTTCTGGAGTGAAAGAATACCATAACTGAATAGTAAAATTTAGTAGTGGAATTCAGCAACAGCCTTGATTAAGTATAGGAAAGAATCATTAAACTCAAAGATATGTCATTTGAAATTACAAAATCCAAGGAGTAAAAAGAAAAACAAATGGAGGAAAAGTGAAGAAAACCTAAGGGACTTATGGGACACCATCACATGGACCAATATACACATTAGGGGATTTTCAAAGGATAAAAGTAAGAGAAGGGGACAGAGAGCTTGGAGTGCTATATTGCTTCTCTTGAATGCTTCTAGGAAAATGTGAGAAGACAGATACAGATTAAAGATGAAATTTGTAATCAAAAGGGGAACAGAGCATAAAGATTTGGAAAATTGTCAGCCTTACCATGTTGTAAAAGAATGGGAGAAACCACTGAAGGTGTGGTTGAACCAATTTAATAAGGAAATTAGTCTGGATGGAAGGAAGACAGAGGCTATTCATCAAAACAATGCATTTTGGAGATCTTAGAGGCTGCCACTCCCATCATAGGCCCATATTATCAGGACCTTGAGGGCAGTACACTTTTAAGGGGGCTGGGGAACCCATTGGACCTTGGAGGGTGTTTTCCAGGGATGCTTCAAGTTTCTAATCCTTGCATCCTGGTGTAGTGTTCCTTGGTCACCCCAGATATGGCTCCTGTGGGCCCAGGTGCTGTCCTCTGGAAAGTACAAGCCATAAACCTTGGTGGTGTCCATATGGTGCTAACTGCAGGTATGCAGTGTGCACATCTGTGAAAGCATGGATGCCTCCACCCAGATTCCACGGAGACCCTCAGAGCCTTGACAGATAACTGCCGCGGGCAAAGAGCCACCACAGAGAGCCCCGACTAGAGCAATGCCTAGCAGTCAGGGGCTCAGTGCTACTCCTAAAACCCCAGACCTGTAGAGCCACCAACATGGAAAGCCAGCTTGAGAGAGCTGCAGGCACCCAGCCTCAACCCTTGAGAGCGGCAATGTACACTGCACATAGCCAAGCCATGAGTGTAGGGCTACCCAAGGTCTTTGGGGCAAATACCCCACCCTGGTGTGTCATGAACTTTCAGGGGCCAGGAGACAAATGCTGTGGTTTGAATCAACATCCTCCCTGACCCCCTGGACACACACACTTCTTACCTAAGACTCAATGTGATAATATTAAGAGGTGGGGCCTTCAGAGGTGAATAAATAAAGAGGGAAGAGCTTTATTATTTATTAAGAAATTTATTTATTAAGAAATACTATTATGATGTAGAGTAGTGACTTTATAAAAAGGCTGGAAGGGACTAGCTAGGGGTCCTTTTTTGCCCTTCTATCCCTTCTATAATGTGAGGACACAGTGTATGTCCTCTCCAGAGGACACGGCTTTCAAGGTACCAGCTTGGAATCAAAGATCAGGCCCTCACCAGACACCAAGCCTGCTGACACCTTTATCTTGGAGTTGCCTAAAATGACCTAAATGTAAGATCTGAAAGTATAAAACTGCTAGAAGAAAACATGGATATTTGATTGGACAATGATATTTGGATATGACACCAAAAGCCTAGGCAACTAATGCAAAAATAGACAGGGAGAGTACATCAATCTTAAAAACCTTATGATGGCAAAAAAAAAAAAAAAAAAAAAAAAAAACATCAGAGGGAAAAAGCAACCTAAAGAATGAGAGAAAAGTTTACAAACCACATATCTGATAAAGGTTTAATATCCAGAATAAATAAAGAATTCCTGCAACTCAACAACAAAAAGTAAAAAACCCAATTAAAAAATGAGCAAAGGACTTAGACATTTTCTCCAAGGAAGATATACACATAGATAAGCAAATTGAAAGATTTTCTGTATAACTAAGTATCAGGACAATGCAATCAAAACCACAATAAGGTATTACTTTACATCTGTTAGGATGGCCACTATAAAAAAAGTAGAAGATAAAAAATTTTGGAGAGGATGTGGAGAAAACAGAATCCTGTGCATTGCCGTTATAATCGTGAAAAAGTAAAACTGTGATGGCAAACAGTATGGAGCTTCCTCAAAAAATTAAAACTGGAACTACCATATAATCTAGCCATCCCATTTCTGGATATATATTCAAAAGAATTGAAAACAAGATTTTGAAAAGATACGGTTACACTTGTGTTCATTTCGGTGTGATTCACAACAACCAAGAAGTAGAGGCAGTGTAATATCCACGGACAGATGAATGGATAAAGAAAATGGGGTATATATATAAAATGGAATATTATTCAGCCTTAAAGAAGAAAATTGTGCCAAATGCTACAACATAGATAAACCTTGAAAACATTGTGCTAAGTGAAATAAAACAGCCACAGAAAGACAAATACTGCATAATTCCACTTATATGGGATATCTGAAGTAGTCAAACTTACAGAAACAAAGTAGAATGATGGTTACCAGGGATTGCAAGGAAGGGAAAACAGTGTTGTTGTTCAATGAGTGTAGAGTTTCAATCAAGTAAAACCAAAAGTTCTAGAGATGTGTTGTACAACAATATGTAATATGTTAAGATTGGACTGTACATTTAAAAATTGTTAATACAGTAAATTTATTGTGTAAATTTATGTGGTTTTTACCACAATAAAAAAGTGAGAAAGAAGATTCTTGTTTATTCAGACTTGTTTTAATACAGACATTCCCAACTCTTGCTGCAATGTGTTCTTTACAAGTATTATTTCAATATAATATTTCTGTAATCTGATAGAAGTAGTTTTATAATTGGTGAATGTATTTCTGATCAAAATCTTTACGTTGTGTAAATTCTGACTACGACCAACACATTCTCATAAATATGAAAATTTATGTTTTTAATTATTTAAATAGTAAGATTGTATGACATTTTCTGTTTTTAATTATTTAATAAGATTGTATGACATCCACTGATATCATTGTTTTGGGGATCTTAATATCCCTAAAATATCTGGGTTATGATACATTCAATTTCAGAAAATATTGTTGACATTTGTAAATATTTTACCCTTTTTAAATTTAAATGTATTTGTGGATGTCATTTTATCTCACATCTCTTTTAAAAATGTAAGGAAGCTTGAATTGATGCCTTCTTTTTTTCTCTGCAGGTTTTACTGTAGCAGATAGGTATCAAAATGTAGTATTCCATTGATTTTTCTTTTTGTTTAAAAAAATACCATTGTAGCATTTAAGTATTTGAAGGGTATCCTGGGGGGTTTCGAGCCAACATATTATACATCTGACTTTCCTTTTTTTTCATTCTTGCTTTTACACTGTCTATCAGAGGCAACTTTGAGAGGGATAAGAAGCCAAAAATATAAAATGAGTAGTTTAGCATCAAAGTAGGGAGAGAGGCAGACAGTCGAACTTCTTTGCCTTGGTGGCAAACAGTGGGTTGTGAATGGGGAGGGTGGCAGAGGACTTATGGTCTCAATGTGCATGTGTATTTGTGTGTAAATTTGTGTATCAGCCTCCAGACATAAAAAATTAATTGATAAATCCACCTTTCCAGCTTTTTTTTTTTTTGAGAATTAAGAAATAACAGTACTATTGAACTCTGGTGCTACAAAAACAGAGTGAAAAGTAAAATATTGGTTGAAAATAGACAAAACAATCATAAGCATTATTTCAGTGAAAGGAGCTCCAGCTATATGGAATAATTGAGTAATACAGATTGAGCATCCCAAATCCGAAATTCAAAATGCTCCTTAAAATCTAAATCTTTTTGAGGGCCAACATGATACTCAAAGGAAATGCCCACTGGAACATTTCAGATTTTCAGATTTGGAATGCTCGACCAATCTGTAATGCAAATATTCCAAAATCTGAAACACTTCTGGTCCAAGTCATTTCATATAAGAGATACTACTCTATCTGTACCTTAGAACAGTGGTTGACAAATTTTTTTTATAACGGGCCAGATAATAAAATGTTAAGGTTTTGTGGGCCATACAGACTCTGCAGGCCATCACAACTCTGTCATTATAGCATGAAAGCAGCAATAGACAATATGTAAAGAAATTAGTGTGGTTGTTTTCCAATAAAACTTTATTCACAGAAACAGGCAATAGGCTGGATTGGGCTCAAGGCCATGGTTTGCAGACACTTAGCCTTAGAATTTCAGTAATATCACCAAAATCACCGCCTTAAAAATGTAAGTCAAATAAATTTAGTTCCCTCATCGGTAATATGAAAAGGCTGAATTAGATTATCTCCAAAGTCCCTTCTAATGCAAACATTCTGAGTGTTTGTCAAAGTTGACTATGGCATCTCTCCTCGCAGTTTGCATCATGTCTGGCAAGAGTATAGCTGTTGTTTCTTGAACAAGCAACTTAAAAATACAGTGAAATGTACTCTTTTATTTTACAGAACTGTTATCATAACTGCTATTGGTTATATTCTCAAAAATCACCTGCCAAGGAAAAATGCAAAAGGTTCGTGCTATTCTAGTGTTAGCAGAACATGACCATCGATGAACCTCATCTGAAAAGACTGATGATATTTATTAGACCAAATTAGGAAACCCACACATTCAGCTCTGCATTTGGTCTAGCTGAAGTCTGTTACTTGGGTAGCAAGCTGTTCAGGAAGTACTTTTTTAAAGAAGGAAAAGGAATCAGGAAAGCCAGTATGTTTTTGGAGTCATTTTCTGTTTTTTAGTATTTAATCTTCCTCATCTTGCCCCACAAACCGACCCAATTCTAGCTTATTACTGAGTCTTTTCAGACCTAATGTTTCAGTTTGTTTCTATGGTTTGTTCATGCTACAAGCCATCATCACCCCACTCAGCAACTAGAGCCCTCTCCTGGCTAATCTCCCTTTCTGTGCAGCCCATCTCTCATAAATATACCCTATATGTAGCAGCCAGTATCCTCTGCTTTAGTGTTTGCATCGGTCCTCTCCTCTTCAGGAACTTGTTTGGGTTTATATCCTATTGTATGAAATCTATTCTGTGTTTCATGGGGTGCAGTTTACATCAGCATTCATTGTCGTTTATATTTGTCATATCGATTTTTCCCCGTCATTTCTGATGGGCTGGCTAACAGCCATAATTCTCATCACTGCTGGTTAAAAAGCAAAACATTTTAAAAATAAGAATTCTGAATAATGACATAAATGGACCCCCAAAATAGTTCTCTATGATTTAGTATTTGCCTTGATTACTAGCCTATTTTTTAACAAATAATTGAATGTAGCTAAACCAAACTTCTCAGGAAACAAATTGGTATCCTAAAAACAAGGGTAATTAATTATACATTTTATACATCACTGGGAAACTGATATATCTTAATTGAATAAACTCTGAAGTTTGTTGAAGATAAATTAAGATCCCTATGATTCAATGACAAGAAGTCATTAGTGGCATTGCCCTGATGATCTCTTCTCTCCAATTACAAATTATAAATTAATATTCTTGTTGCATAATAATCTCACTGAGTTTATGTTTAGTGTGATCGGTTCCTCTGAGCCCCATTAATACTGAAAGAACAGGTGAGATCAAATTTTCACAGCACAGAGTAGCAGAAATCTTTGAGAAACAGTTGTTGAAAATAATAGCCACCTATCATCTCATTAAAAGTTGGCTGCAAACAATAATAAACACTTCTACTTGTTTCAGATATTTAATATATATATTTAATCCTCAAAGTGACCTTCTGATACAGATATTATCTTATCCGTTAGATATCTTCAAATTGCTAATACAGAAGATGTATAAAAAACTCTATAGGCTTTATTCAGTTAATTGAAAAACTTAGAGGCAAGTCACACTACAGGCAGTATGTAATTTGGTGGCTCAGGCGTGTCACCAATGGCTAGTATCTTCACTCTTTTCTGCTTTCCGTGAATGCATCTTAGGATGCTTTCATCCTAAGGCTGCCAATCTTCACGATATTATGTGATGTCATGTTTATGTCTGGTTGTACTTCTTTCCTGGCACTTCTCTCAAAAAATAGTTTCTTTCACTCTTCAAGCATCTTTGCCTCTCAGTGTTATCTAATCTTCTTAAGATTTGTGCCTATTCCTGAACCAATCACTTGGGCAGGGGAAGAGATTTCATTGATTGGGCTAAGCCAGTCTAGGACCACCCTTATTACTGAGGGTCAGGTTAAGTCAGGTTAATACCCTCCAAAATGGTAGAGGGGCAGTCTCATGAAGGAAATTGGGATGAATCAGGGAAAATAGATGTTATACAGCAAACACCAAGTCCCTACTACAACCCTTTCTCATTTGTTTTTTACAAAATAACAACAACAATAATAGTAATAGTATAAATAGTAAATAGTATTTGTAACAGTATATAAATATATAATAAATATATAAATATAAATATATAATTATATAAAGTATAATAGTATAATAAATAGTAATAGTATTTATTGTGTGTACTGTGTGCTAGGCACATGCTTGATACTTTAAATACATTTTAGTCTTCAAAGCCGTCTTGAGAAATAAATGGTATTAAATGTCTGTTTTCCAGAAGTTTAGAAAGATTAAACAGTTACCCAAAGCCGCATGGTTAATCAGACCTAGGTCAGTCTGACTTAAATGTCCATGTCTTTTCACCAAGTCATGCTATCTCCCTAGTAAACCATAAGCTGACTATTAAGAACATTGTAAGTATTGTCTTAGAAATTTATCATTATTATAGAATTCTAGGAAATAACCTATCCCATTTTGGTTTAATGTGCAACATACCCATACAGAAAAAAGTCTTGATAAGCAGAATTACAAAAGGGGTGTGAGTTATCTTTTTTTTGCCTACTTTGAGCACCAAGATCCTTATTGCAATGGTCAGGTAGGATACTGTATGCTATATGTATCCATATGCATATATACCTGTGTGCTGCATGTATGAATATTGCATATATCACAAATTCTAAGAGAGGTTTTTGTATTGGCACTTAATGAAAATGACAAAAGAACAAGTTGAAAAGGACAGGCTCTGCCTTCTAAAATAACTTTACAGTGAACACTAAAGACTATGTCATCTGATATCAGCCTTCAGTTTGTCACTTAGTGGTGATAATCGAGTATTGTGGCTAAGGGAATATCTCTGGCCCAGTCTGAGTTATTTTCTGGGTGTCCTAACTTTAGTCCCATATTCTGCCTCCTGGGGAGTTTATTTCTTGCTTCAGGGTTCTTAATACTTGTACTTGCGGAAGGCTTGGGCTTTCAATAATGATTCATAATTATTTAATTTTTATTGAGGTCCTTGCTTCCCTCTAGTTTTCTACAAAAAGCTGACTAGGCTTGTGGAATGGTGGAATTGTGTTCCTTTACTTAGTATTTGTATATCTGTGGCTTAAATAACTATAAATTGGAAATAAATTTAAAATTTACTTTCCTAGATTTAATGACTCGAAGCAAGAAATTGTTCTAAGGCAGAAATATTGTTGGATTAACTACAGAACAATCAGAAACCCCTTGTGTATCTTTGACTATGTTACAGTATTTGGAAAGAGTTGTCTATAGCTCTGCTTTCCTAGTACTTTATTTTCTGGACATCACTTTTCATTCATTATTTAATGCTATTTAAGTGTAGTGTTTTTCTTTGTTTATTAATATATTATGTACTATTAAACAATATTTGGTAATTTGTTGAATAATAGTTTATTTGTTAAATAATTTGTTGAATAACAAATGTGTGTTGGGAGTACAAAGTATTATATCAAGAAGTAAATTTTTAAAAGGCAGGAGGCAGATGATAAAGTGCTAACTGGAAAAAAAGTATCAGGATTCTACAGAACAACACTGGGGTTATGTCATATGCTGCTTTTAAATCAAATTGCAGAAAAGATCATTTCATTTAAAAGTTAGTCTGTAGCTCAGACAGAATACTATGTGGTTTCAAAAGCAGAAGGGTACACGTTTTCTAAAGCAGTTACATATATCTAACAAAAGAATTAATATGTGAATATTGGTTCAAGTAATAGCTTGAACTAAATATTAATTTCAAGTCTATTTTAATAGGCATTTTAGTACCTATTAAAGTTGATAAATTAGTGGAATTTTACTTTTCACTATTGAAATCAGGTTTTGTTCCGATTTTTAAGTAAAGCTTGATAGAAACTATTTCAGTCATCATCCTGGTAATTTAATATATTTGGTATTCTCTTAAAAATAACAGGAAAAAATTGACACCGTTAAGTTTATGTTTAAAGCATATAGCTTATTTGATTTTGTTAATGGCTCACCTAAATTTGTATAATACTTAATCTGTGAATAAGAGAAAAGGTTAGAAAAGAAGAGGATATTTAAAGGAGAGTTAGGCAGATGTTTATTTTCTAGGTATTCTCATTAAGGAAAAAGCCACTAAGTCTTCACCTCTATAGCTTTTCTACTTAAGAAAGCATAGATCCCTGGTGAAGAAAGTAAAAGAAAAAAATAGTCTAGAAATGGCAAATAAAATGCTAATCTCTCTTTTAAAATTCTGGCTTAATATCTGGGGGCCTAATAGAGAAAGTGGGAAAGATTGTTTTTAGAGAACGTATATTTTAATATACTTTAACTCTTTTTTTAATAGTGCAATAAACTATAAAGTAACTAAAAAGAAAAATAAGCCAAAGCTTTGAATGTTAAGAGTGAATGCAAAGTTTATGGTTGCATTAGTCAGTATGGTAGTCACTGACCATATGAGGCTCTTGAGCTCTTAAAATGTGGCTAGTGCTTCTAAAAAACTGAATTTTAATTTCATTTCATTTTAATTGATTTAAATTAAAATACTGATATTGATTCAGTAATTGGAAAATTTTAAGCATATTTGGAACATCTTGGGTATGTGAATCTACTTTTCAGCTGTAAATTTAATGAAATCTAAATATAGATCAGATATTTCAGATGAAATTTACATCTAAATTGAGATGTATCATAAATGTAGAGTAAATATATTTCAAAGAGTGTGATTTTAAAATGTAAAATATCTCAACTAAAATTTTCATATTGACATATGTTGATATGTTTTGGATATGTTAGATTCAAGAAAACTATATTATTAAAATAAATTGCACGGTTTAAAAAAACTTTTTAAATATTTTTAAAAATTTTTTAAAAATGTGGCTACTAGTAAACTTCAAATTACTACTTAGCTCATGTTATGTATGTCTTGGACCATAAAGGTTTAAGAAGGTTTTCTAAGACTTCACTGGAATTTATTTGATACATAAAAATACATTCTGGGTCAGTGAGTAAATCAGGCCAAAATCATAGCATTTTTCTTTTTCTCTCTGTCCGGACACTGCTATCAGTTATGTTGGTGTGAATAGTCTAATTTTTTAAGCAATCACTGAATCTAATAGCTAATCCATATAATTTACTTTTTTGTAATTAGCTTTTATAATTTACTTTTTACATACTCATATTTGACTCATAATAATATAGTTTTCATGTGGTATTAGAGAAAAGCAAATTCTATAGATTTTAGTGAAGCAAATTGGTAAAAACAGTGATAAAGGAAAAAGTATGATTTTTGTATATTATTATGACCTGGATAATGTACAATATGAAACACTTAAAGTACTTAAACGGTATCTAGAAGAGATTATGGTGTCTGTTTTCTAATATGTTGTGTTCTTTTCATGTTTTCTGTTATCCTCACGTCAAACAAATTGGGCAAAAAGCATGGCCAAATGTGTAATGCATTTTGCTCTGTCAAATATTCCTAATAGATCCAAATAGATGATAAATGTGACTTTCATCATAACTTTGTCTCATTGTTCATCTATCAATTCCTCTAGGAGGTGATTTCCTCACCTTTCTGAGAAGGAAGAAGGATGAACTAAAACTCAAACAGTTAGTGAAATTTTCATTAGACGCTGCTGCTGGTATGTTGTATCTCGAGAGTAAAAACTGTATACACAGGTAAGGAGAACATTTTTAAAGCAATTTTTGGTTTTATTAATAGAATGCTGGAAAACTGATGTATTTGCTACAATAGAAGTCATTTTCTTTCATGAAACATGTCTTTTCTTGTTTTCTGTATTTTGTGTGAAAGTGTCCTCTGCTAGTTGTTTATATAGTTTATACAAACACTCCTTTTTCCTCTTACTTGAAGTGAGTACCTAATTAGACAGTCATTTGCCTACTAGTTAGAATTTGTTTTATTATAATCATGAACAACGGTGACATGGAATGTACTACAATTTAGTAATATAAGAAACTACAGCCTTATAATCAGATAAGATTGTTTCATGTGTTGTCTATTCTCATTTTCCAAAGAAATTACATATGAAGTCATGGAAAAGCATAATAGTAAAACAGCAATTCATAACAGTGAATTTGGTCAAGGGTAAAAGATTTTCAGACTCATTTAATGCTCTTTTGGACAAATTAATTTTTCTTTCATTTTAGTACCTCACTAATTCATGGCATCGTATTGAGAAAATAAATACTAGTTATTTCAAAGGAGATTTTATGAAACTTGTTCTGATTGTATGTAGTGACCTGGTCTTAATGCTTTATACATTGTGGTTTTAGTTGCTTGTAGCGGGAATTGTTTTTTAGTGCTAAATGTCAGTACAATTTATGATCTGTTGCAGAATTCATGTCAGATCCTAAATATGGCTAAGTATAAATAAGCACAATGAAGTGGAGAACTGATGCAGTTTTTATGCACCAGAAACTGTGCATAATACTGTTTAATGTGGAGCAAGGTTCATTGCTAGAGTGAGCTGTTGTACACTTTATCTAACTGGTTTTGTTACTGAAGTATACTTTTCTCTGAGGGGAATCATTGTCCAGGCTTTGCTTTAACACTCTAGTGAGGTTGTATAATATATAATTAAAGGAAAACAAAGTTACCATCACCTTAACTATACATTTATTTGATCTCAATAGATATTTTTGACTTAATTTCCCCATGCTCACCCCAAATTTTACTCAGTGTTCAGCTTTATTCTGAAACTATAATTATGACCTGTATTTTAAATATGGTTCAACAATTGCATATATTTTAAAATTCATTTCTATGGAGATATTTCTTTTGGAAATTAACTAAAAATAAGACATTATCATTGCATTTCTGTTTTACTTTCTATGACTGTAGATTGAATCACATGATAAGAATTGACTTAAAAAGCATTTGATTCTGGATAAAAATTGTACTACCATTAATTTCATTAGTGGTCAACACTGTGTTAAAATTAACCATAAAGGTTTTGCTCTTCATTTGGAGAAAATCTGTAATTTTGGTTGCCGAGGTATTGAGGTGCTTCAAATTCTCTCTGGTAATTACTCCTTTTGTCTCTGATTTATTTCATACCATTAGACCGCCTGTGGGCTTTAAACTGTAATAAATACACATTATTGAAACTTTTTTTAATTTGTCAGTTACCATGACTCTTCTTTAATTTCTGGGACATTGCATTTGAGAGGACCATTGTTTCAATCTCTTGCTACTTTTTGTAGTGATTATTTTCTTAAAAAATGGGTCACTGTATAAATGCCTATGTCATGAGAATTGAAACTATTCTACATTGTAGATGGCAGTTAGCTTTTTTGAATTCATTTCCCTCTCTAAATCATAATATTATCTGCTGTAATGTTGTTTTTCCCACTTTGCTTTTTAAGAATTTTCATGCCTTCACAAATTTTTGAAAGTTAACCCTTTCTTGACCACATATCCTAGCAGGTTGTGCATAGACCTATGCCATTTGCCTACTGGGAAGGTTTCCCAGTTGAACATCTTGAACAATGTCAGTGAGAGCGGGTTTGACAAATAGGTTTCAACACTAGCGCCAACTTTTAGTGAATGGTAGTGGCTCTCCCTGTATATGTTGAGAAGAATTCTAGGAACAGCCATAAAGAGTCCAGTGATCAATTAGTCACATCTGCCAGGGTACTCACGAGTATTAACACACACGCCCCAAATTTGTCATCCTTGGCATAGAATATCTTCTTTTTGTTTTTATTCTCATAAATACTTTTCTGACATTTAAAAATGTTTGTTATGACTTTTCCTTACTAGCAACAATATAATGTTTTTCTTTAATCACTTTCATTTAATTCTTCTAAACTATCTGGTTTCTTATTTCCTTTGTTAATCTTGAGTGCTAGATGAATTTTATGATATCTCCCAACTAGTGGTCCTTTGTTCCTCTTCAGACTCATTAAATGCTCTTTTGGATACATTGTTTTTTTCATTTTAGTACTTCACCAATTCATACTATTGTATTGATAAAATAAATTATTCTTTGTGTTGAGTTTTTTTATAGTAGTGAATTGTGCTGTAGAACCCTGTTCCTATGTGCCAGCCTACATAGTTCTTTCTTTGGAAATAGTAGTTGCAATAGAATTTTACTTGATGTAGAGTTAAGACATAGATTATGTGTTTTTGCTCCTAAGAAATATGAAAGAAAAAAAATATAGGATTTACTACAGTGAACAGTTTTTTCCTCACTGAAAAAATTTTTAATGAATTAAAATAATGTAAAACATGATTGAAAGTTCCCTTTAGTTTTTCAGGTAATGAGGAAAGGTTCTAAGTCTCATTTTTATATGCCAAAACATAACAAAAATAAATGCATGTCTATGAATTACAAAGCCAAGCTTTGTGTCCAGCAAATTCTAGCAAAAATTTTAAATCTTCTTTAAATTTTATATGAATTTACAAATTTTATCCTGTTCACTGACGGGAGGTCACTAGAACTCAGTATATAGTTGAAAATATTTCCAATTGTCTCTTCCCAAAATAGTGTTTTTAACTTTTAAGGACACATATTCTTTCTTTAGCTTTGTTTTATTGTTTTGATATGAGAAGAGCAGTGTTTCATTATAGGAAAACAATTATGACAACTATAAAATGGAAAGAGGTTACTGCATTAAGAAATGACCTGCATTTGGAAGTGTTCTTGTTGTAATTTCCATTTAACTTCCAGAAGAGTTCTCTTGCTACAAGTTTCTAGTGGAAACTATTTCTGTTTACAGCTTGAGGATTGCTGTATAGTTGGAATTTTGGGTTAGTTTTAATCAACGGCATTTTATTTAAAACTATTCTGTAGGCCAGTGTGAAATTTTCTTTCCTACTTGTACTTTATGAACTGTTTGAAATACACTGATAAACTTTGTGGTGTGTGTATGTTTACTTACAAAGGTATGTTACTAGATTGTTAGATGTCATCTGTAAAGAATACTCTGATTTTGAAGTTAAGGGGAGTCAGGATTGACATACTTGATATTAATGGTAATGGCATTCATTTATGGTTTTATTCTTGATGAATCCTACTGCCAAATTTGTTTTTATTCAGGTTTATTTCTAAAAGTTGGCTTTGTGCCATTGTTCTTTGATATCTTCAGAAAGTAAAAGGAGGACACACTTTTTATTGCCATATACTTGAGTGAAAGCCCACAATTTATGGGGAGTTTGGGGAACATTTCTTAATTTCGTATGTCATTGTCAATATCAGAAAAGATATATTTTGGAGGGGTTAGGTAGAATATGATTTCTTTTTCTAATTTTCAACTCTATACTGATTCTCTTCATGTTTGGTTGCTCTAACACAGTGATTTTTGTTTATCATGGAGTAAGCTAACAACTTTACAAATTAAAGTATATTAGACCACATTTATTTTATTAATCAGTCAGAGTTTTGCTTATGCATTGAAGACATTGATATTTCCAGTGTTTCACAAATGTGGGCAGTTGACTACTCTATGCCAGGGGCTACCAAAATGAAGATTATAGTCACTGCCCTCAGATGGATAGAACAAAAGTTAACAATAATGCAAAGAGATAGTCAATTTTGTGATAAAATCTACAGAATTCTTTGGGAGTAATATCAAGAGAGTCTAATATGACCTGTCAGTATGGGGACGATGATGGGAATAATCAGGGAAACTTTGCAGAGGATACCCTCTGAGTGAGACTTGGTGGATGGGTGTGTCACTGAATAGAAGGAGTAAGAAGATTCCAACTGAAGGAAAATTGAAAGCAAAGTTACAATGCTTTGTAAGAGAGAGCTTGACTTAATTGTGGACATTTTGTTGAACGAATATGAATTTTAACTGAAAAAAGAAAACTAATTTGAACAAAATTTACAAAACCCTAAAAAATGTATAATCTCATGAAAATGTATATGAGACCAATATTTTTTTTTCTTTTTTTTGAAACGGAGTCTCACTCTGTCGCCCAGGCTGGAGTGCAGTGGCGCCATCTCGGCTCACTGCAAGCTCTGCCTCCCAGGTTCACGCCATTCTCCTACCTCAGCCTCATGAGTAGCTGGGACTACAGGTGCCCGCCACCACGCCCGGCTAATTTTTTTGTGTTTTTAGTAGAGACAGGGTTTCACCATGTTAGCCAGGATGGTCTCAATCTCCTGACCTCGTGATCCGCCTGCCTTGGCCTCCCAAAGTGCTGGGATTACAAGCATGAGCCACCGCGCCCGGCCAAGACTAATATTATTCTTAAGCTTCATTGGGAAAACTAATTTAGGAAGGCTAAGATTGCCAGGAAGAGAGTAATATTATATTTCATTTATATATTCTAGAAGAGATTGCCTTGTCCAGTGATTTCTAATAAGGATTACCTATGTGTACTTTTTTAGTTAAATGTAAGATACTGCTTCCAGCTTATATTTGTGTGTGTGTGTGTGTGTGTGTGTGTGTGTGTGTGTGTGTGTGTGTGTTTTGAGACTTCATATTTTATTAAGTAAAAGATTTGGTATGCTTCTGACCATTTACATTTTTCCCGATGATCTTTGAGGATTTATTTCTCTATTTTTGTACTGAAAATGATTACCTAGTGTCTGAGCTTTTCCTAAACTGTGAGTATACTGAAAAAGTATTTTGTCCTTGGTGCACCTTCAAATCATTTAAATGGTAAAATAAAGACAAAATAAATAAAAATAAAATAAAATGTTTTCTGTGACGTTTTGAACCCTTCATCATTTCTGTCACTCGTGATCTACCATATACTCAATTGAAGGCACTGTAAGACCACTTTAAGTAACTGAGACCCAGAGAGATTAAAGGAAGGTCACCTAAACAATTAGTGGCTGGGCCACTGCTAGGTCCTAAATGTGCTGACTCCATTCTGACACATTTCCTGTAATTCCAGTGCCAGTGTTTTGCTCTGTCTCATTCAAGTATTAGTAACCCTAACAGCTGGCATTTATTAAGGGCTCACTGAGTACTAGACACAGTTCTTCTAAGTGCTTTAGATGCAATGTCTGAGAATGTCAGCTTCCTGAGATCAGTGATTTTTATTCATATCGTTCACTAATGGATTCCAAAAGCCTGGAACAGTGCCTAGCAATTGAAGCTAAATGAATGAACCTTCAAAACAATAGCGGTACTATTGTTTAAGCCCGTTTTACACATGAGGAAACTCACAGTTAGGGAGTTTGAGTATCGTGCCCAAGATCATATTAAAAACAAGTGGTAGTTTCAGGATGTGAATCTCAGCACTCTGGTTCTAAGGCCACACACTGAATCTACTCTACTGCCTTGTACAACAGAGGTATCTTCTGATTACCTAGGAAAGTCAAGGCAGAAGGCCGAATGGTATTTGATGTGATGACTAAGCTTATATTTAACATCTGCACTCTGTAATGATCATGAGCAAAAACAGAAGAGGGTTCTGAAGGCTGTGAAACATAATTTTAGAAAGACAAACCAAGATGTTTTTATCATTTAATGAACAGTTGCTGAAATGCAGGAGCATTTTGTTGTTGCTTCTCTATTTAATAAGAGTTTGAATTTTTTTTCATTTTTATATACTGTTGTTTAGAATGCCCCCTTATGCTTTATCTGTTAATTAAACACACAGGATTAACATAGAGATGTGATAATCTCAGTTAGTTGACTAAGCATTTATGACTGATTTTCTTGTTCTGACATTTGATTTACAATTTTGAATATATTAAGCTGTATTTTTATTTTTAGCTTTGAAACCAATTTTGCTATAATACAGAGAGGACTGCTCAATAATTTTAAATGTATTAAGAATATATAGTCCTTCTTTAACCCTTTTTTCCTGTTACAAATTGGTATTTGTATATGCAGTGCAATTATCATACAAAGATAATGTAAGTGAACACCTTTATAAAAATTTTTTATCCTACTGCTTTATTCAGGGTAAAAATTTCCCACCACTAGTTTCACTCATTTTAATTAAGGACTTTTCCCTAAAGACACATGTGTAATATGTTTCCAGGAATGAAAAAAGAGACCTTCCTTTATGTTAGCCAATTAACATCTTGGCTTGGGTTAATGTACCAGCATATCTAGCTGCTACTTTAGAAAACAAAAATGAGAGATTTGGAGTAAAGGGTCAGAGGACAGTAGTTAACTATTTATGGTTACTGGTAGGAAAGATGCAGTATATGCAGAGACTGTTGAGGACTTAAGGGCAGTCCATTGAGCACACTGAAAGTCCTTGAGAGTGAGAGGAGAAGGAATGAAGGGAATAGTAGTACATTAAGGCTATTTCATGGTTTAGTTAGGGCTAGCCATGTCCTGTGTTACACAGATAAGATAGAAGAGAAAATTGGCTGATGTCTCATATTCTTCCTCATTTCTGACTTTTTTCCAGTCAATTACAATAAGTACATTTTGGATTCAGAATGTCAAAAAAGTGATCTTTTACATTAAACAATTACAAATGGTTACAGTTACCATTTTTCTTTTAGGGAATATTTGATTACAAGGAACAGAAACTAAGCCATAGGAGTTTTTCTTTTAACTTTTATTTTAGGCTCAGGGGGTACATGTGAAGGTTTGTTATACAGGTAAACTCATCTCACAGGGGGTTGTTGTACAGATTGTTTCATTATCCACGTATTAAGCCTAGTACCCAGTAGTTTCTTTTTCTGCTCCTCTCCCTCCCTCCACCCTCTACCCTCAAGTAGACCCCAGTGTCTGTTGTTCCATTCTTAATATTTATAAGTTCTCATCATTTAGCTCACACTTATAAGTGAGAATATGCAATATTTGGTTGTTCCTGTGTTAGTTTCCTTTATCATAAGGAAAGTTATGGGGTTATCTCACAGAACTCAAGGACTGAAAGTTCAGCCAGGCTTTGGAGTTCTTGAAACTAGTAACCGGGAAGCAGTCAGGGACCAAGGCAGGATCTCTTTTTGTCTTTCCCTGTGTGTTCATTTGGAGTTTCATTAATGCTTTTTAACGTGTTGCTGCTCATTTTCCCTTTCACCTTGAAGACTACATTCCTCCACTCCTCTTGCAAAGGGCCCTCAAATGACATTTAGGCTAATATAACCTGCCAGGCCCAGCATCTGCAGGTAATTAATTAGTCTTTGAGCTCAAATTTCAAATTATGGACACAAATAATTGGCCCAGCTTATATTAAATGTCTATCCCAATTTTAATAACATGGCTAGACAGAAAAGAGTGTGCAGGGTCACTGTTACCTAGAGCTAGAGGAGCCAATCTCTTGTGTGCAAGGGGATAGTTCTCAGATGATGGGGCATGTACTAAAAGGCTTCAAAAGATGGCTATCGTACACTCATGGAGAGCTCACTGTTTGCCAAGTACATTCATATGCTCATTTAACCTTATATTTCTATGAGATTGGTACTATTTAATCTACATTTCATAATGGAATAGATTGAGCCACAAAAGAGTAAGTAACTTTTCTAATGTCACACAGCTAGTAAGAGGAAGATTCAGGCCTATTCTGAGCTGATGATAAAACCTGTGAAGTAAAGCAAAAGAATTAAACTATGTATTAGATATATTTATCATTTTCTTCCCTTTTGTGAAGATGATCAGCCATATGGATATCCCTCTTATGAAGCAAACTTAAAACTAATAAATGCTGATTTAGAGAAAGCCTTGTTGTAGGGAGAAGAGAATCTTTTATAGATCCTATCTCTGTATTTTCCTGGGATGATTCATTCCCTCACATTTCATGTCACAGGGACTGCCAGTTGGTCCATTCAGTCTCCTTAAATCCTATGTCATACCAAGTCCATCCAACAGGCAGGAGATCAATCTCAGTACAGTGGAATTGGGTTCATGATTATCTCCAAAACTTGGCTGACCATTGGTTCAAGCATTGATTTGAGAATTCATGTTCTCAAGTCAAACCTGATTTATGATAAAGTAACTCACTTTTTCTAGTTAGTCTTGATCAAATTCTGGGGAATTCATCAGAACATAGATGACGCAGAAACAAGTTTGACCTTCTGGCTTGCAAATTATCTCCTACTTTCTGGCCTCCAAGGCAGGATTGGAGCAATCAACATACAGAACTAGAGAACTCTAGCTGGACATTGACTCTCAATTTTAAAAATTACTGGGTTCTTTGCCCAATTATTGTTTTAAAATATTGTTCATCATTTTATTAAATACAAAAGCACTACAAGAAATCCTTTTCAGTCCCAGGCTTCTCTTTTAAAGTGTTCTGTGCCAGTCTGGACTGTTTCCATCCACATTGCCAACTCTGATATCTATTAAGTGTAAGCATTTGCAGAGCAGTTAGCAGCTTCAGCATCGTGGCTAAGACCACCGATTTGAAACTGGAATGCTCTGTGCATGAATCCTAGGTTTTCAACAAATTAGCTGTGTGATTTTAGACCTCCCCTCCTCCCCACCTGGGAATTCCCTGTAACCCATAACCTGTTTTATTTTTTGTGATAGTCCTTACTATCACCTGTTTATTTTATTTATATAAACATACACATGTATGTGCATATATTCACATGTATATATGCTTATGCATGTATTTATATAGACACATATGTAAAATAACTGGTTTCCTTTTTATTGCTTATCTCCCCCAACTCCCCCTCAAGTTCCATGAGGACATTGACTTTATTTTGTCCATTACTTAGTACTCAATACAGAGCTTCTAGTCATTGCTCATCAAAAATTTGTTGAATGAGTGAATGAAGTTACTTACTATGCTTCATTTCTTCCAGTATAAAATCAGGATGATAATATTCACTCCAGTACACTGATTCAGGTTAGAGAAGGCAAGGCTACTTAAGTAGCAAAGGAGTATCTGAAGGCTTTCCACTCCCCACAGCATCTCAGGGGGACCACAACTTAAGAAGAAACCACACACGCCCATACCATTTTAAGATTAGATTAAGTTGTCTGTTTAGCTGAAGATACAGAAATGTTCCAGAAAAAGATAGCCACATAAAGCAAGAGCAAATGCACGATATTTCAATTCACCTTACCATGGTCCCCAGAGTTTCTAATAGTGACACTATCTAAAAAGGGTAGGGCCTTGTTGAATCTGAGATGCTCATTTTCTTGCTAATTATACTCCCATTCAGGGTGTACTTATACATCTATGTAGGTTTGTTGAATGTAAAGTTTTAAACATAGGGCTATACTGGTTTTTGTGCCAAATCCGGTGTTAACAAGGTTGAATCCTTACTCTGGGAAAAATGCAAAGTTAAAGGCGGGCTGTCTCTAGGCACTGTATCTCTGACTCCACTCATATCTCCATAGTCTGCTACTTCACTTTCATTACCCCTTTAGCTAAGTGTTACCAATACTGAGTATGTTTTGGCCAAGCATTCTTCAAGATTCTCTGGCTACAGTGATGAATGAAACAAAGCTCTACCCTTAGGGAACTTTAGTAATTGGGGAAAGTGGATAATAAACATATTTTTAAAAAATAATAATCAAATATAAAATAGTCCATGTGTTAAAAAGTGATATAGAGGATAATAGGACAAAAGAGAAAGGGATGGTGGAGATGGGCACCATTTTATATAGGGTGTTAAGAGAAGACCCAAAGGAGATAAAAGAGTGAGCCATGTGAATATCAGTGAGAAGAGCCTTCCTGGCAATGAGCATTGGAACTGCAAGATAGAACAGAGACAGGGGCATGCTAGGTGTGTCAAAGTAAGCCAGCAAGGTCAGAAAATTAGGTGAGTTGTTACATGGCCAGATCATAAAGTTCTTGTAAGCCATTGAAAGGACTGTGGCTTTTAGTCCACATGAGGTGGGGGTAATTGATGGCAATTTGATCTGTTCCAGGTTTATGAAGAATCAGTGGAATTCTTTTTTATATATTTTTTAATTTTATTATTATTATACTTTAAGTTTTAGGGTACATGTGCACAATGTGCAGGTTTGTTACATATGTATACATGTGCCATGTTTGTGTGCTGCACCCATTAACTCGTCATTTAACATTAGGTATATCTCCTAATGCTATTTTGTAATTCTAACAATTTTAACGTATTACTCCATCAAACTGTAATGAGCCAAATGAAAGAAAAACATAACTCATAGCTTCTTTTCTACTGGGACGCTACTATATGCTGACTGCTGTGCTACTGGTGATACAATCATGAGCAAGATGGACAGAGTACCATTCCTCCTGGCATTGTTTTATCACACTATGTAATTCTTGTAATGGAAGAAAAATGAAGACCTTGAAATTAATGGCACTCAGAGTCTTAGCTACAGTTTTTTATATTTAAATTGGACATATGTTTCCCAAATAAGTTCTAGATCTTTAGAAGTATACTTTGTTAATAGTATCCTAGTTCATAGACCCATTGATTTTGAGAGATAAGTAAAATTAAATATGTGTATAATTTATAGAGGGTTATATTTTCCATCTGGGGTCTCTGGTTTTATGACTTGTAAATGAACACAGGTAATTATTATTTACCTAAGTGAATAACCGTGTTGTTGCTAGTTAACAAAAACAACAGATCATGGCTAATTTTTGGAGAATCAATGTTATCTATAGAACTAAGGTGACATGAAAGAGAAGATGTCATTTATTTGCTATTATGTTTGGTATAAAAAAAGGCCATTCCCTTCTAAAGAAAGATTATGTACTCTAAAGCAAAATGAACTCTATTGTATAGATTGGTGCAAAAGTAATTGCAGTTTTTGCCATTGGAAATAATGGCAAAAATCACAATTGCTTTTGCATCAACCTTATAATAAAAAATTCTGCTTCATTAGTTCATTCTCACACTGCTATAAAGAACTTCCTGAGACTGATAATTTATGAAGAAGAGAGGTTTAACTGACTCACAGTTCCACAGGCTTAACAGGAAGCATGACTGGGAGGTCTCAGGAAACTTACAATCATGGCAGAAGGCGAAGAGGGAGTAAGCACTTTCTTCACATAGCAGCAGGAGAGAGAGAGACTTTTAAACCATCAAATCTCATAAGAACTCACTATCATGAGAACAGCATGGGGAAAACCACCCCCATGATCCAATCACCTCCCATCAGGTCCTCCCCCAACATTGGGAATTATGTAATTCAACATGAGATTAGGGTGGGGAAACATAGCGACACCATAAGAAATTCTTGCATAAAATAACTTAGAATGGTTACTGTTTGTGGTCTGGTGTGCCTATTTTTACTTCTTATGGACACATATTTTTATTATAGAACAAAAACACCTGCTTATTATGCTCTTAAATTAACCTTTTAATGCTGAACTTCTTTTATTACACAGTTTTATTTGCTTTTTGTGGGGAAAGAAGTAATGCAAATTTAAAAGAGGGTTATAATGTTAACCTACCTCACAGTCACTGTTTGTTTGTTTTTTTTTAGGTTAAATTAAAATAAGACATAGATAAGTTTTGAGAAAACTAAATGGCAGTTCAAATTATAGTAGTATTAAATTATTATCCAGTTGTAGATGAAGAGGGAGTTAGATACCAAGGTATATTAGAAAATGAAAAGAAAACAAAGATAGCTGAAGGAATAAATAGGTTGAAGAAGGTGCAAGTTAAAAAAGGTTTGAATGGGATAAATGTAGATGGTGATCATTATTCTAATTAAGAATGCAGCCTCTCTATGTATCCACTATAAAGGGACCCTGTGTCAACTATAATGTAGCTGAAGTAAAACTTACTATTGGCATCCAGTGCTGGTCATCTCAGTGGGCCTTCCCTGGTGTGGGCCACTGCTTCAAAGCAGGCTCTGAGAGAGATCACTATGCCCGGAGGTTTTGGCTGCACCTCTCTCACTCTCTCTTTCTTTTTCATATTTCCATCTTTAACATTTTATTTACTTGGAAGAAAAATACTGCAACATTAAGAAAGTTTTAGCTGGTGTGTTTCGACCTTAGTTTTCTTGTCTTTATGAGGAGAGAGGGGAATTAGCTTTTTTCCCATTATCTTTATTAAATCACTGTTTTAGAGTTTATTTGAACCCATATTTTGAAACATTTGAAAACTGCTTAAAAATGAATGTCTAATGCAGAAGGGTCACTGCAGTTTCCAGCAGTGCATCTTATAACTTCCTATTCTTGATGCTGTTAGTCTGCATCCTACTGAAGAAGAGTAGACAGCTTTCTGATCTGATATATCAAATATACAGCCTCTTCTCAGTAGTATGAAACCTTTGACATTTTCATAGATATCCATGCCCTCTCGAGTCATCTGTCTTTCCTAATCCATCTACCTGTCAAGCTGTCTTTTCCAATGCAAGAAAAAGTGGTCATGATCTAAAATCCTCTAGGTTTTGAGAAAAGATAAGAATAGGCTTCCATCACTGCTGAAACTAGAACCAACCTGATGATGTCAGAATAATACAGAGTTCATCTTCCACAATTGCTCAGTTAATAGTAACAGGTTAATAATATGAGGAGGGCTTGTTAAGTCTTTGCTGAAGTGAAAACTGGGTTTTTCCTGCCTGATCTTGATCTGTCCTAGGAACTTCTGCTTACATATCTATGACTTGAGGACATCAGGAGTCCCACATTAAGCAGCGGGAAAAGATACAGAAAAGGTGTAGACTATATATACCTACTCAAATATATTTCTTTTTCTAATTTTTTAAACAGTAAGAAGCAAAGGAAACAGGATATTTCAGGAATTATTTTATATTACTGGATGAAAATGTCTGAGAACCACTACTTTTAAGCAGTATCTGTGGAAGGAAAGACATTCTCTTTTCACTTCTTGGGGCAACAGAAATTTACTTACATTTTTCATAGGAAACTCTTCAAGCTACTGAGTTCTTCTGAAGTTGTTTAAATATTGTTGCTTTATGTGTCCATGCATACACAGCGCAAGCCGGGAACCTCTTGAAGGGTGGAACTATATTCATGTTGAGGTATTATCCCCCTTGCCTAGCACTATGCCTGGCGCATAGTATGGCTGAGTAATTCATGGACAAAAGAATTAAAGGTAGGTTAAGTGTTAAGAAATCTTAACTTTTTGCAGCACAAAGTATGTTTTACCTTTATAAATGCTTACTCATGGATAATGATATTTAGTGGAAAAAGTAAATTTCCCTAATTTGCTCCAAAGAGCATATACTGAAAACATTATCTAATGTTAAATCATTTAATATGTAAGGGAAAAGCCATGGGAAATAGGCAACAGATGAAACAAGATTAAAAAAATAGAAAACTATATATAATCAAGGCCTTAAGAATGGCTTTTCTAAGCTATTGCCCTTACGCTTTCTAAGTAAATGTGATAATGATGATTGGTGCTAAAGTGACATTCTTAGAATTGAAAGTCTGTGTGTCCACTCAGTGAACTGTATATTGGAAGTGATGGGTACTTACTTCCCCACTCACTGTACTAATCCCTCACTCTAATGTAAAAGGACTTGATTAATTTCATTTATAAGCCATGTCTTTTGTAACTACTCTATAGGCAAATGGTGATTGTAGCATACCCAGGACTAAATTTAATATGAGTAATTTATTTCCCAGTAGCTATCAATTATTAATTTTTCATTTATCACTTTTGAATTGTGAAACCCTGCAGATGTTTGAGTAGAAAGAAGTAAACTTTATTCAAATAATAATATTTAATAAAGATATTAAAGTCAATGGTGCTGTTCTTTTCATTTTTATATGCTAATATCAAGACCTCATTGCTTATGAAGCTATCTATAATCATGCAGGGTTTTAACTTGGAACTTTTGAGGATAATAAATGGATGAGAAAAAAAATGATTGAACCCTTGCTCTGTAACCTTTTCTTCAGGGCCAAATACTGTACTGAATATTTTAGGCTTTCTAGGTCATATGGTTTCCATCACAACTACTCAACTCTCCCATTCTGAAAGAAGTTACAGAAAATATGTAAAAGGAACATGTCTTCGTTTCAATAAAATTTTATTTACCAAAAAAATAAAGCAGACTGGATTTGGATCATGGGCCATGTTTTTACAGACCCATACTCCAAAATGAGAACAAAAGCATCCCTCTTCTCAGCATATCTATCTTTAATTTTCCTTTGAGACTGTGATTCAAATCATTTCCACTCCCCCTCTCATCAGCTTCCCCTCATTCTCTCTGTCCCTATTGTTTGTATTATATCCTGTTATCTTCTAAAATGAAGGTCTTGTTTTACCAACTACTTTTGTTAGCCATTCGAGTATATAGATTGCCTTCTTCCTTCTTTCCCTCCTCTCTTCCCTCCATTCTACCATCCCTCCCTCCTCCACATTGGTTCTTAATGGAGAAGCCAGTAGATATTTTGTTGCTAATAATGAATTTATTTTAATTCTTGACTGTTATCTTAGGAGATATTATAAAAGTAATTATTTTATTTAAATTTCTCAAGCCCTAACATAGTAGTCGTTAAATGCTTGTTGCTAATGAAGAGTTTAACATTTTTATCATGAAAATTTGTAAACATGTAAGACCAGAGAGACCTGTTAGGCAAAAGATGAGAAAGGCCTAAACTATAGTAGTGATAGGAAAAAGATATAAAATTAAAGACTATTTAGGAAGTAGAATCAACATGATTTATTGATAGGTTGGCGATGGTGGGTGAAGGTGACTCCTAGGTTTCTCAGATCCAAATTGAAACCAGGTATTTTCCAAGTAATACTGCCATACCTATTCACCAGCCTAGGCAGTTCTAAGTGGAAAAGGATTTGCATGGAGATAGCAAAGTAAGTGGTATCTTATCTTAACTAATTATCTCTACACCTAGGAGAATTTTTATGTTCGTTTATAATAATTGTTATCTTATCCTCAAGTTATTCAACCTAAAATTATGTAAATAGTTCAAGTTATTTTTAGACATCTCTGTAAGTAAGTTTCCTGCTAGTAAGTTTCCAGACAGATTTTGTGCAGTTTTTGTTTGTTTGTTTGTTTGTTTGTTTGTTTGGCACGACTCCTCTGTTCTTTCAGAAAAATCAGAATTTTCAGCTTCCAATTGTTTTGTGGTTTTTGGTATTTTTATTTATAAACTTGGTAGTTAGATGCTTTCTGTTTATAATTCAAAATTATAAAAAATCACTTACACAAATACTACTGTAAACTCTTTCCTTTTCTTCTTACCCCTCTCCTCCTTTTCTCAAGCCTTGGTCTACTCTGTGGTAGGCGTAGTGTTAGTTCTAACAGAGAATTCTATAATAAATAAAAATTTATTTTCCATCAGGAGGTTTTTCATA
The DNA here is from genome assembly GCF_000001405.40 of Homo sapiens. Taxonomy (NCBI): domain Eukaryota; kingdom Metazoa; phylum Chordata; class Mammalia; order Primates; family Hominidae; genus Homo; species Homo sapiens. The sequence goes on from NC_000005.10 coordinate 109,115,972, forward strand.
TAAAAGAAGATGTGAGACATACACATTCAACCAGAATATATAATAACATGAAATGATGAGATACCAAAGAAATTAAAGTGGCTTGAATTGGGGAAATATTTCTTTCAACAGATTGGATACATGAACTCAAAGGGAGTGTGCTGGGGGCCTTTTCTGAGTTACGGTCTCTATGCTCCCTTGGCCACCTTGCTCTAATGGTAGCAGTGTCCCGAAGAGGTCGCCATGCTTCCAAAAATCTGTAACCTATACTGGGAGATGGAAACCTGTGAAATGATGTTTGCCAGTTTTCTTTACCGATAGATGTTGAAAAGCAATGTAGTAGTACTGACTCTAGACTTCAGTTATAAAAGAATTATTTTATCTATAGTCTTTGTTTAAAACTTGTTTCTGTTGCTTCATAGATTTTCTCTTTTCCCTTTTTATGGAGAATGCTCTGTCAGATTATTCCCCCCGCCAAAAAAAAAAAAAAATGAAAAAAAATAACAGTGTCAATGTATTGCTTCATTTCTGTTTGAAAGTATATTTTGACAATGTGTATGTCATCTAAAATGTTAAGGAATCAATGATTCTTTCAGTTCTAAAGCCCACCTGGTGAATTAAACCAAATCTGCATCAAGTTATTCATTTAAAATGTTGCTATTTTGCCTTATTCTCTTTACATGTTGCTTGTGCTGATGTCATTGATTATAGGCTGCCACCATATTTCGAGATAATTGTTACTGATGCAGCCTGTCTTCCTACACATAAAACATTTGCATTGCATTTTGCCTTCAGGATGTCACTCTTTGTAAGTAAAGACAAACATAGTTTGAAGACAAATGGCATTTTTAAACATAATGTCATTTTCCACTTTTTGTATGAATGAAAATTATCAGCAGTTCAGAGTAAGGACTAAAGTGAAATGAATAATAAATACGTATTTTTGTGATTATGCTTTTTAAAAAGGCCAAAGAACAGAATATGAATAGAATTTTTAAGTTTATGATTTTGCTATTTTCTGTCATATGTGTCAGAATTTTGGAAGGGAACCTTTCGTGAGACAATTTGTCCAGGCTTTTAGCTTTCCATTTCATCTTTCATATGAGATTTTACCTTTATTTTAAGGGACTTTGTTGGCACTACTTATTCTTTCTCAGATATAATATGTTAACTCCATTATACTTAAAATGTTACAATTCAGAAAGGTTCTTTTTCTTTCAGGAATACATTCTAGAATGGCAAACCAGAAAGATTTAATTATCTTTACCATTAAATGTTTAGTCTACTTAAGTCTATTTCTCTGTACATTGGATGAAATCATTGTATAAGATTCTGTGGGTCAGAAGAAATAGTGACTACAGAACAATAATTCATGTGTTGGTAATTCTCTACACCCTATAATTCCACTATTTCATGTGAAACAGGGAAATATCAAGGTCTTATAAACCATAAGGACATTGTCGTGTACTTCTATCATTTTGTGATAAACTCATATCATTCTTATGTAAAATAAGGCTTCTGGAAATAAGATTTGTATGCCTAAATTTTTATAATAATTTGCTGTATATTATTTTGATCTCTTCCCTGGATAGTGAAAGTCATTGGTAGCTTGATGGGGATGGCATTGAATCTATAAATTACCTTGGACAGTATGGCCATTTTCACGATATTGATTCTTCCTACCCATGAGCATGGAATGTTCTTCCATTTGTTTGTATCCTCTTTTATTTCCTTGAGCAGTGGTTTGTAGTTCTCCTTGAAGAGGTCCTTCACATCCCTTGTAAGTTGGATTCCTAGGTATTTTATTCTCTTTGAAGCAATTGTGAATGGGAGTTCACTCATGATTTGGCTCTCTGTTTGTCTGTTATTGGTGTATAAGAATGCTTGTGATTTTTGCACATTGATTTTGTATCCTGAGACTTTGCTGAAGTTGCCTATCAGCTTAAGAAGATTTTGGGGTGAGACGATGGGGTTTTCTAGATATACAATCATGTCATCTGCAAATAGGGACAATTTGACTTCCTCTTTTCCTAATTGAATGCCCTTTATTTCCTTCTCCTGCCTGATTGCCCTGGCCAGAACTTCCAACACTATGTTGAATAGGAGTGGTGAGAGAGGGCATCCGTGTCTTGTGCCAATTTTCAAAGGGAATGCTTCCAGTTTTTGCCCATTCAGTATGATATTGGCTGTGGGTTTGTCATAGATAGCTCTTATTTTGAGATACGTCCCATCAATACCTAATTCATTGAGAGTTTTTAGCATGAAGCGTTGTTGAATTTTGTCAAAGGCCTTTTCTTCATCTATTGAGATAATCATATGGTTTTTGTCGTTGGTTCTGTTTATATGCTGGATTATATTTATTGATTTTCGTATGTTGAACCAGCCTTGCATCCCAGGGATGAAGCCCACTTGATCATGGTGGATAAGCTTTTTGATGTGCTGCTGGATTCGGCTTGCCAGCATTTTATTGAGGATTTTTGCATCAATGTTCATCATGGATATTGGTCTAAAATTCTCTTTTTTTGTTGTGTCTCTGCCAGGCTTTGGTATCAGGATGATGCTGGCCTCATAAAATGAGTTAGGGAGGATTCCCTCTTTTTCTATTGATTGGAATAGTTTCAGAAGGAATGGTACCAGTTCCTCCTTGTATCTCTGGTAGAACTCAGCTGTGAATCCATCTGGTCCTGGACTTTTTTTGGTTGGTAGGCTATTAATTATTGCCTCAATTTCAGAGCCTGTTATTGGTCTATTCAGGGATTCAGTTTCTTCCTTGTTTAGTCTTGGAAGGGTGTATGTGTCCAGGAATTGTCCATTTCTTCTAGATTTTCTAGTTTATTTGCATAGAGGTGTTTATAGTATTCTCTGATGGTAGTTTGTATTTCTGTGGGATCAGTGGTGATATCCCCTTTATCATTTTTTATTGCATCTATTTGATTCTTCTGTCTTTTCTTTATTAGTCTTGCTAGCGGTCTATCAATTTTGTTGATCTTTTGAAAAAAAAAAACCAGCTGCTGGATTCATTGATTTTTTTGAAGGGTTTTTTGTGTCTCTATCTCCTTCAGTTCTGCTCTGATCTTAGTTATTTCTTGCCTTCTGCTAGCTTTTGAATGTGTTTGCTCTTGTTTCTCTAGTTCTTTTAATTGTGATGTTAGGGTGTCAATTTTAGATCTTTCCTGCTTTCTCTTGTGGGCATTTAGTGCTATAAATTTCCCTCTACACACTGCTTTGAATGTGTCTCAGAGATTCTGGTATGTTGTGTGTTTGTTCTCATTGGTTTCAAAGAACATCTTTATTTCTGCCTTCATTTTGTTATGTACCCAGTAGTCATTCAGGAGCAGGTTGTTCAGTTTCCATGTAGTTGAGTGGTTTTGAGTGAGTTTCTTAATCCTGAGTTCTAGTTTGTTTGCACTGTGGTCTGAGAGACAGTTTGTTGTAATTTCTGTTCTTTTACATTTGCTGAGGAGAGCTTTACTTCCAACTATGTGGTCAATTTTGGAATAAGTGCAGTGTGGTGCTAAAAAGAATGTATATTCTGTTGATTTGGGGTGGAGAGTTCTGTAGATGTCTGTTAGGTCTTCTTGGTGCAGAGCTGAGTTCAATTCCTGGATATCCTTGTTAACTTTCTGTCTCGTTGATCTGTCTGATGTTGACAGTGGGGTGTTAAAGTCTCCTATTATTATTGTGTGGGAGTCTAAGTCTCTTTGTAGGTCTCTAAGGACTTGCTTTATGAATCTGGGTGCTCCTGTATTGGGTGCATAGTGTTTGTATTAATTTACATTCCTACAGATAGTGTACCAAGAGTTCCTTTTTCTCCACATCTTCACCAGCATTTGTGATTGCCTGTCTTTTAGATAGAAATCATTTCAACTGGGGTAAAATGACATCTCATTTTAGCTTTGATTTGCATTTCTCTGATGGTCAGTGATGTTGAGCACCTTTTCATATGCCTATTTGCCATTTTTATGTCTTCTTTTGAGAAATGCCTATTTAGATCTTTTGCCTATTTTTAAAGTGGATCATTAGATTTTTCTTTCCTATAGAGTTGTCTGAGCTCCTTCTGTATTCTAGTTATTAACCCCTTCTCAGAAGGATAGTTAGCAAGTATTTTCTTCTGTATTATCTCTTCACTTTATTTTCTTTGCTGTGCAGAAGCTTTTTAACTTCATTTGATCACATTTGTCCATGTTTGCTTTGGTTGCCTATGCTTGTGAGGTATTACTGAAGAATCAGCCCAATGTCCTGGAGAGTTTCCCCAATGTTTTCTTTTAGCGGTTTCACAGACTAAAGTCTTAGAATTAAGTCTTTAATCGGCTTTGATTTTATTTTTGTATATGGCAAGAGATATGGGTTTAGTTTCATTCTTCTGCACATGGATCTCCAGTTTTCTCAGCACCATTTATTGAAGAGACTGTCCTTTCCCTAATGTATGCTCTCTCTGTCAAAAGTGTGTTCACTGTAGATGTATGGATTTGTTTCTATGTTCTCTATTTTGTTAACAATGGTCTTTGTGTCTATTTTTATTGCCAGTACCATTCTGTTTTGGGTACTATAGCTCTGTAGTATATTTTATAGTCAGGTAATGTGTTTCCTCCAATTCTGTTCTTTTTGCTTAGGAAAGCATTGACTATTCTGGGTCTTTTGTGGTTCCATCTAAATTTTAGCTTTGTTTTTTTCTGTTTCTGTGAAGAATGCCGTTGGTATTTAGATAGGAATTGCAATTAGTTTGTTGATTGCTTTGGGTTGTATGGACTTTTTAACAATATTGATTCCTTCAATTCATGAACATGGAATATTTTTTCATTTTTCGTGTTCAATTTATTTCACCAATGTTTTATAGTTTTCATTATAGACATCTTTTGCTTATTTGATTAGTTGATTCTTAGCTATTTAATTTTATCTGTAGCTGTTGTAAATGAAACTACTTTCTTGATTTCTTTTTCAACTTGTTTGCTGTTGGCATATGGAAATGCTACTAATTTGTGTATGTTGATTTTGTATCCCATAACTTTACTGAATGTATTTTGTTAGTTCTCATAGTTTTTGGTGGAGTCTTTAGGTATTTTCAAATATAAGAGTATATCATCTTCACACAAGGATAATTTGACTTTTTCTTTTCCAGTTTGGATGCTCTTTATTTCTTTCTCTTGTCTGATTGCTCTAGCTAGGAATTCCATACTATGTTGAGTAACACTAATGAAAGTGGGCATCCTTGTCATGTTCTAGATCTTAGAGGAAAGGCTTTCAGTTTTTCCCCATTCAGTATTATACTAGCAGTGGGTCTGTCATGTATGGCTTTTAATATGTTGAGGTATGTTTCTTCTGTACCAAGTTTTCAGAGGGTTTTTATCATGAAAACATGTTGAATTTTGTCAAATGCAATTTCAACATCAATTGAAATGATAATATGGTTTTTGTCCTCCATTCTGTTGATGTGATATGTCACATTGATCGAGTTGCATGTATGTTGGACCATCTTTTCACCTTGGGATAAATCCCACTTGGTCGTGATGAATGATCTTTTTAATGTGTCATTGAATTCAGTTTATTCTTACTTTGAGGATTTTTGCATCAATGTTCATCAGGGATATTGACCTGTAGTTTTCTTTTTTTGATGTGTCTTTATCCGGTTTTAGTATCAGGTTAATAGTGGCCTCATGGAATGAGTTGGGAAGTATTCCTTCTTCCTGTATTTTTGGGGGGCAGGAATAGTTTCAGTAGGATTAATATTTTTCTTTAAATGTTTGGTAAAATTCAGCAGTGAAGCCATCAGGTCCTAGGATTTTCTTTGCTGGGCGATTTTTTATAATGGCTTTAATCTCATTACTTGTTATTGGTCTGTTCAGAATTTGGATTTCTTCATGGTTCAATCTTGATAGGTTTTATGTGTCTAGGAATTTATCCATCTCTTCTAAGTTTTTAAATGTATTGGCTTATAGTTCCTCATAGTAGCCGCTAATGATCCTTTGTATTTTGGCAGTATCAGTTATAATGTTTCCTTTTTCATTTTCAATTTTATTTGTGTCTTCTCTTTTTTTCTTAGTCTGGCTAAAGGTTTATCCATTTTATCTTTTAAAAAAAACAACTTTTGTTTTGTTAGCCTTTTGTATTTTCTTTATTTCAATTTCATTTATCTTCCCTTGACCATTAATATTTCTTCTTATTTTGGTTTAGTTTGTTCTTACTTTTCTAGTTCTTTCAGATACATCATTAAGTTGTTTATTTGAAATTTTTCCACTTTGTTGATATAGGCCCTTACAGCTCTAAACTTCCCTCTTAGTACTGCTTTTGCTGTATCTTACAGGTTTTAGTATGTTGTGTTTCCATATCAATTGTAGCAGGACATTTTTTAATTTCCTTCTTAATTTCTTCATTGATTCACTGGTCATTTGGGAGCATATTGTTTAATTTCCGTGTGTTTGTATAGTTTCCAAAATTCTTCTTGTTTTTGATTTCTAGTTTTATTCAATTGTTGTCAGAGAAGATGTACTTTATTTCAATTTTTAATCCTGTTTTTAGACTTATTTTGCTTCCTAATTTATGGTCTGTCCTTGAGAATGATCCATGTGCTGAGAAAAAAAAAAAAGGCATGTTCTGCAGCCTTTGGTGAAACGTTCTGTAAATATCTATTAGGTCCAATTGGTATATAGTGCCGATTAAGTTCAATGTGTCTTTGTTCATTTTCTGTATGGATGGTATGTCCAATGCGGAAAGTGGGGTGTTGACAGCTCTGGCTGTTGTTGTATTGGGGTCTCTTTCTTTAGCCCTAATAATATTTGCTTTATATATCTGGGTGCTCAAGTGTTGGGTGCATACATATTTATAATTGTTATATATCTTGCTGAATTGACCCCTTTTTCATTATATAATGACCTTCTTTGTCTCTTTTTTAGTTTTTGTCTTGAAAGCTATTTGTTGTGATGTAAGTATAGCTACCTTTGCTCGTTTTTGGTTTCTGTTTGCACGGAATATCTTTTTTCATCCTTTTATTTTCAGGATATGTGTGTCTTTATGGATGAAGTGTTTTTCTTGTAGGCAATAGATCATTGGGTCTTTTTTTTATTAATCCATTCAGCCACTCTATACGTTTTGATTGGAGAGTTTAGTCCATTTATATTCAATGTTATTGTTAAGTAAGGACTTACTCCTGCCATTTTGTTATTTTCTGGTTGTTTTGTGGTCCCCTCTTATTTCCTTCCTTCCTGTCTTGTTTTTTTTTTTTTTTTGAGACGGAGTCTCACTCTGTCGCCCAGGCTGTAGTGCAGTGGTGCAATCTCGGCTCACTGCAAGCTCCGCCTCCCGGGTTCACGCCATTCTCCTGCCTCAGCCTCCTGAGTAGCTGGGTCTACAGGCACCCGCCACCGTGCCCAGCTAATTTTTTTGTATTTTTATTAGAGACAGGGTTTCACCGTGTTAGCCGGGATGGTCTCGATCTCCTGGCCTCATGATCCGCCCACCTCAGCCTCCAAAGTGCTGGGATTACAGGTGTGAGCCACATCACCCAGCCTTGTTTTTTTGTTGGTTTTTTTTTAGTGAAGGTGACTTTTTTCTGGTGCTATATTTTAATTTCTTGCTTTTTATTTTTTTGTATATCTCTTGTATGTTTTTAAATTTGAGGTTATGAGGCTTCCAAATAACATCTTATAACAAATTATTTTATTTAAACTGATGTCAATTTATCACTGGTTATATAAACAAACTAACAAGCAAAGAGAAAACTAATAAAGATTCTATACTTTAATTCCATTCTCCTGCTTTCTAACTTATTATTTCTATCTTCTTATATTATCGATCAGACTGAAATTTAATTCTATAATCAGTGACTGCTGGGCAAAAGAAGGTGAATTTACATTTTGATCATTGCTCCTTTTGTCTGGAGAACATTTTAACCTGTTATTGAACATCTTAGTATCTAGTTACACTGTGGGCTTATGTTGTTCTATGTTTACATTTGTATGTTTACATTATGTTTACATAGATAATGCAAGAAATATTAAAAGAGCATGGCGCAGTGGCTCATGCCTGTAATCCCAGCACTTTGGGAGACCGAGGTAGATCACTGAGTCCAGGAGTTTGAGTCTAACCTGAGCAACATGGCAAAACCTGATCTCTACAAAAAATACAAAAAAAAAATAGCAGGGCATGATGGTGTGTGTCTGTAATCCCAGCTACAAAAGGCTGAGGTGGGAAAATTGACAGAACCTGGGAAGTCGAGGCTGCAGTGTGCCATGATTGTGCCACTGCACCCCAGCCTGGGCAACAGAGCAAGACCCTGTCTCAAAAAAGACATATTAAAAGGGACAAAAAACTAGGTGCTTGGCAGTTTTCTTTACCTTTGTTATAATAAGCAATTGGAAGGAAGGCTTTCATTAACTAAATGCTGTGGGAAATTATTAGCAATATTTCCATTAAGTGGCTTGTGCTTAGACTGTTGGTTCTTAAGGCTTATGAACTCTTCGTGTACTTGTGAGATGGAAGAAGTTATTCATTAAACCCCTTCGTAAATTGCCCAGAATGGCTTTGTGGAGCCTCCTCTCTTCCTCTGTATTCAGAAAAGTATCAGTTGTTCTTTGAAGCATAATATCTGCCAGCTTTATAATTGTTTGTCATTTCTTAGAAGACAGACATTTTTTAATAGTTTTGTTGTTGTTGTTGTTGTTGTTGTTGTTGTTGTTTTGCTCCCCTTCCTGATTGACAGCAGCCTTAAATCAAGATCTCAAAACTGTGACTCTGGGCCAGTTATTTAGGAAGAAAAACATTTAAAAGGAAGAAAATACAAGATTAGAAACATAAACATTCCTTTTAAGATAGAAGTTGGGCCGGGCGCGGTGGCTCACGCCTGTAATCCCAGCACTTTGGGAGGCCGAGACAGGTGGATCACGAGGTCAGGAGATCCAGACCATTCTGGCTAACACGGTGAAACCCCGTCTCCACTAAAAATACAAAAAATTAGCCAGGCGTAGTGGCGGGCACCTGTAGTCCCAGCTACTCGGGAGGCTGAGGCAGGAGAATGGCGTGAACCCAGGAGGCAGAGCTTGCAGTGAGCCGAGATTGCACCACTGCACTCCAGCCTGGGCGACAGAGTGAGACTCTGTCTCAAAAAAAAAAAAAAAAAAAGAAGAAAGATAGAAGTTGACTGCTAATCAGTAGGAAAAGTCTTAAAACAAATGACTTTATTCTTTCACTAAACTTGCTGTTCTCAAGATTCTAATACCCCATGAATTAAATATTTAGAATTATTATCTGTTTTTTTTCCTTTTATATACATACATTAGAACTCTTTACATACTATGGTAAGTTCCAACATTTTTGTGAAGTATTACATACTATGGTGAGTTCCAACAGTTTTGTGAAGTATTATTTGGATAATTCCATAACCATAAAATCATAATCATTGTGAAAATTAATTGTGATTTAAATATTTTATCTATTTATGTAAGTGGTTTTACATAAATAAGTTTACTAAATTTTTCTTAAAAGTGTCTTATATTCAAACCTGTAAACATCTGTGACTAAGTTCACTGTCTCTTCCTACTGCAGTCATATTTTTAAAATAATACAATTTCAGACCATCTTTCCCTCGCCAAACTCACATATAACACAGTCTATGAAATTAGGATAATAATAGCACTTATAGAAGATTGGTGAAGATTCAGTGTAAAGTGTTTGGCACAGTGCTTAGAACATTTTAATCATTCTGTAAATGTGAGCTGGTCTTAGTAGTAGCAGTATTGTTTCTGAAATGTTAAGGTAACAGAACTGGATTTTTTCTCTCTCTCTTCATATAGTCCTTCTAAAAACCTGATATTCCCAAGTGTTTTATTTTGTAAATCATCTCATGTAAGACTTTTGAGAAATAGTTTTAGAATAAGAACATTCCCAGGTTGTTCCTAATATCCTTTTTCCTAAACTGGAAATTCTTTTTAGGCATCACCTGACTGTTTCGGGACTCTTTGTTCTTCTCCTTTGTCAGAAAGAATGAAACGGTGAAGGCTAAAACTGCTACATCCACAGATGGCTGATTCATTTCTTAGTGCTCAGAACTTCATATCTATAGCTGTTTTTTTTTTCCTTTTCTGATACAGCCAGTAATTGGCTGAGTTCCAGAAACCATACTTTCTGTCAGACTCCCTGATCTTTTTTGGATTATCTGTGGATAATCAGAATTATGTGCTTGGAAATAATTGTAGTTCTTAGCTGTAAAACACGAAAAAAGACGCTAAACATTCACAGTGTAGGGTGAGATAGCTGCTTAGGCACTTCCTTTCCCCCTTCCTTGCACCTGTTCATCTAGTCCCTTGGCCCCATTTTAAGTGCACACGGAGTTAAGAACCCTGCGGTTTGCATGCTTGCTATATCTTTAAGCACTCTAGCCTTCATTCCTCTTAGAAGGGCTAGAGCAACAGGAGCAATACTCTTTTGCTTTTATCCTCTGTTTACATATTCACCTTATCCATTATACATGGAGCCACTACACAGAAAGTTCTTGGAAGAAAAAGAATTTAGGATCTTGATTTCAGGGCTAGGCCCGTCTAAATCCAAGCATGGTTACAAGAAAATTTTGTAAATTAAAAAAATAATTTTTAATTTTCAAGAAAGGGATTGATTAATGAATAATAATTTATTGCTGATTCTGTCTCTCATGGGTGTGAACTTACAGTGAATAGAGACAAGCCTTCTCAGGTCTGATCTCTTTTTTCATTCAGTTAGCAGATACCGGATTGTTTATTTTGTGCCAAGTATCACACTAGGTACTGGTTGAATTGCTCCTTGTCATTATGTAACTCATCTTAGGCAAGAGAGGCAGATAAAAAGCAGGTATAGAAACAAATAATAAGGTATACACTAGCTTTGATAAATGCTGTGATAGAACCAAACAAGGTAAAGTGTAAAGAATAAACTATATGGAAGTATAGGAAGTCAGGAAAGACTTCTGAGGAGTCTACATTTTGATGAGCACTGAGGGAGTTAGCGATGTGAAGATTAGGGAGAACAAATTTCCAGGCTGTGTTACAAAGGTTATTCAGGATTTACCAACCAGCAGAAAAGGCTATAATAAGCTCTATCTTAGCCTTTCATGAAATCACGTATTTCCAATACAAAGAAATCTAACTGCTACATTCTTGTGTTGGGAACGTTCCAAGATTATTTCTCACATGTTATAAATATGTATTGGCATTTATTGTATGCACTTCCATCTAACCATGGATTATCTTTCAATATAGAGTTACTCTGGGGGCTTTGTCATATATCTGTATTGAATACCAATACAAAAATCCATTATTTTAAAACTGTCCACCTTTGGGGATTATTTACACTATTTCATTAGAACATATAGTAAAGAGTTCAGAGTGTGTCTCTGTGTGTATTGTATGTCTTTATTACCTCAAATAACTATATTAATGTTCATATAATATGTGCCTCAACTGTGTTTCCATTTTTATTTTTTATTTTTACTTTTATTTGTATTTTTTTGAGACAGAGTCTCGCTCTGTTGCCAGGCTGGAGTGCAGTGACGTGATCTCGGCTCACTGCAATCTCCACCTCCCAGGTTCAAGGGGTTCTCCTGCCTCAGCCTGCTGAGTAGCTGGGATTACAGGCACGCGCCACCACATCAGCTAATTTTTTTTTGTATTTTTATTAGAGACGGGGTTTCACCATGTTGGCCAGGATGATCTCGATCTCCTGAGCTCATGATCCACCGGCCATGGCCTCCCAAAGTGCTGGGATTACAGCGTGAGCCACCGTGCTTGGCCTCCATTTTTATTTTTAAAGATTAGAAAAATATTACTAATTAACTATATTAGGAGTCATTAAAAATGAAAATATTTTTATGTTCAAACTTAATTTTTACATTTTACTAGGGACCCAGAATCAGCCATATGTTCAGAAGTAGGCTCCTGAAAATCAATGTATGTGTTCTGTAATTAAAAGTTATTTTTCATAATATTGAAATTCTAATTTATGTTCTTGCTAGTTTTGGTAGTATAAACACTGTTTATAGACCAACTATTTTATCTTGTTTTTACAGTACTGCTTTATCCATATTTGATTTTAACTTTTACCAGTTCTGTTGAAAACCGTTAATCAGAAATTTTATAAGTCTTTGATTTAGCGTTTAAATTGAGATGTGGAATGTAAAAGTGGTGCTGAGCAGCTACAGTGTTGAAGGTTAAATTTATCCTAGCCATGAAAAAGAAATATATTTTCCTACCCTCTCCTTCCTTACCCAGTGATTGATCACACAAGTCAGTAGCATCATACCTTTGTGAGATATACAAGTTTTTTTTTTTTAATGAGAGACATACTGAGAACTATTTCTTAATCATGAAATAGTATTCTTTCAGTTCCCAGATTCTCACATTTGTAAGTGTAATAATGAGTTTTGGCATACTATAAATATTTATGACAACTTTCAATTGTAAGTTTTGGGAACCTAAAATAAGTCTTCTAAGTAAGTCATTCACAATAAACACTTTTACTATCAATATGTGATTTTAGACAGTTGCCTTTAGTCTCAGTAATGTGATGATATTTCTAATTCATACTTGGGAGTTACCTAATAAAAATCAGTGAAAAGGAGGACAGCTTGTCATCATTCTGGTGTTTACTCTCTTGTAGCATGCACTTCTCATCATGTGTTTAAGCCCCAGTGTAGCAATGCAGAATGGGGATTGTATTAAGATGTTCACACTACTATTCAGCAATACCCATAGGTTAACCAAGCATAAATTTCTATAGTATGTAGGTGTCAATGTACCTAAAATAATAAATACACATATTATGTAAATTTAAATGAGTTATTATTTTAATATATGGAGCATACATTTAATATATTTTCAAAACTTAAAGTTTTTGTTGGAAAACTTCACAAAATGATTCTAAAGTGTGTCTGGAAAAATATGTCACAAAAATTGAGAAAACATTGTAAAATAAAGAAGGATGAAAAAGAACTTTCCCATGTATATGTTAAAACATTTTATAAAGCTATAGTAATTAAAGCAACAGTGGGTAGACATGGATATATGTAAAAATGAGAACTATTTTTAGTGTATGTGGAAATAGTATATTGTTAAGAAATAGACTAATATATAGATAAAGATTTAGAATACAGTAAAAATGATATTTTAAATCAGTGGATTACTTTAAATTATTGTACATAAATGGTGTTGGAACAATTATGTAACTATTGGTGGTAGAGCTGGGGTGGTGGCAGAGGAATAAAGTCAGATACTCATACCTTATCTTATAACAAAATGAATTCCGGGTGGAGAATCTTAATAAATGATTCTACTTTTTCAGCAGTTTGTTCTGTTTGAATAATAGTTATTGGAGAATATGGAAAATTTGTTACAGTTTAAGAGTTTCGTGTCACAAACATACATCTTAATTTTCCCATTAATTATTCTAAAACTTTTCATATCTATGTATACTTGTTTACCTTTAACTTGTTCTGAATCCTAAAATGGTATATTGAAGTCCTGTATCATATAGTAATTTTATTAAAACCTCCTCGAATTTCCAAGACTCTTTGTACTTTTATTTCACTGCTTTCTACTTCCATATAACAATCAACCAGTCACTGTTAAATGATGACCTAGAAACCTGGATAAAAGGGTTTGAAACATATTCGATAAACTAAATTTTAATATTTCATGATATAAAAAGCTCTTACAAAACAAAATAAAACAAATATAAAAATGAGCAAAGAACACGAACAGTAAGTTCATTTAGAACATACTCTGATATGCTCTAGGCAGATGTATAAATTGGTACAAGGTTTTCGTATAGGAATTATTGAAATGTGTCAAACGTCTTTAAAAATGCATACCCTTTTACACAGCAATTCAACTCCTAAGAGTTTGTCTTAAGGCAATAATCAAAACATCAAATATGTGTGTTTTTAGTTGCCCATCATATTGTTGTTTATAATGACAAATTTTTGGGAAAATCCTACATCTCACATATATGAGATCCTACTTTTACTATTGAGAAATAATAACAATACCAAATAATAGTTGTAGTATGCTGTAATTTTATAAAAATAAATTTGCATTTTCATATTTATACATGAATAGTTTAGAAGGACAATGTATTAATACTTGTGCGTAGGTTTTTTTTTACATTTATACTTATGCTTCCTTTCATAGTGATTCAGAGTAGAAATACCTTTATAGTTTTACAAAACCTATCCCATTTTTAAAAAATGATTTAAAAGATGATTAGAGATTTTTATCCCATAGTAAATATTATAGTGAAAATACATCTGATTAATGGAAAATTTGGCATTTAATATGTGACATATAATAATTTGAGTTTTAATTGATTTTTTTCTCACATTTTGATGTTTAAGAGAAACCAGTTTTCCCCTGAGAAGGCTTTTCTGTATTTTCCTTCTCTGTTGTACTACACTATCATAACACTTATTAAAGATGCCATAGTGTATATAGTCCTCTGTTAATTTGTCTGTACTTCCTATTGGCCTTGTCCAAGATATGTAGTATGAACTACATATGTAATTTTAAAATTTTTAGTAGCCACATTAAAAATATAAACAGAAACAAAATAAAATGATATAAAAATAAACAGATGAAATTAGTTTAAATAATAACTCAATACAGATACATGAAAAATTTATCATTTTAACATGCAATTAGTGTGAAATTTGTTAATGAGGTATTTTACGTTTTTTTTTCTGACCACCTGCTGCCTGTTGATAAATTTTACGTTGTTTTGTCATAGAAATTTTCAAAATCTGGTGTGTATTTTTTACTTATGCACATCTCAGTTGGACTAGCTATGTTTCAGCTGTTCAGCAATCATATGTGGCTAGTGGCTGCCATACCAAACAGCACAGCCTTAGACTGTAAGCTCTGTGAGGACAAGGGAATCCTTTTTACTCCAGTGCCTAATACAGTGCCTGGAATTTAATAAACATTTTAATATTTGAATTTGCTTCCCCAAACAAGTTTATTTGCAGTTTCTAACTGTGATATCACTTGCTGTTTTATACTTCATACTTTTCATTTATATACTCATCTCTTAAATTGTGTGCTCTTCAACATAGTAACCATGTTTTATTCAGCTTTATATCTCTGACATAGAAGACACTCAATATATGTTTGTCGCAAGGAAGTTAGAGAAGAGAGAAACTGATTTTTTACTTCAAAGAACTTTTTTCTGGTAAATCATCTCTTGAGATATTTCACATTAAGTCTCACAAGTTCAAAATTGTAGGATTATTTAGCATTTAGCAGTAGAAATTGAAAGACCTCAACTGTTCATTTATTTGAGCTTTAGATTAAGCCATCGAATATGGCTGATTGCTGATTTTATTTTTAAAGATCTCTAAGGATTAGAGATTTATCAGCCTTCCTTAATACAACCTTGTTCTTTGTTGAATAAATTTTACAGCTGTTGAGTTCTTCCCTGTCAATCTTAATAATCCTTTGCTGTAGCATAAGATTTTTTCCCCTGTGATCTTCAGTGGAGACAGACAATAGTTGGTTAATATTAATCATATAATGAGCTTTAGCATTAATAATATTAGTTATGATAATTACCTTAAGCTTTCTTTATCTAAAATGTAGAACATTAATTTTAACATTTACATTATTTCAATTTTTCTTTTAATATTTCAATTTTTCTTCTAATAGGAAAGATGAGATCAGTAATGTATTTATTTTTTGGGTGTGTGAGATATCTTTTCCCCACATAACTGATGTTATAAATAATGCTGATGAGTGCTTTTAGTTTGTCAGTAATAGTAACTGAGCAGCCATCATATGCCATTATGGTATTTGTTGCTAAGAACAGAAAATAATCCATATTTGTTTTCTGATGTGCTCTTAGCTAATAGTTTTGTTATTAGGTTAAGGGCCTAGGAATCATTGTTTAGCCATGTTAGTATCATGCATACTCCTTGTTACAGTAGCCAGACATGTAAATTAAAACCGCTTTGCTGTCAGACAGATCCAGTTAAAATTCAGGCTTTGCTACTTGTCCAGCATCTTCTCAATCTCATCTATATGTTACCCATCTCATAAAGTTGTTGCAAGAATTATATGAGATAAATGTACCTAAAGTATGTGTCTACAGTAAATATGCAACAAGCAGTTACTTTTATTATCATCAATATTATTATCTTTTCTAAAGAAACAACCAAATACTTTGTTGTCGGCATTGGGATCTAAATGCTGGGCATCTTCACAAACTTAAAAATTACCCAATTCCCAAAAATAAAACCAAAATAGGCAACCGGTACTAAGCCAAATATCACATCTGATATTATGGGCTGTGATTTCTCAATCTTTTTCCATAAGAAAAATATAAGAAAGAGGAAATTCCTGAAAAGGGGCAACTAAAATTAAAATACAGCTAAGGCATTCAGTTTATTTATTCATTTAATCTATTGAGTGCTTACTATGTGGCAGGAGCTATTCTAGGAACTTGGGATGCATCAGTGAACAAAACAAAAATTCCTTCATTATAGTCTTTCTAGTGAAATTTAGACTTAGAACTTCAACCCCAGCAGGTTCTGCTGTGAGGATGGGAGAAGAGTGTGCTAGAAACAGGTGGAGGCAGGGAAGGAAGGTCTGCTCTACTTTGACTGTTAAAAGGCCTAGATCCCAGGACAGGAGACCATCAGGCCAAAATCTAATGCCTAGTGTCTGAGGAAACAGGTACCCTTTAGTCCAGTTCAAGTTCATGTTGATGTCCAAGAGGCCTCAGACAATCTATGGGGAATACAGATCTCTGGGTAGAGGTTTGGAGGATGGGTGGTATACTGACTGAAAAAGAATGCTGACAATTTGGAATATAGCCCAGATGGCAGCACCTGGTGAAAAGGGACTGTCACATCATCTGAGCCCAAACCAACTGATGGGAATTGAGGATAGACTTCAGGCTCCTCTTAGTAGAGAACTGAAATAAAGAACAAATCAGGAGCAGAGACTGAATGTACAGCAGTTGAGAGAAGAGCTGTGGGCAGATAGAAAGGGTGCTGTGTGGAGGGAAGCCTGTTGCTGCATAACCAAAGCATGTGTCCTCATATGTAGTTTCCAAAATGATTCCTAACATGTATAAGTCATTGTAGAAGATGTTCATAGTATTTAAGTTGGGATTTTTGTCATACTGTAACTTTCGGTTTTATTGGAAAGTAAATGTTAGTATGTTCTTGGGCAGAGGGTTATCTAGCTTGATAAAGTGCATATCATAAATTGATAAGTTTGAAAGTGACTGTAGGAGATAAGTCAGTCAATAAGTTCCTGGCTTTCATTTCAGAAAGTGTTCCTTTTAGAGGAGAGAAACACTATCATGAAGATATGCAAACAATGCTAGAAAATTTGATAATGTGACTTACAGAAAAACAGAAAAGTTTTGTCTGAACTATTAAAATTCAACTTGCAGCAGCAGCAAAAACAAGTAAAGTAACAGCCAAAATTACTCTGTTAGCTATTTCAGGACTTATTTCTAAATATTTATAAATGATAATAGTATGATGAATTTGGCTGGTTTCCTTGAAAAATTTAAAAAGGTTAGTAAAGGCAATATTTTTAAAAATATTTGTTTATTCACAGTTTTAAATGGCAGAAATTTTATAAGGCACTGCATAATTATCAAGGTTTTAAAAACAGTTACCTGTATCTCTGGGATAAAAAAGAAAGCACATTTGACTATTTGAAAAATTGAAAGTTGAAGCAAGACCATGTCAAGAAAAATTTGTTATCTGTATCTTCTCCATTTATGTGATAATTGTTCCCTAAATCCAAATTTATGTAACAAAACTATATTCTATGTATTTCCCATGAGTCAACTAGTTTCTCTTTAGTGTCTGCCATTTCCAGCATTCTTTTAAAGCCTATAAACAAAATTTGGTGTAAAAGATTGCATCAAATGTTGCTGATAGTTATTAAAAATATATTTCAACTCCAAAATTTGTTCTTAAAGACTAGCATTTTAATCACAGATGTTATTTTTTACCTCTGATTAATAATTGTATCCTTAATTATTGACGATAGCTGAAGGGTTTGACTAAGACATCAGGAATAATTTTTCTCTCTTCCTAAGTTGTGATGATAGATAAATAATTTTTCTATTTTTAAAGAAATACATTAGTTCCTAAGTATCTTATTTCTCTTACTTGAAAGGATAAAAGAATGTTTCCTGTATTGATTTCATTTTCCTGTGAAGTTGAAGCATGAAAAAGTAAATGAATATTAAAAATATTCCATTGTGTTGGTATAATAAAAGCTCGAATACCCAAAGAAAAGTTCCATACTATGTAATATTTTGTGACTTGATTAGTCTGCTGTGCTTTAAAAACTAAACACAGAACAGGAAATATCCCAGTCAATGTTAGAGTTTTATATAAAACATAAAGTTTCAAATTTTAAAGATAAATTTAATTTCCTTTACAGTATTTATCAAAATTAAAAGGGTGAAATAGAAATGTAACATCAAGAGGTTTTATAATCTTAAGGTTTTTCTTTGTCATTTATTAAAAATTATTTTTAAATAGCATACTGATATGATTATACTCCTTCCACCCCAGCTGCTTTAGAGGCCTGTCCTAAACAAGCAATTAAAACTAGATTTTGTTCTTTTAAGTTTGAAAGGTGGCTCCCACACAGATTTAACTTGGGTAATTGGTTGGCCACTACAACCAGCTAGTGACTGATTGTGCTTCCATTAAGAGCAGTTCGGCCAAGGAACTCTGCTCGACACTAAAACCACTGAGAAGAGGGATATATAGTCTCTCTCCTGGATGAGTTCACAATCTGCTTTGGAAGCAGGAACAGCATGTAAATGCATAATTGAAACAAGTGCACTCATACTATAAAAGTATGTTCCTAGAAACATGATTAATACATAGGAAGAATGATTCACTCTGCCTAGGATAGCTTTGTAGGGGACATGGCTAAGGCAAAGAGTCTTTGTCCAAATGAGTAGTAACCAACAGTCTTTAAACAGCAGATGTGTCTCCCATGAGATTGTGATCTTCGTAAGGGCAGAAACCGTGTATATTTTGTTCACCAATATTTCTTTAAAACCTAGTATAATAATCAATATTCAAGAAAAGCATTGCTGAATGACCCAGGTAAAGAAAGATAGGAAGGAGCATACTAAGCAGAAATGGAATTATCTACATTAGATGTTCAAGAAATGATACATTGTTGATACCTGTGGAACACAAAGTCAAGACAGGTGGGGAAATGGTTGGAGATAAAGCTGGAGGGATGATAATAATGGTAGGTAACATTTATTCAGCATTTACTGTACCACACAGTTTTAGGCACCTTATGTATATTCGTTCACTTAATCCTCACAAAATCCTTGAAGGATGTACAATTATTATTCTTCCATTTTTACAGATGAGGAAACTGAAGTACAGAGAGGTTAAGTGATTTTCTCCAGATCATATAAGTGACTTAGGGCAGAACCAGCTTTTGAACCCAGGCAGTCTGGCTCCAAGTTTACGCTCTTAATAGTGTGGGGCTTTTTGTATTTAATTAGACATATGTAACTGACATTTTTGCAAGTCGCAATGGTTACATATTGGTAATTTCAAATGGTTCAACCTAATGTCATGCAGAAGAATTTGGGTATTATAAATACAGATGGAACCCTGGAAAGGGTTTGAACAAGGGAAACAAGACTTTTGGGGGCAATAGACTATAGCCTCCCCAACTCACCAAAACTCTCTAAAAACAAGGACCACTATTATCCAGTAATCCAGGACTCCCACTCTAAGCCTGTCTTATTCCCATTTCTTTGTAAATTGGCCTGATTCCTTACCCTTTGACCTTATTCCTTTGACTTTACCAGTCCAGTTGCCTTTGGCTGACACTTCTCTGTTTCTGGTGATTTCTGCTACTATAAGGTGAAGTTCTAATAACCAGCGCTCAAAAACAGAAAAGAAAGCAAAAGCAACTCTTTGTAAAGCTTTTCTGTATGACCTTACTTCCTTCTGCTTGGCCCGGGCCATCCCAGGTCTACCCATAAAGCATATACTGCTATAAGATTGAGCCAGGCACAGTGGCTCATGCCTGTAATCCCAGCACTTTGGGAGGCCAAGGCAGTTGGTTAACTTGAGGTCTGGAGTTTGAGACCAGCCTGGGCAACATGGCGAAACCCTGTTTTTACTAAAAATACAAAAAGTAGTCGAGCGTAGTGGCACTCACCTGTAATCCCAGCTACTTGGGAGTCTGAGGTGAGAGAATCACTTGAACCCTACTTGGGAGGCTGAGGTGGGAGAATCACTTGAAGCCAGGAGGCAGAGGTTGCAATGAGCTGAGATCACGCCACTGTACTCCAGCCTGGGTGACAGAACTAGACCCCGTCTAAAAATAAAAAATAAAAATAAAATAAAAACAATAAAAAAAGGATTGAACAGGAGATAACTTAAAGCATAAGAGAATTTTTAAATAGTTAGAATACATATATAAAAAATCGTGTTTTAATTGAGTCCTTTCTGGTTTTATGTTTTAGAAATGTCTCCAAGTATGGGTAGCACATAAATATCATATAAAAGTAATTTCATATTTCTCACAGTTATTCTTTAATCTGTACTGCTTAGAAAGACAATCTTGAGAATAATGATAGGAACTACATTTTTTTAGCTAGTTATAGCTTACAAATTATTTTCATATACAGATTTTCATTTGATCTTCACAGTAGCCTAGTGAGGTAATTATCACCATTTTATAGATTAAAGAACATAGATTTAGTGAAGATACATGTGTTTTCAGAGCTTCATTCAAGGTTTTCTACCTTCAGATCTAGGCTTTTTTTTTCACTACCATGCAAAACCTCTTCACATTTATAAATTCTATGAATCAAAATCTTATTAATACTAGCTAATACTGGAGACACATGAGTCTCTAGTCCAAGCTTTAACCACTATGGCATTTGTATAAAACAAGTAAATTCCCAACTCTGTGATAATTACTCAGGTAACCTGAAGTATTTTTTATTGGTGTAAAAGCAATTTTGATATCATCAATTTGAAGCAAAGAAGCCTTATCCTAATGTAACATTCAGATAATACAGGCTATACAACTTGTCTGTATAAACTAGTGCTGTGCGTTAAAATAGCATTTCCCAAAGTCTCTTAGTTTACTTAAGAAATATTTTTCGTTGTGTCTTGATGTCAGTGGCTTTTATAAACTGGTTACCTCATCTGTTCATTAGGCTCTGTGAAGGAAAGGGGGAGATGAAGGAAACATCCAACCTAGGGTAAGTCATGAAAGGATTTTTTTCTACACAGCAAAATCTTAGATCCTACTGTAAGACTTTACCCTTGGTTTCCAGAAGAAAAAAGGATGGACAAGAGGCTGCTCTGTCTCTTCTTCAACTATGTACCAATCAGAGGGTCCACATACCATGCAGTCATTGACTCTCCCTTAGGGTTTACTAAAGCTGTATAGTTCTGCCATGTTTGTTCCTAACCAGCTTTCCCGACAGGCCTGTTTTTCTCTATTCACATATCACCAAAGACTGTGCTAAGGCACTAACCTTGGTCTGGATTTTAGAAACTTGGGGAACTATAAGAAGTAGGGCAAGACTGGCTTCCAATTGTAGAGAATAAAGTCCTAGGGGGGAACTCAAGATAGTATCCAAGGGGAAATCTAGCTCATAAATTACAAAGTGATCTAACAAGCTCCCATGCACAGGTACCAGAAAGAGAAAGAACTCATGTCTGATGGAAAGGAGCCACAAACGAAGGTAGAAAGATAGGCGGGTTGGTGTTAGTAAGAGACTGAATCTGGCAAAAGGCCCATAAATGATGGATACCTTTTTGTAGTACCCCTGTGGCTTCAACCCAGTGAGAAAAGGAGCAATAAAGGACATCAAAACCAATTTTCAGTCCCACTCCAATCTTCAGAGCTTGAGGTTTCTGCCATGGTTAATTCTAATCTTTTTCTTATGGACTTACCCAGACCCATTAGCTAGTGTCTTGATTTAACTTGGGAATGCTATCCTGGCCTATTTTCTCCCGCAAGATGTACTGGGCCTACTCTCTAGCTCTAGTCTTTAACTAATGCACTGGTTTGGTCTTCCCAGTTTCCTGCATTGCAGCTCAAGCCTGAAGTCTTTCTGTCATATCGGAACTAAAGAGACTCATGCTTCAGGAACTATAGGAGAGAATGCCATATGTAGGGCTGGAACAAAGCATGTACAGGAAAAGGAGGGTGGGAGAAAGAGGATGAAGAATTACTCTCTCCATTCAGCAAAAAAGGAAAATGTTTCTTCAGATTACCAAGGGATACTTGCCAGTGTTCAGGATGTTTCATAATTCATATTATTATCTTATTTTTTTTGTAGTGGGAATTATCAAAGACAGTAAAAAGATGTTAGAAGAGAAATTCAGGGGTAGGGGAAATGGGAATATGTTAGTCAAAGGACACAAACTTTGAGTTATAAGATGAACAGTTTCTGGGAATCCAAGGTACAGCATGGGTGGTGATATGTGTGTTAATTTGTGATAATCATTATGTAGTATATACATATATCCAATCATCGTGTTATACACCTTGGATATATTCACCCTTGTCAATTAAATAGTTTAAAATATAAAAGAAAAATTCAAGACCTTAATGTCAGCTAAAGGCCTTAGACTTAGTTACTCTCCCCAACCCCTTCTGGGTTATTTTTGTTTGTTTGAAGAAATGTTATTGCCTCAAAAATTCTTGATTTCTCTAGTTCCTCTCACTCTATTTTAATATCAGTCAGCTATCCTTGTGTTTCCATCTGATGTTTCACAGATTGAGGGCTGTGAAGTCACTTACCCTCTCGAAGCAGTTAGGAGACTATTACAGCTATTCCAGAAAGAGATGATAAGGGTTTGAACTATGTCACGTGCAGTATGAGTGCCAAGGAAGGGGTTGAATAGTTGAATTCAAAAACATTTTCAGAAATAGAATAAATACAAATTCTTGATATGACAGGGTAAAGGAGAGGGGAGAATCCAAGAAGATATTGAGAGTACATTTCTAACAGAAGTAGAGGGCCCATGGCAATCTATGAATTAAGACATAGGGCACAGGGTTAAGAGCAGGTTTCAGAGGGAACAAAGATTTGACATTTGCTTTTGGACTTGTTGAATTTGAGGTACCTGTAGGACATCTAGGAAGAGAAAGCCAGAACAGTCTAGTTGAAATATGGGGTGGAGGGTATAACATTGAGAGAGGCTCAAAAGGAACACAGCGGAGCTAAGTGATTCAAGGATGGTATATAGGAGTCTCAGGTCTTTTCTTTAATATTGTCTATCAAAATCACTTCCTTGTCTTCCACAGACTCCTTCCTGAGTCTGTCTTGCTGTCAACCCTGCAGAAGATTCCCACCCCCACCCTGTACCCCTAAAAGGCAGGGCCTATGTCTTTACTTCTCCTTCTTTCTTTCTTTTTTTTTTTTTTTTTTGAGGCAGAGTCTCGCTCTGTTGCCCAGGCTGGAGTGCAGTGGTGCGATCTCGGCTCACTGCAAGCTCCACTTCCCGGTTCCAAGCCATTCTCCTGCTACTTCTCCTTCTTTATAACCTAGGGACATTGCTAAAAGATAGCAGTTTTTAAGAAAAAATGCTAAAAGAGAGCATTTTTAAGAAAATATAGTTTGACTATGACTTCATTTTCAGATGTCAGGACTGGTTTTTGTTTCACTTTTTTGCCCATTAAGATTTAGAGGTTTTCTGCAAGTCAGCAGAAAATTGTAGTTACTATATCCCCTGTTATGAAAGCAAACCCCCAGTTTTCTTCTGGATATGATGTGTTAATATGGGAACACACATTTTGCTGACATGCCCTAATGCTTAATATTTTGATGAATCAATCTGGGAATAAGAATTGATTGAAAACATCTCAATTTTACATTGGCTGAAGTAAGTATTGGTTAGGAAGATGGGCAGCCAGTTAGCTGACAGGATCTACACCGTGCTAGATGGATTGCAATAAAAAAAAATAGAATTAAACACAGTATACTGCTATCAATTACTGACTGGCAAGTATGTTATTGAACCATATCAGAAATAAAAGCCAAAGCATTTTCCTGTGATTCCCAAAAAAGCTCAAATTGCGAATATCTTTAGTGCCTAGTAAACAAACAATTCTACCTTGTATAATGTGAAATATTACAGTGAACAAAGTATTTAGTTTTTTCTACTAGCAAATTAAGCCTTTTTAAAATTCTGTGCACACAAAAAACATATGCTTATTATATTAAAAATTGATTATTTGAGTGGCTCTTAATTCAAATAAAGCTTTAAATGGAAAAGAATACATTCCAGTATAACAGAATTTTACCTGTACTAAACTAAAATCATATCTAAAATACAAATAAAGAAACAGTACAAAACATATCCTTTCTGAAGCACCATTAACAGCATCTTGAATTGGCATCTAACCACAGCATTGCTTATAAGGTAGTACATCTTGTGCTCTTATTGGCCAAGTTTTTCATCTGCATTCCATGGAAAAAAAGTTTGGCTATCATTTGTAAGAGTATGATCAGTGGTGTGTTGCTATGAGCCCGTGAAATAGAAAAACAAAATTAGGAAAGACCTATGTAGCTAGAAAATGTGGCTTTTTAAAATTGTCATCAGAAAGCTATTAATGACTTTTAAGGAAGCAAGAAAGAAAAAAAATTACTAAATACAAAAGCCTGTTAAAATGATTTCAGTGTTTTATGCTACCCTTATGAAAGTCTTGGACTTCAAATGCTTTTTCCTTTGGTAATGCTGCTAATGATAGCAAAATTTTTAGCCTTACGCCTTGTAACTGGAGACATTATTAATACACAAAAATGCCTTTCATAGTCTGAGCCATCTGATAATAGGGTGGAGTATATTTAAATCATAATGAATTGGGAGGGAAGAGATTGTTATGTGACAGACATAAAAATCCTTTATCATTTAAGTGAAGTTGCAAGAACAGTCCCCTCATAAGTCATTATTGCCCCCAATATACAAAGTACCAGAGTCCATTGAGAAGTCTTCCAAGGTAAAATTCTGGACCCATATTCCACAGTAGCTCCTATTCTTCCATATCTCGAGCATACCATGTTCAGAGACTTAGAAAACTTGTAGGAACATGTGAGCAGCTCTGAGGTCTTTATTCAAGTATAAGACTTAATGGAGGCCTAACCAGGTCAGCACCTTCAGAGGGCGTACAGGTGGCCCCTCTTACCTTGTATACCTAATGTTAAGAACTCTACAGAATACTAGGGAGGGCCTTTTTCAGGAGAAAACAAAGATTTCCTTTTTTGAAAATATAAATTCAACTTCCTTTCTCAATTTTTTATAAGCCATGTTAACAATATTTTATTTTATCATGAATATCTGAAATATTAGGAATAAGAAAAGCTCACAAGAGCTTTAAGTTATGATAAAATACTTGAAGATAAAGGCAGCATTCTTTCTTTCCTCTGCATTGGGCTTGATTGGTGGTTCACTAAACTGAAAAGCCACAGGTGGTACTGCAGACTAACTGCAAATGGCCCTCATATTCCAGCCACCACAGAAGCTAGAAAAGTTTTGACTTCTGTATCAGTTAGGCTAACACAGATAGATGTAGTAACAAACAACATGAAAATGTTAGGAGCTTAAACACAGCTAAGTTTATTTCTTGCTACCATGTGTCAGAAAAGGAGCTCTGGGCACAGTAGCGACTTAGGGACACTGGAAGATGGAGAGTCAGTTACTTCCACAATCATAGAGGCAGAGAACTTGCCAAGCTGTGCGCAGGCTCTGAAAGCTACTTCCTAGAAGTAACAGTCATCACTTCTGCTCAAATTTCACTGACTAAGTCAAGTTACACAGCCATGCCTGCATTCAGTGTGGTGGAGATATGTAATCCTCCTGCAGAGAGAGATACTGTATATTTGTAACCAATAATATAACTACCAAACTTCCAATTCTATTTGCTATGCCAATGGAGTGTAGGTTTCAGAACAGTTTGCCTGGTTTATTGTGGTTTTCAAACCACCAGCATAAAAGCCTACAGACACATCAAGTGGGAGAGGCCTTGGACTTCATGGCCTGTTCTTCCCAGTGTGGCCACCAGAGTGTGGATTCCAAGGTCCGTTTTTCCTGGTTTGTTAGTACCACTGAATTTTCCGTGAGCATTATCAACTCCCTTCACATAGTAACTTTGGGCTCAGGAAGAAAAGGCATTCATAATCTCATTTAAGAGGGTGAAGATAGAGTGGGAAGGAGGATACAGAGACTGCCATAAAAACCTGTTCATGTTCTATTATTTACACAATGGGAGTTTTCTGAGAATTGCTTTTAATGTGAGTTACAAAGAGATTTAAAAATAATAATTAAGTTGTCGATATTAGAACATTTGAAAACTCAGTTCCACTTCCTTTGCTTAATTCTAATAATCTGACCCTAATTCCCTTCTCTAATGTTTTTATTATATAAATGACAATGATGGATGTATTGTTTGATGGTGAGCCACTGAACAGGTGTAGGAAATATACAAACAGGCAGGCTCCATCTGGAAAATTTTCATCAAAGAGGTAGGATTCTAGGGACTATAAAACTTATTTTTATAATTAAGATAACAAGAGCCATGCTTGAGGGAAGTGAAAAGAAAGGCATACTTTTGAGGAACATTTATTAAGCAACCACTGTACGACAGACTCTGTGCTAGGTACCACGGATCCAAAGTAAATATTTATAGAGAGAGCATATACAGTATATGGTATGGTTTGCAGGAACTCTGGAGGGAGATTTGGCCAAAGGCATCAAAGGCAAATTTGACTAACAGAAGAGGACAAACAAAGAAACAGAAAAAAAGACATAGAAATAGAAAAAATGGAAACAGCAGACCTCTCAGTGACAAGTCAGTATATATTTTAGCATTGAACTCCTTCTTCTGTGGAAGGTTGTGTTTTATATTAAAATGTGAGGCATGCAGAGTATTAGAATTGTAGATTGTAGCTAGTAGACGATACTGAGGAAGCCTAAAAATTTTACCTCTTCAATGTTAGGGAGATTGATGGTCAGCCAGTGAAAAATGGGTCTTCGCTTTTTTATCCTGTCACTGAAGATGAGATGTGATTATTTTGTGGAAAAAGCAGCAACCTTGCACCACTTCTGGCCACTTTAATTTAGGCAAGGACCCATCTATGTTGAGTCACATGTTCCTGTTTAATTAAGAAGGAGTTCAGGGTCAGTGAAAAATGCTAGCAGCTCTGTCATTCCTTTAAGTAACATGGACAGTCAGAGTCAGCATTTGCAGCAATCTTGGGAGCATCAGGAAGAGTTATATCAGGAAACAAGATACTTCACTCCTCTAGCCCAATCCACTTACACAGAGAAAAGAGTTTACTGTATGCCATAAAGTCCTTGACTCTAGACACATAAATTTACTTGTCTTGTTGCCAACCTAAAAGATAGATTGTCTAATCAGCCTCTGAGTATTGAGTTAAAGAAAGGACAAGCAAAAACATTTGGGAGAAAACAGAACCCTAACTAGGATCCAGTGTAAGTTTTTGTTTCACTCGACCTGTTTTTCATGTCAGACCTTTCTATCAGCCTAACTGTAACTTACATTTCAGAATTCAGAGATCTCCTCCCTTTTTCAGACATCACTTCCTCAGAGGCCTTATCCGTGAACCCCATGAAAATAGTCTCCACCCCACCTCCATTATACTCTGTCCCCGAACCTCCTCTATTTTTTCTAAAAACAGATATAACTATCAGAAATTGTACCACTTATTTACTTGTTTATTTTTTGTCTTCCACCAATCTTTTTGTTTTGTTTTGTTTTGTTTTTTTTTGAAAGTCTTGCTGTGTGGCCCAGGCTGGATTCGAACTCCTAGGCTCAAGCTATCCTCCCACTTCAGTCTCCCTACAAGCTGGGACTAGAGGTGTAATTTCTAAGAATTACAGAATTTTGCAGCAAAATATATATATATTTATATAAAATATATATATATCTATCTTGGGGTCAGCACCTTTCTAGTGTTTTTCAGTTTCAAGCAGTATCTTTGGATAGAGGCAGACTAGGAGGCATCTTGATTGCCATTAACACACTGGCTCTTGCCACCAATGTCTAAGCTCCATGAGGAAAGGAATTTATTTTGTTTATTGCTGTGTTTCCATAATGTAAATGTCAAATCCATTACTCACCACAAAAGCATGATTTGGAACCATTTTCCTGGTGAAGGTGTTTCAGATAGCTGAAGGTAGAGAGCTCTCTGGACTCTGAATCCCGACTTCCCTGCTCATTTTATCCTTCATATTCTTCCTCTTACCATTTTTACCAATAGGTTTTTTTAAAAGTAAACAAGAAATTGATTAATTTTATAAATTGGATATCAGAGAGGCTCCTTATATCTCAGAGGCTGTGTGGGAGATATTTAACAAGTACCAACTGGGAGTCAGTGAACGTGCATTCTGGATTGGTGATGTCCTTGGCCAGCCTTGGAGTTCTGGCTTCCTTGAGATCTGAGTCTTCCTATGGAAATCAAGATTACAGTGCATCCTCTCAGAGCCCTGCACTCCGTAGCATGCTAATTCTAGTTATCTACATTTACCTAGATGGCCTTTTCCAATTATCTATGTATATCAGATGGTATCTACATACACCTATATCTGATTCTCATTCCGATCTTTAAAAGTGAGAATATCTGAAATGTGCATTTGGCTTGTTTTGGGGTTTTCTTTGGTTTGGTTTGATTTTCCTACACTTAGCTAACCAGAACACAAGGGCCTTTTCAGGACCTAGCCAGTTTCCCTCCATTCTTGGAGTAGCTAAGGGCCAGAGAGATGTTACCAAATGTTGTTTGGATGGACCTAGGACCCAAAGCATTTAAGAGGTTTTTGGATCTCGGAGCAAGAAAGGAACCTTAGGAGATATGAGGACAAATACAAATATCTTTTGTATTGATTCTAATTCCAAATCAAGTAAATTGGAGAACATGAGAATAAATGTGGTATTTAATTTGTTACAGTTTCTCCTCCCATCTATGAAGAATCTTCAAGCTATGAAGAGATATGTGGTGCCACTTTTCTCCTTCAAATCTCCTTTCTCTGTTTTTCAAGGTCAAAAAAATCTGACCAGGATTGTTTCATTTCTTTAGTTGTTTTTTTTTTTATGAAAATGTAGTTAAGCTTTATTGTTATGTTTCAAATTAAGAGTTATGCCTTTGTGTTAATAATGCATGGCAAACTCAGCTATAGAGAGCTTTGCCTAGCAAAGCTCCCTCTCTCCCTTCCTGGTAAACTTTCTGATAGCTCCAATGTTGCACATGCATAAAGTCACTGACTTCACCCAGTATGTCCTGAAGAACAAGGGACTCTCACTTGGACTTGCACAGCCAAAGCAGAGAAAGTGACTCTATTCCCAAAGAAAATGCTCTCTTTGAAATCTCCAGACTTCAAAATAGCACAGTCATCTTCTTTGCTAAGCTTTACAACAACATGAGGAAGGAAAAGGATGATTACAGAAACTTTCTCATATCATTTTATGAAGTTAAATTTACCTACATATTATGTGCTTCAGTGTTTTATATTTTCTTTACAATTTTTTTCTTGCCTGAGTTGTAAATAATTTGCTCCCCCAACCCCCGCAACTTTTCTCCCCTCTGTTTAAATTACTCTGTGCTTTGCATTGCTTGGCATCAAGCAGTATCTTTGGATGGAGGCAGACTAGGAGGCATCTTGATTGCCAGCAAGATCTAACATTCAAAAATAAAGAAATGTTTTTTAAAAAGAAGATCTTTATTCAAGTGTGGTAAAACATTTTCTGAGATCATTCAGGAAGCTTCAGATTTGTGGAAGGGAGGCTGTATGCATATAGAATGTTATTATTGGAACTTTATTATTGTCACATTGATGTTACATTTCTCAGGAAATATATGCTAATGTGTTTCTACTTGCTTTTTTTAAGGCCTTGAGTAGATGTGCTGAATATTGAAGCTATTTGGCTGCCTAGAAAATATATCTTACAATTTATAAGCTGTATGTTATTATTTAAAAAAAAAATCAATAATCTCCCAGAATTTTGCATGAATAATATAGAGATAGAAACTTAGGTGATTTACATCTTATGGTATTCAGTTTTTAAGATACGTACAGATGACATACCAGGCAACCAATAAAAAACTATATAATGTAGAGATTTCTCAATGAAATTAAGATAATTTATAAAATATAGTTTTCCATTTTAATTGTCTGAATTTAAACAACAGAGAGGGGGACTGATAGAATTACAGAATTTTGCAGCAAAAAAATACATATATATATAATCTATCTATTTTATATATATATATTATCTATCTAATATATATATAATCTATCTAATATATATATATATATATATATATATATATATATATATCTTGGGTAGCACTTTTCTAGTGTTTTTGAATTTGTTTACCAGTGAAGTGGAGAACCAGGTCCAGCTCTTTCTCCCCTTGGGAGCACAAGTAGAAATCCCCTCATCCAGCTGGCGTTAAAGAGGTTAAATATCTAAATTCCAAAGTTACTGACTCAAGTATTATTATTAACTACTAATCTTTTACATGCTTCTAGCCATATTTATCCACATTTCCTCTGTTATTATTATAATTGTTTTAGCTGTCTTGTTTATTTCTACATGCAGTAACATTTCCTTGTATGGCAAAATTTTTAAATTATGAACATATATGACATGTATGACATGACATGGATGAAGTACCTATAAGACATCATATATATCGTATAATTATGTGTGCCTCACAAAAGACAAAGTTCTTCCCCAAAGTGACACATCGATTTGAATGATTTAAATATCCATATGCCAGAGATGCAGTACTGACAGAATGAACCACAGAGGTTAATATGTTGCTCCATATGGTAAGTATGGCATTGGCAAGACTTGACTTTGCTATGTTGTATGCGTCATTACCTCAGACCTGATGGACTGGGAGAAAATCCAAAGGAGATTTAAAAAAATAATAATAGAGAAGAGCCTTAGAAATCTATCAGAAGATTTAGTAATATGATAAGGGAATATTTAAGAGACAATGTATTTTTTAAAGCATTAATAAATGGAGGCAAAAATGTTGAGGAATACAGAATATATGTGATAAGTGACCACTTCCATTCATAGAGATTATAAATAAACAACTGAATGGAAAAATGGGTAAAGGAGATGAAAGGCAAGTCACAGAAAAGTGATTACTCAGACTTCTCAAAAAAAAATTGAAAACAAATTGAACTTATTAATATACAAAAAATTAACATTTAAAAAATGTTAAAATTGAATAGTCATTAAAGAAATACAGAATAAAAATAAATAAGATACTTGTGTACTGCAAATTGGCAAGAATTTAAAAGAATGCTATGAATCGATGTGAATAAGGATATGGGAAAACAGACATGCATATGCCGGCAGTGGGGGTGTAAATTGCACAACCCCTTTGGGCGGTAAGTTAGAAATATATTTCTAAAACCATGCAAATTTGCCTTTACTTTATCCCAGCTGTTTTATGTCTAGGAATATATTCTGTGAAATTACAGGCATGCAGAAAGACTACAGACATGCAACATCATTCATGATAGTTTTCAAAAAAAGAAAAAAATTAAATCCTGAAAAGATAAAATATCCAACAATCAAGTATTAGTTCTATAAACAATAGTATGCCCATTTGTAGAATACAAATGCTGCCATTATAAATCCTGTGCCATAAGAAAATTTGTTGGCAGAAAATATTCACACTATATTTCTAGCTGAAAAAGGCAGGCCAGATGTTAGAATCTATGATGTAACTTTTTGAAAAGTATCAGTGCATACAAACATGCAAACATGTATGTTCTATACAAAGAGAACACACACACACACATACATATATATATATATATATATAGAGAGAGAGAGAGAGAGAGAGAGAGACAGAGACAGAGAAATACTAGTGAAACACACCAAAATATTGAGTGATATTTTTAGTTAGGTTCCAAATAAGTTTGTTCTTTTTTTCCATTGACCAATCACTTTCGTAACTAGAGAAAAATTAAATTTTTTCATCCATACTCAAAAATGTATTTATTTTTGAATTACATGTCACTCCTTCTTCAATGAAGTATTTGTTTAATAGGTTTTTTTAAATGTTGTACATATATATATAGATGGTTAAGTATGTAGTAGGGGCATCTGTCTTAACTGGGTGCATGTAGATTTTATAATCTGTTTAATAGTTCACTTACCTGGGATATAATTATCCTGCAACTCCAACTCTCCAGTGAATAATTAAGAATGGGAATTAATCCATGAAAGAGCTCTAAAGCCTAAATGTATGCCATACAGTTACCTGCACTGAAACTGACAGTTTAGATATAGGAGATTCTTTTGAGGCATCTTTATTTTTACTTTAAGCATAAGTCTCATAAATTTGGTTTTCAGGTTCTCATAGATTTTAATCTGCAAGTTAGAAAAAGGCTGTCAGGGAAGGTGCAGTCCAGAGAGAAAAGAAACAAAGATGCTTTTTAAAAAGATTGAAAAGACAGTAAAGGAAAGGGACAAGATTCTTAAAGCATCAGATAGCATGTGGGAAGAAACCTGCTTTTAAGTAGTCTGACGTATCAACTCTCTTACACCAAAGTTTAGTTATTCTATTCATAATGATTTCCTAGAGTTGTGTGGGACACTGGGATACTATTTTCATTCTGTTTAAGAGTATAAGAAAGTATGTGCTACATTTTAGAAAGTTTTTCACTAAAAGTGGTTAAAACTTTTAAAGGTTTTCCTCAAAGGGTTACCCCTCAGTTACTTGGATAATTTCCTTATGTAAAATACTTTTTTTCTTGGCCAAGACAGTCAAAATGGGGCTTTGGTATGGGTATGTGTGTATGTATTCTCACCCAGCAAGTGGCTAGCGATAGGCTTTGATGCTTGGCATTGTAAGTACCAGAATAGCAATGAGTGTGTAAGATGGTCTTGGAGATGCTAAGGATTAGAAAGATCATCAAATAAAGATGATGTAGATGTAGAGACCTGCATTTTAACCTAAGTTATAATATTACTTAAGAGAGTAAAATATGACCAAACTACATCTGTCTTACCCATTGCTAGCAATTGTCACATAACCTAGTTCAATCAGGGTCTCTAAAAGGTCCAAATAATAGTCAAGTCACTTTCCTTTTTTCTGATATATTAAAAAAAATGCAAAACCTGGTTTTAAAATTGTGACATCTTTTTATTCTCTAATCTTATGTGAATGTTTCTGTGACCATATGTGTAACGTTATTTAAAGATGATGATTTAAAAGTCTAAATTTGAGGCCTCTCTTAAATGTAAAAGGTCTCTCACAAATGGCTCTTCTCTTCTTCCCCTTACTACAAAGAGTACAAGACTAAGAGTAGTTCACTTGTAATAGGGATGGGAGGGAGAAGAGATAAAAGAGTATCTGGAGCATGAGACACCCTAAACTTCTCTGAGCGCCTACAGTCTGATCCCTTAGACCAGGGGTCCCCAACCCACCTCTAATGGAAGAAAACTGCTCTATTTGAGTCTTTATAAATCTTATGAGGAGCTCTCAATTTCTTTATTTTGAACTACAAAGAACTGCTTGGAGAGTACATATTATCCTGAAGGGACCTCAAACAAATCTAGTTTTGTATACCTACACCAATAGAGAAACAAATTTCATATCAATCAAGAAACTCACAGTGGTATGACCTCACAATGGCAAGTGTTGGAAATTCTAGTAAACAAAGCTTGTAAAGGATTACTTTAAAAAGGAGTAATGTAGGTAAGTAGTTTTAGGAGAATATGGAAACACGCTTATAAGATAAATAGGAAAACAACAAAACCATGTGGCTGGGAATAAAATTTCCAGGAACAGTAGTAAACATGAATTGAAAAAGTTCCGTTACTTCACAGAACTCAGAAGTGAAAAATATTTACTTTAAACCAGTACGGGTTCCTCGCCTGTTAGAAACTGAGCTGCCCAGCAGGAAGTGAGCGGAAGGCCAGGGAGCATTACCGCCTGAGCTCCACCGCCTGTCAAATCAGCAACGCATTAGATTCTCAAAGGAGTGTGAACCCTATTGTGAACTGCACATGCGAGAGATCTAGGTTGCGCACTCCTTACGAAAATCTAATGCCTGATGGTCTGAGGTGGAACAGTTTCATCCCCAAAATATCCCCACCGCCACCCCTGTTTGTGGAAAAACTGCCTTCCACGAAACCTGTCCCTGGTGCCAAAAGCGCTGGGGACCACTGCCTTAGACTGAGCATCTATTTGATCAGTTGGCTCTCATTTTCTCTAAGTCATCCCTTTGCCTTAAACTGAGCATCTATCTGATCAGCTGGCTCTCATTTTCTCTAAGTCATCGCTTCCTTCCTTTGAACCCACCTTTCCCAGTATACCTCTCTTGCTCCATCAACTTTAAACATACTTTCACTTCCTCTGGAGCATCCTATACCCATCTCACTTTGTTATTTCCTTTAGGTTCCAGTTAGACCTCATTTTCCTTAGCAAGCCCCATTTCTCTACCAAAAATTGTTTAGCTTCCCCTTTTATTACTCTCTCATAGCACTTACTGCACTAATTATGATTGTTTACATAGCTACCTCTCTCCCTCAGACTTCTCTGACACTGCTCTGGAATACAAAATAGTAACTTAACTAGGAACTAGGTGGTCAGCAAACACAGCCATAGAATAGCATGGCATTGGCCTGGCTAGCTCTTATAAGAGGAAATAAAACAATAAGTTATCTCTTTTTGGGTTCCAGGAGACAATATATCTTTAACGTTATAGTTGTTTATGTTTCTCCCCTGTGATTAACATTCTCCTTGCATAGAAATTTACTGAGCCATTATTGAAAATGAAATTTCATGTGTCTTTGCTATATTATTGTTATCAGAACAATCTGTCATTTATTCGTGACATTCTAAATGTTTGACCTTGGATTAGAGCCCTTTGCAAATTTATCTTACATAACTGAGTCATCAAAACAGAATACATTATAATTTAATTATTACTAAATAATGTTAAGTTAATCAAAGTGGTATTTAATACAATTGTATTGGAAATAAGTAATGGGCTCTAAAATAATGAAATATAGACCAAGTATTTTGAAGAATTTGTATCTTTGGCTAGTTTCTTTTCCCTTTGAAAGTAGAAAAATAGTCTAAAATGGCTTTGCTGAACAGAAAATTGTTGTAATTCGCTGAATGATGCTTCCTGCCGTGCTATACTTTTTTGATGGAGGTTTCAGATTTTTTAAAAAATCACTTTGTTTTTACATTTGTTTTATCCATTTTTGAGTATTAGAGGTAATATTTTTCTACACATTACTTTGAGACACAAGAACTGGAATCATAAGGTTAAATTCAGATGAATTGTTGGCAAGACTACTAAATTCAAATGAAAAATTAGATTTTCTGCTTTATATGCAGTATATTAAATTTTCACTCCAAAGACCATAAAACAAGAAACTCAAGAAAATGCAGAGATTACTAAATTTACAGACTGGTACAAAAGCTACAGACATACATCTTTCACCCAAGGTAAAAGATGAGAAAAATATGCAAAGTTAGATAACGTGACCAGGGTGTGTGATTTCTGTTTTGCTTTTGCTAATGGGATGTATTTTCTTTCATTGGTAAATTAGGGCATTTGCTGTAGTAGAAATTACTGGAGAACTTGACTCCAGAAGAGATGGTTCCAGTAAAGAAACTTTTAGAAACAGACTGGTGTCATTACAGCAACAGCTACAATGATCTGGAAAATACATCACAAGACCTGCGGTCAAAGCATAATCTGACAGCAGCCCAGCACCTACTCAAAATGCATTTCATCTTTCTCATGTTTTAGAAACAGTCCAGTGGACATTTTTACAGACGAAGTTATGAGACAAAGTTTACAGACAAGTTATGTGACAAAATTTGAAAAAGGTTTTCCAAATTCTGTCTCATAACTCGCAAAATCAGAAAGCAAATGACTACATTATTTTTAGCTCCACAAAGATGCATCTTTATAGAGTTATGGTTTACTGTCATGCCTCCTGTTCTTAGGATCAATGCAAGAATTTTCAGTTTGTACAGCATTTCTGAGACTTTCGGGCAACCGTAGCTGTAGATAGTCAAGGTATTTTATTCCATGATGTAAATAATATCTCCATTTGAGTTTAATTCCAGGAAAAATTTGCCTGTACATTTATACAGATGATTTGGTACATATATATGAACTTGAGGAAACAAGGCTATGTAACCCTACATATTTATCTTTCTGCCATAGCTGCCAAAAATGTAAAATCAAAGTCAGTTCCTGAGAGTTATAAAATCTGCTATATCATCAGCTAGCTCCTCTTCTTAGTTTAAGATGGTCTAGATTTTTTTTAAATCCCAAATCTTTGTTTTAATCTACCAGACTCATCATATAGTTATCTAATTTGTGCCCTGCATTAGGGGGTACTTGGGAAATAAATGTAGACTGCAATCCATTTGCCTACCCAGAGGGGAGACCAGTTTTAATTTTCAAAAAGACAACATAAGGCTAGAAGTATTGCCAAGACCATAAACCCATTAGAATTAGGCTGTATAGAAATCATTAATAAATATAAATGTCAGGTTTAGGACTCGTGTAGCCCTCTGGAAAAGTATTGAATTATGATTGCTGTCAGGAAAAAGAAAGGTCAACATATGTCTCTGATTTATAGGTGTGGGTATACAATATATAAAACAAATATAATCAGATACGTACTGAATTGCAAGTATTTATAGAATAACTTCACGGTGAAATTATGTGTATATACATGCCTTTATTATACTTATGGCTACATTTTCAGTTTTGCTATCATGTTCAGGAAAGCAAAGCCCTTTCAGGGGACTTTTCAAACTGTGTCAAGGAAGGAAATGTGGAACCTGTAGTTTTATGCACTACCTATCTTATTACCACCATCGTAATAAAACTTTCATTGTAAAAGAAGCCGTTAAGAACAAGCCATTTTGGAGATATTTTATTGAGCTTTAAAAATATTCATGTTGTCTTTTA
This sequence comes from Homo sapiens, assembly GCF_000001405.40. Classification (NCBI taxonomy): domain Eukaryota; kingdom Metazoa; phylum Chordata; class Mammalia; order Primates; family Hominidae; genus Homo; species Homo sapiens. The sequence continues at coordinate 109,152,933 of NC_000005.10, forward strand.
AAAATAGATTAACAGTGGATTAACAAAACATAGATTAGAACTAGAGAGTATCAAAAAAGAGTATGGAAGAAGATACCATAGCTATATACATGGTATATGTGTATAGCTAAACTCAAGTGATTTAGTCTTTAGAATTAGGAAAATCTATTCATTAGCCACAGAGTCAAAATGAAGATGAACATGAAGCCCTTTTTATGATCTCATGAAGCAGAGAAAATTTCATTATACCATGGTGGTGCTATTTCTCAAGCAAACTATTAAACCAGGATTTTATGGTAAAAAAAAAAAAATCAATTTGGACACTCATTTGAGTTTTTATTAAAAAGCAGCATTATGTTATGATCAATCACATTATCCATCAATATAGTTACATCTTCTGGTTGTACATATACATACAGAGATATTTCAAGTGATAGGATTTGATATGATTGTTTTTCTTTGTGCTTTTCTATGATTGCTTGATTTTTTATTTTAAAAATGCCTTATTTTACAACAGCAACAAAATTCATTCTAAAACTAGGGAAAAAAAGGTTTGACTTAACGGTTGTATTTTCAGTAATAAAGTGTGCTAACAATTCCAGTATATCATATTTGACTGAAAGATCTTGGGTGGGACAGTGGGAAGAGTGAGCACCAGAATCACTTCTTAATACTAACTCTATCATTTATTCACTGCATAACACAGTAGTTATCAACATTTATGTATTGCTTTCTATTTGCCAGGATCTATTCTAAATTTTACTAATTTAATCCTCACTATGAGGCAAGTGATATCATTATCCCCAGTTTACAGATAAGGAAAATGAGGCCCAGTGATGTATAGCTAGTAATAAGTGGCAGACTCTGAATTTGAACCCAGGCTCTAGAGTCCTTGTATTTAACCATTAGCAGTATACCGTCTCTCATATTGGGAAAGTCACTTCAGTTATCAGAGCCTCTGCTTTCTCATCTCAAAAATAAAGTGACTGGCTCCAGAATGTTTTATTATAGACAGTTTGCCTGGAAACACAGAAAGAATCAAGTGGCAGGGAGCAGTGAATTACCATATTCTCAGCGATCTTTCTCAAGTCATTGTCTTATATTTGTTTAAGGATCTCTAGGTTTGCAGAAACTAGCAAGAGTATAGTTAATATGCATACTTACGCAAAAAAAAAACCCATGCTGCTCGAAGAACGGGTCCACCCTGCATAGGAGTTTAGTTCTGATAAGTCTCATAATTGGAACCAGAAAACAAGTGTAACAGATGTTTTGACATTATACTTCTTCACAGCAGGTGTCATGGATAGCTATAACAGTTACAAACCTTTACCAGAAGTATGAAAACTGAAGGAACAGGGAAGAAACCTTCAGAGACTGTGCTATGTTTATCTTCCTTGATGAAGTGTATCACCAGTTTTGAGAACATTAAATGGAAGCTGATTTTTACCACGTAAAAGGTGAAAGCCTTGATGAAATGATTTCTGTGTTCCAATTTATTAGGAAAGATAAGATAAATAATTCAGAACTGAAAGTAGGAAAGAAACTTTTTTATAGAGAGTAAAAAAGAAACCAAATCCATGCCTGTAAGATGAACATGGAAGAATGAGTGGGTTAAAGAATACAGGAAGAAAAAACTCACATCTTATAGCCCTTAACTATTAACATTTAGATAAAGATGGAAGGAAAGAGGAATCTCGTTTAAGACATAGTTTACTTATACCTTAGCCACTTTCAAAATGTTCAGAGAAAGGAAAAGTACTATTCGACATCTATATCACTTTTCCTGTTGTGGCTGTAACAAATTACCACAAATTTTATTCAACCTACCACATTATCTTAAGACCCTAAAATGAAAAAATGACTCATTTGGAATAGGGACCTTCAAAACTGAAATTTTGAAATAATAGTGAAAGATCCAATATTAGCTAAGAAAAGTTAGACATACGCTATAATAACAAATAAATACTACATCTCAGTGGCTTCGTGTATAAAACAGTATTTCTTGCTCTTGGAATATCTTTTATGAGTCCTATAACTACAGAGCATCTCCATCTCAAGCAGGAACTCTGAGAAACCAGTGTGGGTTAATCTTATAACTCTATCATCTCGATATGTACCCTACATTTGCCATGGCAAGAGGAGCCCTAAATAGTTACATGGAAGCTTTTTACTCCCTAGTTCAAAAGTAACATGTCACACATTCATATTCTCTTGTCATATGGCCCACCTAGCCCTAAGGAAGCTAGGAAGTGTATTCCATGTGCTCGGGAATGAAGAACCAGATATTGATGTCTCTTAAGTAACTGATATGTTACTGCCTAGGATCCTATCTGGCAAGAAACTTTCTGTGAGACTAGCATAAGCAGGTTTCAAAATTTTTAATGAGCTGAGGTCATTGAAAAATATGAAGAGTAGTCAAGTTAAAAAAGTAAGATGAACATTTTGGGGGTTAGTGTTCAAACTAGGAAGAATAGAGCCGATACTTAGAAAAGATGTGATCATTTTAACAAGAGATAGGGCAAATCAGGAGAGAAGAGAAATTGCATAGAGGTACTTGTAATTCAAGAGTGACTAGGAAAGTTTAATTGCTTGGAGTGGGTTTCCTGGTTAAGATTAATTGTAGCCCAAAGTAAAAGAAAACCTGCAAGTGAGATCACTAAACTGTTGATAGTGATCTCAACACTCATGGAGAATAGAAAGGGAACTACAGCACTAAAGTCTACAAATATTGTCTTGATTTTTCACAAGAGTGAAAATATAGATTCTGAAACCTTTATACCAGAGAGCTTGATGATACTCTCTTACACAATTCTGAAATGGATGATAAAATAGATTGTGAGTCCATAGAAGGGAAAGTGATGGTCAAATGAAGCCAGCATGAACTCAAAAACATTTCTTTCTCTTCATTTCCTGAGAGAGCCTATACACTGGTAGATAAGGGAAACAGTGTGGTTATATCAGGGTTTCACTAAGGTTTTTGAGAAAGTTTCTCATGATATCTCTTGAGGACCAGATGAGGAAAGGGGTTCTAATTGATAATACAGTTAAGTGGATTTGTAACAAGTGGCAAATAAGAGAAAGTTTTTTTAAAAAAGTAAGAATAGAAAAATGAACTACAGCCAAATCATGAAAATCCTTATAAGCGATATTAAGGGATTTAGACTTTTTAAAATTATAATCTGTATTTACTAAGGCTAAGAAATGATAAGATTTGTGTTATAGAAATAACACTTTTCTGCAGTGTAGACAACGCTTAAAGCAAGCTAATACCAGAGACAAGCCAGGAGGTAAGAGGTGATGGTAGACGGAATTGAGAGAGTTGCAGTATAATTAGACAGTAGTTGATAGATTTGAAAGGCCTTAAGTTCATAAGGTGGACAGGGTTTTTCATTAATAGAATGTCAGAGTGGAAATACAGTGAAACACCAAACACTACACTCAGGAAGAAGACTTGAGCAAATTAGTGAATAGTGGTACCATTGGCTGATAAAGAAAGCAGATTTAGATTATGATAAATTTTAGGTAGCTGTAGGATAGCAAACTAGAGCTATCTGGAGGCACCTAGTTAAGCCCTGGAACAAAGGAGGAATTTAGGGCAGAGATCTAGGTCTAGATCTCTAGGAGTCATGAGCATATAGATGACAGTAAGAGCCATAGAAGTATATGAGATGATCTAGAAAGACCCTATAGACTGAAAAGAAAAGAGCACCTGGGACCAAACCTGGGGGAACATCAATGTTTAAGGAATTTATGGGCAGAAGAGACCAAGAGGGGGTAGTCAAAGGTGGTCTAGTGATTAGAAACTAAAGGAATAGTTTCAAAGAAGCAGTGGTCAGTAATGTAAAGTGCTACTGAAAAATCAAGAAAAAGAAGGCCCTGAGTATGCATAGCATGTAACCACAACGAAGCTAGAGCAGTTTCAATAAAGTAATGGGGGCAAAATCATATTAATATTATGGAGGGCCAAGAAAGGAGGTGAAGTAATAGAAACAGAGAATGGGGTGATATCTGGAAGGGGCTCAAAGGTAAGATTTTTTAATGCTCAGATGCTAATGGAGTCCATGGAGAAGAGGAGGTAGACCACACTTGGTAAGTAAATTATGCTAAACTGAGACCCAGCCAGTTATTTCTCCTAGGCCATAAATCACAGGAATATCATAGTGTTTTTTGAAAACTGCCAAGCTATGTGGATTTCATGCTTGTTACATCATGATGAAGCTTGGTATAGCCCCTTACTCTCTCCAAAAGTCAATCAGAACTGTAGACTTACTATTTCTCAATCAATCAAAAATATATACACAATTAAATTGAATCTGATCTTTATTACCTTCTGAGAGACACTTGTGTTTTTAAATCTGCTGGCAGTTCAGTGTTACACAGATTTTCTTAGTGACGGTTTCTATGAAAACACTTTAAAATGCAATTTACTGCTGTGATCAGTAATGGGGGAGGCTGTAAAATTTCCACTGTTCTAAATTCTACTCCCTTTGCTCTGTCATGCCTGGACTGTCATTTTTGTAAACCATTGTCTTCTTGTTGGAATTTTCTGCTGGAGTGTACATTGCTGTTGCTAGTGTTTTATTCGATCACTGGCGATGAGTTCTGTTTTTTTTTTCTGATATCGAGCATTTCAAACTGTTCCCTAATGAGTCTGCCTCTGTGCTCCAGTGCTGTTAACTTCAATAGATTTCCTATTGTGAGGATATGCTTCCAAAAAATAATTGACTTATTTTCCTTAGTGACTTTCCATTTTTATGGAATTTTCATTATTTCTAAAATTGTGGATTTTAGTTTACCTACCCAGAACTTCTCTGATACAAATTTAGTTTCAAAGTTTAAGTGGCATTTGAATACTGGGGACTTGAGAACTTTGATGCATTTATTCAGCAAACATGTATTGAGAACTACTGTATAGCAGCATCTACCTCGGTTTTGAGGTTCCAACTCACATAAGAAGTTCTGCACGAAGCTGACATTTGAGACAGAGTCAGACAAAGCTATGATTACTATTCAGTGAGATACGTGACGAATATTGCTATGGTATCATAGAAAAGCCTTTCTGAAAGTAACAATGCTGGAGTTAGGTTTTGAAGAATGCATAGGATTTAGCTAGATGAAGAAGGGAGAGAGCTAAGTTAAAAGAAAAAAGAAAAAAAAACAGGCGTGTATCTATTTTTTAAATAGGCTGGGCACGGTGGCTCATGCCTGTAACCCCTCAGCACTTTGGGAGCCTGAGGTGGGAAAATTGCTTGAGCCCAGGACTTAGAGACCAGCCTGGGCAACATGATGAAACCCCGTCTCTACAAAAAAAATACCAAAAAATTAGCCGGGCTTGGTGGCACATGCCTGTAGGTCCCATATACTGGGGGTCAGAAGTCGGGGTCGGGGCAGTTGAGGTAGATGAATCACCTGAACCCGGAAGTCAAAGCTGCAGTGAGCTCTAATCAGAACACTTCACTCCAGCCTGGGTGACAGAGTGAGACACTGTCTCAAAAAATAATAAAAATAAAAATTAGTCTATATTTTATATAAAGAAGCTGGGAGTCTGTGAAATGAGTTAGAAAAAAATGATGGCAGGGAGAATGCTTCACTTAAGAATACCAATCTTCTCCTAGAATTATAGCCTCCATTTTGTCATTCAATCTACCATTTACTTTTGCTTTGATATTCTTTTAAATCTCAGCTCTGTTCATCATACCTCTCTTGAGAAATCTTTAGTGGCTCAACATTGCCTTCGGATGATAGCTAGCATTCGAGACTCTCCAGAATCTAGCTTGAGTGTCTTCATTAATTTAGGGCCTACTGATCCTCTCAAAAATTGAAGTACTCGTTGTTCCCTGAACTCACTTCTCACTTTCTTATCTCCACCTCTGCTCAGGTTATACCTTCTACTTAGAATGCTCTTCCTTTCTGTCTGCCTTTTCTGCCATATCTTAGAATCATACCTATTCTTAGAACCTAAAATATCTGAAATAATTATTAGTATGTTCATGAATACCAATAATGAAAGTCATTTAAAATAATTATTAAAATAATTTTAAATTCAGTCATTAAAAAGAATTTTATGGGATTATTATGAAAAGATATATTGCTAGATAAAACAAAAGGGATATAATATAGTATGTTTAATCACATTTTTTAAAAATAAACTGCTGAGCAAACTTTAGGCATATTCAACCTGGTATTAACAGTCATTATCTCTGGCCAGTTGGGTAAAAGCTACTCTTCTCCCTACCCCTGTTTTGGCTTTTCTATATTTTATCAGTAAACTTCTTGTGCTTTTACAGTAAGAAAACAAAATAATAGATGTTATTTTCAACTTTTAAAATAGTTCTAAAAACCCTACTCTTCTTTCAAGCGGCTCAACTTAGTCTTTCCTTCACAGATTTTCCTGCCATTCACCAATCAGAAATAATCTTTACCTTTTCTATCACATATTTTTGTGTTTATAGCAGCATCTCTCATTCTATGATTATATTTTAATTACATGCTAGAACTCCCACAGTAACCAGTTGGTACCATGAACAGGGATCACTCTGTTGAATGAATGAATTCATGCTGATGGCAATTTGAAGTAGTTATTTTCTTTAAAGGGCTTAAAACCTTATTAGAGAGACAATACATGTCAAGAAAAATATAAAATAGATGTTAATTTATAAGACAATAATTGTCAAGTAGTATATAAATGTGGGGTGTATAGTACGGTCAGTACTAAAGGACTTCTTTAAACACTGTCAGTAGAATCCTCTTTCATAAAATGAGATTCAGGGATTATGGCTGAGATAGGTGCCAAAAGGAAGTAGTTTTACTTGGAAAAATACTTCAGGAACATTTGAAGGTCAAAATTATGAATGCAGAGGCACAGACTAGAGTCTGCGAATAGTCGCAGCCCACCCTCCCCAGGCCTCTCATAGAGGCTCTGCACAAAAATAGTCTGTGGCAGCAGTAATCTACTAAGCAGATGATCTGCACTGATAAAAAACCATTGACTAGTTTTGATTTACCTACCTTTTCTGTTTTCTTAGTGATGGTTATTAAAGTGACAAAGAGAAAGACTACATTTGGTGGGGGTGGGGATCCCAACTTAAACCTTGTAAGAGCATCTGCTGGGAGGAAAGAAATGAACCAGAGATATCTTTTTGTCTCAAATCAAGTAAATATTTAGTGAAAGATTGGAATGTCATTCATGCTTACTACATTCAGATGTAGTATAAGAAAAACAAGGCATCCCGAATAGATTTCTTCCCCTAAAATTAAAAATTAGCCTATGGAACTATACAGGTAACTCTTAGGATTCAGTCAGATTCCAGACTTAGTGATACTGACTGGCACATCTGCAGACTTCATGGGAAGAAACAGTGATGAATCAAACGACAGGGATGAAAAGAGATTCATGAGGCATCCTGTCCACCAGGAAACCTTGCTGCATCCTAAATGCAAACTGGTTCAGTTCATTTTCTCTCATCTCCTTTCTCTATTAGTATATCAATAACTTTTCTTGAAGAAATATATACATAATTGCAAATGGTGTTGTCAGTGTTTCATAAGAAGAAAATTCCTGTTCTGGAAGCATCCAGTCGTAACTTGCTGTGCAAAATACTATGTCTTCCCTACTTTATTCATTCTTAGAGCTATTAAATTTCGGTTCTCTGTGCTAAATAAATTCATCCAATCCTGGTTCAAGTAACCTCCTTCTTAGGTCTAGATACTGTTTTCATTACTGTTGCCTTTAATTTTGTCTAATTGTAAAATGCCGAAGTAGACACAATTTGGCAGCCCTTGAGAAGCACTGCCTGCTCTTCTCTGAGTCTGTTTTTGTAAGCAGAATGTCAACTGTCTGGGTCATAGAAGAAGAAACAAACCAACCTTTGGGACCAGACCAATTGTGTAGCTGTATAAAAACACCTAGAGAATTTTTCTATCTAAATTCTGAATTTAAGATGAAAATAGACCTCTAGTACCTGAACTTTCTCTTGGGAATCTGAAAGACTGATGACGGATGCTACATGTGGGAGTTGGAGAAAAGCCACACCTTGATATATTATCTTATTCTTTGCCATTCTTAGCATAATGACCTTTTTTCAAATTCTGTCTCTCCAAGGTGCACTAAAAGCTTTTGAGTACTTGTCATACATAAACACTAAATGCAAAGATCAAGAGAAAGTAATGTGTAAGATTAAAAATAGGAGCAATGGCTTAAAGTAAGATGCTGAATGTTGTTAATGTATTCCTCTTACAGCTTCGTTGTTTATAAAAGGTTCTTTATTTAAATATCCTTTTCAAATAGTGTCTGTAGGATGCTTCTGTAAGTAATATTTGTAGATTTAAAATTATGAGGCCATAAGTATCTTGAAATATTATTTTAAGTTCAGGGGTATATGTGCAGGTTTGTTAGATTGGTAAACTTGTGTCATGGGGGTTTATTGTACACAGTATTTTGTCACCCAGGTATTAAGTCTAGTACCCACTAGACTTACTGGGTTATTTTTCCTGACCCTCTCCCTCCTCCCACCCTTCATAAGCCCAAGTGTGTATTGTTCCCCTCTATGTATCCATGTGTTCTCATCGTTTAGCTCCCACTTATAAGCGAGAATATGTGGTATTTGGTTTTCTCTTCCTGCATTAGTTTGCTAAGGATGTTCCTTCAAAGGACAGGATCTCATTCCTTTTTACAGCTACATAGCATTCCATGATGTATATGTACCACATTTTCTTTATCCAGTCTACCATTAATGGGCATTTAGGTTGATTCCATATCTTTGCTATTGTGAATAGTGAGGCAGTGAATATACGCGTATATGTGTATTTATGGTAGAACGATTTTATTCCTTTGGGTATATGCCCATTATGGGTATATTAGACCCCAGTGCAACCCCAATGTGATTGCTTGGTCTAATGGTAGCTCTGTTTCTAGGTCTTTGAGGAATCGCCACACTGTCTTCCACAATTATTGAACTATTTACACTCCAACCAACAGTGTATAAACCTTCCTTTCTCTCTACAACCTCACTAGCATCTGTTACTTACTTTTTAATAGCCATTCCGACTGGTGTGAGAGGGTATCTCATTGTGGTTTTAATTTGCATTTCTCTATCAATGATGAGTTTTTCATATGCTTGTTGGCCATATGTATGTTGTCTTTTGAAAAGTCTGTTCATGTCCTATACCTACTTTTTAACAGAGTTGTTTGGTTTTTTCTTGTAAATGTTTCTTAGTGGTCTAAAATATGTATGTACTTTTTCAGGAATGCTTTACTCTCAAGTCATTTTTGTACTGTTAATAGCTTTTAAAACAAATAGGGAATCTCCAAATGAGTAACATTTCATGGTATAACTCAGTCTGTTTCGTAAGAGTTCTTTCGTTTGAAAGAATTAGTCATTATAATCCCATAAGACAGTCATATCATTATTTGGATATTAATAGAAATGCCATTTTTTCCATGGGATAATATCTTAAAATACAAAAATAGTTTATTGAATTTTACTTGTACTGTGTTACCAAAAATAAAGGCCAAAATGAAAAGCTAAGTGCCATCTAGATCCTGTTTGTATTAGAAAAGGCTACATTAGAGCCTCACATTCCCCAGCAAGCCTTTTTCTCTCACAAATACGGTCCACAAGGGTGCTGGTCTTATGGAAATGACTGAACAAAAATCCCACCAAGATAATTTTTAGAAAGCAGAAAACTTAACTTATCCTCAGAAGCATTTTAATACATTTATTTTCTGGAGTTTAACTTAAATTTGACTGTGTGGCCCCTGTTTTGCAATCCCATGTAAAGAAATCCACAGTAACATGCCATCCCAAGTTCTTTATTAGTAACACCAGTAACTTTATAATTTTATATAGTTACAAATAGATATTTACTCAGGAAAAATAACAGATTCACACAAGACTTGCATATTATATATTTGTAAGAATCTTAAGGTGCCTATTTTTTTAATCACCTTTATTGCACTATAAATACAATAAAATGCACCAATTTTAAGGTACAGTTTGATGAGTCTTGCCAAATACATATAGTCATGTCATGTAATCATTACCACACTTCCATCATCCCCAAAAGTTCCCTCACACTGTTTTGCAGTCAGTATCCTTTTCCTATCTCTGGCCCTAGGGAACCACTCATCTGTCACTGTAGCTTAGATGTTTCTAAAATTGCATTTACATCGAGCTATGATCTCTAATGTCTAAATGATCGACATTTAGATCATTTCATTAGAACAAAACATATGCAGTATGTTTTGTTCTAGCTTTCTTTTTTGTAACTTATAATGCTTTTCAGATCTGTCCATATTATTGCGTATGTTAGTTTATGCTTTTTTATTTCTGAGTATTTCATTGTATGAATATATTACAGATTGTTTTCCAATCTCCAGTTGATAAACAGGTGGGTTATTTCCAGTTTAGGGCCATTATGAAGAAAGCTGCTCTGAATAGTCATATGTAAGTCTTTGTGTCAGTGTGTTATTTTTCTTGAGAAAATATCTAGAAGGTGAGTGGCTGGGTTCTATGGAAAAAAATTACATTTAGCTTTATAAGAAACTACAAAACTGTTTTCCAAAGTGGTTGTTCCACTTTGTGTTCTCACCAACAATGTATGACAGCTGCTATTTCTTCATGTCTTTGTCAACACTTGTTACCGTCAGTCTTGAGTTTTAGTCATTCTGGTGGGTATGTGCAGTGATATCTCATTGTGGTTTACATTTTTTTAAAATTAGAGACAGGATCCCACTGTGTTGCCCAGGCTGGTCTTGAACTCCTGCGCTCGATCCTCCTGCCTCGGCTTCCTAGAGTGGTGGGATTACAGGCATGAGCTACTGCACCCGGCCTAAAAATTTTTGAATAAAATACTAAACATTTTTTTAAAAACATTTCTGCTACTTAGTGTATTCTTTGATCATCTAACATAAATATGATTTGGAATATAAGGAAAACCTTAATACACTATTCTGGATGTCTGATAGGGTTTTAGACAATAACTTCATGGCAGTTTGATGAGGTTTATTTGTCTATTCTATAGCTAATAGATTATGAAAACATTCAGAAAATAAAGTGAATTCCTTATTGCATAGTGGTTGTTTTGCCTATTGTTGTATTAGTAGTCAGTCACCCAAATACCTAAGCTGCATAAAACCTAAACCAGTTAACATTTAAAAATAATGTTTGAGATTATAGCTGGAAAGTCCTAGTGGATTGGCTCATTCTTTCTCAGAGTCACATTTGCTCCCAGTAAGGTGTTTTCAGAGGCCTTCGTCAGTCTTGCTTCAAATAAGCTGAGCAGTGAAGCAGACACAACTTCCCCAAAATGACATCAGTGCCTTTTTAATAATTAGACCCCACGCTGGCATAGTGTGTTACTCCATAATTGCTGATTGTTTTCACATGGATAGAATTTGAATGACCCTGTCTTCCATTAGTGATAGTATTAAGATAGTCCAAGGTGGCCTCCATTTTTCTTTACTATTGTTAACTAAGTTGCTCTTTGCTTAGAAGGAGGTCCTCTGGTCCTTGTTTAATACTTGCTTCTAATGCTGCCTACTCCATTTGTGCTGATACTGCTGACATTCCATCTATTACATGTTTTATACATTGCTCCTTTCTGAATCATGTCTATATCTGTATTGAATTGTGTTTCTTTTATTCTTGCTCTTAACTATGTGTCTTGATTCTTGTTGTTTTCACTATATTTGCTGCATTTGCCATTTAGTATCATTAACATATCTTTTTCATGAATTCCACCTTTTAGAAATATGGTTCCTTTTATTCTAATTGATGCCTTTTCCTCAAATTTCATTTCCTGATAGCAATATTGTCACACCTTCTGTTTGGTAGCATATACTAAACAGTCTTGCCTTTTACATCCTAATCCTTATTTTCATGTATGTGAACAGGAGAGCAACTTTGGCATATTTTTACTTTTCACTTCCTCCCTTCCACTTAGCATGTTGACGCCATCTAAAATTTTGTCTCCATTTTTTAAACAGATGAATCAACAATTATGTAGTCGTAATTGTCTCACTTCTTTGCTCCTGTTTTTCCTCCCCATCTCTTCCCCTTTTGTAGATTCCCTTTTTACATTATAAGGAATAGATCCTTGAGTAATTCTTTTTTATGTGTGCTATTTGATGATGTATTATTTAACTAGGTCCTATCAGAGGAACATAAAAGTTCCATGAGGACATGAATTCTTGTCTTTTGTTGTTCCCTGCCTTGCCTAGAACAGTGCCTGGCAAATAGTAAGTGCTACATATATATTTTTTGAATGAATAAATTGTTTATGGAAACAATTATAAATTGTCAATCACATGTTACTACTTTCTGACACCAGGTATACCCCTACAAGAGGTGATCATTATTGATGACTCAGGGTCCTCATTATCTCTATTGCTCTAATTTGAGTGCCTCTAAATTAAATAGTTTCAATATGCCAGGTTTAAATTTTTCTTCTCTTTATATCAGACTAAAAGTGGTAGTAGTAGAATCCTCGGAGTATGGCATTTGCTGGCGCCAGAGGTATTCCAAGAAGCAGTTCCTAGAAGATGTTAACCAAAGGTCATCAGATCCAGAGAGGAAGGAAAGGAGACAACATGATTTTCAGAGGGAGGAACTATCCTCAGATGAGGGAAGGGTCACTTTTAGGGAAATAAAGTGCACACCACACAGGTGGGAGGAGGGAACTGGTGTGTGTGTGTGTGTGTGTGTGTGTGTGTGTGTGTGTGTGTGTGTATACACACATATATATCACAGACTCAGTCTTATGTACATATTGAGCAGAGTTGGGGAAAATCTATGACTATTCATGAGGGAAATCAGGCACTTGCATAGTGGGTGGTAAACATATGTAACATACATCCCATGTTCATTCTATGGTGGCGTTTTAGTATTAAAGTAAGGTGGAACTTGGCTCTTCATGCCCTGTAATTCACTTATTTGACATAAAGGCAATTTGTGTGCAGCCTTCAGCTGACCAAAACTGGCTGTCTATCAATAAACAATGTTTATAAAACAGGTCCTCTGTCTAATTGGAGTTATGGCAGGACCACAAGGCAGGGGAAAGGGGTTGTCAGCTGGCATCCAGCAGTCTATCAGGGTTGGTTGGGAAAATTTCCAGCTATAGTTGTTTCAGCAATGCTTCTCAGGAGCTGGTTTCTGCTTGATTACAGGAAAACTTATGGCACAACATTGGGACCAACCCCTCATCCTGCTAGCCATGAGATTTTCTTTTTTTTTTTCATTTTCTCATGTTAGCCTAGCCATAGGGTTTCCATCTTGTCTGTCTGTCTGTTGGGGTATATTTTAACAGAGATATGACTTAATAGCCTGGCAGATGTCAGTGCACCAAAGCTTGGAAGAGGGAAAATTTAGGTTTGTAACTCATAACAAGCCGGTTAAAATGAGTTCAAAGTTGAAGATGAGAAGCCAAGACAGAAGACATTATTACCCCAATGAGAAGGCACCTGCAACAGCTTTCTATCAGGTGTGAATGAGAAAGAAGCAAGTAATTAGCTCTGCTCCCTCCCTGAACAGTGATCATTTTTCTTCCATCTCTAACCCCAAGTCTGCCCATTCTTACTGTTGAGCTATCATTTGCACTATTAATCAATCTGTTGTCCCAGTTATCTATTGATTCATAAAATACCACCCCAAAGTATTTTGTCTTATAGTACAGTGTCTCAAAGTATAGTGTCTTAACACACAACTGTTTATTTCTTATTGTTCTGTCAGTTTGGGTCAACAGTTTGTGCTGGGCTCAGCTGAATAGTTTTCCACTGTTCTACTCAGGAATCACTTTTGTAGCTTCAGTCATTGGTAGCCTTACTAGGGCTGGAGAGTATAACATACCCTCACATTTACATGTCTGGGGCCTTTATGCTGGCTGTAGATTGAGTCCCTCTCATTCGACATGGTTTCTCACCTGGGCTTCTTTACATGGTATCAGGAATGTTCCAGAAAGACAAAAGTTGGAAGCTGCAAGGTCTCTTGTGGCCTACACTCCAGAACTTCATACCATCACTTCTACCACATTCTGCTAGGTTAGCCTAGATACAAAAGGGTAGAGAAGTACAAAATGTTACGGCTTCATTTTTCATATCACACCTGTGAGAGCCTACCTCTCAGCATTACCTTCAAACTTGAAATTTTCAATATTGCAATTTATGGGTTTGCATAACTATCTCTTCTTATAGAATTGAACTCTTTGAGGGAAGGAATTAGTTTATCTATATCTGCAGTATATAACAGAGGACTTGTTATGAGTAAGATCTCAATAAATGAATGGTGTGCCAGCTGGTTGATACGTACATACATATACATGAATGAATATCCTGTTTTACATGGCTAAATTCTGTGATTATAAGATTAACAGAAATGGTACTTTGCAAAAACTCCAAAGTAAATTGGAAGTATGTCTTTTCCATTTTAAAATAGTAGGGGTTTTTGTGTATATGTCAGTCAATAACCATAGAATGCAGTGTTCCTAGAACATACAAATTCATCTGCATAATAGAGACTTAGTAATGTTTCCTGATTCAGTTCCCAGATCAAATAACCAGAAATGATCATCTCTTTTCTACACCATCATTGTCAAATATGTTGGACCTTTTATAGTCCAAGTTACATTTTGTCTTTGGCGTGTATTTAAGGTCAGATTCATTACCATTTGTGCCAAAATAACAAGGTCTTAAAAGTAGTTGCAAATGTAGACCCAAATTACTTTGTAACTACAGTTCTTAAACCTTATGTCAGAATTCCTGAGGGCCTTCTGCCAGAATTGGAGTTAACAATGAATGCAACTATATTGCTTGATAGTAAAAATAGCCTACTAGTTCTGCCCCAGTGTAACCTTACCCTATCTGAATGGGAGTGGTCTGAGGGGGAGGTACTTGTGGACTAGGATTGTTGCCTATAGTCTAGACAAGCAGGGTAGTCAAACCTAGTGTCCCTTCCAAAGGTAGAAAAGTTTCAGTATGAATGAACAGAAGGAAAAATAGCTGAGGGTAAAGAAATGAACAAATGAATTATATGAGAGAAATCCAATATTATATTACCTTAAAAGAGGCTCAGAGCAAGAGATGACACTGTCTCTTAGCTTAATTATACCAAATGCCTGAAAGAGTGAACCTGTATGTTTTCTGAGACCACTCCTGCTTTGGAAGCCTGCAAACCTGAGTGGCCTCACTTTAGGAGACATATTCATACAATATGATGGACTGGACAAATTACAGTATTAATGACTAAATGAATTCTAGTAATGTCCCGGTATCTTTTAAGTCATATATTCTTTGGATGTAACAGATCCCGTTAGAAGACTGGGAGTTGACTGTGATATTGTGAAATATATATTGGTCTTTGTCCCCTTTTCCTGGCATAAATGACGTCTTTTTATATGCTAATGAGTTGACTGACAGCTGGCAACCCCTAGGGAGCTTCAGGATGGGGCCTAGTCACCAGAAAGACCAAGGCATGACTGGAGGGTTGGGACTTTTGTCTCCATCCCCCAATCTCTGGGGAGTGAAGGAGGGCTGAAAGTAAATTGGTCACCAGTGGTTTAATCAGTCATGCCTGTGTATTGAAGCCTCCATAAAAACCCAAAAGGACAGTGTTTCCAGAGCTTCCAGATAGCTAAAGATGAGGGAGGTGCTGGAGGGTGGTGCACCCAGAGAGGGCATGGAATCCCCTTCCCCATACCTCTTCATTTGTATTCTTCAAGATATTATTTATCATAAACTGGCATGTATAAAAAATATTTTGAATAATCTAAAAGGCCTACTACCTAACAGCACTAAAATGACCATTTGATGTTTCACAGAATTTTAAAATCCTATGTCTTAGTTCTTACATAAGTAATTCACATTGAATTTCACCAAGATCCTATGATACCCACTTGCCTACATTGCTGTACACTGTTGCTGAATGCTGTCAAGCAGCTGTCACATTATTCTTCCTGTAATTTGGAAATTGCTATAAATTTGCCAAATTCTTCCAAACCCTTCAGGCATGATAAATTTTACATTTATAGAAATTATTTTGTCCACCTGGAGTCTTTCAGACACTTTTATGTAACTGTGGTCTGCAAGTTAGTAAAAGCAAATTTCATTAAGAGACCAAAAGGACACATGTATATGCAAAGTTAATATTTGCTCAGACAAATAATCCTTCATGAATGCACAATGCAGATTTTTTGTGGATTACATCAAAGAATCACAAAATGAATAACAATCATGGAAGGACATTGGGTGAATATTTTAGGTAAATATTTTTAAAAACCTTTATCTTGTAGAGCTACAAGAAAAGTAGCTATGCATATGAAATCAAGTCTTAATACCATAAAGTCTTATCAAATATAATGCAGAATTAAATTGAACAAAGATAAAGAAAGCTTTCCTGACTATGGAAAGAAAATATATAGAGACAGAAAAGAAATTGAATTTCAGATCTTTGTTTCAAGATAAAAATGAATTATTATAAAATAGACCTGTATTCATAACTTAGACTCTATTTCAGTTTTCTACACTGCGAGCAATCATAGGACTGAAGGGAAATTTATTATAAAGTCACCTGGGATATTACTTCATAAACATAGAAAGCAACATTAGAAATTGAAATGGGAATAATGAAAATTTCATTTTAAAAGAATGTAAATGGGAGGCAAGGAAAGAACTGCTGAGATACATAAAAAAGTCATTACTTCTTTTGAATTCCTATAAATACTGAAAACTGTTTTCCATTAACAGAATACTGGTGCTACAATAAATATATTTCCCCTTTGTATGTTGGGACCAAAACTACTCTAAAAATGCTTTTTGTGATGATATGCCAGATGAAGAGTTTGCCATTTGCCACCCAGGAGTGTGGCCTAGGAGTCAGAAAACCAGAGGTAAATGTGCAAGCTGACCATGTAGCTGTGTCTGGTTGGGAGAATTTAGGGGACGTAGTCCATTATTGGCACTCTTGGTAAAGTACAAAGTCAGTGGCATCCCTTGTACAAAGAAGAAAATCTTGCAAAGAGTTAACCACTGCAGAACATTCAGTATCTAAATCTAGGTGCATTCCACTATAATTAGGGTGTATTTATTCATTAGTAGCTGAACATTTTGCAGACTATAAAAATTTAAATGTTCTTGAGGCTCATTATGGCACCTTGTGCATCACAGATTACACAGTTGCTCTGTATCTTTATGTGCCTTTTATATCTTAATTTAGGTCTTAGTGTGACTATGTATATCACTTCATGAAATTATAAACCATAACAAATGATTATGGAGGAATTGTTATATGCCCTTATAGAAAATAGAATAGAAAAAAATGCATATTTTAGTCCTCCCAATATATTCTTATTCCATAGCCTAAGTGCCAAGTCAGGGGCTTTATTTCATTCATCTTAAATGGGAAAGAAAATAGTTCCCAGGAACAAAATGGCAGAAATCTATCTACTCAGGGATTAAAGAGTATAACTTTTATCAAGATAAAATGAATAGTATTTCAAAGAAACCAAAAGAACACTAAACACTGTGGAAAACAAAGAACTAGAGCTTTGGAGCAAAACAGATTCCATACTCAGCCACTTACCAGCTATGTGATCTTGGGCAAGTTATTTAATCTCTGAGCCTGTTTCTGTATCCATATACAAAGACATCTATGCCTCTGAGTGTGATTGTTAGGATTAGGGATAATAGGTTAAGTTCCTAGCATTGTGCCTGACACATAATAGGTGTCAATCAATGGTTACCAATATTCTTACAGGGTTGGGAAGTGTGATTTCTTGGTTGTAACCCACAGTTACTCAGCAAAGGCAAGCTAGAGGATACTTCCATTGCTATAGTTGAGCTCCTGGGTAGTGGAAATCTTTTAACTTACCCTCTGAGTGTGACTTGCATTCATTAGCTGCTGACACCCACTGTTGTATTGTCAACATGGAAAGCTCTTTGCCAGGACCATCTACCACCTCTGTGAGGCTAGATTCATCTGGCTAGTTACAGGAAGACAGTGCCTTTAACCTGGAGTATACAGGACGTTAGAGTTGAAAGGGTCATATGCTAGCCACCAGCTGGTGCACCATGGACCCGTGGTTCCTCCAAATTATTGCAAGTGTTCCAAGTGTCTATTCAGCATCACCTGATACAGAATAATGTCTTGCATATATCTATCTATGTGCACTATTCTTTTACTGTTGTGATTAGTAGAGTGTAAATTCACTTCAAAACATTGTCAAATTCTTAGTAGCTTTTCATCATGTTGTATTTTTGCTGTCAGCCATTATAAAACATGACATCAGGGTTGATGTGTGGTGCAAAGGATCATAAAATTGTTCGACATCATTCAGCAGCCCTCATGCTCAGAAAATCAAGAACTGGTGCTCTCATTTCCAGGGTCCAGGAAAATATGGAACACATAAGCTTATACAGCTTATTAAAGAAAACACTGGGTGAAAACTCTGTTAATCCCTAGTCCAGAACTTCCAACAATGCAAATGTTTGTATCACTGCTTATGGAAAAAATCTGTGGAAGTATTTAGTGTACAGATTAGTATGCATGAAGTTGAGTATTGAAAGAGCATGGGTTATATGAAAGACATTTAAAATGGTATCTGGCACATATAAAGGACTCAATAAATGACAGCCATTATCATGACGGCTATTCAGTAAGAAGTGGTTTTGTCACTTTTTTCTGTCTGTTGCTCAGGTAACTTATTGCATCCAAGTATAACATTTTAAGTTATGTTATTTGTCACTCAGGCAAGTACTTCTGTTTTCACTTCATAGTCTCAGAATGGGAGCGGGTGTATGTTTTTTAAATCTCTCTTCCAGAAGTCTTTTAGGAGTAGACGCTATTGCCATCAATACTGAGACTAACTTCTGAGCCAGGTCCTTGTAGTGCATTTTATTGTAGCCTCAGACAGCTAGTGGCCTTTAATTTGTTTGCTTAAGACAGAGCTCAGTTTTGTTATTAAATTACCCAGTAAAATTTGATATGTTCATCATCACTGGCCATCAGAGAAATGCAAATCAAAACCACAGTGAGATACCATCTCACACCAGTTAGAATGGCAATCATTAAAAAGTCAGGAAACAACAGGTGCTGGAGAGGATGTGGAGAAATAGGAACACTTTTACACTGTTGGTGGGAAGGTAAACTAGTTCAACCATTGTGGAAGTCAGTGTGGCAATTCCTCAGGGATCTAGAACTAGAAATACCATTTGACCCAGCCATCCCATTACTGGGTATATACCCAAAGGACTATAAATCATGCTGCTATAAAGACACATGCACACGTATGCTTATTGCGGCACTATTCACAATAGCAAAGACTTGGAACCAACCCAAATGTCCAACAATGATAGACTGGATTAAGAAAATGTGGCACATATACACCATGGAATACTATGCAGCCATAAAAATCGATGAGTTCATGTCCTTTTTAGGGACATGGATGAAACTGGAAATCATCATTGTCAGTAAACTATCGCAAGGACAAAAGACCAAACACTGCATGTTCTCACTCATAGGTGGGAATTGAACAATGAGAACACATGGACACAGGAAGGGGAACATCACACTCTGGGGACTGTTGTGGGGTGGGGGGAGGGGGGAGGGATAGCATTAGGAGATATACCTAATGCTAAATGACGAGTTACTGGGTGCAGCACACCAGCATGGCACATGTATACATATGTAACTAACCTGCACATTGTGCACATGTACCCTAAAACTTAAAGTATAATAATAAAATAAAAAGAAAAAAATTTTTTATATGTTTCTGTGAACTGAAGAGATTAAAACATTTACTTAAATGTTTTTAATCTGTACCCCCACCAAGTTCCTTTAGACCAGAATCTTTATTAAGAGGTTTAACAATAGATCAATATTTATTTAAAATTTGTGCCTGGAGATTTGGTATTTCATTTCACAATGTGGCCCACAGGTGATAGGGAGCAGAAATATTGACTGAGAGAAATTTATATCTGACTATACAAATTTAGTACCCATTTCATAAACTATAAACCATCCAGATTAATCACAGTAATTAAATGCAAAGAAAGGTCCACTTGGGTTTTTCAGGTAAATTTAAGACAAGCTTTATCACTATATGTTTGGTTCCGAGTTATCTCAACATTCATATTTAGTATGAGTTCTCTTTCTTTATCTAGGAATATGATTTCTAAGCTAAAGAAAAGAATATGTGGAATCTGCACTTGTAAATGTCCAACCAGAATTCTCTTACAGGGAACTCACCCAAGGAAATGAGATAAAAGATCCAAAAGCAGCAAGCACTTCTCTGTGCTGAGCATGGCCATTTTAAGGGAAGCCAGATGACTTGCAGTATTTTCCATAAGTGATTCCCATTCAGTCAGCTGTGTCAGGCAACAACTTGGTTGTTTTGTGTTCCAGCCATTAGGCAGCAACCTCATTGAAGGGAATCACCACAGGCCTCTGTTTCTCCAGAGAGAGGAATCTTACTCCAATATAGTAAATGGACTCAATGGTTGAGGCATCCAAGCCACCAGTAGGATCTTCCTCTGCTATTGAGACGAAATAACCCGATAGAGAATAAATACAGCAGGGCTTAGCCCTATACAAATTTTTTTATAAGTTATGTCTGCATTGTTGTCCCCACCCAGTGCTCTGTCATAACCTTCAGAATTCTCCCAGTGCCCAAATTGACTATTCCTTAAAAGCCTACTTCATGCCTCACCCAGGCCTGCTCAACCAGTTTTCTCTTATTTTTTCCCACTGTCAGAACATATCAGCCCTGTCCTCCTAATCCCTTAAGACTGTGATGTCTATTCAATTATCTATTCAAATAATTTCTGCTAAAATATGAGTAAGTGGTATAATATGTACCTCCCCCCCCCCCACAAGTAACATACATGCATTTTAACAGTGGCTTTAAGTAAATGGGAAGACTGTATTCTGAGCGTCCTGACAGGTAGCAGGAGAGATCCTTCAAGAATAAGCAGTCATTTGCTCTCACAATAAATATCTGTAGGGCATTGAACCAACCCTGAACAAAAAAGCACAAATTATGCTCTCACTCTACATCAGTTGATAGCTGCATTCAAAGAGGCGGGACTTCTGTTTTCATCCTCCCAGAAGTCTGTGGCACTGGAA
Organism: Homo sapiens; assembly: GCF_000001405.40. Taxonomy (NCBI): domain Eukaryota; kingdom Metazoa; phylum Chordata; class Mammalia; order Primates; family Hominidae; genus Homo; species Homo sapiens. Next base: position 109,174,022 of record NC_000005.10, read on the forward strand.
CAGTTCTTCAAAGAGAGAGAACAGACACGCTTCCATAATGGTACTAATTTACAGCTGCAGGCTTCCTTTGGGGCCACTTTTAGAAATAAGTGCCCTGTTAGTAATGGGCACAGAACTTGCCAGAGAGAGGTATGAAGTGCGGTAAAGGAGGTCGCAAAGGGAAGAGAAGAGGTGAGGAACAGTATGATGAGTGGAAAACACAGTGAGATCAGCAGTGCACTGAAATGAGAAATGTAGGGAGATTCCATATTTATGTATTCTGTTCAAAGGAAATAAGGTAGATTCTGAAATGGAAATAAGCAACATCTGACATGCAGAAGAAGCTGGCTAGCCATTTATTTTTTGGTCAATCTCTGATCCCATCACTTTCAGCTAAATAGTGGCTATGGTATTGCCTTGTTTTTGTTTTTGTTTTTTAAAAAAGGGCTCAACATACCACCTCTATTGCCAAAGACACCCCACCTTGCCCAACCTCAGTTTCTTGGTGTGCTCTAAGAGACAGTTTATGGTTCCACTTCTGTTACTGTGTGCAAAATTTTGCCAGAAACAGGCAATCCTACTGTCCTTCATCAGGACACTCATATTGTTTCAAAGCCGTTGGTGACATTTGGCTGCTTCATTAGAAAACAGATTTTTATATGTGTATTATGTAGGTTGTTTTGTTGTTTTTTAGGGGGCAGGGAGGGAGTCTGAAGTGTCACTTCCTTTCCTAAAGGTCATCCATTTTGGCTCTTATTTAAAGTTCAAAAGTTATAGCCATTGGCCATGGGTTAAGGTGTGTGTCATTTGATTACATTCTGAAAGAGAATTATTAGCTAAATTGAGAAGCATAGTAGGTGGCTAAAATTACAGACTCTGGAGCTGCGCTGCTGGGATTCAATTTCTGCTTTCCTCCGCTTACGGGCTTTGTGACCTTGGGCAAGTTGATTAGCTTCCTGGGCTTCAGTTTTATCATCTATAGGAATGGAGATCATAAGTACAGTAATTTCTGAGTGACTTAACGTATAAAAAGTGCTTCAAATAGTACCCAGCATATAGTAAATACTATTTAAGTTGGTTTTAGGAGAACTAAACTGAGTGTCTTTTATATTCATGTGAAGAGAAAATTGTCAAATTTAGTTGAATCTAATTAGAAAGGGAAAAGAGGCAGATTCCCCGATGCATTGTTTCTGAGGCTAAATTCAAGTCTTCCTATGATGAACGTACAGTTTTGTATGTGTGTGTGACTAACATTTATTGACACTGACTACTTTCTGTTTAAGTGGTTTATATATTTCATTTAATTCTCACAAAAACCTCATGTTGTAGGTACAATTATTATCCCCATTTCACAAATGAGAAAACTAAAGCTAAGAGTAAGTAAATTTCCAAACCTCCAAGAGCTAATAAATGATGTAATACTTAAAAGTTGATGCTTTTACCATATATAAAAAAGGATTGAAGACTTAAAATAAGATCTGAAACTATAAAACTACTTCAGAAAACATAGGAGAAATGCTTCAGGACATTGGTCTAGGCAAAGGTTTTATGGCTAAGACTTCAAAAGCTCAGGCAACTAAAACAAAAATAGACAAATGGGACTATATTAAATTTAAAAGCTTCTGCACAGCAAAGGAAACAATCAGCATAGTGAAGAGACAACCTGTAGAATGGAAGAAAATATTTGCAAACTATTCATCTGACAAGGGACTAAAATCCAGAATATCCAAGAAACTCAAACAGCTCAACACTAATCATTATGGAAATGCAAATCAAAACCACAGTGGGATACCATTTCACCCCAGTTAGAATGGCTGTCATCAAAAGACAACGCCAGGTGCGGTGGCTCACACCTGCAATTCCAACACTTTGGGAGGCCGAGGTGGGAGAATCGCATGAACGTGGGAGATGGAGGTTGCAGTGAGCCGAGATCGTGCCACTGCACTCCAGCCCAGGCGACAGAGCAAGATTCCATCTCCAAAAAACAAACAAACAAACAAACAAATAACAAATGCTGGCAAGGATGCAGAGAAAAGGAAGCTCTTATACACTGTTGGTGAGAATGTAAATTAATATATATATTATGGAAAACAGTGGGGAAGTTTCTTAAGAAAAAAAACTAAGAGTAGAACATATGATCCAGCATATTTGTCCAAAGGAAAGAAACCCAGTATATCAAAGGGATACCTATGTTTATTAAAGCACTATTCACAATAGCTAAGATAAGGAATCAACCTAAATGTCCATCAACAAAGAAAATGTGGTGTGTATACATACATGATAGAATACTATTTACCTGTTTAAAAAGAATGAAATCCCGTCATTTGCAGCAACATGGATGAGCCTGGAGTACATTATGTTAAGCAAAATAAGTAAGGCAGAGAAAGATAAATACTGCGTGTTCTCACTCATATGGGAGCTAAAAAAATCGAGCTCATGAAGGAAGAGAGCAGAATTGAAAGGTACAGGAGACTGGGAAGGGTAGAGAGGTGGGGAGGATGGAAAGAGATTGGGTTTGTAGATACCAAAAATATAGCTATATAGAAAGAGTTCTGGTGTTCTGTAGCAGTGTAGAATGAATAAGGTTAATTTATTCTATATTCTCAAGAAGGCAGAAGGGAAGATTTCAGTGTTCATGACACAAATGATAAATGTTTGAGATGATAGATATGCTCATTACCCTGATTTGATCATTACATATTGTATACACATATCAAAATATCACTGTCCCATAAATATGTACGATTATTATATGTCAACTAAGAATAATAGGGGAAAGAAGTAATGGAACCGTATACTCGCAGTTGTCAACAAAAAAAGTAAATAAATCTGCCAAGGAGTACACTTGGCCTGTGTGGAGGAAATTATTAACATTTTCTGAAGGACATCAAATGATATTAGAATAAATGTCAGAACAAGAAATGTACAATTAAAGTCAGGTTTGTAAACAAATATATACATGTAGTACAAGTTTTTATAATAATGTATGTATCTAAATGTATAACAATGAGTCAAATGAAACTGGCAAAGTCTGATGGGAAACGTTTGGTCACATTCTTTTGTGTTTAAATTTTTAAAGAACATGTATCAGTGTATAAGTGATATAAAAATTATTAGAAAATAACGTAATTCATGTATTTTTAAAAGTTGGTGCTTTTAACTACTGTAATGTCCCCCAAATATGCTTGCAGCTAACTATATAAATACATTTTTATAATAATTATCCCCTTTTTATCAGAATATAGTAGAGCAAATGAAATATGCTTCATTTAATCCTCACTCCCTGGGTTGTTGGTTTTATGCCATGTTTCAGCCAGAATCAGGAAACTCCAGGGCCTTAAAGAGGTTTTCTCCTCATAAGTGCTAGTAGTTATTTGTGGCTCAATATTATCCAGACCCAGTGGGAATAGTTTTTATGCCAAAAAAAAAAAAGCAAAAATTTCTCTAACTTTTTTTACATAACAGCATTGCAAAGGAGAACTCTGGCTCAGCCTCATGGTGATTCCTGGCTTACTGTACGATTTGCTGTAAGAGTGAACATAGCCACAGAACAAGACGTGCACCATTGTGCTTTCTAGACAGTGAAGAAAATTTACTCATCTCCATTGCCTGCTGGCCTTGGCATTCCTGTAACTGCTCTCTGTTCTTATTTAATCCTTAATTAACCTGTCTCATATTATGTATGACTTGTAAGACACCTCTGTTACACACTCAGAAGTTTGAATCTTCAAATAAGATTACTCGGCAGACATAAATGGAACATTTCCATCTCCTTTTGGCAGTGAGCAGCATTTGCTGTTATATCCCTCTGCATGTGGTGAGATATAGCTGTCTCTGATACCTCAGGTGAATGACAACACCAGCCTATTATGAGATTTCTCACCTCTGAATTCATGTAGGATTTGCAGTCTATAACACACAGGTTCACACTGATTGTTCTCTAGCACTTTTATGTGTGAAGAGGCTGGGAGTACTAGTGTGTCTCCCAAAGTGTGACTCAGAACTGGGCAATAGTAGGCTTAATAAAGAAGAGAATAGAGAGAAAAGGAGGAAAAGTGTATGATTGCCTTATCTCCCAAATTAGATTGTTGGCTTCTTAGCCCAGACACCATATCCTTTTTTCTGTCTCCTTTAATACTTATTAGAATATTTGCAAACTGAGTATGCAGTGCCTGCTTATGGCCTAAAGGCCTAAGGTTTTATTTAATGCATAGATTATCTCAAAAAGATCCCATTTCCACTCACTTGAACTTAATGCAGCCCAAAGGAAGTAGCATTTTCTGTAAATGTTATTGAAATTTTATTTACACTGAATTGAGGTATCTCTAAATTAGTTTTAGATTGGCCTCTCATAGAACCGTGATTCTCATTTCAGAGGACAAATCTCTAAACTGGTGATGCAATGAAGATAGTTATGACAACAGAAGTGTATGTAGCTATAAAACATAGATATTACTCTGAAGAAAGTACTAACAGTGAAATCCTATACACGACTAAAGTGTTGCAGTGACTGAAAACTCATTCCGACCAAGGATGATGGCATTTGGCCCACTGACTAGAGTTGGGAGGTGCATACTATATTGCCATTGTACCTCTGCCAAAAAAATTAGTTGACTATACATATGTGGGTCTGTTTCTAGATCCTCTCTGTTCTATTCAATTGAGCTACAAACATTTCTACCAATGCTAAACTGTATTGAGAACTGTAGCTTTCTAGTGGGATCTGAAATCAGGTTAGGTAAGTCCTACAACTTTGTACACCTTTCTTAAAATTACTTTATTTTAGAGCCCCTCATTTCCATATACATTTTAGACTCCATTTATCTAGTTCTACAACACATCAGCCAGAAATTTTGGTTGTGAGTGCATTAAATCTATACATTAATTTGGGCAGAATTGCCATATTAATATTCACATATTTTTTAATTAATATTCACATGATTTTTTTCAGTCAAGTTTTGTAGTATAAAGGACTTGTCTTTTGTTAGATTTATTTTTAGATATTTGCCTTATTGGAACTACTGTAAATGGAATTTATTTTCCAGTTGTTTGCTGCTTACAAGAATACTTTGTGTATTTTTGCAGCCTTGTAAATCATTAATTCTAGTTCTTGTTATAAACATTCCCAAAGATATTCTGTGTAAAAAACATCAGATTTTCAAATTGAAAAAGACATAAGAGAAAACACAAAATTGAGAGGCAGATATCAGAAAAGTAGTAAAATTGTTTCCAAGAGAACCCTTTGACTAGAAGTGGTGAAAACAGGTATCCTTGCTTTGACCTCAATAGAAAAAAATTTAGCCTTTCACCATTTAAGTGTGTAATGTTAGGGATTTAAGTTTTTGTGTATGCCCTTTGTCAGGTTAAATAAATTCCTTAATATTTCTAGATTGTTTTACCAATGGGTTTGAATATTTGTCCAATGCTTTTTCTGCATCAGTTGGAATGATCAAGTTTTTCCCTCCTATGTTCTGTTACTCTAGTGAATAACATCGATTACTTTTAAAATGTTAAACCAACCTTGTGTTACTAGGACAAGCTCCACTTGGTTATTTGTTATTTTTGTATATGACTGTATCTGTAAGTTCCACATCTGTGGATTCAACCATCCAGAGATTTTTTTTTTAAAATGGATAGTTGTGTCTGTACTAAACATACAAACTTCCTTGTCATCATTCCCTAAATATAACAACTATTACATAGCATTTACAATGTATTATGTATTATAAGTAATCTAGAGATGATTTAAAGTATATAGGATCATGTGCATATGCAAATCTACACCATTTTATATCAGGGATTTGAGCATCTTTGGATTTTGGTATCTGAGGGGGGGTCCTGGAACCAATCATGGATCCCAAGGGATGGCTGTATATGAATTTGGTTATTGAATGTCCTCCCCACCAGAAATACTTTGGAAGATTAGAGTGGTCAGGAAAGAACTCTCTGAAGAGAGAGCGTTTGGGCTAAGAATGAATGAAGAGGAGCCAGCTATGCAAAACTGGAAGAACACTGGAGGCAAAGCGGAACAGCTAAGTGCAAAGGGTATACAGTGCAAACAAGCTTGCCTCATTTAGGGAACTCGTCCTGCATTTGGGGACAAAAAGAAGCCCAGTATGGATGGGATATATTAATGATAGGGAGACTGGACAAGATGAGGTGGGCTAGAGAGAGACAGGGCCAGATGCAGCAGAAAAAGAGTTGCCAAACTCTCTGGTACCTCAGCCACTTTCCAACCTTTGGGAAGCCCTAAGAATTGTCTTATCAGAGTCTACTCAGTATCTACTAGGCACATGCAGCTATTTAATGTAACTAAAAGTATATAAAATGAAAAATTCAGTTTCTTGGTCACACTAGCCACATTGCAGGTGTCCAGCAGCACATGTGGCAGATGGCTACTTTATTGGACAATGCTGCTCTAGGAAAGCCAAAGGAGAAATAATGCCAACTTTGCTTAGCCTCTTCTCTGTAATTTTCTCTTTTAAAGCTAGAATCGGTGTTTTTCTATTTAAATGGAAATATATGTGGTACCTAGAAAACTAGCATGTGGCCTACTCCATATGCATATGTTCTCATGGATGTTTTTTACCTATGACAGAAAAGATGAGGACTGGTAAATCACAAGCATTCTTAACCTCATTATAAATACATTGCAAATGTAAAAATGCAAAGTGTGGAAATCATAAATGTGAAAGTGGCTTTCAATTTGTTTTAATAGGCGTTTTCTGTGTCTTACTGTAACCTAGGGACCTTGCTGCAAGAAACTGCCTGGTAGGTGAAAATAATGTTCTGAAAATCAGTGACTTTGGAATGTCTCGTCAAGAGGATGGTGGAGTGTATTCATCTTCTGGCTTAAAGCAGATTCCCATTAAATGGACAGCACCGGAAGCTCTTAATTATGGTAAGAATAGACCACATTTTTTTTTTAATGGTAAAAATGAACGGCATCAGCATAAAACATTCACAAGCAATATTTACAGGGGTAGCACAGAATGCAAGTTAGAATGATTTGAGGATCAACACAAATAAGTGAATTTCATACTTTTAATTTGTTGAAATTATTGATCAGATTTCTATATGTAACATTGCTATATTAAAAAGGTAGATATAAGTACTTTTAAATATGACTATACATCTGAGAAAGAGTTTTTATACCAAAAAAAAATGACTTTGTAATAGATTATACAGAGTAAGCGTTGTTGTGGCTCTGGACCATTTCTTTCGAATGTCTTATAATTGGTCCAATAACCTCATCTGATGTTAGGTTCCTAAAATATTAAGTCAATCAGTTCTTTAGTTTCTCACTCTGAAATCGACATGGTTTCTTAGCATCTCAGTCTGTGGAACTGATATAAATCTTGAGCAAAGAAGGAGATGGGAATTACATTTTAAAACGGCAGGGATTTTTTTCACTTGAATTTTTATGCGTCATTGTAATTGGAAATAAATATAACTTGCATTATCTGTGGTTGGGATGAAATGGGCCATTACAAGATGGATGACAACTCAAGAATTTAAGAGAAAAAAAAAGTGTGCTTTAAATAAAATTAGAAATTATATTTTCATTAAGGGAAGCAGCATATGAGCCATGGATTGGTGAATGGGTATGGTATGTTTTGAATAAAAATGTAAAATGATTCTTTGTTGATTTAAAATGAAAAATTACCTCATTATGGAAACTAATTTGTAAAGCATTTATAAATGCCTTAATTTAATTCCCAAATTAGAGAAAGCTTTTTTAAAAAATTGAGGTGAAATTCACATACCATAAAATTAATTACTTTAAAGTGAACAATCATTGGCATTTAGTACAGTTCACAATGTTGTATAACCAGTACCTCTAGTTTCAAAACATTTTCATCACTCCAAAATAAAACCCTGTCACCAATAAGCATCCTCCTCCCATTCTTCCGTTCCGTTGTCCCCTAGTAGCCACCAATCTGCCTTTTATTTCTGTGGATTTACCTATTCTGGGAATTTCATACAAATGGAATTATACGGTATGCGATATCTTGTGTCTGGCTTATTTTACTTAGCGTAAGATTTTTGAGGTTCATCCATCTTGTATCATGTATCAGTACTTCATTCCTTTTTAGGACTGAATAATCCATTGTATGGATATACAACCATTTATTTATCCATTTTTGTATATTTGGGCAGGTTTCAATTATTCTGGGTATATACTAGAAGTCATATGGTAATTTTATGTTTAACTTTTTGAGGAACCACCAAATGTTTTCCAGATAAAGCTTTTGAATGTAATTGGTTTGGAAGTTGATTGGGGCTGACCCAGCTACCACAGATGCTAACCCTCACCCTTAGTTTGTCTTTCAGCGTGTCAGCAAGAGAGGTTCTTTCTTATGAGCTTTCTAGTGATTGCAAGCCAGTTCCACTATTCCTTAGAATCTAGAAAAAATGGCAGAGCTGCTATTTTCCATAGTGATTCCTCTCTGGGGTGATTGTTGTTATTAACTCTAGGGTCAGATTATATTACTAAGGGGGATGATCACAGGATAAAAGATAGATTATAATACTCAATATTTACACAAAGGTTTTTGTTAGATGACAAAACATTTTCAAGCACTAAGGAAGCTGTAACTGGGCTTGGGAGTCCTTGAATTTGCTCTTAACTCTGCCAGATTCTCTGTGTTATATAGCCTTTAAAAGTCCTCTTACTCTTAAACAATTTTGCCAAGTAAAATTCTGCCTCTTGATCACGGTATAGTTTTTGAATTTCAAGCTGACTAAAGTGTTGTATTTACAAATTAAAGTTTCAATTCTGGATATATCTAACAGCCAGACCCAAAGCATTTTAAGTAAGTAATAAGGACAAGTCAAGTCTAAAGATTTTTTTTAATTGAGACAGGGTCTTACTTTGTCACCCGGGCTGGAGTGCGGCGGCATAATCATGGCTCACTGCAACCTCAACCTCCAGGGCTCAAGCAGTCCTCCCACCTCATCCTCCAGAGTAGCTGGGACTGCAGGCATGAGCCATTGCGCCCAGTCTCTGAAGATCCTTGATCTAGAGTGAGGGACTTTTTTAGTAGACTTTAGTAAATTTTATGAAACGTAGAACAATTTAGATGACAAGGAAGGAGAGATTTTGATATAGGAGACGTTTATAGTATTTAATACCCAGTCCAATGAGAGAGTTCCTGAAAGACTCTACAAGCCTTCTCCTAGCAACCCAGAGAAGTTTAGTTCCCACAGACTACAGTTACTGAAGATTGACTCTAAATCCTAGCGTGTTTTTTTTTTTTTTTTTTGAGATGGAGTTTTGCTCTGTTGCCCAGGCTGGAGCGCAGCAGCGCGATCTAGGCTCACGGCAACCTCTGCCTCCTGGGTTCAAGCAATTCTCCTGTCTCAGCCTCCCCAGTAGCTGGGACTACAGGTGCCCGCCACCACGCCCAGCTAATTTTTGTACTTTTAGTAGAGACAGGGTTTTACCATATTGGTCAGGCTGGTCTCGAACTCCTGACCTCTGGTGATCCACCCGCCTTGGCCTTCCAAGGTGCTGGGATTACAGGCGTGAGCTACCGTGCCCAATCCAATACTTCTTTCATATATGAAAGCAGTATATACTCTTTCTTCACTCTTGTCTCACTCAGAATAGGTGAAACACTCAAATCTCCCATGTAGTATGGGGTCGGGGTGGATGAAAGAAACCTCCAGTCCAAGGAACCTCTCTGAAACTGTCTTAGGGCCACAGAGCCATGATCATGCCACTACATGCCAGCCTGGGCAACACAGCGAGACCCTGTCTCAAGAAAAGTGGGGGGTGGGGCATAGAATTAAACCTGTTGTCACTGCGTTATCATAAGTGTTGTTTTTGTATATTTGGCTTTAAAAAGAAAATCAAGCAATACTAAAGGGCCTTCCCAGCCCTATTGCTAGCCAGATCATTTTCCTTCCTAGATGAAAATACTCTTGATACAGTCTCATACTCTTCTCATAAGTGGCTGAGAAATCTTTTTGTATGTGTCTCTCTCATATACTTTAAAAAAAAATACAAAATGGTAGAATACTCAACACCTGTTTGGCATATATTGCTACCATCCTTAGTCACAGCTGTCACCAAAGGTACTGTTTTTATAAGGGGAAAATAGAATACTGATCTCCAACTAAGAAATCATAAATCATCTATTTATCATCAATTATTGAACAGAAATTTTCCTTTTGTCACCTGGGTATTTGGGGCTGATATATCCTCTAATTAGTTATATTAGCATGATGTAACTAAGTACTGTGAAATGGGAGGGAGGCAGAATTTTTAGTGAGCAGGTTTCCCATGCCATTAGCTGCGTGACCCTGGCAAGCCATCAGTTTGTAAGATAAGAACAATAGGACCTTTTCCCTATAGAGTATTATGAAGATCAAGTGAGACATAGAAAAGTAGCCAAATGCTATACAATTGTAAGTTACTCTTGGTCTGTTAAAATTACCCAACAAAACCAGGTTCAAAGATCCAGGTTTCAGAGCTAGGTTATAAGCTTTTACTTCCAGAATGTGATCTTGCTTTATATGTAATATGTCTTTATTGATCTCTGCCCAGATATTATCTTACAAAATAAGATATGAGTCTGTATAACCTACATTTTCTTAAAGAATTAGTCTTAACTTGTAGCCATAGAATGATTTTCATGAAAAGTATTAAATTATTGAATGCCAAGCATGAAATGATAGGCAGACAAGAAAATTAATCTTCCACCCAAAAATGTCCATAATTACTATCTATCTACTAAGAAGGACGCTACTTCACACAGCTGGAGCTGATAATCAGTTAGTACAACCCCACTCTGATGTCAGAGCAGTTATTATAGCAGGCATACTCTGGTTTTCACTAAGTACTTTTTTTTCTTTTTTTAAGAAAGGCCATCCTGTTTTAAAGTAACATGACAGTTTTGGAGGAGGAGTATTTATAAATCCTGCAGTGGCAGAGTTAAGACAGGAAACCACATGAGGGATAGAAAATGAAATAACTTAAGAAATCTTTAACACCACTGTAAATGGAGTTTAGTTATGATAGTATATGTAAAAGTAAAAAATACAAATATGTTGGGAACATCTTGGAAACTCTTAGCTTCTTGGAGAGGCTGGAGATTGGAAAAAACTGATCTGCTTCCCCTCCTTTATTCCACGTCCATCTCCAGAAGACAACCTTGTGCTGGTTTGTATCTTTGTGCTTCTCTAGGAGACTACCAAAAAAATTCTTAGAGCTTAGCTCATGTAGCTCAGTAAAACAGGTGCACCTAGGTATTTCAACAAAACAAGGCACCATGTGATTTAAAGACGTTTTTGTTAGCCAGCTATGTTAATTTCCACTGTTTAAAACACACATAAATATTTTTCGTAAATGAAACTATCAGAGAAAATGAGACCTTTAAGCATGTAAGAACATCTGTAAACAGCAATGAGTGAAAAAATGAAGAAACTTTCCTAATTGCTTTAAGTTTGTTTGTAATTTTAATGGAAAGAAAACGAAGTAGGCGTAAGACAAAATCGCAGGAATCCAACTTGGTTAATCTCCTAGGATTGATAACGTAAAAATGTATATCTTTTTAATATAAGCCATCTATCTCATTCAGATACCACAGAGAAAGTAAGCTTGCACACTGGCTGAATATTTATTCTTGGGGGGAGGGAGAGTGATTTGGAGGCTAGTTTGATTAAACTAGCAGCCTGAAGAATATTTATTTAATTGGTAATATTACTAGACCTGGAATGTAAAACCAGTAAAGAGAATAGGAAGACTGCATGTCGAACTCATTTGGTAAGTTTAAATACAGTCATGTATCGCTTAATGACAGGGATACACTCTGAGAAATGCGTCGTTACGCAGTTTCATCATTCCATGATCATAGGGTATACTTACAGAAACCAAGTACACATCTAGGCTACAAACCTATATAGCATGTTACTGTATTGAATACTACAGGTCATTTTAACACAATGGTAAGTTTTTGTGTATCTAGACATAGAAAAGGTAATGTGTTATACTATGACATTACCATGGCTACCACATCACTAGGCAATAGGAATTTTTTAGCTCCATTATACTGGGACCACTGTCATATATGTGCTCCATCATTGACCAAACATCATTATGTGGTGCATGACTGACACAGACATACATAACCAGGAAGGGTCACCTACTTGTCTACTGTGCCTCATGTGGTTATGGTTGTTGTTCCTCTTCCAGGGAGATACAGTTCAGAGAGTGACGTGTGGAGCTTTGGCATCCTTCTCTGGGAGACCTTCAGCTTAGGGGTTTGTCCGTACCCTGGAATGACAAATCAGCAAGCAAGAGAGCAAGTAGAAAGAGGTGAGCCAAGTACATTCATTGTTAGTGTTCATGTCCAGCCCCAGGGGTAGGCAGTGCTTATAGTGTGTCTGCTTGAGGAGGGGTGTGTTAAATACTGTTTGGTTGTGTTATGAGACCATCTCTGGGGTTCAGAAGCAGATTTATCTAACATCTCTGCTCTTTATCCAAACACTTTGAAGGATTTCAATGCGAGAGAGAGGTATATAGGCTTTTCTTCCACCCTTTCCCTGTCTGGCATGACAGCTGCAGGATTGTGCTGTTCACTGTCGTTAAGAGAAATAGGGTGGTGTTTCTCAAACTCTTGTATTCTATGCCAGATAAACCTCCTTTTAAATAATATTCCCAATTGAAATGCAGTTAGTCTTCAGGAAGTCTTTGAGAATATGACAACATTGTAGCACTTCTGAAGAAACCCTTTGGGGTTCCTAGACCATAGATGGGAATAACTAAGTAATGGTGACAGGCTTGCATGCACTTGTGTAGCATACAGTCTCGACAAAAAGAAAGCTCGTGATAAAATACTGTGCCCTAATGTCTGGTCCCCAGTGAGGGGCATGGTTGTAGAAGTGGATGAAGGAAGATGCCTTTCTAACTTCCTTTCTACCTTCTCCTACCTTTACACACTACCCAATGCACTGCTGAAACACTGCCAACCAACAGACGGTAAAAGAATATGACTCATATTCATTTTTATTTCCCTATTGAATTCACATTTATAAAATCCTCATATTGAATTCACATTTATAAAATCCTCATCTTCTCTTCATCTTGAAAAACACAGATGATTTTTTAAAACTGTTCACAGGATCTAATTCTGAAAGTGAATACTTAGAGCAACTAAAATATGCATTTGTATTGTATCTTACATCAGACTTTCTGAGAAATGAACAAATAAAAAATGTTCTTTGAATTAGAACTCTAAGACTCTGTAATATTGAATTCTGCATCACCTGTAGAAAATAAAAACTCAGCCTCCCCAGAAATGGATGTTTTGTTTCCATATAACTACAACATAAGGTACCAAAAGTTAATAACTGCATAATGCCCTGTGTGAACATTTTGTGTCTTACCTCCATTCTAAATTCTGTTCTCCTTCTCTTGGGTCTTCAGGATACCGGATGTCAGCTCCCCAGCACTGTCCAGAGGATATTTCCAAAATCATGATGAAGTGTTGGGATTATAAACCTGAAAATCGCCCTAAGTTCAGTGAACTTCAGAAAGAGCTCACTATCATCAAGAGAAAACTCACATAGTGACAGGATGGCGCCAAACTCAGCCTTCAGGACTCTGTCCTCCAGCAGAGTAACATTATTGTTCTCATTAACAATGAATTTATACCACATTACCTTCGACAGTCTTCTACCATTATTTTTTATTAACTGGGTGTTTTAAAAGTACGTTCCACTTGTAAAAAGTCAAAGGCAAATTTGTTAAAGAAATAGGCAGTCCTACCAAGGGCTTTCTTAGCTAACCATAGCAATCCTACCATTTCAGGCCATTGCAAATAGAAAAGCACAGGCTTCTAAGTGTGTGAAGGATAAAAGATCTATCCTATCCTTTTCACACCTTGTTTCTACTTCAGGCACAGTTTGTAGGCTGCCATCCTATGCCACAGACCCTACTCCGTTGGTGCTATAAACAGCATTGGTAATGCCATGTTTGCAGGACATGTTCCAACCACAGCTGGCTTTCACCTCTGCCAAAGCAGGATTATATTTGTAAACAAACAAACAGAATTTTATATTGGGAATTATTTGGACCTCCTGAGATTTTTCTTTTCTTTCTTGCCAGGTATAAGCCCAATGTAAGAATCATCATGCTCCTACATTATTTGTAAGGTTGTCATTTTCCTCCTCCTTTGTCTGGGCATCAGAAAACAATGCACGTAGGTCGGGCACGGTGGCTCACGCCTGTAATCCCAGGCATGTAATCTCATGCCTGGGATTACAGGCGTGAGCCACAGTGCCCAGCCCCCTCCCTCCTTTGGGAGGCTGAGGCAGGCGGATCACCTGAGGTCAGGAGTTCGAGACCAGCCTGGCTTGCATGGTGAAACCCTGTCTCTACCAAAAAAAAAAAAAGAAACACACACACAACGCATGAAACGTCGTCAAAGTTAGAGTTGAGGCAGTTGCTTTTCAAGGATGTACAGAGAGCTGTGAAGCAAGAAACAGATTTGAACAGGAGGGTGGGCTGGAGAACAGAGCAGCTAAAGAATGATTAACAGAGTAAAGAAGAAAGTGAAAATATAAAACCACCTTATCAGAGTTATGCCTTTCTAAACATCTAAACAAACAAACATTCACATATTCTATTCTAAAAACACATAATAATACATATTCTATTTTATGGTCTGAATTTACCAGAAAGGTCCTAAGAAAAGTTTCAGGAGTTCGTAGAGTCCTCGTAATGGCAACAAAAATTTTGAGAGAAACTGCAAAGCACAAATCCACAGAAATAACAGCATACTTTCAGTTAAGCATTTTCACCTTAGAGGGGGCATTCCAAAATGTAATTTCCTTTATTTGTACCAGTTTTTAGAGCTGTCAGAATTTCATGATTCTAGTTCACCAACACATTCACGTGTGTACATGCGCGTGCACACACACCACCAAGGTGCAAGACAGATGTGAATGAAGTAGACAGTCTAGAAGTCAGGTGAATATTAATGAGAAATATGACATAGGGACAGCCCTCCCATTTCTACTTCCACCTTCATTGACCATTATACTGCCCCCTGGACATTCTTACCATTAGCTGACAGGTATGCAAGCAGAGTGCTGAAGATGTCTCATGTGAATAAAATGTAACTCACTCACTCAGTTAAAACTAGGATTCTGTATCTTAACTCTTATCTAGGGAACTTACTTACTTACCCCATGATCTGTATATAGTTGCCTCTCAGGATAAATGCATATATAGAAGATGGTCATGCTCAGGGCTAAATATGTTCTGGAAGCCTTTTATAAGTTCTCAGGCCTGTGTCCTGGTAAACATTACCTTAGTGATTATTTGGTCTGCATTCATTGGAAGAGCTTAGGGATAGAAAATGCCTCCTGCCCTCTCCAGCTGTTTGCTGCCTGTACCATCGCACAGAACTCACACCAGTACTTTAGAGTATGAAAGATAATACTGAAGAGAAAAGTGACTTGTATCTAACATTTCAATCTCCTTGCAGATTTCATACATACTTAATGATTAGTACATTCAGACTAAAGGGAAATTTCTTTTGATGGCACGTACTATGGTAAATCAAAGCGCAAACTCAGAAGTGCTATGGTATTGAGGCACTTACCAACCTTCAAAAGTAAGAGTAAAATGGGATATTCCTACCCTTTTTTTTAGTATTTCTAAGTGAATCTCTGTAATATTCTTTGTCTGTTTAAAGAAAACAGCCTCCCATCTCATAGTGGCTTCATGCTAAGCTCTCAGCAAGGAGAGAGAATGATGGTTTTGGCTTTAGTTTTATGAACAAGACCTAAAGCTTAATCCTGACATTCTGGTGTTAAGAATGAACACAGCATTGATATTTCACTTATCCAGGCTGTTAGAATTTGCAGTTCACATCATTACTCTGTGCTTAAATTTAAAAAGCTTTTCAAAACATCGTGACATGTGTAGCATTTAAATTCCATTTTATTCTTTGTCCTAAAGCAGGCAGTGGTATAGTTCAGGATTAATAACTTATTGGGAGTCTCTCAGTCATATAGAATATTAAATTTAATATAGTCACATGCATTAAGAAAAACTTACGCAAACAGTTTTTCACTGTTAATTTTGTTGTGCTTGAAGCATAATTTATTCATCCCTTCTGTCACTGATAATTAATTATTGGAATTATATACTTTAGGAGGCTAATCCATGCCCAGGAAGCACGAACATACTGTTCAGAATGTGCAAGTTGATGTAGGGAAAGGAAGATTCAGAAATGTACAAAATCCTGTGATTTGTTTAGTAAGAAAAGAGTTGTAACCAAAATTTCTTCTGGTCCGGATGTAATTAGTCCAGTCACAAATCTTTGTGTTGTTAATGGATTATTCAAGATATATATATATATTCTTACTACTGCATAGTTCCTCTCATAAGTCCTTAAATTTATTAAAAGGGGGAGGTAAACACAAGCAGTCTGTGTCTCACTGGTCACTAAGGGGCCTTTATGAGACAGTTTAGGTTGTTCATCATTTCACAAGGAAAGAAATTTTTCACTGTTAAATTAACATTTATTACCAACATGTGAAACCTAAAATTAATTTTGCATTCCATGTAATCTAAGGCCAAAGCCAACATATTCTTTCTCTTCTGGGAAAATAAAATTGACAGGTTTTGTTTAAACTTCAGAAACTGAAGCTTTATTTCAGCCTGTCCTGCCATGAGGTCTCCAGTGAGAGGTCTCCAGTGAAAGGTCTCATGTAATTGTTTCTCTTTTATCTCCCAAATTTAATGTGGGCAATAAAATTCTCCTTTCGTAATTCACTGTTTTATTACAAATACGATATTACTGAAACATCTTATTAGCAGATAAGTATAGACCAGGAGCCTAACTGTGTTAGATATTTTCAGTGCACATTTCACAGTTGTTTTTCATTTTAGGATTATTTTGAGAAGAAAAAATGTTTTGTAATTGAAATAGTTTTAATTTCCTTTAAACCATAATTTGGTTTTTCTATCTATATTATATTCAGTTCAGTTTTCCCATATAACTTTTGTGAAGATTGGCTAGTACCACAAAATAACTATGGCTTCACAATACTAGTGTTAGATTATGTCAAGAAGAAAGTGTTTTAGTTACAACATACGCCACCCACTGAGGACCTTGTAGTGGGATAAACAAAAATTAAAATGCAACAATCCAAATAAATTATAATGTAACAATACAAATATCTGAATCATAAGTCACAGTTTTTCAGGGTTCTTTCAGTCACACCACTTTATAATTAATTCTGGTGAGTCATCAGATGTAGGAATGTACCTGAAAACCTTACTTAGTATACTGTGTACACTGTTTAATGGCCATGCATCTTTTGAAGTTTGATATTTTCTGAAAAAGCATTGTTTGCCTCAGCCCTCTTCTTTTTACGTATACTCCATTTATCATTGATATTTTAGATGTTTCTTATCAACAAAATTGGCTGCCCTGGTTAGTGCTGAGTCATCGCAAGACTTGCTTTTGCATTTAGGAAGCCACACCCTCCCACAAAACAGAACAGTGCAAAATAAGCAGCAGAGAGACAGACAGTTGGAAAAGACATGTTTTCTTTAGGTATTAATATCTTAATTAAATGGAATCAGATTTTGTATGGAAATGAGTTTATATTACATTTCCATTATACTAAGTCAGTGTGAAAGTTTACCATCAAAATAGCGTTACTTCTTTTATGACTAACTCTGATTTGCTTATACATATCAGAATGATATTCATTAAATATTTTAATTTCATTTATTTTTCTATGTTTTGATTAGTTTCACATCAAGTCTGAATACTATATTTTGGAAGAATCCAAAACCACATATGAAGATACTGATTTTAAAAGTCAGGATTTCATGTACCAAGAATGACCTACTTGAAGGAGATTTTGCTACACTCTTAGAGTCCCAAAAATTCCCCTTTAAAAAAAATGCTGTCCTACAGAAGGTGTATAAACTATACCTTAGCCATAATTCAATTTAATGAAATACTACCCCATTAAAAGCCATCCTCCTGCCTCATACCGATTCAGAAATTAAATTCTGAACTTTTAGTGTAGGCATTAGGAATCACTTAGCCACTTAATAAGGACTGAGATTCTTGGGTGGCAGAAAAATCCTGGTGTGCTAGATTCTTAGTCACTTTAAACTGCATAGAAGTAATGAGCATAGGCTTCAGTATATTTAATAAGGTGCTGAGGCAGCAGATTCAAATGCAAAAGAGGGAGGAACCAGTTATTCCAAGGCAGGATGATGCACCCCCACACAGAGTGTGGAAAAATTAAAGTGAAACAAAGATTTGGACAGTGTCATTAGGAAGCCTGAGGAGAACATGCTACAAGGCCAGATCCTGTCCTATGGAAAATAAAAAAGATCAGCAGAACTAAAGCAAAAGCAGTCATCTCCAGTGTGTGGGCCTTAGCAAAGAGTAAACCAAATACCTCTCCTTGTGTTAGGAGCACTGTTATATTCCCAGCTCAGAGATGATTGTGTGCTGGGAAATGCTTATATTCATTATTTCCCAACTAATGCATTTGGACATATGTATTCCAGTTTTTCAAAGACACTACCCAAAGCTTCTTTACATTTGCATTGGTTATATTTAATATTTCTTAAGCTAAGATCACTGATTATCCACACGTTATTAGAAATCTTTGGTTACAGTGAGGCTTAACCTGGGCTAAAGTCTCCTAAATGGGACTACACTTAGATCCGCCCTATTTCACCTTTGGACTAACGTTGACTAAATGGCTCCTAGAGTTACCCACAGAGGGAGCTTACTATGATGAGAGCTACTGTGGGGAAACATAGTATTCAACAGAGAAATGGAAGAATACAAGTAGCAATGTTCCTTGTCTTCAATAACATTTGAGGGAAAGGAATCTAGAAATCCTAAAGCTTAGTCAGGGTGCCTAAGGTAAGACACAAAAAGAAAGAGACATCCAGAAAGGAAGGTTGAAAGGAAATGAAGGGCAGTAACAAAGCACCAATGTAAAATGACCCATAGCCAACAATAAATGCAATAACAATAAAGGAAACTAACCCTCACAAAGGGTTTGAGGAGCTTCCTGCTGTGTGTCCTTAAACAGTGCGTGCCTCTTAAGTCTCTACAACACTTTTTTAAAGGGCATTGAATTGGACATTGGTTTAATTTTTACCTACGCTCCCTATAATCTCAGGAGGTAACCATTATTTAATCAGAATTACCCTTGCTCTGTTTATCTGTGAGGCCTCAGACACAACGGTGGTTCAGCCCTCTCCCTAAGCAGTAGCAAGCTGAGTAATGGCACACATATGTCTAGGATAGCCAGCATTCAGGAAAATTGCTGTGAACCTCCTGTTTTTAATTTTAATATAGAAAAAGTCTTTCAGGTTTGTGACACGAAGACAGATTTAGCTTCCCACTTGTCAGCAAATTTGTAAAAACCTCAAAACAAATGAATATTTGGAATTCACTCTAAGAGATACAAATCCTGAATTTCTAACTATCTTCTCAAATATTACTGAGGCCAGCAAGATGCAAGTGTTCTACAAAATAATGAACTGTTCTAAGTGACAGTGTTGATGCTGGAAGTGGAATGTTATGTTTTCGCTCAGCTGTATTCATTCAGAAAGTTTTTCTTGAACATCTGCCACATGAGGTGCAGAGAATACTACCAGGTGCTAGTTTTTCCAGTATTTGACTTCTGATTACTATTTCCTTTTCTCATCTTTAGTTTTTCAAGATTTTGCTTTACCAAAATAGTAAAGCCTTTATCATCAGCTTATATTGAATAATGTTGTAATTGGTTTCAATCAAAGTTTCTCCTCAGGTACTTGGGGGCCCCTAGCCTTCTAAGGAACTCCCAGGCACCTACTTAACAAGGCCAGCTACACACTCAGTATGTGATAAGCCCCATGATGGATGCAGGTTAGAATTCAAAGACCTGGTTGGAGTCCTAGATGTGGAGACAGGATGATCAGGTCACACTTGTTAGATGACTAACACTATCAGTAGAAGCTCTTGAGAGATTTTCCTAACGCAGCAAGATTTCTGTGAGTAGAGGTATCCTGGGAGGTATCCTGGGAGGCAGCCTATTGACTTGACCAAGTAAGCTGATCAGGTGGCCTCCTCTACCCACTAAAGAAATGTGTAAACACTAGCAATAATTGCTTTATCTTAAACTCCTGGACATACTCAGTTCTTCCATTCCACTGTTCTATTGCCAATACCTTTTGTTGTTTTCTTCACACTCCTCTTGGCAGCAAATGTCTGAAAGTATTTCAATTGTGTAATGTTAAGGAGTTTTTTCATAGCTTCAGAAAAGAGGGCAGCAAATATGAAGCCTTAAGTTCAAAATAAGTCATTCTACCTAGAAATACAGACCCCAGAGCACATTGCATGAAAATACCTGTACTCTGCAGTTCCTCAAAGCAGTATTCTTCCTGAAAAGCCAAACACCACACCTATTTTCCTATTTGCTAAGAATCAGAATAAGCACGTTGTAAATAGTATCCAAAGCAGATTCTAAAATGACATAGTAAGAAGCCAGATTCAAATTGTAACCAAAGAAGACAATAGAAATCCCACTTTACCCCACTGTCATCAGTTAGAACACCCTTGCAAAAACTGTAACCACTTAAGCAATTCATCTGATCCCAGAAGATCATACCTTCTTTTGAAAGTATAGGACAGATATCAGTGGGAAACGTCGGCGTTCTGAGCAACACAGGATAAATGTAGGAGGGCCTTAAAAAATAAATCTCAATTCATACACTGGAGCAGCAAAAAACTGAGCAGGAAAGGAAACAGAATCCAAAGTCATTTTTCATATAGCTGTTGTCAAATAGTATAACCTTGGTGTCTTCTTTGAGTTGCCTGGACAGTATTTATGAAACAAAAAACTAAATGCCCCCCATTTGGGGACGGGGGGAGGGGTTCAGACCTCTAACCTGGATTCAGAGCCTTAGAGGCCGAGAGGGAATCTGGAATCTGGTATTACTGAGATCCTAGGTAAAAGAACCAGCCTGGCAGTCTTTCCCACCTCATTGGTCCGTGCTTTTATTTTTAAACCCAAAAGAAAGAAAGAAACACACCCTCTTATGTAGGAATTTCCCTTTTACAAATAATTTGACCTGGTAGAAATAAACTTGCCTGCCTGCTCTTAAATGCCAGACAGTTGGAAGCAAATGCCGAGGGAAAGGTGCCCAGAGCCATGCTTGATAGGACTTTGAATATTTTCTCCTTAATTAAAGTACGTTGCTTGTATTTAGACTATAAGATGCTATGGAGGTCTATCCCATGCCATGCCAATGTGAATTGCTTTGCTTCAGTAACAATCAGAAGACCAGTCCAACAGAAAATAACTTGTCATAATTCCACCTTAGATTCTAGACCTCTCATACCTGCAGTGTACAGAATATGTACATGTTCCAATGGAATTCACTATTTTTGGCTTTAGTGTCAAAGAGATTGGTTCTACAAGGTTCATCTGATTTCCCATAACAAGTAAATTTTATAATCCTATGATTCTAAATTCAATCCCCAATATAGATTCTAAGCATCAAATCAAAATCACAGACAAAGGGGAACTGGTCGAGAGGGGTCTTAGTTATTTCAAATCCATGACCAAAGTGTCCAAAGACATGAAACTCTTATACCTGCTGAGCATTTCACTTTACTATACAAAATGTCAGCTACCCAGTTGCATCCTGTGACATGATCAGACTGTCAATGTGGACCAGTGGCCAGGAGCATATTTATGGGCCATTTCTGTTCATCATTCTTTACAGAGCATTGAGGTTTCCCACTGAAACAGCTTCTTTAGTCAGACGTCTATAGATTTTACATAAATTTACATTTAAATGCATTAAGTTAGATGGCCCAATTGAGCATCTGAATGAATATAGTGGGGGTTGGTGGTGGTGCAAATTCTGCTGGCTTTATGTTATGGTTTTCTTCGTGTTTTTTCTTGGTTTTGTCTGGCTTCTTCTGGCAAGTGCCCTAAAAGACTGGAACACTGTATAAAGTCATAGACATAGAACCATATGGGAAAGCCCAGATGAAAAAATGGAAGAATAAAATCAAGTTGTCAAAGTTCCAGCAACAGCCCTGACTTCTTCAGGAATCCAAGCAAATTGAAAGCCAAGACAAAATGTACAAATGGTGCCCATGCCATTCATTTGACTGTGGGTGGCCCTCTAGTCTAGGGCTCTCTTAGTGAATGGTTGTGGAAATATGATTTTTCTAAGTTCCTTCCTTTTCCTTTTGATAGATGAGTTTGAGATGATGGAGTAGGAGTGGGGCCCTCAGGCACTTCTGGTAAAGACATTCCACCTGCAAGCAGCATTTTGAGTAAAGCACTGCTGTGGTTTGCCGATTTATGGTCCATTTAATGTTAGGCTAAAGCACCTTTAATCATTTTTGTTGTTTTAAGATAATGTATTTGTGAAGTGGATAAACACTGGAAATAGGGTGCTTCTTCTGGAAAGTTCAGTGTAAAACACAAACAAGGCTTTGGCGGGTTTATCTGGCTTTATAAACAAGTCTGAAAAATGGATGAAAGCTAAATATATAAAGCAGTTGGTTGTCTATCTTTTATCATTTTTACTCAGATCTGTATTTAACACTTATTTATTTGTTAGTTTTTACATTCAAAAGAAATACACTTTGAACTTTGGCTAACATTGTAGGATATTTTTTAATTGTTTCTACATTTTTAAAGCATGATTCATCATTTTTGTAAACTTAGATCATTTTTTAATTGTCTTTTCTTTTCCAATAGACCAGTTACCACTCATGTGTCTGCAGAACCTCTTTATTGTATTCCTATAATAAATGTAAAATATTTGTAGCAAACTGTGCCTTGTCTTATTTAATCTTTCCATCATGTTTATATTTCTCTTCCTTTTCCATATAAATATGCTCCAAGTGGAAGAAAAGGCAGGCAAGATTTCCATGGTAACTGGCCTCCTAGGGATATAACAGTGCATAAAAATTATTAGCTTTCAGTTTCTCTGTAATTAAGCTTATTAGTTCTGATGATAATGGGTGTGTGTTGCTTACAGTCCAATCACTGCTTCCTGTTTAGAAATCAAAACTGTAATGGAGCTCAAGTCCCAGTTATCTGGGTGGATTCGCTATTTGCGTGGATTTTTGTGTTTTACTTTTGGGTTTTTGGGTTTTTTTTTTTTTTTTTTTTTTTTGCTTTTCATAACAAGATTTGTTTGACATAACACAAGGATTTGCGGGAGAAAGATGGCTGAGAGATGTTTGGAAACAGAGGCTGAAGCCTGCTACCCTAGAGCAGTTCAGATGTGTATCCTTGCCTGTCCTGTACAGGACTGAGCTGGTCACAGAGCCATCGCTTAACTTCTAGGTACCCTTCAGTTGGCAAATCGGTAACCTTCCTAAAACTGCCGGCTGTTATTTACATGGATTTTGGGCAACATACACTTCCCTTACATTAAACCAAGCCCCCTCCTCATCCCTGAGCTTGGATTAGATGAGTCAACCTCCACTGCTTCTCAAAAACACACATGTTTACTGTTCATGGGGTAGGCCACAAGCTCCTTAGGATAGACAAAATGAATCCATACAATCCTCTTAACCTTCCTGCTTCCACAGCACCCTACCCAGAGCTGTGTGCTTCTGGGCCCTTGGTGAATTCATTTTCACCATAGCTCATAATTGTCTGTCTAGAGTTGCATCCTCTGCTCCAGCAGGTTTGATATCTGGCACAGTCTCCTAGACAACCTGTGCTTTCACTGACTTCAATTAATTAGGATGAGGTACATTCACCACCAAAGAAGGTTGGCTATCAGACTGAAATCCCATTCCCCAAGATGAATAAATAGCATCTCTGAAATCCTGGAGTTCTTTTGGTGTTTGAAGTCCTACACTTCGTTTCACACTCCCCCTTCTAGCTGATTTCTTCAGGCAAATGGTGATGTTGCTTGTTAAAAAAAAAAAAAAAAAAAAAAAAAAAAGGCCAGGCACGGTGGCTCACGCCTGTAATCCCACCACTTTGGGAGGCCAAGGTGGGCGGATCACGAGATCAGGAGATCGAGACCATCCTGGCTAAGATGGTGAAACCCCGTCTCTACTAAAAATACAAAAAGAAATTAGCCAGGCGTGGTGGCGGGTGCCTGTAAACCCAGCTACTCGGGAGGCTGAGGCAAGAGAATGGCGTGAACCAGGGAGGCAGAGCTTGCAGTGAGCTGAGTTCGCACCACTACACTCCAGCCTGGGAGACAGAGTGAGACTCCGTCTCAAAAAAACAAAACAAAACAAAAAACAAAAACAACAACACACACACACATAAATGTAAGAACTAGTTTCTATTAACAGCATCAATGGCTGCCCCTTCAATAAAAACTGAATCTAAATGAAGTGCTTTTTCAAACTTCCAAAATGTGGTGGTACACGTGGACTGGCCCACACACTTAGGTCAGACTTGTGATTATGCCCAAGGAAGGCTGATGGTGCTGGGTTCCAAAGCTGTCTGGTGTTGAAACAAGCACCAAGCTGGGAGCTGGGAAACTCAGGATCTCATTCCTGGTTGGACTCTCACTAGTCTGTAAACTTATCCAATTGGATCCTTTCTCCCAGGGCTGACACTTGAAGGACAAAGAACAGCCTGAGAGCATTCACTAAAGCAGAGTCCATTCTCCCTAGTAAAGTGTTGCTGTAATTCCTGCTACCCAACACTCCAGGACACCCTTAGTTTTTTCCATTCCCAAACCTCATTCTCTAGCCTCCCCATTAACTTTGGAGCCCATGTCAGCCTTGTAGCGAATTCCCTTTTTTTTTTTTTTTTTTTTTTTTAACCTAAGTCATCCATAGTCCATTTCTGTTGTCTGCAGCCAAGGATCCTGACCAATATGACGATCTCTAAGACACCTTCGAGCTTTGAGACTGTGTGATCTCCCAAGGCTTCTTGAGTCATTTCAGATATCCAAACACCAACGCTATATGAGGTGGGTTCTGTTCCTTTCCTCATACAACATGGCTGTTGAAATTCAAGAGTGATGAGAAAAAGGAAAATTCCCTAAAGTTTCCCTCACCTAATGTGCTGCTGATTATCCAAACTAAGCTTTTTCATATTTCCCCAGCTCTGGACTTAAGTAATTCAAAATTATAAATGTTTCTTTTGCAGTCTCCCTGTGGTAACCAGTGGTACCACAGGATAAATGATAAGATCAATGGACTAGACATTGTGATGGGCTAATTGATCTATCACAGCAATATAAATGCCAAGAATTAATAGAAAAACAAATGTCATAGGAAGCTGAGGTACTGACAGCCTTAGAAGCTCCCCTCTTAGGGCCTCTGTCTCCCAGCTTTCAGCAGGGCTTAGTCTTAGTCCACATTCAGAAGGGCCTTTCCCTCTCCTGAAAACAAACAAACTCACAAAATGTCTCCTTTTAAGCCTGGGTAAAAGCCAATAAATAAGCCTGTTGGTATTTCAACTCAAGCTGATTTCCCAAGTAGCCCCTGGAGCCCTTCCCTCTGCCTGCCACTCACTTCTTGTCCTCCTGCCAAATGTCAAGGAATGATTCTGACAGCGATGCAGCACAGCGGGTCTCTGAGGAAGGTACTTAGGATACATGAGCCTGATGAAAGGAAGTTAGTGGGGCAGGTGAAGGATTTGCTCACTGGTGACCCATCCAGGTTCACAGTCTTACAGCCTTAGAATAGTGAAGACCCTGTCACAGCCAGCCAAAAATGTAAGAAGCCGGCTTTTATTTTCTCCTCCAGGATTGCACACTTCATTCATCTTCCAGGGAATGCCAGCGATGGGGACATCTTACCTGTTTTTGGCATTACTTTTCATCTCGACAAAGTAAAGTGAGGGAGCAGCTGTCTGCTCCAGCCAGGTTAACCCCTAAACTTCTTTTCATGTCAAACTAATACCAGCCGCTCCCCTGTGCAGGTCTAATGCATATAGAAACTTAGAACTAGGAGACCAGCTGACTTCCAGCACCATCCCTACCCCTCTTTGCTTCACTGCTCCCTCCCATTCTTCCTTTTCTTCTCTCTCAGACACACCCTTTCTCCTGGTCTGAAATGAGTCCTCTATCAGTATACACCACAGTTTCTTACCCCAAAGCAGATGTTCCATGAATATAATCATTGGTCTATATTGGGAAGACCAGAGATCGTTCACAAGATTAATCATAAGGTAAAAGAGGAGAATTAGAATTAAAATCTAACTGTAAAGAGCAAAAAAAAAAAAAAAAAAAAAAACACACAAGTATCTGGAATATGTTAATGACTGCAATTAGGCAATAAATGGCACTGGATCTCTTGACAACCAAAACAAACAATGAGGAGTACTTATTTTAGAAAATGAAAAAGGCAGAAAAATGAATTTGGCATTTAACTTAAAAGGTCAGAAAAAAAGTTATTCTATGACTTTATGTTTTCTAAGATTGAACACAAGTCATGGCACGGATCCTCAGCTGGGAGCCATTCTGTCCCCCAGGGGACATCTGACGATGTCTGCAGACACATTTTTGTTGTCACTACTGGGAGTACTACTGGCATCTAGTAGACAGAAGACAGGAATGCCACTTAACATCCTCTAGTGCACAGATCAGACCCCACACCAAAGAATTATCTGACCCAAAATGTCAGTAGTGGCATGATTGAGAAACCTTCAGTCATGGGGCCTATCTGAATTTCTATCCAGAATCAGGGGAAGACTTTAACTGGACAAACTTTAAAGGAACAGGAGAAGATAAAAATCAGAATGTTTTAAAATGTATTTCCCAAAAGTTGACATATTTGATATATTGCTTACACAGAGAAACAATCTAGAGGATTAACGAAGCCAAGACTTAGTTCTTTAAGGCCAACCTCTGATGAGATTTACCAAGAAAAAAAAAAAAACATACTAGGAATTAAAAAAACAAAAACAAAAAACAGGTATAAAGAACTACAGAAACAGCAGTGATTGAAAAGGTAATAAATGAATACTATGAACTTTATGCCAATAAATTTGAAAACTTAAAAAGAATTGACATATTCCTAGGAAAAAATATAGTTTACCAAAGCAAACTCAAGAAGAAATACACATTCAGAGTAGTTCTATAACCATTAATGAACTGAAATCAGTAGTCTAAAATCTTCCCACAGCACTTATTTCAGGGAATTGAAGATTTATTTTTATGCATAAAGTTGTACACAAATGTTCATAGAAGCATTCTTCAAAACAGCCAAAAACTTGAAACTACCCAAAAGTTCTTCAGTAGGTGAATCATTAACTGTGGTATATCCATGAGATACTACTCGGTAATAAAAAGCAATAAACTATTGATACACACAGGATGAACCTAAAGAAAACTATGCTAAGAAAAAAAAAGCCAATCTTAAAGGGATAAATACTGCATAATTTATGTAATATTGATGAAATAACAACAGAGATAGAGAACACATCAGCAATTGCCAGGAGCTAGAGATGGGGAAGGGGTGAGGGTGGCTATAAATGAGTAACATGAAAGAGTCTTGTGCTGATGGTACAGTTCAGTATCATAATATAATGCTGGTTTCACAAGGCTACACATGATAAAACTTCATAGAGCTACATACACACAAACACATCAATGGGTGCATGTATAACCAGTGAAATTTGAATAAGCTCTATGGTTGTACCCCTGTCAAATTCTTGGAGGTGGCCAGGAGAAACACACAGATTTCCCTGTGCATTCCTTTGCAGCCTCTTGCAAATATGTAATTATTTCAAAGTGAAAAGTTTAAAAAATTATATAAGGAAGCAAGAATCTTCCCACAAAAACAATAACAGACCAAGAAGTATAGGATTTGGAGGTGATCCACCATGCTTCCAAGGGACAGATAATTCTTGCAAACTCTTCCAGAAAAAAAGAAAAAAAGATGACAATGACCCTTCAATCTATCTAATGAGATAACTTTGAAAACAAAGTACAAGGAAAATACAAAAAACTACAAGCCAATCTTAATCATGAATACAGATGAACTTCTCCCAAAGTAAAGGCAAAGTTAACTCAGCAATGAATAAAATATATAAAATATCAATTTTGAATTAGATTTATTCTAAGAATAAAAGGATGATTTTTATGAGTTATTAATATAAATTAGCACATTAACAGAACAAGGAAGAAAACACATAAAATTCTGCCAGGCAATCAAAAAAACTTAGAAAACTAGGGGAGAAATGTAACTTCTTTAAAATTATAAAAAGATCTACAAAAATCTACAGCAAACATTGGACACAACAGTGAAGCATTAGAAGCATCCCTTTTAAAATTAGGACCAAGAGCCACACATGATCGCTTGTGCCTATAAACCCAGCTATTCAGGAGGCTTAGGCAGGAGGATTGCTTGAGGCCATGAGTTGGAGACCACCAGCCTAGGCAACATAGTGAAACCCCATCTCTACCACACACACACACACACATGCACACACACACACACACACATACACACACACACAAATCAGGGACAAGAAAAGGGAACATCAACCACCATTTCTATCCATTCTTGTATTGGAAACTCCAGCCGGTACAGAAAGACAAGAAAAATAAATTCTGAATAAGGTGTAATAATTGGAAAGAAAACTTCATATTCACAGATAATATGATTGCTTACATTTTGAACCTCAGAAAACTAACACATTATTAGAGTGAATAAGAGTTTAGCTAAATTTCTAGATACAAGATCAACATGAAAAAAAAAAAATTTTCTGTATACCAGTCAAAGGAGAAGATACATGGTATTTTTAAGATACCATTTTTATTTAAAATTTAAATTTCAAAATTTGGTTGCAATAGCAACCAAAACTACAAGACACTCTGGAATAAACTAATGAAAGATATGTAAGCCCTTTATGGAGAAAGTTTTCAAAATGTTAAAGATGACCATTAGATAAATGGAGAGACATATCTTTTCATGGCTAGGAATACCCAGATACTGTAAAAATATTGTACATTTTTACTTAGAGTTTATAAAGATATTGTGCATTTTTACTCAGATATTATAAAACTATCAATTCTTTTTAAATTGACTACAAATAAAATGTAATTCTTGATGTCTAGGATTCCTTATATAAATTAAGATGATTCTAAAATGTATATGGAAGAACAAAGGATCAAGAATAGCAATGACACTCCTAAAGAGATGAGACTTACCATAAAGCTAGAGTATGGTATTAGCACAGAGATGAACAAGCAGGAAGATGGACCAGAATAGAGAGACCGAAAATAAACCCAAACAAATGCAAATATTTAATACATTGCAAAGACAGCACTGCAGATCAGTGGGGAAAAGATGGACTACTCATTATACGGTGCAGGGAGATTAGCTTACCCATATGAGGGGGAAATGAGCTTAAACTCTTACCTCATACTCTACATACTTAAAAAATGCCAACTAGATTAAAAGCTTAAATATAAAAAGCAAAACATTGAAACTTTTGGAAGAAAATACAGATATCTTTACAACTTTGGAGCAGAGAAATGATTCTTAAACAAGACACAAAAGGAAAAGACTTCTGAATACAATTACATTAAAATAAAACATGTAAATGCAGAGGAATCATGAAAAAGTGAAGACAAACCATAAACTGTTAGATAATATTTACAATACATGCAACTGACAAAGAATTAATCATCAGTAATATACAAAAGACTCCTGCAGATCAATAAGAAATGACAAACCACCCAAGAGAAAAATGAAACCCATTTCACAGAAAGATGAATGACCCATAAACACATGAGGGGGACAAAAAAACTCAACCTCTTTAGTAATCAGGGAAATGCAAATCAAAACTACAAGCACATAAAATTTGATTCCTACAAGGCTGGCAAAATTTAAAAGTTGGGTAATACCATGCGTAGATGAAGATAGGGAACAAAGAGTAATTCTTAGAGAGTGATGGGTTGTGCCTGTAACTCAGAAAATTCTTTCCTAGGTATACGTCTGAGAGAAATACTTGCACAAGTGTTCCAACAGGCATTCAAACACACAGTTCAGGCTGGGTGCAGTGGCTCACACCTGTAATCTCAGAACTTTGAGAGACCAAGGTGGGAGAATTGCTTGAGCCCAGGAGGTTGAAGCTGCAGTGAACCATTTTTGCACCACTGCCCTCCAGCTTAGGCCACAAAGCAGGACCCTGTCTCAAAAATTAAATAAATAAATAGAAAATAAAAGTGCATAGTAACACTGTTCTGTGAAAATAGAATAGAAAGAAATAGAAACAGACAAGAAACATGAAATGTTCATTAACAGGAGAATGGAAAAATAAATTGTGATATATTCTTATGGTGAAATACTGTACAGCAATAAAAATTAATGAGCTGTGTTTAGTAGAATCAACATGAATAAATCTCAAAAATAAAATTTTGGAGGCTTCTACTTTTGCTTAGGACATAGAAGCCACAAGAAAATGTCACTCTCACCATAAACAATGAAAAAAACCCTGAAAAATCCACAAAACCATAAATTTCTGTAGACCCCCAGAGAACTAATGTTGTAATATAACCAAGTAAATTAAATTGCAACGAGTAACACATCCTAGGAGAAGACATGAGACACACAAACTATTTCACTTTTGGCAGAGCACAGGAAGAAGAGATAGTCATATCTGCAGTTAAACAGAAAGCAACTGAAATTATAACAAGCACTTAAAGGCAAAGTATGAAATCATGTGGCAGTCTTGGAGCTCCAGCCACAAAGGGCATCTGCACCCACTTGCCATCTCTTCTCCATGTGTATCCACCAAGGTGCTCATGAGAGTGGGAGACCTGAGAAAGCCGTTCTTGGTGGCATGAGAGACTGCCAAGATTTGAGAGTAGAACAGAGGTACTAGGAGAAACCCATCTACAATCTTAACCCAGTGGAAATACAAGATTACAAGTGGTTGCTGCTAAAGGACAGGCAGGAACTTGGCCACCCCCTAAACATTATTCATTTCTGTGATTTAAAAAAAAAAATTTGCCTCTGAGGCAGGAAACCCCCTTGTGTGCTAGGCCCACATTGAGTAGGGGGAAGGAAAAGTGGTCTCCCATCAGGGTGGGGATAGGAATGCTGAGAAAACTTCATCATTGAACTCAATGAAACATAAAATAAGGTGTGGGATGTAGCTAAAGCAGCACCTAGAGGGAAATTTATAGCATTCAATGCTTACACTAAAAAGAAGAAAGGCTTCAAATCAATGACCTGGAGAAACTAGAAGAAAAAGAGAATCAAAGCCAAAGTAAGCAGATGGAAGGAAATAAGATAAGAGCAGAACTCAATGAAATAAATAGAAAATCAAAAGAGAAAAATCAATGAAAGTA
The DNA here is from genome assembly GCF_000001405.40 of Homo sapiens. Lineage (NCBI taxonomy): Eukaryota > Metazoa > Chordata > Mammalia > Primates > Hominidae > Homo > Homo sapiens. The sequence continues at coordinate 109,205,301 of NC_000005.10, forward strand.
TGCTCATTCCTTGGGTGGGTGGCAGAATCAGTGAAAACAACAAAGGCCTACCAGACTGATCAAGGAGAAAAAGGGGAAAACAAAGATTACCAATATCAGTAATAATGGGACAACTCCTGCAACTCTATATACCTTGAAAGGAGTATAAGGAAACACTATTAATAACTTTATGCCAGTAAATTTGCCAACTTACATAATATCAACAAATTTCTTAAAAGATATAAACTATGAAAGCTCAGTCAAGAAGTGATAATCCCAAATAGCTGTTTATTAAATAAAATGAATTTATAGTTAAAAATCTTCCCACCAAGAAAATTCTAGGCCAGATGGCTTCACTGATGAAATCTACCAAACACTAAAGGAAGAAATAGTAACAATATTACACGAACTCTTCTAGAATCTAGAAAAGGAAGAAATGCTTCTTAAGTCATTTTAAGAGGCCAGCATTACACAGATACCAAAACCATAGAACGATATTTCATGAAAACTGCAGACCAATATCACTCAGGAATATAGACACAAAACTTAACAAATTCTTAGCATATAAAAATCTACCAATATGTAAAAAAGATAATAAATCATGAACAAATGGATTTTGTCCCAGAACTGCAAGGTTGCTTCAACAAAAATAAAATTTGTTTTAAAAAGGAATTAACCACATCAACAGACCAAAAAAGAAAACCTATATGATTGTCTCATTAATTGCACAAAAAAACATTTGACGAAGTTCCATATCCTCTAATGATAAAAATGCTTAAACTAGGAATAGAAATATCCTCAACTGATAAAGGGTATCTATGAAAGGCCTACAGGTAATATAATATTTAATGCTAAAAAAAGAAGTCTTTTCCCCTAAGATCAAGAACAAAGCAAGGATGTCTACTCTCACCATTTTTATTTATAATTGTCCTAGAGGTCATAATCACTATACTAATGTAAGAAAAAGAAATAGGCTGGGCACAGTGGCTCACACCTGTAATCGCAGCTCTTTGAGAGGCCAAGGCAGGCAGATTCCTTGAATCCAGGAGTTGAAGACCAGCCTGCCCAACACAGCAAAGCCCCATCTCTCCAAAAAACACAAAAATTAGCCAGGCATGGTGGCACTTGCCTGTGGCCCCGGCTATTAATACTTTTGGGGGCTGAGGTAAGACAAGTGCTTCAACCCAGAAGGCTGAGGCTGCAATGAGTCATGATTGTGCCACTGCATTCCAGCCTGGGCAACAGAGCAAGACCCTGTCTCAAAAAAAAAAAATCTGAAAAGGAAAAAAGTAAAATCATCTTTATTTGCAGGAGAATGATCATCCATATAAAATATCCTAAGAAATTACCAAAAAAGCTGCTAGAACTATTCAGCGAATTAAGCAAGGTCACAGAATAAAAGGTCAACATACAAAATCAATCTGATTCTATATATTAGAAATGAACACTGGAAACAAGTTTCACAAAAACCATTTACAGTTGCATCAAAAACATGAAATATTTAAGGATAAATTTAACAAGATGTATGTAAGAACTGTACACTAAGACATACAAGTTGCTGAGAGCAATTAAGGGAGAGAGATATCATGGTCATAGATTGAAAGACTCAAGATTAAGATGTCAGTTACCCCCAGATGATCCAAAGATTCAATGCAACCCCAATCAAAATTCCAGCAGGTCACTTTTAGATATGGTCAAGTTGATTCTATAATGTATGTGTAAAGACAACTGACTGAAAATAGTCAAAAAATTTGAAAAAGAAAGAAGACTTATAATATCTAATTTACTTAAAGCTACAAGTAATCAAAATACTGTTGTATTTGCATTTGGTATTTGCATAAAGATAAATGTACAGATCAACGAAACCAAATTGTGATTCCAAAATAGACTCACATGCCAAAATAGGCTCACGGTGCCCAAAAAATTGGATATTCCTATGCAAAAACCCTTGCCATTTGCCATGGAACCTTTGCCCTTACTTCTCACCAAATAAGAAATATTTCTAAATGGATCATAAACAGAAAGGTAAATATGCCTAAACACAAAGGTAAAATTATAAAACATTTAAAAGAAACCACTGGAGAAAATCTTTGCAGTCATAGGTTAGGCAAATGATTTTTAAATACAAAAAGCACAAACCATTAAAAAATTATAAATTAGACTTCCTTGAAATTAAAAGCTTTTGCTATTTGAAAGATAGTTTTAATACAATGAAAAGACAGATGATGGACTGGGTGAAAATATTCACAAAACACATTTGAAAAAGGTTTCCAGAATATGCATGGAACTTCTATACCTTACTAATAAAACGAACTCAATTTTTCAAAAATAGACCCCCAAAATTGAACCAATGTTCCAAAGAAAAACTACAAATAACCAATAAGCACATAAAAAGTTACTCAATATTGTTAGTTGTCAAAGAAATACAAATTAAAACCTTAATACTGCACAGCCAATAGAATGGCTAAACTTTAAAAGACTGATATTACCACCACTGACAAGGATGCTGGACAACTGGAACTCTCACATATTGCCAGTGCAGATACAAAACGGCACAGAAAACATTTTGAGCGTCTCTGGTAAAATTAAAAATCTACCTACCATGTGATGCAGAAAATCCACTCCTGGAAAGAAATGAAAACAAAAGACCACACAATGACCTGTGTGCAAAAGGTTTATGCTAAGAGGAAAAAAAGCCAAACACAAAAGACTTTATACCATATCACCCCATTTATATGACATTCTAGAAAAGGCAAAAAATATATAACAGAAAACAGATCAGTGGTTGCCAGAGAATGATGTTTGACTACAAGGGGTCCGAGGAAACTGTGAGATGGTGGAAATACTGTCCCTCTTAGTGACAGAATGATGATGCAGCTGTATACAGTCCTCAACACTCATTTGAACCGTACATTTTAAAAGGTGAGTTTTATTATATGTAAATTATACCTCAGAAAACCAAGCAAAAATTTTAATGAAAACCAAATCATAGATACGTCATATGAGCCCATTTATATAAAGATCCAAACTTCATGTAAAATTTTCAGCCTTGTTTTGGGATACACAAGCATGCAGTTAACACTACAACATAAGCCAAGAAAATAAATGCACAATTTTAAATCTTGGTTACTTGTGAGGGAAGAGGAGATGAGCATGATGGAGAGAGGTTCACAGGGTCTTTAGAGTCCTCCTTATCCTCTATTTCTTTTTTTTTTAATTTAATGTAGCATTTATTTATTTATATTTTAAGTTCTAGGGTACATGTGCACAATGTACAGGTTTGTTACATATGTATACATGTGCCATGTTGGTGTGCTGCACCCAGTAACTCGTCATTTAACATTAGGTATATCTCCAAATGCTATCCCTCCCCCCTCCCCCCATCCCATGACAGGCCCCAGAGTGTGATGTTCCCCTTCCTGTGTCCAAGTGTTCTCATTGTTCAATTCCTACCTATGAGTGAGAACATGCGGTGTTTGGTTTTTTATCCTTCTGATAGTTTGCTGAGAATGATGGTTTCCAGCTTCATCCACATCCCTACAAAGGACATGAACTCATCCTTTTTTATGGCTGCATAGTATTCCATGGTGTATATGTGCCACATTTTCTTATTCCAATCTGTCATTGATGGACATTTGGGTTGGTTCCAAGTCTTTGCTATTGTGAATAGTGCCGCAATGAACATACCTGTGCATGTGTCTTTATAGCAGCATGATTTATAATCCTTTGGGTATATACCCAATAATGGGATGGCTGGGTCAAATGGTATTTCTTGTTCTAGATCCTTGAGGAATCACCATACTGTCTTCCACAATGGTTGAACTAGTTTACAGTCCTACCAATGGTGTAAAAGTGTTCCTATTTCTCCACATCCTCTCCAGCACCTGTTGTTTCCTGACTTTTTAATGATCACCATTCTAACTGGTGGGAGATGGTATCTCGTTGTGGTTTTGATTTGCATTTCTCTGATGGCCAGTGATGAGGAGCATTTTTTCATGTGTCTGTTGGCTGCATAAATATCTTCTTTTGAGAAGTGTCTGTTCATATCCTTCGCCCACTTTTTGATGGTTTTTTTTTTGTAAGTTTGTTTGAGTTCTTTGTAGATTCTTGATATTAGCCCTTTGTCAGATGAGTAGATTGCAAAAATTGTCTCCCATTCTGTAGGTTACCTGTTCACTCTGATGGTAGCTTCTTTTGCTGTGCAGAAGCTCTTTAATTAGATCCCATTTGTCAATTTTGGCTTTTGCTACCATTGCTTTTGGTGTTTTAGATATGAAGTCCTTGCCCATGCCTATGTCCAGAATGGTATTGCCTAGGTTTTCTTCCAGAGTTTTTATGGTTTTAGGTCTAACATTTAAGTCTTTAATCCATCTTGAATTAATTTTTGTATAAGGTGTAAGGAAGGGATCCAGTTTCAGCTTTCTACATATGGCTAGCCAGTTTTCCCAGAACCATTTGTTAAATAGGGAATTCTTTCCCCATTTCTTGTTTTTGTCAGGTTTGTCAAAGATCAGATGGTTGTAGATGTGTGGTATTATTTCTGAGGACTCTATTCCATTCCATTGGTCTATATCTCTGTTTCGGTACCAGTACCATGCTGTTTTGGTTACTGTAGCCTTACAGTATAGTTTGAAGTCAGGTAGCGTGATGCCTCCAGCTTTGTTCTTTTGGCTTAGGATTGACTTGGCAATGCAGGCTCTTTTTTGGTTCCATATGAACTTTAAAGTAGTTTTTTCCAATTCTGTGAAGAAAGTCATTGGTAGCTTGATGGGGATGACATTGAATCTATAAATTACCTTGGGCAGTATGGCCATTTTCACGATATTGATTCTTCCTATCCATGAGCATGGAATGTTCTTCCATTTGTTTGTGTCCTCTTTTATTTCCTTGAGCAGTGCTTTGTAGTTCTCCTTGAAGAGGCCCTTCACATTCCTTGTAAGTTGGATTCCTAGGTATTTTATTCTCTTTGAAGCCATCATGAATGGGAGTTCACTCATGATCTGGCTCTCTGTTGTTTGTCTGTTATTGGTGTATGAGAATGCTTGCAATTTTTGCACATTGATTTTGTACCCTGAGATTTGCTAAAGTTGCTTATCAACTTAAGGAGATTTTGGGCTGAGATGATGGGGTTTTCTAAATATACAATCATGTCATCTGCAAACAGGGACAATTTGACTTCCTCTTTTCATAATTGAATGCCCTTTATTTCCTTCTCCTGCCTGATTGCCCTGGCCAGAACTTCCAACACTATGTTGAATAGGAATGGTGAGAGAGGGCATCCCTGTCTTGTGCCAGTTTTCAAAGGGAATGCTTCCAGTTTTTGCCCATTCAGTAGATATTGGCTGTGGGTTTGTCATAAATAGCTCTTATTATTTTGAGATATGTCCCATCAATACCTAATTTATTGAGAGTTTTTAGCATGAAGCATTGTTGAATTTTGTCAAAGGCCTTTTCTGCATCTATTGAGATAATCATGTGGTTTTTTTCTTTGGTTCTGTTTACATGCTGGATTACGTTTATTGATTTGCATATGTTGAACCAGCCTTGTATCCCAGGGATGAAGCCCACTTGATCATGGTGGATGAGCTTTTTATGTGCTGCTGTATTCGGTTTGCCAGTATTTTAGCATCAATGTGCATCAGGGATATTGGTCTAAAATTCTTTTTGTTGTGTCTCTGCTGGGCTTTGGTATCAGGATGATGCTGGCCTCATAAAATGAGTTAGGGAGGATTCCCTCTTTTTCTATTGATTGGAATATTTTCAGAAGGAATGGTACCAGCTCCTCCTTGTACCTCTGGTAGAATTCAGCTGTGAATCCCTCTGGTCCTGGACTTTTTTTAGTTGGTAAGCTGTTAGTTATTGCCTTAATTTCAGAGCCTGTTATTGGTCTGTTCAGGGATTCAATTTCTTCCTGGTTTAGTCTTGGGAGGGTGTATGTATCGAGGAATTTATCCATTTCTTCTAGATTTTCTGGTTTATTTGTGTAGAGGTGTTTATAGTATTCTCTGATGGTAGTTTGTATTTCTGTGGGATCGGTGGTGATATCCCTTTTATCATTTTTTATTGCGTCTATTTGATTCTTCTCTCTTTTCTTCATTAGTCTTGCTAGCAGTCTATCAATTTTGTTGATCTTTTCAAAAAACCAACTCCTGAATTTGTTGATTTTTGAAGGGTTTTTTCTGTCTCTATCTCTTTCAGTTCTGCTCTGATCTTAATTATTTCTTGCCTTCTGCTAGCTTTTGAATGTGTTTGGTCTTGTTTCTCTAGTTCTTTTAATTGTGATGTTAGGGTGTCAATTTCAGATCTTTCCTGCTTTCTCTTGTGGGCATTTCGTGCTATAAATTTCCCTCTACACACTGCTTTAAATGTGTCCCAAAGATTCTTGTATGTTGTGTCTTTGTTCTCATTGGTTTCAGAGGACATCTTTATTTCTGCCTTCATTTTGTTATGTACCCAGTAGTCATTCAGGAGCAGGTTATTCAATTTCCATGTAGTTGAGCAGTTTTGAGTGAGTTTCTTAATCCTGAGTTCTAGTTTGATTGCACTGTGGTCTGAGACAGTTTGTTATAATTTCTGTTCTTTTACATTTGCTGAGGAGTGCGTTACTTCCAAATATGTGGTCAATTTTGGAATAAGTGCAGTGTGGTGCTGACAAGAATGTATATCCTGTTGATTTGGGGTGGAGAGTTCTGTAGATGTCTATTGGGTCTGCTTGTTGCAGAGCTCCATTCAATTCCTGGATATCCTTGTTAACTTTCTGTCTTGTTGATCTAATGTTGACAGTGGGGTGAAGTCTCCCTTTATTGTTGTGTGGGAGTCTAAGTCTCTTTGTAGGTCTCTTAGGACTTGCTCTATGAATCTGGGTGCTCTTGTATTGGGTGCATATATATTTAGGATAGTTAGCTCTTCTTGTTGAATTGAGCCCTTTACCACTATGTAATGGCCTTCTTTGTCTCTTTGATCTTTGTTGGTTTAAAGTCTGTTTTATCAGCAACTAGGATTGCAACTCCTGCCTTTTTTTGTTTTCCATTTGCTTGGTAGATCTTCCTCCATCCCTTTATTTAGAGCCTATGTGTGTCTCTGCACATGAGATGGGTCTCCTGAATACAGCACACTGATGGGTCTTGACTCTATCAAATTTTTCAGTCTGTGTCTTTTAATTGGAGAATTTAGCCATTTATATTTAAGGTTAATATTGTTATGTATGAATTTGATCCTGTCATTATGATGTTAGCTGGTTATTTTGCTCATTAGTTGATGCAGTTTCTTCTTAGCCTCGAAGGTCTTTACAATTTAGCATGTTTTTGCAGTGGCTGGTACTGGTTGTTCCTTTCCATGTTTAGTGCTTCCTTCAGGAGCTCTTTTAGGGCAGGCCTGGTGGTGACAAAATCTCTCAGCATTTGCTTGTCTGTAAAGTATTTTATTTCTCCTTCACTTATGAAGCTTAGTTTGGCTGGATATGAAATTCTGGGTTGAAACTTCTTTTCTTTAAGATTGTTGAATATTGGCTCCCACTCTTTTCTGGCTTATAGAGTTTCTGCTGAGAGATCAGCTGTTAATCTGATGGGCTTCCCTTTGTGGGTAACCCGACCTTTCTCTCTGGCTGCCCTTAACATTTTTTCCTTTATTTCAACTTTGGTGAATCTGACAATTATGTGTCTTGGAGTTGCTGTTCTCGAGGAGTATCTTTGTGGCATTCTCTGTATTTCCTGAATTTGAATATTGGCCTGCCTTGCTAGGTTGGGGAAGTTCTCGTGGATAATATCATCCTGCAGAGTATTTTCCAACTTGTTTCCATTGTCCCCATCACTTTCAGTTACACCAATGATACGTAGATTTGGTCTTTTCACATAGTCCCATATTTCTTGGAGTCTTTGTTCGTTTCTTTTTACTCTTTTTCTCTTCTTGCTTCATTTCATTCATTTGATCTTCAATCACTGATACCCTTTCTTCCAGTTGATCGAATCAGCTACTGAAGGCTGTGTATTCGTCACGTAGTTCTCGTGCCATGGTTTTCAGCTCCATCAGGTCATTTAAGGACTTCTCTACACTGTTTATTCTAGTTAGCCATTTGTTTAATCTTTTTTCAAGGTTTTTAGCTTCTTTGCCATGGGTTTGAACTTCCTTCTTTAGCTTGGAGTAGTTTGATCGTCTGAAGCCTTCTTCTCTCAACTCGTCAAAGTCATTCTCCGTCCAGCTTTGTTCCGTTGCTGGTGAGGACCTGCATTCCTTTGGAGGGGGAGAGGCGCTCTGATTTTTAGAATTTTCAGCTTTTCTGCTCTGTTTTTTCCCCACCTTTGTGGTTTTATCTACCTTTGGTCTTTGATGATGATGACGTACAGATGGGGTTTTGGTGTGGATGTCCTTTCTGTTTGTTAATTTTCCTTCTAACAATCAGGACCCTCAGCTGCAAGTCTGTTGGAGTTTGCTGGAGGTTCACTCCAGACCCTGTTTGCCTGGGTATTACCAGCAGAGGCTGCAGAACATTGAATATTGCTGAACAGCAAATGTTGCTGCCTGATCCTTCCTCTGGAAGCTTCATCTCAGAGGGGTACCTGGCTGTATGAGGTGTCAGTCTGCCCCTACTGGGGGATGCCTCCCAGTTAGGCTACTCAGGGGTCAGGGACCCACTTGAGGAGGCAGTCTGTCCATTCTCAGAGCTCAAACTCTGTGCTGGGAGAACCACTACTCTCTTCAAAGCTGTCAGACAGGGACATTTAAGTCTGCAGAGGTTTCTGCTACCTTTTGTTCGGCTATGACCTGCCCCCAGAGGTGGAGTCTATAGAGGCAGGCAGGCCTCCTTGAGCTGCTGTGGGCTCCACGCAGTTAGATCTTCCCGGCCGCTATGTTTACCTACTCAAGCCTCAGCAATGGTGGGTGCGCCTCCCCCAGCCTCACTGCCACCTTGTAGTTCGATCTCAGACTGCTGTGCCAGCAATGAGTGAGGCTCCATGGGTGTGGGACCCTCCTAGCCAGGCACGGGATATAATCTCCCGGTGTGCCGTTTGCGAAGACTGTTGGAAAAGTGCAGTATTAGGGTAGGAGTGACCCGATTTTCCAGGTGCCATCTGTCACAGCTTCCCTTGGCTAGGAAAGGGAATTCCCCTTGAGCTAGGAAAGGGAATTCCCTTGGCTAGGAAAGGGAATTCCCTTGGCTAGGAAAGGGAATGACTCCTTGCTCTTCCCAGATGAGGTGATGCCTCACCCTTCTTCGGCTTACACTTGGTGGGCTGCACCCACTGTCCTGCCCCCAATGTCTGACAAGCCCCAGTGAGATTAACCGGGTACCTCAGTTGGAAATGCAGAAATCACCCGTCTTCTGCATCACTCACGCTGGGAGCTGTAGACTGGAGCTGTTCCTATTTGGCCATCTTGGAACCACACTCAATCCTCTACTTCTTAAGGTAAGTGCTCTCTACACTGATACCTATATTGTTATTCTTTATTTCTTACACAGTATATATTTCTGTATATTTTCATAATACAATGGGTGTTAAAAGTAATAAGGAAAAAAAATTGAGTTATAAATTTGTGTGTTAGAACAATTTTTCCTGTGCTGAGGCAACTAAAGAGGCATTTTATCAGTTTTCTTATATAAAATAAGTATTTATTGGTTTAATATTTTTCCTATAGGGACATAGTGCTTGTAGTACCTTGTTTCTCTAATAAGTGTTTTCTATCTGCAGACAGAATGTTCTACTGAAATGGGACAGCAGGCCCATTAGATGGCATGTTCTATGCCTAAAATGCCTTTTAGGGAACCATCTCAAGACTGCCATTCACATTAAAGAGCACTGTCTTTACTTGGCTGGCATGCGGACAGACAGGAAACCTGGAAGGGCTGCTCTTTATCTGAAAATAATTCCATCTCCCTGTTTTATCTCAGCCATGCCAAAGCTTTGCTTAAAGAGCAAGGTTCAGAGTGTGAAGCGTGATCCTTTGTTGACCTTTATTCCAACACCCAGGCTGTAACATGTTTGGCCATCTTAGTCCAGCCAAGTCAAAGCGACTCCAAGAGGCCATGGAGAGGGTGCACAGAGGCCTGGGGAGTGCTAAGCAAATGTCCTAGTTTGGACAGCTCACACAGGAGGGTTTGGCATTTAGCCTTCCTCCCCATTTCTGAATCCCCTGCCCAGAAGTCTAGACCTGTGCCATCTACTTGATTCCCGTGTATTTGTCCATCTTTCCACATTTATTTTTAAGCTGCTATTTTACTGAGCTGCCATAAAGCACCCTATAGCCCTACCTCCCAGAAGAGACCAGAGGCTGAGGCAGGTTACAGGCAGGGATGAAAGTGATGAAAATGGTGCAATGATGGGAGTGGGAAGCCAGGCAATTACGAGTCCTCTCACAAATACAGTCGTGCTACACATAATGACATTTCAGTCAACAAAAGATTGCATATACAACAGTGGTCTCTAAGATTATAACACCATATTTTTACCGTACCTTTTCTATGTCTAAATATGTTTAGATACACAAATATCATTGTGTTCCAGTTGCCTATTCAGTTCAGTTACATGCTGTACAAGTTTGTATCTAGGAGCAACAGGCTATAACACATAGCCTAGGTTTGTAGTAGGCTGTCCCATCTGGGTTACGTCAGTACACTCTATGATGTTCACACAGCGACACAATTGCCCAATGCACATTTCTCAGAATGTATTCCCATAATTACACCATGCATGACTATACTTCTCTGTCAAAAGTTTACCTGATCCAGCTCACTCCCTTCTTCCAAAGCATTAGGCTGCATTTTTCTAATTACTATTAGAAAGTTTGTTCAATGATCAAATTAACATCTAATGAAAGAAATGAAAATAAAAACTGCATTGAAATGCCATTTCTTACCTAACAGATTGGCAAAATGTCACACTTAAAGAAACAACAAGCAGATTCTAAATAGCCATATGTGTGAAAATTTAAAGGACCTGGAATATCCAAAGCAGTCCTATCAAAGAAGAATAAAGTAGGAGGACATACAGTAAAGTGTAGTATTGGCCTAAGTATTGACAAATGAGAAAACATTTGGCCAAAAGATCTAAACAATTCACAAAAGAAGATATACAGGAAGGGTGAATAAGCACTGCAAAGACATTCAACATCATCATTAATCAGGGAAATGCAAATGAAAGCTATAATGAAATTCTGCCAGACATCACCAGAATGGCTAAAATTATAGACTGGCTGTATCAAGTGCTGACAAGGATATGAAACAACTTGCACTCTCATCTGTTGCTGGTTGGAGTGCAAAATGGTGCAACTACTTTACAAGACATCTTGAAGTTTTGAATAAAAGCAAACCTACACCTACCCTACAACCCAACCTCTCCTAGGTATTTACCCAAGAAAAATGAAAACATATATCATATGTCAACAAAAAATAGAAAGTTCATGTTATTCATAACATCCAAAAACTAGTAAAAAAAAAAAAAAAACTGGGTGTCCATAAACACAAACATGAATAAACTGGCATGTGGTATAATGTATCCCAATGGGATCCTATTCAACAATAAGAAGGAATAAATTACTGATCAGAATGAACCTCAAAAGCATTATTCTACATGAAATAAGTCTTACATTACAAAGTATATATTACGAGATTCAATTTTCATGAGGTTAGGAAAAACTACTCTGCTGTGGAGAAAAAATCAGAACAGTTCCCTCTTGGGTGGGAACAAGGAATGAGTAAGAGACACGTGGGACCATTGTATGGAAATCACTATGTTTTATGTATTGACAGGGATTTGGGTTTCACGGAGACATCTACTTGTAACAATCAGTGAAAATTTTTCCACTTCCTTGTTTATAAATTTTACATCAAAGGAAAAGAGTACACAAATATTGAACTCTAATGATAAGCATACTGAACTATATTAGGACATAATTTATTATCTAATTTATTCTGAAATACAGCAAAAACTATGAACTGATGAGAGGGTAGAGGAATGGAAAAATGATTAGGTATGTGATAAAGTATAGGACAACTCTATGTATACAAGTGTAGATATATATATAATTGTGTATATGTAATTGTAGAATACAGGTGGTAGGCATATGGTTGATCTTTGTTAAAATCTTTCAACTCTTCTCTTTGAAATTTGTAACTTTTTTTTTTTTTTTTTTTTTTTTGAGACAAAGTCTCGCTCTGTCGCCCAGGCTGGAGTGCAGTGGCACAATCTTGGCTCACTGCAAGCTCCACCTCCCGGGTTCACGTCATTCTCCTGCCTCAGCCTCCCAAGTAGCTGGGACTACAGGCGCCCGCCACCACGCACGGCTAATTTTTTGTATTTTTAGTAGAGACGGGGTTTCACCATGTTAGCTAGAATGGTCTCGATCTCCTGACCTCATGATCCGCCCGCCTCGGCCTCCCAAAGTGCTGGGATTACAGGTGTGACCCACCGCGCCAGGTCTGTTGTAACTTTTTTTTTTTAAAGCAAGGTGCAGAACTATATCTAGAGTGTACTATCTTTTATTTAAGAAACAGGAAATAATATATATCATCATTTGCTTACATTTGTCTAGAGAGATACTAGAAAGATAACCAGGGTAGATGGGGACTTGTCAGTATGTACCTTTTGATATTATTTTCCTCTTTGAATCATGTAAATATGTAACCCATTCGAAACTAATTTTAAAAAGACGACCATTTGCCCAAGGAAGGAATTAAAGGCTTAGGGAGTCTAGTTGACTAGCTCTTCATTTCTGATGCCCTCTGTGCTTGAAATCGATTCATTTTTAGGTTTTTGGAAGAGAAAAGGCAGATGGTTGAGCTCCTGGGAAGTTTGCCTTGAAACTGTAGAATTTAACAACAAAATTATAATACTCCCTCTCTCTGTCTCTAATCAGTTCAAAATGGGTTTTCTAGTGCAATTTGTCTTAGCCAAACCTTTATCCAGCCTCCTGTCCCCACTCCACACTCACACACACTGACATATATACTCACCCGTATAGGGCTATGCTGAGTGATCTCAGGGAGCCATCTCCAGAGTGTCCCTGTGGCCTCCTTTCCTCAGGACAACGTTTTTCAATCAGGTACACAGGATGGCAGTGGTGGTGTGCAGATATCTTCATGTAAATGCCCCCTCTAACCTGCCTCATCTAGTTTCTCAGGCAAGGATCCTCCCTAAGCGAGCTGCTGTGTAATGTTTTGCTCGGAAATGAGGTGGAGCTGCAGTGACAACATGACACTGGAAAGGGAAGTCATCACCAGCGTGTACAGGAGTTTTCCTAAAGCTCAGCAACCTAAGATTGATATGATTATGTTCACCTCTATCATGCAACACATTTTCACATCCCTTCAAAAGTGAGCACCCAGCCTAGCTGCCAGCCCAGATTTGCCAGAGAATGCTTGAACACCAGTGAGGCACCAACCTCAAGGGCAACCACAGTTGACATAGTCGGCCTCAGTCAGGGCTCATTGTTCTACCAGATGCCCACAGCATATAATGGAACAAGAGATTAGGAATTTATGAGACTAGAAGATGAGAGAGAAAGTATTTTCCTCAGGTGGATGGAATGCTTGTTGAGACCAATTACTCTGAGGAAAGGTCAAGGAAGGGCAAAGACATTGACCCCAGAGCTAAACATTAGAGCTATGAACAGCAGCCAAGAAAATCCAACTGATTATCCTGCCTGTAAAGCAGAAACATCAAATGATAGATTAAATTAGAGCAGCGAATTTAAAATTGTGGATGTGCTGTCTGTCTTTATCAGCTCACATCACTAATGAAATCCGAATCTCCATGGAAGGCAGCCAGGAAAATACAGAAATAGGAAGAATGTTAAGAGGAGGCTGGACTTAGAAACGAGCATCTTGGGAGGGGTGAGATGTGTGAAATTAATCAGTGAGCCTTGCCGGAACCAGCCCCAGTCTTCTGCTTCCTCTTTCCTGGAGCTGAGCCTGGGCTCTGGGAGAGCCAGTGCCCATTTGGGAAAGACTGGGGAAGAGAAATCACTGGAAGGAAGGAAAGGAATTAAAGAATGAGGACAAAAATGACGACGGCTGCTCTGGAGATTGTTCTACACACATGATGGGGCTGCCCCACGTGCTGTGGGACAAAGCTGCTCTCTGCAGCACCCAGACTGCAGGTGGGGTGGGGGTCCTCCTGCACCCTGCAGGGGTCCCACATTTGGGTCTTCTCTGTCAGCCTGTGGATTGCTGTAGAGCAAAGGTCCCCCAGTCCCTGGGCCACATAGCAGTACTGATCCGTGGCCTGTTAGGAACTAGGCCACACAGCAGGAGGTGAGTGGCAGGTGAGTGAGGGCAGCTTCATCTGTATTTATAGCTACCCCCATTGCTCGCATTCCCACCTGAGCACCATCTCCTGTCAGATCAGTGGTGGCGTTAGATCTCATAGACAGGCAAACCCTATTGTGAACTGTGCATGCGAAGGATCTAGGTTGCACGTGAAGGATCTAGGTTGCACGCTCCTTATGAAAATCTAATGTCTGATGATCTCCCACCACCTTCAGAAGGGACTGTTTAGTTTCAGGAAAACAAGCTCAGGGTTCCCGCTGATTCTACATTATGGTGAGTTGTATAATTATTTCTTTATATATATTACAATGTAATAGTAATAAAGTATACAGTAAACGTAATGCACTTGAATTATCATCCCAAAACCATCCCTCTACCTTACACCCTGTCCATGGAAAAATTGTCTTCCATGAAACCAGTCCCTGGTGTCAAAAATTTTGAGGACAGCTGCTACAGAAGATGCACCATTCTGTCCCAGCCTCCCTGTTCAGCCAGGTTGGGAAAGCCTTGGCTCTCAAGAAAGCACAGCTGTGGCAGCCTAAAGCCTTATGCTTTGGCCTACACTAGATATTATCATTCCTTTCATTTCTGCCAATCTATGTAAAAGAAATGATATATCCTTATTTTGTTTGCATTTTCATATCTTTACCTTCAGTCATATTCATTTCTTCTTCCGAGATTTGCCATTTTTCTTTTGGGTTTTCTCTTTTTTAAAATTAATTTTAAGAAACTATTTGTTAATGTTTAAAGGCATAGAAGTCAGGAAAGTTAATCAATTTTGTTCAGTTCAATATCCTCACAACTAAGAACAGTGCCTGACATATAGTATACATATTTAATATGTACTGATGAATATAGAATATTAAACCTTTTTCTTATGTTAAGAATGTTTTCTCTTAGCCTATCA
The DNA here is from genome assembly GCF_000001405.40 of Homo sapiens. Lineage (NCBI taxonomy): Eukaryota > Metazoa > Chordata > Mammalia > Primates > Hominidae > Homo > Homo sapiens. Next base: position 109,220,447 of record NC_000005.10, read on the forward strand.
ATTTCTTTACAAGTCTCCAGCTATATAATGATTTTGTTGTAGATGTTGATGTTTTTATGAGGAAATAAATATCTATTTTCTTTATAAAAAAGAAAGAAAGCACAGCCAAGTCTCAGCATGCCCAGTGCTAGCTCTGGGCAAAATAGAATTGTGCCAGGAGAAGCAGGCAGTAGACCTTCCCACTCTTTCATTCTCTTGAACCCTTCCCAGGGCTTTTGAAGCCTGCCACTCTGACTCTTTGTCTATCTTGGCAATGTCTTCTATCAGGGAAATTCAGCTCTCAATTATTTTCACCTCGACATAAATGAAACAGCAGGGCATGGTAAAAGCACATGAAGGGGAGGAGCAAGGGGTCAAAAAATAAAAAATTTAAATATGAAAAGCACATGAGCTTCAGCATCAAATGGACCCGAGTTCAAATCCTGGCTCTTCCACACACCGTGAAGCATTGAAAAAAGAACGCAGTATCTCTTGAGTCTTGGATCCTCCATCAGCAAAATAAAGATAATACCCATCCTATTGATATGTGCTTTAATTAGCAGCAATGTGTGTAAAGGTGCCCAGTGGAACAATCACCCACAAGTGCTCCATAAATGTTTCCTCTCTCCTTCCTCAACTTTTTCCAGAGATTTCCTCTTCAAAATGCTTGTAAATATCATCCATTTATCTCTATTCAAGGAATCATAGCCATCAGTAACAGATGAGTTATCTTTGAGACAAGGTAGGATGCAGTTTGGCTTCAGGTCACCCCTGCTAGAACATTCTTTCACACATCCCCACTCATCACAAAACCCACACCACTGCCTCACTGATGCCATGTTTAACCATGCCTCTTACCTAAAAGAATTCCAGAAACTGGCCTTAGAAAATCCAAATATCAAACAAAGTCATGGAGTGTTTCACCTAGGGAAGGAATGCTAAACAACTGCCTTACAGCATTGGTGCTCCTGGCCAGACCATCAGGTGGTCCATTACTTAAGATAACCATTGCAACCCGACCCCCATGTCAATTCCCACACTTTGCCTAATCAAAGATCCCTACTAGCTTTTTTTTTTGAGAATCTGCCAGAGGATCCTTGCACCTCCACTGTCTTCCTTGTGCTCAGACACAGGCCCTGAAATAAAAGCCTTGTCTGGGACATCTGCTTGGCCCCATGTTAATTTTCATTACATGAGAAGCCAAAAAGCCTGAGACCTATAACATCATCAGCCCTTCCAAAGGCCATCACACCACATAATGTCAGGGCTGGAAAACTGGCAGACATAGGCTCTGTCCTTGGTGACTTTCAGGCAAAATCCTACCCATAGTTACATTGTATTCCAAGTAGGTTTTTCAAATTTTTGAGTTTGAATAAGTTTAGACGGGCTTCCTGATCTCTAAATCTCTAGTGCTCATTTTTCTAAGCTCCTTTACCTGATACTAGAATTAGCTGAGGGATTGACACAGGTGCCTTTGAATATTCCCTGCCTCTCATTTCCTCCTCTCAGTTTCTGCTGTGATCACTACAGCCTGGGTATCTCTGAGGCTTCTGGGCCTTGACACTTGTGGAAGACTGAGAATTGTCCTTCAATATCTGTTATGACCTGAATTATGCCCCTTCAAAATTCATATGTTAAAGTCCTAACCTCTGATTCCACAGAATGTGACTATTTTTGAAGACAGTGTTTTAAAAGAGGCAATTTGGTTAAAAAGAGGTAATGAGAGTAAACCCTAATCCAATATGACTGATGTCCTTCTCAGAAGAGAAAATTTGGACACAGACATGCATAGAAAAAGAATGCCATGTGAACATGAAGACAGCCAAGAAAAGAGGCCTCTCAAGAAACCAACCTGCTGACCCCTGGATCTTGGACTTCCCAGCCTCCAGAACTGTGAGAAAATAAATTTCTATCGTTTAAGCCACTCAACCTGTAGTATTTTGTTATGGCAGCCCCAGCACACTAATACAATATTCATTCTCTCCTTCACTTTAGAAATAGAGTTATTTTAGTTATAGCTAAGCATATGAAAGACTAAATTTCCCAGCCTTCCTTGCAGTGGGGTTGGGCCATAAAACAAAGTTGGAGCCAGCAGGATGTGAGATGTGAGCGGAAGCTGCATGGCAGCTTCCAGGTCTTGCCTTTCAAGTGGAAGCTACTTGCACTCCGTGTGTCCCTTTGCCTCCCTCCTGCTGGCTGGGAGATGACTACAAGCAGAGAAGCTTCCTTGGACAGGGGACAGGGATGGAAACCACATGTTGAAAATGGTGGAGAGGTCTCCTCCAACCCTAGATTACAGTCCTGTGTTCTCAAGGAGTTAAATAAGAGAAACATGTTAAATCTACTGTGGTTGGGGCCTCTTTTTTTTTTTATGGCATCGTATTAGTCTACCACTGGGCTAATATGGACATTCTACCTCCAATGCCCAGATCCTCGAGTTCCAGGTTCCCTAGGAATGCCTGGCTCTGGGAAGAACAGAGAGTCCCAGAGCTGAGCTCTAAGTGGAGACTCTCAGGGATTGGCTGGATGGAGGCTCGGTGGAAATTTATCTTCTAACAGCTTAGTAGCTGTTTGATATAAAAACACTCATAAATTGAAGGAAAAAAATTTTGGTTTTGTTCCTAAATAACCACAATTACTTAGTAATGGGATGTGTGCATGTTGGGCCCTGCACGGCTTCTCAAACTTTGGAATCGGATTGGACTAACCACCCCAATTTCAATACTTTTTATTGCAGCAACCACTGAAAACCCAGTTTTACAAAGATATGATCTCATCAAATAGAATATAGTATCATTTAATATTGAAACTAAACCACATTGAGCTAGTCATTCAAACAATACCCAACAGAGGTTTTCGTCAAAAATTTAAAATGTTCCATGGAGGTGCCTGTGAGTTTCTGCGGCACCCTGGGGGTTTGGTGGGAAGCTCAGTGCACAGTTTGGGAACCATCAGCCTAGTCATAAGTTTTTAGTTACCTGAAGTTTACCACGGCTCAAATCTGTCACTGATTTCCACATTGGTAAAACCAGTGAAATTGTGGTGCCTACTTCTTATGGTTCTTGTGAAAATTAAGTGAGATGATCCATTTTTAAATGTCTACCACAGGATGCGGCCGAGAGAAAGCCTTGACATTAGTTTTCTGTTGCCGTAACAATCACCTTAAACCTAGAGGCAGTAAACAACATATATTTGTTTTTTCTAAGTTCCAAACATTGTTTCCAGCAGGAGGCACAGCTTAGCTGGGGCCTCCGCTCTAGGGGCTGACCGGGCGGCAATGCCGGTGTCAGCAGGGCTGCAGTGTCATAAGAGGGTCAAAACACAGTCTCTCATTGTGGGCAGAATTCGTCTTCTTGCAAGTGTAGCACTGAGGTCCAGTTTCACTGCTGGCTGTAGGCCAGGGACCACCCAGTTTCCTGTCATGCTGACCCCCTCCACAGCAGTTTGCGTGGCAGACAGCAGCTTGCTCCTTCAGAGACAGCAGCAAGGTTTCTCTCTAGTCTGAGAAGACAGTGTCAGAGTGAGATACAATCACAGGAGCGGCATTTGCCAGATGAAGTAATCTATCAAGGGAGGGGCATCCATCAATTTTGCCATATTCCATTGAATAAAAGCCAGTCGCAGGTTCCACCCACACCATTATAGACAAGGTTATCAGACAGGGGCACGACTCACGGTGGTCATCTTAGCTTATGTCTGCTGCAGCCTGGAAAAGTGGCATGTCCCCTTCAAGAGTTCTCTTCTCCATGCTAAATATGCCCAGGTGTGTCAACTGCGGCCTGTGTGGCAATGTTAAAACTCCTGGCTCTACTTCTGTGCCAGCCTCAGAAGACATTTGCTCTGGGAAGAAATGGGGGGCAACACTAGCTTTGTTGTTTAGGGAAGATGGGTCCCATGAGGAGGGGTAGACAACACACGGGAGGTGCTTTCTGTTTAATTTACTCACTCTTCCACTCACTTATTTCACACATTTTTATCAAACAATTTCTATCATCCAGGCCCTCATATGGCCCTGAATGGGGATCAAAGAGTAAGAAAGAGCCTCACGGTCCCTGCATGGAGCTCCCTAACCACTCACACTGGGTACAGGTGCCAGCATTTGAATCATTCCAGTGCAACACAGCCCATTTCCCAGCCTTGTACCTCCTTTGGGTCAGGGAACTGCAGCTCCTTGGGAAAAGCTGTGGTCATCCATTTAATGCAGATGTGGCCAGGAGCAACTCGCCCTGGGGAGAGGGAGAGGGAAGTGGCAGAAGCCAGTGACACAGAGGAAAGGGGTGTGTGTGGCCAGGCATCAGAGCCCATGTGCTTCAGGCCTCTCTCCCTTTGTGTGTTCCTGGAGTTCTCTAAAGCTTAGTTTCTTCATCTACCCATTCTGTGTTGTCTGAACTAAACTTCCACCACTAAAAACCCATTTATATTACTCCCAGCACACACACACTTTGATAGCGTGTCTTTCCAAATCATGTATGAAAAAACAGTCAATTGATTTTCCCATGAAATCAGCAGTATTAAACTAGAGTTGATATCTTTCAGTCAGACACTGAGAAGTGAATGCTTTGGCCTGGCACAGCCAGCCAGGCTGTATCCAGCTGAAGGGAAGACATCAAGAATTGAAGAAAGCTGATGGCACCCAGTACTATTGGTGCAGCCTTCCAGGCACACCTGATATTTCTTCAAAGTGGTATGTGAGCTACTGGGTATTCCTAGAGATGATTCAGGTGGTATATCAGTTTTATAGGTGTGCATTTATTCTAATATGTGGTAATAAAAAATTGCAACTAGCCCATCAAACCTAAGGGATAATTTTCATTTATAATAAACAAAATGAATTTTGTTCTGGGAGTAAATAAACACCAGTCCAGGTGATATGCGGCCACAGGGGCACTGTCAGGGCCAAGTACAAATGACCGGCATCTAGGGAACCCTGGCTGTTACCCCCAAGGACACTTCACCCCTACATGCTGTGATGCTGTAGGATTCCACTTTCTTCCTCAGGAGAGCCACACACATACCCACTCCAGTGACTCTTAGTTTCTACAATAAACAGGGCTCCTAGACATGCTTGGAGAATGGTGCTCAGAACAGCCTCTCTGGTTCTCCAGCCACTCGACTTCTATGTGCTGGATTGATCAGCTTCACATGAGCATGAGTTTCTCATCCTTATGAGTTGCCGTCAAGTGTCAGACTACAGACTAAAACATGACAGTGGTCAGGAACGTTTGGTCTTGAGACTTAAAAACTAATGATACTGTTTTCACTAACAATCAAACACAAGGCTGTTTCACTCAAAACCCACTGATTGTTGCCGTGATGTGACCCCTGAGCCTCCTCTGGGTGACGCATTACCATGCCTGCTTTAAAGACCTTTTTTCAGAATTTTTCCTGGCAAGAATTTGACAGTGAAAAAGTACAAAATAAGCCTGGAGTCTTGACGCTGGAGATAAAAGAAACACACGAGGTCTGTCTGGGGCACATCCACAGGCCCATTGCCAGCTCAGCGCATGCTCGGGCTCTGAGCAGGGAACCATGTTGTGCTCTCTTGATTGATTTGCACTGGCTCTATCCCTCTGAAGCATATTTTTACAGGGAGGAAATTGGTAACTTTATATCTCTTATGGATGAGATATTTTCTATCTATAATAGTTTGGAAATACTTTTTAACAACTCAGATGATGAGGTGAAAAAACAAATCTTTCTTTTGGCCTTAGAGTTCCCCAAGAGACTGGAAATGAATAAGGGCCTCACAGCAAGTCCAGGAGAGCAACGCCACAATTTCATGTGTCCAGAGGGATTGTGCTACCTCATTATCATATGCACCTCTCCGGGAGGCAGGCGTGGTGGGCAGAGGGGATGCTCAAGGTTGGTCATCTGGAACTTGGCCTCAGCCTGGGGAATAAGAAGAGGGAGATTCGCATTGCACAAAGGCAAAGGCATTGCTAATGGCTTGTTGACAAATTGACATCTGCTTATTTATTGCAAAGCAAAATGTGCTAAAGTTTGAGAAAAATAGAACTGGTAACAGGAAAGCCATCTGGCTCAGTTCTCTGAAAGATGTGGAATACTTTTTACCCTTCCAGTACTTAATGTCATTCTGGAAACTTCTTCCACCATCTTTTTTCCTCTAACCTCCATGCTTCTAGGATTTGCTTTCAGCTTCCTAAATTCTAAGCTCCCTGAAGCAGCTCCGGCTTTCAGTGTCTGTTGGCCTAATGTGATCAGCCCTTGGGCTCACAGCTCCTGTTTTGCCACATCCCTCTGGGCGCCTGGACGCCCAGGAGAGGAGGAGAGCAGCACAGCTCACAGTGGGAATGAATAGTCTGTAAGTCCTGGGAGACAGAGAACCAAGGATTTGGAGGAGGAGGTGGCCGATGCACTTTTTCTTGGGAACCTTTCCTTTCATTTACATCACTGTTGGAATTTTTTGGGACATATTTGCCTTATGAAGGCACTTTACAGCTTTTTAATGCTAGTCATAATAATAACAGTTACTGGAATATTTTACACCAGTGCAGCTTGAGTTAAATTTCAAGGACCTATCCTATCCATTGTTTCACTGGTCCAAAACAATTCCAGCACAGACACTTTCAAGGACCTCACTTGTTTGGGAATCTACAAGGAGGTGGTATGAACTGATGGAGTCCACAAGAATTAGCCTCCCTTCTGGCCACAAGTGAAGCCGTGTCTTCAGATGGGTGGCCCACAGATGACGAAGGGATGTTGGGAAGATGATTGGGAGGGGGCCTTAAAGGTTTACAGGAAAATACTGACAGTGAAAGGGGACACTCTTCATAGTCAAGCTGGGACAACAGGACTATCCCGGAAGTATGGTCACCGGTTCGAAGTCACAGGAACCCTGCTCGACTTTGCTTCCCTGCCTGTCTCAAAGTCTTTTTTCTGCAACAGATTTATTTTGTGATGTTGGGATTATATAAATTGAGATTTATTTAGGTGCATGCAATACACTTGGGATAAGAGGTGCAGCCTTCCAGAAAATTCATCTAAAAAGGCATCTGGGGAAAAGAAATGTATTGCTCATTGAAACTGAACTATATGAAAAGATATTGGCAATGTAATTCAGAGCCAGAAATGTAATGCTGTTGAAATACAGAAATATTTCACTATAAACTGCTTCTATTTCAATATCTAGTCAGCCCAAGGGCAGCCATCTTGGGCTACTTTGTTCATTATTGATTATAAGGCAAAGGGCTGCTCAGAGGACTTGGCACACCTTGCTGGTTGAAGGTAGGGGCAGAGGGGGCAAAGCGGGTGAGGAGGTGGGCTAGCACAGGAGAAAGATAGCTTGCTGTTGGGGGTAGGGGTGGGAGCGCTATGAGCAAGTGACACAGTGTCCCAAGCATCAGTGTCTTATCTGCATGTGGCAGGGGTCACAGATGGTCACACTGCATCTCCTGTAGGATTTGGGCATCAGTTCTAGTTCAAACTGGGCCCCTAAAAGACTCAGGCAAATGTAGGGATAATTAGAGCACTGGTGGGGCAGGACTGGTGGGGCAACCCTAGTGGGGCTCTAGTCAGATGATTAAGGAGTCATGAGTTGGTGCCAGAGGATGGAGTGATTTCAGGTTCCACAAGTCTGTCATTCAAATGGTCTCCAATTAGTAGAGCCCACTCAGAGGGGCCAACTTAGATGCCCATTTCCTTTTATGAATACCAACCCCATGGCAGTGTGGAAGATGGATTTGAAGGGTAAGGGAGCCAGAGGAAGGGACACCAGTGTTACTTCTTCCTATCTCCTTTGCTGGGCTCCAGGTTGGCTCTGGGCATGGCTGTGACTTCTATTTTTTTCATTAAACCAATAACTAAAACCATTTGATATGAGTCAAGAATTTTCTAGGTGCAGGGGATAGAAAAAATTGAGACAAAATTCACATCATCAAGGAACTTTCAGTGTTGAGAGTGGCAAAAATGAATCAACCATGATTACCAAGTATGAGAAATATCAGAGCAGGGCAAAGAACTTTGGGACTTTGCTGAGGGGCAATAGATCAGAAGGTTTCAAAAAGACTTAATGTGTGCTCCTGACCTGAGATTTGAAGTATGGGTGGGAGGTAGTAAAGGAAGAATGAAGAGCAGCCCCAGTAAAAAGAATACCATATCCAGTGGCAGAGAAGCCAGGCACACAGGGTAGCTGGAAGGGGTTCCATAGATCTGGTGAGGGCCTTTGTGAAGGGGAGGCAATGAGACTAGAGGGAAGATGCTGGAGAGATCACACACAAAGGGCTTTGCATGCTAATATGAAATGTGTGGATGGATAGAAAGTCCATCTGTATTAGTATCAGGCTGAGTTCTCTCCCCTTTGTGAAGGGGAGGCAATGAGACTAGAGGGAAGATGCTGGAGAGATCACACACAAAGGGCTTTGCATGCTAATATGAAATGTGTGGACGGATAGAAAGTCCATCTGTATTAGTATCAGGCTGAGTTCTCTAAAGAAATGGAACCAATGGGGGTAGGGGAAGCAGCGGGGAGAGGAAAGGGGAGAGGGGGAGAAGGAGAGAGGGTGAAAGATTATCAATCTATTTATCTAGAGAGATTTACTGTAAGGTATTGGTTCATATGATTATGGAGGCTGAGAAGTCCAAGATCAACAATTGGCAAGCTGGAGACCCAGGAGAGCCACTGGTATAGTTTCAGGCTATGTCCAAAGGCCTGAGAACCAGGAGAGCTAATGGTATAAGTTCTAGTTCGAGTCCAAGTCTAAAGGCAGTAAAAGATTGATATTGCAGCTCAAAGATAGGCAGAAATAATTCTCCCTTACTCAGGGCTTCCATTCAGGCCTTTAACAGCTTGGATGAGGCCCACCCACAATGGGGAGGACAGTCTGCTTTACTCAGTCTACCAATTCAAATGTTACTCTCTTCCAGAAACACCTTCACAGACTCATCCAGAAGTAATGTGTAATTAAATATCTGGGCAACCTGTAACCCACTCAAGCTGACACATACTATTAATCATCACACCAACAAACTTTGAAGAATTTGAAGCGGTGCTGGACAGGACCACATTTTTTTGGGGGGGAAGAAACAGAGCATTTAGCACCCAACTCTTAAAGTATGACTGTGCAGACAGAGAGGAAGACATGACTTCAAGGCACATCTGAAGGGTAAATCTTCAGGATTAAGTATGGGAAAAAGCGAAATGAGGGCATGGAAGATGATGCTGATGTCCCTTGTCTCAAGACTGGCAGGGCTGTGGGCATCACTAAGATGGGTATGAGGGCAAGCGAGGAACAGGTGTGGGAAAAAGCAATGAGTCCAATCTGGGGCATCCAAATGGGAATGATCAGGAGGCAGTTGGGTATATGGGTCTGCAGTTGGGAATGGAAATGTAAATTTGGGATTTATCTGCTTCCTGAGGGTAAGGGTAGCTATGAATTTGGATAAGTTTGGATGAGAGTCTCCAGAGAGCAAGGGTGTGGTGTGAGAAGAGCAGGAGGCAGAGGGTGAAGTACTAAGCCTTATGGATGCTTAAGGTGAGAAAGAAAAGAGAACCCATGAAAGAAAATGAAAAGGAGGTAAACTGAGAGACATGTCACAATGTCCAGGGGACAAATCAAGAAGTATGTTCGTCAAATGTCACTAAGAAGTAGGATTACCACATAAAATGTTGATTGTATTAGGCAATATAGAGATAAGTTTTTGTGGTAGACCCAGGTAAAGGAGACTTATAAGACTGCAGTGAGCTGGAGAATGAATGGGAGGTAGGAAATGACATTAAGAGACTTATCTTTCAAGAAGCTTGCTAGTAAGAAGACAGGAAGGATGGTAGCTGGAGGGAGGAAATGTTTGTTTTTAATTGGGAGAGACTTGATGATGTTTAGCATGATGGTGGGGGAAAGCCAGACAGGAGTGACTATCAATGGACCAAGTCCATGAAGAGATGAGAAATGATGGAACCAAAGGCCGAGAGAAGGGACTAGCCTTGTAAAGGAGGAGGGACCAGAACTCTCCTGAGACTGAAGGGCAGGTGCAAAGAGTATATGCCAAGTCCAGAGCTATGAGAGTCTAAGATTCTGTTCTATATGCAAGTTAACAAGACAGCTTGCCACATTTCGTAAATATTGGCAGAAAACACAGGCTTCTGGGTTGAAGGCAAAAAACAGATGATTACTCTCAGCAACAGTAGGAGGCAGAGTAACATCTGGCACCAGTTCCCCAAATCCCAATTCTTACAGGGCAACATGATCAGGGCTAAGTGTTGCCAGCAGATGTGGAGGGTTGCACTGTGGGGAAGGAGCCTGAGACTAGGAAGAGCTGATCTCCTATAAGGGTTTCCGGAAAGAGAAAGTCACCCATCTTCCTTTCCAGAAAGAGATATCTTTGTTACCCAGAAATATAAGCAAATCTGCCCTGAGGAGGCAAGGGAGATGTCTCTATTTTTACTAATTTGTAATGTAAGAGACATTTCTATCTTTCCAAGGCCCTTGCTTATCCTAACATTCTCGGGAAGACAGTCTAAATCTAACTGGCTGTTGGTGCTTAGACATCTAATGACTTGAGGGATTCGTGGAGAATCATTCCTCATATGTATGCCAACACGGATGAACTTGTGGCTGGCTGAGAAAATAGCTAAGAATGTTATTATCCGATGGCCTCCATTTTTCTTTTCAGTAAAGTACCAAGTAAGGTTATCTGAGAAGAAAGGGTGCTGCAGTTGGAGAGGAGGCTTTTAAAAAAGCAATTGAGAATAGAAAAATAACCGAGGAAAATGTGAGGGGTCATTGGCTGAGACCCATGGAAAGCTTGTCTAGCACCAAGGGCTAGTCAAGGTTGGTGACTATGACCCATATAAAAAGTGATGCCCTGCTGCGCATGGTGGTCTGCCTGTAATCCTAGCTACTTGGGAGACTGAGGTGGGAGGATTGCTTGAGTTTGAGGATGCAGTGAGCTAGGACTGTGCTACTGCACTCCAGCCTGGGCAACAGAGCAAGACCTTGTCTGTCTCTCTATATAAACATAAATAAGGTTTCCTAACCAGTGCTCAGTAGTGGGAAGCAGCAGAGACATCAAGCTGAAGGTGAATAGAGGGGCTGGGGGTACTGGAGGGCAGTCACAAGGGAAACTATGAGGGTTGAGGGCAAGACAGTTTAGGACAAAAGCCAGGGGCACTGAAGTGATAGACCGTGAGATCCAGGCAGTGCTTCCTAACCTTTTGCACCTAGCGGCACACCAGGTAAATGGACTGCTGGCAGTTGGAAGCAACTGACCTAGGGGCTCCAGCTGCCCCAGGAGACTGAAGGAATTTGTATTGCTATAAATCTGTAGCTCTTTCAAAATATCTTGGAAGGAAAGCTTAGAGCTAGGACAAGATGACATCTGCTAAAATTTTGTTAAGAATTTTTGTCTCTGATGAGGGATATCAATCTTTTGTTTTCTTTTTCTTATAATGTTTTGGTCTCAGGCTTAGTCAGGATGTTGTCCCTCATTTAACGAGCTGGGAAGTGTTCCATTCTCTTTTATATTCTAGAAGAGCTTGTGTAGAATTGGTATGACTTCTTTAATGTTTGGTAAATTTCATCAGTGAATCTATGCTCACCTACAGTTTTTGTTTGTGGGCAAGCTTTTAACTACAGGTTCAACTTAATAGATACAGGACTACAGATTCAATACAATTTCAATAAAAGTCCCAACAGGATGTTTCTGGTAGAGATTCACAAGTTGAGAACAAAATTTATATGCAATTGCAAAGGACCTACAACAGCCAAAATAATTTTGAAAAAGAACAAAGTTGGAGCATTCTTACCATGAGGTTTCAAGACCTGCCTTAAAGCTACAGCAATCAAGACCATGTGGCATGAGTGTGAAGACAAAGATATAAATCAATGGAACAGAAGAGAGACCAGAAATAGGTCCACATATATATGCTCAATTGATTTTTTAAATGAAGCTGCTGTGGCAATTCATTGGAAAAAGAATAGCCTATTCAATAAATGATGCTGGCAACAACTGGACATCCATTTGCAAAAACCAACCACCCCCCCTCACCAAACTTAACTCTTTTCTCACATTTACAAAAATCAACTTGAAATGGATGATAGAGCTAACCATAAAAATTAAAACTATAAAAATTCTAGAAAAAAACAGACCGGAAGAAATATTTGTGGAATGTATATCTGATAAAGGACTTAATCCAAGATACATAAAAGAACACTTATAATTCAATAACAAGATAAACAGTGTACATTAAAAAATGGGCAAAAGACAAAATATTTGAAGAGACACTTTCCCAATAAAGGGATATGTAAAAAGCAGCTCAGTATCAACAGTCTGTAGGGAAATGAGGTATAAAACACACCTACTGCAGTGGATCACAAAAAACAAAAGCTGGACAATACAAAGTGCCAGCAAGAATATTCAACAACTGGAACTCACAAACATTGCTTGTGATAATGAAAAAATAGTACAGCACATTGGAAGACATTTTCATATTGTTAAACATACGCTTACCACCATACCCAGCAATATCGCTTCTAGGTATTTACCCAGGAGAAATGAAAACACCTGTTGTCACAAGTCTTGTACTCAAATCATGTACTTGTATGTGTAATAGCTTAAAAACTGGAAAAAGCTGAAATGTCAATCCAAAGATGAATAAATTGTGACCTATTCTTACAATGGAATACCACTCAGCCCTAAAAAATAATTAACTATTCGCACATAGAAAGCATGGATAAGCATCAACGGCATCACACAAAGCAAACGCAGCAAAACACAGAAGGCTACCCACTATGAGTCCACTTATATGCCATCTAGAAAAAGGCAAAACTATAGGATTTGAAAGGGGAGGAAAGGATGGACTAAAAAAGGGGGGGAAACTTTGAAATAATGCTCTGTCACCCAGGCTGGAGTGCAGTGGCACAATCTTGGCTCACTGCAACATCCGCCTCCCAGGTTCAAGTGATTCTCCTGCCTCAGCCTCCTAGGTAGCTGGGGCTACAGGTGCCCGCCACCATGCCTGGCTAATTTTTGTATTTTTAGTAGAGATGGGTTTTCACCATGTTAACCAGGCCTCGTGGTGGTTATATAACCGTATACATTTGTCAAAATTCAAACTGTATACCTAACAAGAAAGAATTTGACTACATGTAAATAATACCTCAACATATCTAAGAACACTGCTGAAGCAATTAAGGAAATACCTAAATAAACAGAGAGATACGATGCTCATGGATTGGAAAACTCAATATGGCTAAGATGCCAATGTTCCCCAAATAGACTTAACAAATGTTGGTTGTATTCCAAGTGTGGAAGGAGCTATAAGAAGCCTTTAAGTGCGGATATGTCTCTGTTTTATATATTTCATGGCTGCTGTGTGGAGAACATATACTTCAGTGGTAGAGGAGCACAGAGTTCATTCAGAAAGCTTCTTCAGGTGGGACCTGATGTGGCTCAGGTCAAGAGGGTAGCAGTGGACGTGCAGAGGAGGCCAGAACTGGCATAGGTTTTGAAGATGTGGCTGACAGGACTGAATGACTGGTCTCTAATAATTTCAGAGGCTGCAGCTCAACCCTTTCTACATATCCAGAGCTCCTTGAGGTCATGGACTCTCTTCTCCTCCCCAACAGTTGCTCACTCAGTAGCAAGCAGAGTGTTCCAGGGGGGTTCTGTAGGCACAAGGAGACCCAAAGCTCCTTTGCTGATGGATCTTTGACTTTTAAAATAATGGCTATCATCTCAACCTTCATTCAAAAAGTCAAATCTGTTCAGAAGTCTGGTGCTCCCACTGACAGAACCATATATGTGCATCTATAACTTTCTCCCAAAAAATCTTTGAGAGTTCCAATAGAGGACAGAGCCATTGTTCTGATCCCAACCACACCTTGTCCTTGCAAGCCCTGCTCTTGTCTCCTTGGTGGGTGACAAGAGCTCACACCTCCTGTCCCTGCAGCAGTGCCAAGGTGGTGTGGAAATACTGTTCACACCCTGGGAACTTTGTGTGTTCAGGAGCTGGCTCACAAAAATGTCTGGGGTGGCGAGGGGCACAGAGGTCCTAGAGGGGAGCGACAGGGAGGGCAGGGGTCAGGGAAGGCTGACAACCACTGAAGGCTCAGCTGCTGGGCATAGCTTTCCTCTCAAAATTGAATTCCCCTAGGTCATGGTGCCCTAAAGTCTACCTGTCAGGTATGATGGAGTACTCCCATTCCTAGCCTGTCTGCTTGCCACCTCTGGCCTGGGTCAGACGTGGCACAGCAAGTGTCCTTGCTCTGAGACCTGAGTTCTCGCAGGAGCCTGGTTGCCTGTGAGAGCAGGTGGTGGGAGCAGGTGGTGGGTGCAGGTGAGCCCCAGCCCCAGGGGGCAGCACTAGAAATGCCCAGGCTTGGGAGACTTTAGTCTTAATGCAGCCTCAACTCACTGGATGACCTTGGTGTGTCCCAGCACCTGTTTCCAGGGGACAAGGAGTAGGAGGAGCAAGGACCAATCTACTGTGGGTTCTCCCCCTTTATGAAAAAGTAGCTGATGCCTTCTGGAGACCTATGGCATTGCCTTCATGGCACTGGCTGGCAGAGTTTGGATATCTGTCCTCCACCCAAATATCATATTGAATTGTAATTCCCGACTTGTTTTGATTTTACAGGCTTATAGGTGTAAGGAACTCATCTCCAGATGTGGCTTGGGATTGAGGTAATGCTGGAACGAGTTAAGACTTTTGGGGTTATTGGGAAGGCATGATTGCATTTTGCAATGTGAGAAGGATATGAGATCTGGGAGGTCCAGGAGCAGAATGATATAGGTTAGATATTTGTCCCCACCCAAATCTCATGTTGAGTTGTAATCCTCAATGCTGGAGGTGGGGCCTGGTGGGAGGTGTTTGGGTCATGGGGGCGGATCCCTCATGGTTTGATGCTGGCTTCACAATAGGGAAGATCTGGTCTTTAAAAAGTGTGTGGCATCTCTCAAAAAAAAAAAAAAATGAGATAATGGGCATTCACAGCAACCTGGATGGAAATGGAGACGATTTTTCCAAGTGAAGTAATTCAGGAATGGAACACCAAACATTGTATGTCCACACTCATATGTGGGAGCTAAGCTATGAGGATGCAAAGGCATAAGAATGTTACACTGGACTTTGGGGAGTTGGGGGAATGGGGTGGGGGGGGATGAGGGATAAGACTACACAATGGGGCCGGGTGCGGTGGTTCACGCCTGTAATCCCAGCACTTTGGGAGGCCGAGGCGGGCAGATCACGAGGTCAGGAGATTGAGACCATCCTGGCTAACACGGTGAAACCTCATCTCTACTAAAAATACAAAAAATTAGCCGGGCGGGGTGGCGGGCACCTGTAGTCCCAGCTACTCGGGAGGCTGAGGCAGGAGAATGGCGTGAACCTCGGGGGGCGGAGCCTGCAGTGAGCCGAGATCGCGCCACTGCACTCCAACCTGGGCGACAGCGAGACTCCATCTCAAAAAAACAACAACAAAAAAAGACTACACATTGGGTACAGTGTACACTCCTTGGGTGATGGGTGCACCAAAATATCAGAAATCACCACTAAAGAGCTTATTTCATGTAAGCAAACACTACCTGTTGCCCAAAAAACTATTGAAATAAACATTTGTTTAAAAAGTATGTGGCACCTCTCTCTCCCAACTCTCTCTTGCTCCTGCTTTCACCATGATCACCATGACCATGCCTGCTCCCACTTTGTCTTCCGCCATGAGTAAAAGCTCCCTGAGGCTTCCCCAGAAGCCGAACGGGGTCAGTGCCATGCTTGTACTGCCTGCATAACCATGAACCAATCAAACCTCTTTTATTTATAAATTACCCAGTCTCAGCTATTTCTTTATAGCAATGCAAAGACAGCCTAACATACTGGCCGTGGCCTGGAATGACCTTATTCCTTTGTATGCTTGTTTATAGTCTGTCTCCACAGTTGGAATGCAAAACCCACCTCATCTGCTTTGTTCACCATTGTCCTCTAAAATAGCGTGGTAGACAGAATTCTAAGGTGGTCCTCCCAGATACCCAGCACCCAATGCACACATACCACCTCCCAGTTATTCAAGCAAACACCCATCTGGGTGCTGCTGTGAAGGAATTTTGCAGATTTAATAAAGGTCCCAAACTAATTGACCCTAAAACAGGGGCCTGACCTAATTGCAGGAGCCCTTTAGGACAGAGAGCTTTCTCCAGCTGGTTGCAGATGAAGAAGAAGAGGGTCAAAGCTTGAAAATGAAGGCAGCCACAGGGCAAGGCATGGGAGCAGCTTCTAGGCTCTGAGAGTGACTTCTGGATGGTGGCCAGCAAGGAAATGGGGACCTCAGTCCTACAACCACAAGGATCTGAATTGTGCCAATGAGTGTGGAAGCATATTCTTTCCCAGAGCCTCCAGACAAAAGACTCATCCCAGTTGCTCAACAACTTGATTTAAGCCTTGTGACACCCTGAGCAGAGAACCCAGGCACACCGTGCTAGACATCAGATCAACAGAACTGTGAACTGGCAAAAGAGTGTTGTTTTCAGCTGTTAAAGTGTGGTCAACCTTATGTGGCAATAGAAAACTATTACAACTGGTCATTCCAGTATCCGGCATTTACAAGGGACTCATTATATATTGCTTGAATTACAGGAATTATCAAATGACTTGGAATGTTTGTGTCTTGTTTGATATTGCCTGTAAATAGGAACAATAACCCTTTCTGAATGACAATGTTAGGATTAAATGAGATAATATATTGTAGCGTGTATAAAATTTAGTCCACAGACAATTTTTATTTCAAGCCCTCATTTTGCCAGTTTGCAGAAACTTAAACTCAGCCAGTTTTGGGGGAGGCGGGTAGGAGTGGTTATGGAGAAGCACCTTTGTGTTGGGGTAGACACAGGAGCACGTGGCCCTCCCCTGCCACATTGGTGCCTGCTGCGCCATACATTACCTGGCTGTGCCTGCTGGCCAGGCCACACTGGAATGTTACCACGTTCCTCTTGTTCCTGTCGGAAAGGCACCTGCAGGCCTAGAGATGTGGGTACTACATGTCCTTCACAGCCTACTCCCCCTGTGCACCCCTAGCTCATCCTCTGATATGGTTTGGCTGTGTCCCCACCCCAAATCTTATATTGAATTATAGTTCCTATAATCCCTACATGTGGTGGGAAGGAGCTGGTGGGAGGTAATGTAATCATGGGAGCATTTACCCTCATGCTGTTCTCGTGATAGTGAGTTCTCATGAGATCTGATGGTTTTATAAGGGGCTTTTCCTCCTTTTGCTTGGCACTTCTTGCTGCCACCGTGTGAAGAAAGACCTGTTTGCTTCCACTTCCACCATGATGTAACTTTCCTGAGGCCTCCCAAGCCATTCTGAACTGTGAGTCAATTCAACTTCTTTCCTTTATAAATTACCCAGTCTTAGGTATGTCTTAATAGTGTGAGAACAGACTAATACATGTGGGCCATACAAGTCTGCTACTGCTGCCTCGGGGGCAAGAGGCCTTCGTTCTCAAATGCCTCTAGTTTATGTAGGTATCTGTTCTGGTGGATCTTGGAGAGGATGGGGGTATAGTTGTGGGGCTCCTCCGAGCACCCACAAACCCCTTTTCTTCTTGCTTCCTTTCACCACTCAGGCTCAAAGTTGGGAAGCTCTGCCCTTGTTCTTCACACTTTTTCCCGATTGCCTTCAGGGACTGGATTTTTGAAACAGAAGTTTTGTTTTTGGTGTGTCAACTCTCCTCTAGGCAGACTTCTGAGTGGAGAGAGAGGAAAAACATCAGCAATGTCTTGAAGATATTAATCCCACTACAATTGCCAACCTGTAGGGCACAACGCTAGCATCCAGCTGGTGCTGGTGACTTGAGGCTCCTGCTTCTCCCCGGTCCCCTTCCCATCTGAATTTCTTTCTAGATCTAACATTGTTTGTTTCTCCTCATCAGTTTGTCTTTCCCTCCTAGGTTCCTCTTCCGGCGGGCTTCCCCTCCCTCCTTCCCGTCCTGCCTGGTGGCTCCCACATGAAGTCTGCACAGGATTCACACAAGAATACAGGTCAGCTGGGAAATTCTTCTCTCCACTGGGCCCCAGTGCCATTGCCATCTTTTTTGACTTAACCATCCATCTTGTATAATTACTGCTGAACCCTGGGCTCAAGTTCTCTTGTGGGTCCCTGAATAAATCTGAACAAAGCCCCAAGGAAGAATACTAATCTCAAGATGAGTCGAACCCAATTGCCTTTGCAGAGGGCATCAACCTGTTAATGTCATTTTGCTTCTCTCAGAATGAATGATCCCAGTTACAATCCAATTGTTCAGCTGAGAACAAAACTGTTCTCAGTCCTTGCAGTTTTGTTCTGTGGGAAGCCATGGGCTTCCCTGGCTGGGTACCACTTCTTCAAGACTTCATTTGTGACTCTAATCTTTCCTCTTCAGAATTCTGAAATACTGAGACCTGAATTTTATACATAGCACAGGTTAAATTTGAAAGACTAAATTAATTTCTTTGAAGATTATTCTTCAAGGATTGCTCTATACTCAGCAAATCTTCCAACTTGGTCTTCAAGCCTAGTATGGGTTTCCTAGCTAATGAAGTGGACAGGCACCCAAGCAGCAGCATTTCAAGCAGCAGGAGTGGGAGGGTAGCAGAAGTAATGGGTCTGAACATTTATCTCCACGGAAGAAAGCCCATGTTACCACCATGAGACACTGAAGTGGGTTAGAAACAAGTATACACAGAGCTTTATTGTTTATAAGGGGGGGTCCCTATATGCTGTTTTGTGTGTTTACTCTGACATTTGTACAGTTTCTACAAAGCTCTAGAAAGAATTATGAGCCAGGGCCAGGGCCTGAGCCCTTAGCTCTGCCACTGTTAAGTTCCTAATGGGATTTGAGAGCTTGGGTCTTAATCCCAAGATAATAAGGAACCTGTCCTTCTCCTGTCAGGCCGCACCTGGGAGAAGGTGGTAGTTGCTGGGTCATGCCCCTCTGTACAGCCTTGAAATCTTTTGATGTTCCTTTCAGGACCCCTTATGTTCTCCAGAGATGACCAGTCATCTGGCAAAAGCATGAGGGCCAGGAGCCTGGCCAGAGTGACCCCCTGACCCACCTGCCCTCAGGAAACCATTGACGATGTCCTATCTCCCTCCTCACAGTTCACCCTGGCCACATGCTATGAGTCAGCAATGGAAAAAACAGGATAAAGAAGCCAGGATTCTTTCTAACAGCTGTAGGATGGTCTCACCCAGCAGCAGGTCTGACCCTCCTGCTTCGGCTCCTGACAGCCAAGGGACACATTCCAGGAACACAATGGGGTGGAGATAAATGTGCTCAAAGGCTCCTGAGGCTATGGAGGGAGCTGGCCAAGCTCACCAGAGTGCATTCATCACAATCCTCTTCTGCCTGCCCTCACTCCCAGCAGAATCTCCTCAGCGGCTACCTCTTCCACGGCAGCTTTCAGGAATGGTGGCTGGAGCCGTGGGCCTCCAACCAAGGGTGTAAGTGAATCCTGGCCCAGACAGATTTGGAAACCCTAACTGCACGCCTACCATACCATGACTGAGTAGCTCCATTGCCTGAGGCCTTGCACAGATGCTGGTATTGGCATTCCAGCACCCCAAAATGATTTGTTCAGCAGGCACCCTGAGTCAGCTGGTGTCAGCTAGAAACTGAAGTCCTCTTCAGTCTGCTTGACCCAGAGGGGAGAAACAACTCAGCTCAACCTGGCCATTTTCTTTCTTATTCAAACCTTTCTCCTTCCTCTCAGATGCCTCTACGGGTATAGAAACCCAAGTGTTACTACAGCTTTTTGGTTTATTGGCTTTGAGTTTGATGCTTCTACCTTCCAATTAGACGTTAACATCTTCCTTGACAATTTGATTTTTCCTTGCTGGTTATATTGTTCTAAGGTGCTTTACTTACCCCTAGAACAGTGTATTCATATCTAGTTTTCTGTGTAAAACTTCTCCAACAGCATGAGGCTTCACACTTATGCTGCCCTCAGATATTCCTGCCCATTCCCGTTGTTTTGGGGGTGGATGGCTGCTGTTGAAGAGTCTTTTGGAATTGTTGAGCTGCCTTAATATTACCACTGCCTTCTTACCCAAAGTGATCTCAAAACATTCATGGGAGATTGTTGATTCTCCTCCTTTTGGTTCTCTGAGAAATGGCAATGTGACAGTCTCAGCCCAGAAAGGCATCCGGTATTTGTGTGGCTGCAAACCCCTGCCTCACCCAAGCAGACAGTGATTCCAATAAAGGGAGACTCACTTGCGTTACTTCCCAGGGGTGTGAAAGCCATGGGAACAGGCTGCCATGAGAAGGGGCCTGCAGCAGAGCTGGAAACAGGCGTTAGATCTAAGGCGGAACATAGACACTCAAGTTGCTCTGCCAGGACCCTGGATGGTCCCATTCATCACAGGAGATGGATTTTTAATATCTATTGCTCAGCTCCCACAAGAACCTTGTCTGAGACAGTGCACTCACTATCAGCAGAAAATAAAGCAGCAGCGAATGGGAAAAGGTTTTGCTCCGTAAGAGCCAAACACTGTTCAGGATATGCACAAATAATCCAAGCTTGTTTGAAGCAATAATTTCAAGGGCTTCTCCTACTTTTGACTGTACAAACAGATGAGGGAAAGGACAGAGGTCATAAAAAGCAAGAGCACTGAGAATATTAGGTCTTAGTCATCCATTTAGGAGAGACTGGGAGTCAGGAAGTGATCTGCAAAATGCCTGGAAATGGCTGCAGACAGTTGAGCAGTAAGATGGCATATGAACTCCTGGAGGAGTGGAGGGAATGAAACTTTGGGCTTGCAGAACACCTGGCCTTCTTTGAACACCTCCCGGCTCTGAAACTCAGGATGTACCACTGATTCTACTCTGGTCCCCAAAATAACTACAACCTGAGCCAATGAGATTATCCCCCAGGCATGCTATAAAGAGTCTGTGGGTAAACACTGAAGACATGATAGCCAACCAGTACCTCTTGACTTTTGCAGGGTGAATGACCCCACACATAGCTTAGTTTCCCTTCATTTCTCCTTCTCCTCCCCTCTACTCCTCCATTTCCCTTGTAGTGCTGCTAATGATGGTATAGTTCGCCATCAGTTGGTAAGGTTGATTTGCAAACTCAGCCCTCAGGAGATTCATCTCCTCACACCCATGGCCTGTCTCCCCCAGGTGCTCTGTTCCAGCATAGAATGCCTTGGGATGATGTGTTTTTGCTTCAGGTGCCCACGAATGCAGAATGCATCCTAACTCAAAATGCATTGAGTGTCTTAAGCACTAACTTCAGTGGAGACTCTCTTCCCCACCTCCCACCCCCGTATCCCCTGCCAGGGACGGATACTAGTCCCCAAACCACATAGTCTCAGTGTCAGTTTTCTGTCTGTGGTCTTGGGAAAAAGTCTATGCTGCTATTTCTCATTTGTTTTGTAAAGCAACCTTTCTTGGGAGTTCTAAGAGTGAATTTGACATTGGGCAGACCATCATCACTCTGAAGCAGTACAGTGCAACCACCTTGCACTGCCGCCTCCCTGGTGTGACTAGGACGTGGTTTCAGAAACTGCAAATGTGGTGGCATAAACAAGGTAGAAGTTTACTTTCTCACATACAAGTCTGGAATTAGGTAAGCCAGAGTTTGTGTGGGGGTCTCAGCCAAGTAGGGCCCAAGGCTCATTCTGTCTTGCTACTCTGCTACGTATGGCTTCCATCCCCAGGGCCACCAATCAAGCTGTCGTGTTCACATTTCAGTCCCAAGGAAGAAACGTGGGGATCGTGAATGCCCTCTCCTGTGAAGATGCTTCTCAGAAATGATGTGCACCTCATGCCTCTGCCCACATCTCTGTGGGGGAACTTTGTCACAAGGCCACAGCAGCTTCAAGAGGGTGGGAAATACAATCTTTTCTTCTGGGGAATCCTCTGCCTAGCTTAAAAAAAAGTATGGAGGGAATTCTATTATAGAATAAGGATGAGCGGATATTTTTTAGAACATTCAATAGTGTCTGCAACACACCATTTCTTCCATTCCCCACAACATACATGTTTTTATATTATCACATTAAATTATCTTTAATCATTATTGTGCGCAAATCCAATCCATCCCAGAGGCTGCATACAGACTCCAAAGCTTCTAAATTGGATCAGAATCTCTTGAAATTTCCCCCAGTGTCTAGCATTGCATTTCCCACTGAAACCCACTAGCTTTTCTTTATCAGATAACAGTACTAGCAGTCTAGTTCATAATATCTTGACTCAGATAGCAGATACACACACACAGGCTCCTGAATTTCTTTTCATTCATTCAAGAAAAAAGAAAGATATAACCAAAGATGTGGTTTGTTGCTAGAATGCCTGTGGTTTTCTTTTTTAACCAGAAGGTAGTCATTTTCCAATCTCTTGTTTAAGAAGAGACAGAGGGCCTTCCTCTAAACAAGAATTACCAGAGCTGTGTGCCTTGTGACACATTTGGGCTGTCTAAAAACAGTACTGACTTATTCTTTTTAAGGGAAACTGCTTTTTAATCATAAAAGTAACAGTATAGATAGAACATGGGGAAAATGGTTAAAAGAAAAATATGAAATATGTATTATCTATAAGCCCATTAGTCTGATACAGGTACTCCTGTCACTAGGAAAATCTTTTCAAATGGGAATAATTTTATAAAACATACATATATCTTTGACATTATTTCTTAACATTTTTTATATTTCTACATTAGTTTTCAGTGAGGCCATTATTTAATAACAACATAATGGAGCCAGTATATCATAATTGATGTAACTGTTCTCTGTTACTGGATGCAACGTAGGTTGCATCCAGTTCTCTTCCTTTGAGATAACAATAGGCATCTTTATAAAGATTCATTGTATATTTTGAATTATAGGGATTCAGAGTTTTGTTTTTTAAACAGGTATTTTTAAACTAATCTGTCTTTATTATATAATACACTGACAACTTTAAAAACCACTAATTATAGAGTAGGGCATAAGATGATCTCTTCCCAGTGTTATCTTTCTGTTCTTATTCCTCTATTGACCTTTCATCATAACTTTAAACAATGTTTATATGACTTTAAATATCTACAGCTGATGGCTCCTGAATTTACATCATCCTCTTGAAGATTCTGTGTGCATAAGGCCCAGTGGATTTGTTTTGATTTCCTGCTCTAGTTTTCTTCACGTGCCTTGCCTCATATTCCACTCTCTCCATCTAGTTTCCAATGCCATTAATCTTCTAGACTTCTTGTGTTTTTTGTGAGGGAGGGATAACACCTCAAATAGTGTTTTCAAATTACTGCATGGGGGAAGGGGTAGACTTCACAAGTGCTTTCATGTTAAAACATGCACACCTTCCCATCCAGCTCATATACACACACTCTTGATTGATACTTTGGCCGGGCATAAAACTCTAGGACTAAATTCATTTTTCCTCAGGACTCTAAAGACAGTCTTGTAAAGACACATCTAACATTGGTGCTGAAAACTGACCTAACAGTCTGACTCTTTTTTCTTAAGATCCAAGAGACTCACTTGACAGCAGAGTTTCTTAAGCTTAGCATTATTGACATTTTGGGCCCAATGGTTCTTTGTTGTGGGAGTCTGTCCCACACATTGTGGGATG
This sequence comes from Homo sapiens, assembly GCF_000001405.40. Taxonomy (NCBI): domain Eukaryota; kingdom Metazoa; phylum Chordata; class Mammalia; order Primates; family Hominidae; genus Homo; species Homo sapiens. Next base: position 109,243,982 of record NC_000005.10, read on the forward strand.
TTTACCACCACCCTGTCCTCAGCCCATTAGAGGCCAAGAGCACCTCTTCCACTGTGACAACCAAAATGTCTCCAGACGTTGTCAGATCATCCCTGGGGGGTAAAATTGCCCTCAGTTGAGAACCACTGCTGTATAGCAAAGGGAAACCAGCTGGGGCTATGGTAGGCTCAATAATGGTCCCCCAAACATGGCCACACCCTAATCCCTGGGGCCTGTAATATGTTACCTTAAGTTAAGGATTATGAGATGGGAAGATTATTCTGGATTATGCAGTGGGCCCAGTGTAACTACAGGGCTCCTTATAAGAGGGATGGCAATGGGATGATGAAAGCAGAGGACAGAGAGAAACAGTCCTGCAGATGCTATGTTGCCAGCTTTGGAGAGGGAGGAACAGCACAAGCCAAGTGAGGCAGGCAGCTCCTGCAGGCTGGAAAGAGCAAGGATTCTCCCCTGGAACCTCCAGAAGGGACAATAGCCATGAGGAGTCATTGTAGACTTCTGACTTCCAGAACTGTAAGGTAATAAATTCGTGTTGTTTTGAGCCATTGTGTTTGTGTTAATTCATTATGATGGCAATAGAAAAACGCACATAGGGTCTACAACCGAAACAGCTACTGGTTGTATCAACATGCTACCTGCCCAAGATACCTGCTCAAAGGCAATATTCTGCAGAATGCAGTACTGTCCATCCAGCATGAAGTATGTGAATTGAACCAAAGATTTTATATGGTTCTCTGCCCCCAATAGCAAGACTATATAGGTTGAGGAACCAAGAGGTAGAAATAGGAATGTTCCCACCAACCATCACCCCTCATAACTTGGAAATTTGTACTTCTCCTTCCTGCAATTCTGGGTTCTGCAGGGTAGTAAGTTCTAGTCCCCAAAGGGGCATGCTTTGTCTGGAGAGCATGAAAAGAGTCCCATCGAAATATTAACTACAGCTGCCACTTGGGTATTTTGTATTCCTTGTATGCAGGGGCCAGCAAGCACACACACACAAAAAAGAGTCACTGTCTTGGCAGGGATAATTGACCCTATTATCAGCGGAGAGCAGGGTTCCTGTAATATATGGCAGGAGAGAGAAATTCCTGTGGATCCCACGTGATTCTCTCAGGCACCTCTTTGTACTGTATTCAACTGTGAGTTCAAATGGACAAGTAGAGCAGCCCTCCCCTGAGAAGAGCAGGGTTTCCAGCATGAAGATTGGAATTGTCCCACCTGTAAGCCCTGAGGCCAGTGGAGGTGGTGTATACATCTGAGATTGTGAAGAACTCTGAACAGAAGAGAGTATTGGTGAGTATACATTGTGTCCCCAAGACCAACTGCAGCAGTGAGGGTACATCTGTTCAGCTAACCTGTTTTCCCTCAGGAAAAGAGGCCCACTAGGGTCCTGCTGTCTGGATTTGTATAGAGTGAACCCAGGTGGCCCAAGGAGTAGCCTGTGGCAGACATTGAGATGAGCCAACCAGAGCTCCCATCAGGAAAGGACCTGCTGCCAAGCCATGGGGACTGTAGTAGGCAGACAGCTCCAGCTGTTTGTGTCTTCCAGATCTACTGCAGCTACAGAGGGGGCCACCTCTCCAGAGGTTACATCCTCCTCCTCCTGTGTAGCTCTTAGCCAGTAACTGAATGAGGCAAGGGTACTGAGGCCTGCCTACAGCCCAGCATGGACAGTCTGATAGATGACACAGTGGGGCCAGGGAATAGGATGAGAGGCCCAAGTGCATCACGTGGGTTCTACATGCATTCCTTCCTAATCCACTGGGAGTTCAACTTCTTCCTCAGCCCAATTGTGCTCCTGACCCCTTTCCTTTTCTTCAGATATTGATGCTTAATAAACATCTCGTATCTCAAACTCCAACTGCATCTGCTTCCAGAGAACCCAGCCTGTAACAAAAACATGGGTCCACAACAAGAAAGTTCATGGCAACCTATTCTTAACATTCAAAATCTGAAAACAACTCCAATATCCATGAACAAGTCATGATAAACCAATTGTGGCATATTCATAAAACTGAATACTACTCAGCAATAAAGTGAAACAACTGCTGATATGTGCAGCAGCATGGATGAATTTCAAAAACATTTTCAACATGAAAATGAGCAAAACGTGCAAGACACAAAAAGTACATATTGCATAAATTCATTTATATGAAGTCAGATGACAGGAAAAATTAATCTATGGGGATAGAAGCCATAAAGTGGTTGCCTGTGTATGTGCCAGGGGGGTGGGGTAGGAATTGACTAGAACAAGAGGCCCCAGACAACTTTCTAAGGGGTTCTAGATCTCATTTTACATGGTGGTTACATGGCTATATACTGTTTCCAAAACTCATTGAAAAGTTAGTATCTGTGGATCTTACTGTATGTAATTTGTGCCTCAAGTATAAATACATTAAGTAGACCTGGGAATACTGAATTACAAATATATACTTAACATATGGCTGTAAAAGAAACAGATCAATGGAATTTAAGAAATTATGATTTAATAACAGAGATAGTCATGATGGTGTTATAGCACAGATGAGGGTCTTTATTTAATCCATGGTGATAGCAGAGAGTTACAGAGCTGCAAGGTGACATTTGAGCTGGGTATGAAAGGAGAAGAGGGAGATAGCCGGGCAGAAACTGGAAGACCATGTTCCTGAGAGGAGGAACACAGCAAAAACACAGAGTCCTGAAATCAAATATCACACCCAGGAGACTGAGCAGAGTGTGTGATGGGGGCCTGATGGGGCGGAGGCCATGAAATGAGATGGACAAGGAGAAAGGGCCAAATCTCAGAGAGGGTCCTGCAATCTAGGACAAGGAAACTTAGAATTTGTCCTATCAGTTCTAGGGAATATGTTCATTAGCACTTTGTGGTTGCAGATAACAGCAAAATCATCACCCGCTTTCTCTCCTTCTTTCTTCTCCCTCAGCCCATATTTCCTTGGTCTTGGGGTCTTTCTCAGACAGTTGATCCTCAAGGGATGGATCACTCATAGCTCCAGTGAAAATCCCAGAAGAAAAACTGGATTCACCCTGGTGGGGTTGGCAGGGCATCCCTGAGCCAGCCAGTGGGGATGGAGTAAACTGGGACAGGCCTGGTCACGATGCCCACCCCTTGAGTTGGGAAGGGGGTGGCAGATAATTCCTCAAAGTGAAACTGAGGGGCAAAAAACATATTTACTCTATAGGGAACTACTGAAGGGATGTATAACTGATGGTTTTAGAAGGATGGTCACTGTCAAGAGTGTAGAAAGTGGATGGGATGGGGGAAATGGCAGCTAGAAAGATGGGTTTGAGTCTTGTGAAGTCCAGGTATGAACTGGAGAGGGCCGTGAGGCTAGAGGAGAGATGTCACACTGAAGAGGTGTGTAGGAAGAAGAATAAGCATGCTGCAAAAGCTACTTGCGCATGGGGAGGAGGAGAGGGGCATCTAAGTGGACTGGCTGATTCTAGATTTGGGGAGGGTGGCCCGTTGCCACGGTACTGCGGCCAGAATGTCACCCAGCTTTCTGCAGCATTTTAAAGTAATAAAACACAAGGAGCAGAGAGAAAACACATCTGATAGAACAAAGAGAAGAGGATCAGAAGAGCCTGAGTTTTATTCCCTTCTCACATTCTTGTCAATGTTATAATATAAATATAAATTTTTTTAGCAAGAATAGTAGGGGGGACTCTAATTGAATCAGCATGTATTAATTATGCATTAGTGAAGATTATTCCACAATTCGTTGCAGTCCCGACAATCAGTTTTCAAGCAGGAGGCAAGTGTGGAATATGATGTCTCATGATAATATCTATTAAAGAAAGAGTCCTCAGCACCACTCTTATTAGAAATCTAATCAGGAATAAAGTACTTGACAAACTGTTAGGGGGCTGACAAACAGCCAGTTGCTGTGGCCAAACAGCATCATGGGCAGAGACTGACTCCAGGCCACAGTGGGCCATACAGCACCTGCAGCCTTGCCAAGGTCTGGAATGGAAAACTGGACATTTTTCCAGAAACACCTTCAACTTCTCTGTAACTCAGGTTTCTTATCTACAAGATGAGGTTAGTGATACCAGCCTTGCATGGTGGCCACATGCATTAAATAAGAGGATGCATGTAAATAGCTGGCCCTTGGGGATTCCCAGAAATGGGGTATTGCTTTTGGTTTTCTATTTTGGTGAAAGAGGAACTATTCCAAGGGCTTCTATTCTCCTTACCTAAAAATAAATCTTGCTGCACAGGACAGACAGCCAATAGAGAGATTCTGCCTGCTGCTGATTTTGTCTTTTCTTACTACACACCCAAGAGCCTTGATCAAAACAAGAACTTGGACCAAAACATCATTGTTTGTTGATCCCCACCTTTTGACTGGTAGACCACAGTGACCTTCTAAGAGTCAAAGACCAGTAATTCACTGAATGGCTGTACATTTCCTTCTTCCAGTGCATGGTTCTCTTGGTGAGTGGCTACAGGCCCTTGAGGAAAAGGCTGGGGGTGGGAAGGAAACCTACAGGATCCTTTTATCACTGGGTCCTTGCTCAGGAGTATGTCACACCTCTCTGCTCAGGAAGCTCTGGATCTGTGACCCATCTGAGCCCCGGGCACTGGTGGGGGACCTTGATCTATAAGCTTGGCTCCTCTTTGTGAGGCACAGAGCTTTTCCAGCTTCACAACCCACGCAGCACCTCCACGGGCTTCCCATCCATCTTAGTCCTAGGGATACTGGGACCTATCAGCTGCCAACAAAGGTCCCTGAAGGTCAAACATTCTATATGCCACCTGGCCACATACTCATGAGAGACCTCACCAGCTTTGCATCTAGCAGATAATTGCTGCTCCTTGGCCTCTACCACTCAGGAATCTAAATATCCACATTGAAACCATTAAATAGGCTTTTTCAATGGCAGCATCTCCCTTCTTTGTCCTGGCCCTCAGAGGACAGCCATCTCTATGCTTTTCCAAGATGTGGGCTGTCAGAGTTCAGGTTCCCTGGAAATGGAGCCAGAACACGGTTTATCTGTGAAAATCACTTACTGGGGCCTGCTCATGGGAGAAGGGGAGTGAGGGAAGCAGGACAGTGCAGGGGGGAGCTGGACACTCATTCCTACCTGGTCCCCAGAGTGCTGGAATGTGAATTGTGCCACAGAGCTGGTACCACTTTGAGGCAAGGGGGCCAGGTTAGAGACCTTGGGACAGTCTTTGGCCTCTGGTTGCCTAGAAACATGATTGGAGTGGCATGATCTCTGGTGAATGGCTCCTGTTTGGTGGAAGGGGATTCTGTGGAGAAGGCAATAGCACTCAAAACAGCTGGGCAATAGAAGCTCCCGCCTCATGAGGGGAATCTTGGCACAGCACCAGCAGTATCCACCATGGGAACATTCCCTTACCCATGCTGCATGCTGTGGTAAAAGAGAGCTGCATCCCTTACTCATGCTCCATGCTGTGGTGAAGGAGTGGACTCTGGTTCCTTCAAGGGACACAGAAGCACATGAGCTGGGAGCATGTGATAATGTGACTCCAATATTCTTTCCCATATCCTAAGTCTTTGGAGTCTCCCCCTGCATTACACCAAGGCATATGTATCATCTCATTGTTGCTTACTGTAGACCACTATGCCCAAAGAAGAGGAGAGGAGGAAGTGTTCCAGAAAGAGGAAACCAGGACTGTACAAAGACTCAGATCCAACACCGCATGGCAAGTTCAAGGACCTGGAAGACATTCGGCATGACCAGCTTGAAGAGAGGGACGGGGGAATGGGCAAAGATAAGGCTCGAGAAGTGGAGGCCATATCATACAGGGGCTGGAGGATGGTAAGGGGGTCAGACTTTATACAGAAGCACAGGGAGCCAGTCAAGGGTTCCAACCATGGAAACAACATGATTATACCTCATCTTCAGTAGTTTCATTCACTGCGAGTCAAGATTGGGAGTGAATTGAAGGAGAGCAAGAATGATCAAGGGGAAAGCAGTCTGGAGGCTGTCAGGGTCACCCAGACAGGAGATGATGGGTATTGACACAGGGAGCTGTCAGTGGAGAGGGAGAGAAGGCATTAGATCCAAGAGACTGAAAGGATGATCTTTTTCAAACTGTGGGTCTTGCCACATTAGTAGGCATGAAGTTTACTCAGTTGTGACTAGAATTTTAGTGAAATAGAATGAAATAAAACCTGAGAAGGCACCACATGTGGGAAGGGTAAGTATTGCTTCATACAGTATTTGTTTCAGGTATGTGTGTATCTGCACGTGTTTTATGGTATAAAGGGTCACAACATCAAACTTCTCCCTGTGGGTCACGGAAGGATTTCAAAGCTGCTGATGCGGAGGGAGCTCTATTGCACCTGATGGCTGATGGGATGTGAGGACTGAAGGAAGTCCAGGAGTGGCTCCCAGATCTCAGGGTCCCCCAACGTGGTGGCTGCATTCACTGAGGTAGGCACAGAAACTACTGGATAGGGAGGGGGGGATTAAGATCCCTTCATAATTGTGGATAGGCTAATAGGCAGAGGTTATATGTGGTATGGGGATAGAGGGTCCTTGGGAAACATGGTGCTTCCCCAAGGGGACTCTCTGCAGCCTGGCTCCTCCGCGGTATCTCCTGTCCTTCAAAAACAGGGTTGACTGCTCCTAGGCATTGAGCAAGGCCTCAGGACTGGCCTTTGACCCAGTTCCCTCCTGGGTCGTCCCCTAGTCTGGGGTGCTGACTGGCCCACACATGCATCACCCACTCTGCAAAGGTGGCTGTCGGCAGGATCAGTGCTGGAATTTCAGCCTCATATCTCATAGCCTGCTCCCGGGGTGATGGATGGCTTCTGCGCGGCTGGCCATTGATCCCAGTCATAGCCGAAGAGTAAAACAACCCTTGCCGCCGCATTTACATTGCGGGCTGACATGTGTCTGCAATGCGGCGCCGAGGCCCCCAGGGACTGCGCGTGGCCACCTTCTGCCGTGTCAGCGCACGGCTCAATTCCTCCTCCTCTAGCCTCTTTGTAAATGGCCTTTGTCAGCGTCTCCTAAAAGAAGCTACACTCTTCATCAATCAGAATAATGGTCTGTTGGAATGAAAGATTCCCCTTCCCAGCCAGCTGAAGAAAAAGGTTTCAGGCCTGAGCACTCCCTCTTCATCCTGGGGCAGCCACCAGCATGCTCCCAGGCCCGGCGCTGGGCTGTCTGCCCTTCAGAGCCCCACCCTTTCCCCTCCCACACACCAACCTGTTCCTGGTCTGGTGCCGCCTGCGGCCAAGGACTCATCTCCCACCAGATGGCATTTGGTCACTGAGCAGAATTCACATTTGGGTTTATTGTAGAGGGGTCACAACTGCCCAATTTCTAGTCATAATAAAAATGAAATCTCCATATGTGTTTAGTACTTTAGGTATTCATTTAGTCTCCGATTCTTTATACAATGTGCTGAACACCTCCTTTCTGGGGGCAGGAGATTTCCAAGACAGTTTCACATCTATTGTGTTGGAGAAGACGCAGTGTGAGGCGGGGAGCATAGCCCTAGGGCCAGGCTGCCCAGGATTCAGTTTTGCCTCTGCCACCGCTGGCCAGCTGTTCAGCCTCGGGCAAGTAAGTTGCTATCCTCAGTTTTTTCTTCTGTAAAACAAGGATTGTATGGGTAACTATCTCACAGAATTGGTAAGAGGATTAAATGAATAGATGTGGTGTACCTGAAACATGGGAGCACTGTGTAAGTGATACAAATCATCAGCATCAACAACAGCATCATTATCATTATTTGATTAAACCTGTTAAGAGAGGAAGATTAGGCCTGATTATGCCCATCTTATAGATGGAAGGACTGAGGCCCAAAGGCTTAAAGATGTGAAGTCTTTAACTCAGGGACCCAAAGTCGGCAATTAACACAGCCAGAAGTTAAACACAGGTGTCCTGACTCCAAGCCTAAGGTGTTTTCCACCCCAGTTATATAGTTCTATAGAAGGAAGAAGGTTCTTTTATCTGCATTATTTAAATTATAAAAAATCATACAGAATGTGCCGCCTCCCAGATAATTTAACCAGCCTCCTCTATGGACCATCTCCTCCTTATGGGCAGGATAAGTCATCCCCATCCCGAAATGAAAACTCCCTAGGGATCATTTCCAATGAAATTGCTTTCAAAGTCAGGGGTATGAGGGGAAGAGGATGGGTCACTGGCCTGAGGGCCACCACCCAGCCATTCCTGCAGCTCTGCTAGGCCACCTGAACAAGCATGCCCTGGAGAAGATAGGCTCCTAAAGTTGAGAATAGGTTCCCAGGTTGCTGGTGATACACAGCAAAGCACCGGTCCTTGTTTTCCTGCAACTTGTGCTGGTGCTGACTTCTAGCACTTCCATAAGGCAGGCTGCACTGCTCCACAGCCAGGGATACAAGTGGCTTGGATTCTGCCTTCTGTTCTGCTGGGGGTGGGAGGGCAGTGTGGAGCCAGGCGACTCGTTTGAATAGAGGGAACAGTTGAGCCAGGTTCACATAGGCATGAGGCGCCCATGCCCTCCCCACAAGGGATCTTCTCCCAGGTCTCATCATCCTGAACTTGGCCATTGTCACAGCCAGCCCAGCTCTGCCTTGCTGCACACCCTCACCCAGGCACCTGTGGCTGCCTCCCTTCCTCGCTAGACTGTGACACAGTTCCCCATATCCCAGCAGCCAGACCCAGCTCTCCAAGGGCTCTCCTTGGTTAGTACTTTTTGTTCTAAGCCTTGACCTGATGGCCCACCAGAGACAAGGAGACTGAGCCTCCCTTCACCCCACAGCCCTGGGCCAAATGGGCTTCCTCAACCCTCCAAGAAGAACAAGCCCCCTTCCTCAGGCCAGTTCCTATCCACACATGTGGCTCACAGAGCCAGTTTCTGCCTAACGCTTTCCCCTGCTACCATCGGCCATCCAATTCCCTTCCTGCCACCCCAAGTGACAGAGCTGACCAGTCTCTCCTAGCCCACCTCAGAGCATAATGTAGTTGATTGCCTTCTGAGATAGCTAGCAAAAATTCCTGGGCCTCTTTTTCTGGGGAGAGGGGAATGTCTGTGCAAACAGGGGAATGTTTGTGCCAAAATGTTAGCCTAAGGAGAGGAACGGCAGGAAGTATTGGGAGCTGGGGTGAAAGTGCTTGTGCATACCAGTCATCAACCTCCTGCCTTCCAAACCATTTTCACATAGCATTTCCTGAAAACATTTTCCTAGGAAATTTTATGTGCCATGCTTCTAGAATACTGAATGCATCAAAAGCAAAACCACCACCACCAAAGAAAGGAAAAAGGCATTTGCTTCCATTTATTGTCAATGCTGGGACATTCTCATTAAATACCTTATGGTGTGAAGGCCAGACCCATAGAGAGCAAGGGTTCCTTCCTGAGGCACTAAACACCCCAACAAATCTCAGGAGCTAATGTCCAAGCTGTTCAAGGTGAAAGGTGATGACCGTGAAGAGCACCACTGCAGTTTTGGAGGTGGCGTCGGTGGTGGCTGTGATAAGCAGAAGTAGGGGCATGGCTGCTGTCACAGCATTGTGCAACCACACACTCTGGAGAGGGCTGGATACTGAGAACATCTCCCTAACTACTGGCAAAATCACCACGTTGTGAGATTAAAAAAAAAAAAAATTGGACAAATGATGGTGTGGGGAAGGAAAACAGTAAGTACTGACTCAAGATTCATGAGCACCCAGAACGCTTTGGTCTAGGAATTTTATAGGTTCTCTCCCCTCTCCTGCCTTCTCTCCCAGTTGCATTCAAATAAGAAAGTCCTATGTGGAGCCAATTATTATCCTTGCAATATGTTTTGTTGTGGTTGGCAACAAAACAACTTAGTCATATTCCCCCAGATTTACCTTCTTTTTATTACTTTTCTTCCACTTTCTCCATCTCAACTCTCCCATTGGAATAAAATGTTATTGTTTTAGGTTTTATCAGACTCAGAGCCTCTGCTCTCAGTCAAACCAATTCTGTTTTCATGCGATGAGATAGAAGTCACAAAGACAGATGTGGGCAGAGAGCTCACCACGCTCTTCATTCGCTGTCAAATACAATTTAATGCCCAGGGAGCACCCACACTGCTCTTGCTCCCTGCCAAGAGGGGGGTTCTTTACTCATCGAATCAGCACTGGCCCTGATGGTGTTGCTTCTACAGCAGTGGGTGGTGGGAGGGAGAGACTGGAGGCTCACGGGGCCCAGACACCTCCTCCTAGTTTCCTCAAGTCCCAAGCTGCAGGCTGGGTTCCATATCCAGTTTCAAAACTCTAACTTCTTTGGGACATCTAAGGGCAGGTTTTTCCTATTGTTTACTAGAAACCTAAGAAGTCAGTACTCGTAATTTCCAACCCGGAGGCACTGAGTGGGGAATCTGCAGAGCCTACCTATTCTTCTCCCATTCTACAGACAGGGAGCCTCATCTGGGAAGAGGGCTCACGGACCTGGGTGTGTTTTGCTTCAGGACGAGAGAGAATTCCCAGTACATACATCAATCCATTTGCTTTCCAGAGAAGGAAAAGCCATGACTTGGTGTCTCAGGTCCCCATGCAGGGATTGTTCTGAGAGTCCCTGGAGGGATACAGTTGTGTAAGAGGTTTTTTGTGAGAGAAAGATTTCTCTTTCTTGACACATTTGCCTCCAGCAAAAATCACTTTAGAGCTGAATGTGGAGCCACAAATCTAATGCTGTAGCCTTCAGTGTAAAACTTGGTTGAATTCTGTTTTATGCCATTGGAGGGATTGAAAAGCCTCTTCCTGAGACAGATACTCTATCTGTTCCTTTTCCATTACCAGTTTTCTCCAAACATCAGTGGAACCTCCTTATTTAGAAACACTTTAACTTTCTCCACAGCCCCTCCCTGGGCTATTTTTGGCCCCTTACTGAAGAATGGAAGCAAAATTACGTTTTAAAACCAACCATTAGTTTATTGACACAGAGAAGGTTTGTTAATCAAGTCAGACTTTTTCCTTTCTTGATCAATATATATCTGGCTTGTCCTGCTAACAGACACTTACCCAATTACCTGCTTTCTAATCGCAGTCTCCACAACCTTTAAAAATTCAGCTTGTTTCATTGATTCAGGTAACAGCTAAATTGGCATCCAGTCTCTTGCAGAATAGATTTAATCTGGCCTGCGTTTGCTTAAAATGCCTCACCGAAACCAATGCCAGATGTAATTTTCTCACTCTTCACATTGCCCTCGGAAGTTACACAGAGCCCAACATGTGCCAAGGCCCAGCATGGGAGATATTTAAGTCGGATCTCCATTCATCAGTTCTCAGAGACTTCTAAGTGGACAGTGGGATACACTTGCCCCATAAACGTCTAATTCCAGGTTCCTGCCTCCTTGAGATGAATTCTTAGAAATGGAATTCCTGGAGCAAAGGGGCAGTTCCTTAACACGTATAACAATTCCATTTGTTGCAGAACAAAACAGATGAGAACATAAATATCACCAAAATATAACTATGGGAAATAATGCTCCCATTGTAAATTTAATAAATTTCCTGAGAATCAGTGTGATAGGGTAATAATCTTATAGAAATCTTAAAAACAATTTGTCCTCAAGCACTCATGTTGTTGATATTTGACAAACCATATTGTGAAAACAAATTTAATTGAAATGGAACTGTAGACTGCAAGTCATTCATACAGTGGAATCACTTACCCTGTCCTTGGGGATTAAATAATGAAGCTAAAACCTTTCTAATCACCAAGGGAAAAAAAATCTGTTATCTACGTCATCAGCTTTCACCTCAGCCTTGCAAAAGGAGAAAATGCAAGTTAATTCATTTGCAATAACAATTCTGAAATTGTAAGTAGAAAACTTAAGAGGGTCTGATATTTTATAATGTAGAAGTGTGACATAAATATAAACTATAAATAAGTTACATTATATATGCAACAGAGGACCAAACTCCTTGTCCAGTGTAATGCAAACAAGGAACAAGGTAACTCGCTGTAAGATGCCTCAGAGGCCATGGGAGTTGGGGTTCCTGCCTGGACTCCACATAAATCATCCAAGGCAGCCGTACAAAGGGAGCCCAAGCCCAAAATCTGTGCTTGAAAGTATGGAAGAGGAGAGAAAAAAGCCCATATGGAAACCATGCTTTATAGTCTCGTTTAAACCTTGCTTATAATCTTTATACTATTGTTTAATATAGTGATATTAGAGTTATAGTTAGATGAAATGCCTTAGCTTCCCCATCTGAAAGTGGAAACAATAACTATAAGATAAATGCAACCATAATAAAGGGCTATTTACAAAAAAAAAAATCAGATGGCTATTTCCTTGCTGTAAAAGTCTGCATTATACCACAAAATAGAGGCAAATATGAGGACAACAGATAAAAGAACTGTATGTCATGGAATTTTCAGATTTTACCTTTTTAAATCAGTCCTACTGACCTGAGAAGATGACCCTAAAAAACAGCTGACATTGGTGCCTGGAGTTCCATGAAATAGGAAGAGAAGTAGGAAATTTAGATAGCCGAGGGCCACACTTTTCTGGCTAAATCCCAGATACCAAAACCCAACTCCATCCTGTTGGGTTCAGCGGGATCCAGAGGGCTTGCAATTTTGTAGGTCACAGCGTGAAGTTCCTTATTGGGTGGAACTGCCCAACTGAAGCACTGGATACCACTCCAGGGTCCCAGAGGGAGCTCTAGAAATATATTCTTCTTAAGAAAAAATACTGCAGTGATAGCTAATGCAGAGCATGTGTTTATCGCCTCATTTAATCCTCCCAGCAACCCAGTGAGGTTAGTAATACTGTCTTTATCTTATGGGTGAGACAAAGCACAGGAAGTGGAGGAAACTAGAAACTGCCTGAGCTAGCAATCAGACCCTGGGAATCCAGAGTCAAGTTGATGTTCTTTTGACTCCATGGAAAAAGCAGCAGGATCTTTTTTTGGGGGTGGGGTGCAGGGATAATGTATATTTTTTAAGGTGGAAATTTATAAAGACTATTTACATATAAAATTCACCTATTTGAGTGTACAGTCTGATGAATTTTGGTCATTGTATACAATCATGTAGCCAGACAATCAAGATATAGGACAGTTCACTCCTGAAAAGTTGCCTTTGGACCCAAACCCCCATCCTCTACCCCAGGCAAACACTGATCTGATTCTGTCATAATAGTAATGCCTTATCTAGAATTCCGCATAAGTGAACTCATAAGTACGTAGCTGTGTTTGACTTCTTTCACTTAGCATGTTTGAGATGCATTCGTGTTGTTACATGTATTAATATTTTGCACCTTTTTATGGCTGTGTAGGGTTTCATAGTATCAGTATGTCACACAGTGTCTCTATTTACCATTTGATGGTATCTAGATTCCTTCCAGTTTGGAATATTGTGAATGATGCTTTTATGAATATGCTCTTGTCTTTGTACGGATATATGTTGTTTCTCTTGAAAAATTACCCAGAGTGGACTTGCTGAGTTGTATGTTAAGTGTATGTCTAACTTTATAAATATACTGCCATCCTGTTTTCCAAAGTGGTTTACCATCATACATTCATACCAGCAGGGGGTAAGAGTTCTAGTCGTTTACATCCCTGTCAACATTTTGTGTTGTCAGTCTTTTTAACCTTAGCCATTCTAGTAGGTATATAAAACCATCTCATTACGGTTTTAATTTCTATTTATTAGTGATGATTTTACTAGTGATATGTTTACTAATTTTGACTAGAGATATGGAATACTTTCATGTATGTATTGGCCATTTGTGTATTTTCTTTAGTGAGGTACCTGTTCAAATCTTTTGTTCATTTTTAAACAATGAGTTGTCTTCTTACAATTGAGTTTTCTAATTGAGTATGTAAGTCTGGATATGTGACTCTGTCCTCTACACTTTGTCTGCTTCTGTTCACCCTGCATGACCTTTACATGCTTGCTTAATATGTCTAGGTTTTATAGTTGTTTTCTGTAGCATGTTTTGTTCAGTAATATCTTTTCTATCATACCTGGAAGCAAAAGCCATTTCTGTTTACATACAACAAAACAGAGAATAAATATAAGTCAGTCCACACCGAGGCACATCCTCAAACTGTTGAAAGCCAAAGATGAAGAGCAAATCTCAAAGGGGCAAGAGAAAAATGATAACTATGTGTGGAGGAACAATGAACAGATGAATGGCTGACTTCTTGTAGGAAAATATAGAGGCCAGGAGGAAGTAGAAAAACATGTTTAAATGATAAAAGAAATTTAAAAATCATATGGTCAGCCTATAATTCTATGTCCAGTGGATTTTAAAACACATGCTACCCATACACTTGGAGTAAGGTCAATATGTCAACACAGACAATGTGGAGGTTTTCCAGGTTTCTGATGAGGTGAATCGAGGTGGAGAATTGGAATCTATGGTCCCTGAATCTGCAGGAATTAAGCAGCAGCAGATAGTGACACTGCCTGTCATGGCTTTACCATCCAATCCCTTGTGGTGTTGGCTGTGCTAGAGCCAGGCCAGCTGGTCACTGTGTTTTGAAAACATCTCCTACAGCAGCTGCCAATCCTACTGCCTCTGTGTGCTCAGACATGGGAGGACCTGTGTTTCCTGTTGAACATATGACTTCTTTGGGGACTTAAAAATGATTGGTCTTGCTGTGCTGCTAACAATTTTTTACCCAATAGATTAAGTTTCAGAGGTCATGAGGCAAACACCACGATTCTGATTTCAACGGTAAAAATGTCTTAAGCATCATCTTTCAGTCTTCTAAATCATTTTTACCAAACAGTTCAATAGGACCTGCAGTGTCTTCATGGCATAACAGAGGCTTTAGCCTAAGGCTCAAACTGAGATTCAGACACATCTGGTATATTGCACGGAGACCCAGAAGAAATGGATGGCATGCTCATATGGAATGCTTTGAGAAGAGTTTAATAAGGAACTACTTACAAATGTGTGGGCTGAGTGTAGAAAACTCTTAAGGATGGTGTGGTTCCCCAGAGATTATAAGAGCAGAAGCTATTACCGCCTTTTGGCCCGAAGGAAAATGGGGAGGGAGCGGTTTGTGGAACCTGGATATCAAGACCAGAGCTGTGGGAGCTGGCATTCAGCATCTGTTAGAGGATGGTCACAGAGTTCTTGGAAAAAAACCTCACTGAATGGAAAGCCAAAGGAAACTCAAAAGGCTTGTTGATCTTGACGTAAGCACATGACTGATTCCCTTAGGAGTCTCCCAGAAATAACTAGAGGAGTGAGAAGGAAGAGGGATCATGCCCATGTGTGAAGGTGAAGCCACGGCCTATGAAATGTGAGTTTTTGTTAATATGACCTAAGCTGAGACTGGGCAACCTAGAGAGCTGGGGTCCCATTCTCCTGAAATCCTCGAGCCATGAGCAGTGGAGGCTTACATAAGAGCATCTGCCAGAACGTCAGCCAGCCCAGAGTAGTTCATGTTTTTGTAATTTGAGTTTTAATTCCACAAGTAAAATATTTCTCTTTAAGAAATAAGAATGGAGGGAGGAGCCAAAATGGCCGAATAGGAACAGCTCCGGTCTACAGCTCCCAGCGTGAGCGACGCAGAAGACGGTGATTTCTGCATTTCCATCTGAGGTACCGGGTTCATCTCACTAGGGAGTGCCAGACAGTGGGCGCAGGCCAGTGTGTGTGCGCACCGTGCGCGAGCCGAAGCAGGGCGAGGCATTGCCTCACCTGGGAAGCGCAAGGGGTCAGGGAGTTCCCTTTCCGAGTCAAAGAAAGGGGTGACGGACGCACCTGGAAAATCGGGTCACTCCCACCCGAATATTGCGCTTTTCAGACCGGCTTAAGAAACGGCGCACCACGAGACTATATCCCACACCTGGCTCGGAGGGTCCTACGCCCACGGAATCTCGCTGATTGCTAGCACAGCAGTCTGAGATCAAACTGCAAGGCGGCAACGAGGCTGGGGGAGGGGCGCCCGCCATTGCCCAGGCTTGCTTAGGTAAACAAAGCAGCCGGGAAGCTCGAACTGGGTGGAGCCCACCACAGCTCAAGGAGGCCTGCCTGCCTCTGTAGGCTCCACCTCTGGGGGCAGGGCACAGACAAACAAAAAGACAGCAGTAACCTCTGCAGACTTAAGTGTCCCTGTCTGACAGCTTTGAAGAGAGCAGTGGTTCTCCCAGCACGCAGCTGGAGATCTGAGAACGGGCAGACTGCCTCCTCAAGTGGGTCCCTGACTCCTGACCCCCGAGCAGCCTAACTGGGAGGCACCCCCCAGCAGGGGCACACTGACACCTCACACGGCAGGGTATTCCAACAGACCTGCAGCTGAGGGTCCTGTCTGTTAGAAGGAAAACTAACAACCAGAAAGGACATCTACACCGAAAACCCATCTGTACATCACCATCATCAAAGACCAAAAGTAGATAAAACCACAAAGATGGGGAAAAAACAGAACAGAAAAACTGGAAACTCTAAAACGCAGAGCGCCTCTCCTCCTCCAAAGGAACGCAGTTCCTCACCAGCAACAGAACAAAGCTGGATGGAGAATGATTTTGACGAGCTGAGAGAAGAAGGCTTCAGACGATCAAATTACTCTGAGCTACGGGAGGACATTCAAACCAAAGGCAAAGAAGTTGAAAACTTTGAAAAAAATTTAGAAGAATGTATAACTAGAATAACCAATACAGAGAAGTGCTTAAAGGAGCTGATGGAGCTGAAAACCAAGGCTCGAGAACTACGTGAAGAATGCAGAAGCCTCAGGAGCCGATGCGATCAACTGGAAGAAAGGGTATCAGCAATGGAAGATGAAATGAATGAAATGAAGCGAGAAGGGAAGTTTAGAGAAAAAAGAATAAAAAGAAATGAGCAAAGCCTCCAAGAAATATGGGACTATGTGAAAAGACCAAATCTACGTCTGATTGGTGTACCTGAAAGTGATGTGGAGAATGGAACCAAGTTGGAAAACACTCTGCAGGATATTATCCAGGAGAACTTCCCCAATCTAGCAAGGCAGGCCAACGTTCAGATTCAGGAAATACAGAGAACGCCACAAAGATACTCCTCGAGAAGAGCAACTCCAAGACACATAATTGTCAGATTCACCAAAGTTGAAATGAAGGAAAAAATGTTAAGGGCAGCCAGAGAGAAAGGTCGGGTTACCCTCAAAGGAAAGCCCATCAGACTAACAGCGGATCTCTCGGCAGAAACCCTACAAGCCAGAAGAGAGTGGGGGCCAATATTCAACATTCTTAAAGAAAAGAATTTTCAACCCAGAATTTCATATCCAGCCAAACTAAGCTTCATAAGTGAAGGAGAAATAAAATACTTTATAGACAAGCAAATGTTGAGAGATTTTGTCACCACCAGGCCTGCCCTAAAAGAGCTCCTGAAGGAAGCGCTAAACATGGAAAGGAACAACCGGTACCAGCCGCTGCAAAATCATGCCAAAATGTAAAGACCATCGAGACTAGGAAGAAACTGCATCAACTAATGAGCAAAATCACCAGCTAACATCATAATGACAGGATCAAATTCACACATAACAATATTAACTTTAAATATAAATGGACTAAATTCTGCAATTAAAAGACACAGACTGGCAAGTTGGATAAAGAGTCAAGACCCATCAGTGTGCTGTATTCAGGAAACCCATCTCACGTGCAGAGACACACATAGGCTCAAAATAAAAGGATGGAGGAAGATCTACCAAGCCAATGGAAAACAAAAAAAGGCAGGGGTTGCAATCCTAGTCTCTGATAAAACAGACTTTAAACCAACAAAGATCAAAAGAGACAAAGAAGGCCATTACATAATGGTAAAGGGATCAATTCAACAAGAGGAGCTAACTATCCTAAATATTTATGCACCCAATACAGGAGCACCCAGATTCATAAAGCAAGTCCTCAGTGACCTACAAAGAGACTTAGACTCCCACACATTAATAATGGGAGACTTTAACACCCCACTGTCAACATTAGACAGATCAACGAGACAGAAAGTCAACAAGGATACCCAGGAATTGAACTCAGCTCTGCACCAAGCAGACCTAATAGACATCTACAGAACTCTCCACCCCAAATCAACAGAATATACATTTTTTTCAGCACCACACCACACCTATTCCAAAATTGACCACATAGTTGGAAGTAAAGCTCTCCTCAGCAAATGTAAAAGAACAGAAATTATAACAAACTATCTCTCAGACCACAGTGCAATCAAACTAGAACTCAGGATTAAGAATCTCACTCAAAGCCGCTCAACTACATGGAAACTGAACAACCTGCTCCTGAATGACTACTGGGTACATAACGAAATGAAGGCAGAAATAAAGATGTTCTTTGAAACCAACGAGAACAAAGACACCACATACCAGAATCTCTGGGACGCATTCAAAGCAGTGTGTAGAGGGAAATTTATAGCACTAAATGCCTACAAGAGAAAGCAGGAAAGATCCAAAATTGACACCCTAACATCACAATTAAAAGAACTAGAAAAGCAAGAGCAAACACATTCAAAAGCTAGCAGAAGGCAAGAAATAACTAAAATCAGAGCAGAACTGAAGGAAATAGAGACACAAAAAACCCTTCAAAAAATCAATGAATCCAGGAGCTGGTTTTTTGAAAGGATCAACAAAATTGATAGACCGCTAGCAAGACTAATAAAAAAAAAAAGAGAGAAGAATCAAATAGACACAATAAAAAATGATAAAGGGGATATCACCACCGATCCCACAGAAATACAAACTACCATCAGAGAATACTACAAACACCTCTACGCAAATAAACTAGAAAATCTAGAAGAAATGGATACATTCCTCGACACATACACTCTCCCAAGACTAAACCAGGAAGAAGTTGAATCTCTGAATCGACCAATAACAGGCTCTGAAAGTGTGGCAATAATCAATAGTTTACCAACCAAAAAGAGTCCAGGACCAGATGGATTCACAGCCGAATTCTACCAGAGGTACAAGGAGGAACTGGTACCATTCCTTCTGAAACTATTCCAATCAATAGAAAAAGAGGGAATCCTCCCTAACTCATTTTATGAGGCCAGCATCATTCTGATACCAAAGCCGGGCAGAGACACAACCAAAAAAGAGAATTTTAGACCAATATCCTTGATGAACATTGATGCAAAAATCCTCAATAAAATACTGGCAAACCGAATCCAGCAGCACATCAAAAAGCTTATCCACCATGATCAAGTGGGCTTCATCCCTGGGATGCAAGGCTGGTTCAATATACGCAAATCAATAAATGTAATCCAGCATATAAACAGAGCCAAAGACAAAAACCACATGATTATCTCAATAGATGCAGAAAAAGCCTTTGACAAAATTCAACAACCCTTCATGCTAAAAACTCTCAATAAATTAGGTATTGATGGGACGTATCTCAAAATAATAAGAGCTATCTATGACAAACCCACAGCCAATATCATACTGAATGGGCAAAAACTGGAAGCATTCCCTTTGAAAACCGGCACAAGACAGGGATGCCCTCTCTCACCCCTCCTATTCAACATAGTGTTGGAAGTTCTGGCCAGGGCAATCAGGCAGGAGAAGGAAATAAAGGGTATTCAATTAGGAAAAGAGGAAGTCAAATTGTCCCTGTTTGCAGACGACATGATTGTTTATCTAGAAAACCCCATCATCTCAGCCCAAAATCTCCTTAAGCTGATAAGCAACTTCAGCAAAGTCTCAGGATACAAAATCAATGTACAAAAATCACAAGCATTCTTATACACCAACAACAGACAAACAGAGAGCCAAATCATGGGTGAACTCCCATTCACAATTGCTTCAAAGAGAATAAAATACCTAGGAATCCAACTTACAAGGGATGTGAAGGACCTCTTCAAGGAGAACTACAAACCACTGCTCAAGGAAATAAAAGAGGAGACAAACAAATGGAAGAACATTCCATGCTCATGGGTAGGAAGAATCAATATCGTGAAAATGGCCATACTGCCCAAGGTAATTTACAGATTCAATGCCATCCCCATCAAGCTACCAATGACTTTCTTCACAGAATTGGAAAAAACTACTTTAAAGTTCATATGGAACCAAAAAAGAGCCCGCATTGCCAAGTCAATCCTAAGCCAAAAGAACAAAGCTGGAGGCATCACACTACCTGACTTCAAACTATACTACAAGGCTACAGTAACCAAAACAGCATGGTACTGGTACCAAAACAGAGATATAGATCACTGGAACAGAACAGAGCCCTCAGAAATAATGCCGCATATCTACAACTATCTGATCTTTGACAAACCTGAGAAAAACAAGCAATGGGGAAAGGATTCCCTATTTAATAAATGGTGCTGGGAAAACTGGCTAGCCATATGTAGAAAGCTGAAACTGGATCCCTTCCTTACACCTTATACAAAAATCAATTCAAGATGGATTAAAGATTTAAACGTTAAACCTAAAACCATAAAAACCCTAGAAGAAAACCTAGGCATTACCATTCAGGACATAGGCGTGGGCAAGGACTTCATGTCCAAAACACCAAAAGCAATGGCAACAAAAGACAAAATTGACAAATGGGATCTAATTAAACTAAAGAGCTTCTGCACAGCAAAAGAAACTACCATCAGAGTGAACAGGCAACCTACAACATGGGAGAAAATTTTTGCAACCTACTCATCTGACAAAGGGCTAATATCCAGAATCTACAATGAACTCAAACAAATTTACAAGAAAAAAACAAACAACCCCATCAAAAAGTGGGCGAAGGACATGAACAGACACTTCTCAAAAGAAGACATTTATGCAGCCAAAAAACACATGAAGAAATGCTCATCATCACTGGCCATCAGAGAAATGCAAATCAAAACCACTATGAGATATCATCTCACACCAGTTAGAATGGCAATCATTAAAAAGTCAGGAAACAACAGGTGCTGGAGAGGATGCGGAGAAATAGGAACACTTTTACACTGTTGGTGGGACTGTAAACTAGTTCAACCATTGTGGAAGTCAGTGTGGCGATTCCTCAGGGACCTAGAACTAGAAATACCATTTGACCCAGCCATCCCATTACTGGGTATATACCCAAATGAGTATAAATCATGCTGCTATAAAGACACATGCACACGTATGTTTATTGCGGCACTATTCACAATAGCAAAGACTTGGAACCAACCCAAATGTCCAACAATGATAGACTGGATTAAGAAAATGTGGCACATATACACCATGGAATACTATGCAGCCATAAAAAATGATGAGTTCATATCCTTTGTAGGGACATGGATGAAATTGGAAACCATCATTCTCAGTAAACTATCGCAAGAACAAAAAACCAAACACCGCATATTCTCACTCATAGGTGGGAATTGAACAATGAGATCACATGGACACAGGAAGGGGAATATCACACTCTGGGGACTGTGGTGGGGTCGGGGGAGGGGGGAGGGATAGCATTGGGAGATATACCTAATGCTAGATGACACATTAGTGGGTGCAGCGCACCAGCATGGCACATGTATACATATGTAACTAACCTGCACAATGTGCACATGTACCCTAAAACTTAGAGTATAATAAAAAAAAAAAAAAAAAGAAATAAGAATGGTGTCTCATTTTATTTTTGAGTAGTGACTTTCCAAACAATCAGATATCTAAGCAGCTCCTTTTCCTTCTTCCTCCAGGCTGTCCACCATCGCCTTTCCCTTAGCTTCCATCTTTCCTTGTGACATGAGGAATTGCTGAGGATTTAGATCACTACAAACTCAGCACTTCAACTTTCCTCAGGGGACAATTTGGCAGGTTGAGCCCTTTTTGACCCATTTTTAGCCATTGATTTCTGATGCATCCTTTCTTCTTGTCATAACTGGGGAAATGTCAGGACCTTTGTTTTGAAATCTAAATGGCACTATCTTTCAAGGTTGATAATATCTTCAAGGTGGAATTGGGAACATTGCGTGCTTGCCTTAATTGTACCCAGACTCCCAGGTTGGCATATAACCTGGAGGCTCTTTCTTGGAAAGAACACTTTTTGTGGAAATGATGCCAAGGAAGAATAAAAGTAGTTTATCAGAGGGAAGTGTTTCATGCTAATGAAGAATTAGAATCAACTTCTCCCAAGTTTATCACAGCACCATCAACCCAGGCTGACACAGAGTAGGTGCTGGCTGAGTGTTACCTGAACAAGTCTAACCCGCAGGAAAGTTGGGCTCTTGTTACCACTGACATGAATTGTCCAGTGCTGGACCAGAGCACCCAGGAGTCAGGACCATAGACACAGGCTATTCTATTTGATGACATCTGGAACAATCTATGCATTCACAAGGTGTTTTGTGGAGTTCAGAAGTTTCTTTGTTGTCATTCTTCCATCTATGCCATGACCGCTTCCTTTTTTTCTATCTCTGTGTCACTCCAGTTCACTTCTCTTCCCAATTTTGGCTTGTTTAGCCTTCATTCCTCAAACATGGCCAAAAAAACCATAGACTTTAAGAGAATGAAGATGTACTAGTAGCTTTGTATTCCAATGCCCTCATTTCACAGATGAAGAAATTGAAGATTAATCATGTTACATGATTGGCTTAAGATCATATAACTGGTAAAATTTATAATTAAATGAGTGTAATTACAATTATGATTATGTAAATAAGTGAAAAATTATTTATTATGTGCCAGACACTGCTAAAGTGATTTACAAATATCACAACCCTTTCAGTGACTAAAAAGGTAGGTATATGTGATGGGTGTTTTGATATGTCAACTTGGCCAGCCCAGTCTCCAATTATTCAATCAAGTTGCTATTCTGGGAGGACTGGCATCAGGAAGATGGCAGAATAGGACTCTCTCGTGCTTGTCCCCCACAATTCGAACAACTACTCATGCACAAACATGCCTTCACAAGAACTAAGGAATCAGGAGAGAGATTACAGCATCTGGGGGTAACACAGAAATAAGAGAAGATGCATTGAAGAGTGCAGGAAGAACAGTTTTACATTACCCTCACCACGTTCCTCCCAACCCCAGGCAGCACAACATGTAGACAGAAACCTCCTGTGTTGGGGAAGAAGAGGGAGGTGAGCACTGGACTTTGCCATTGACTCCAACACCAGGCCCACCTCAGTAAAAACCAACATGGGGACATGGCAGATCCCCATGGCCCCAGGCTTCAGACTGGCACCCATGGACTGAGCTTCCAAGTTCCCCCCAGTTGCCATGGGGGATCCCACAGTTTCAGGCCTGCCCTGTGATTTTCATCTCCAGGCCTTTCCCACCTTCAGGCTGACCTTGGCAGCCTCAGGTTCCAAACCAACCTCAGCATTGGGTCAACCTCAACATCCCTGAACTTCAAAAGCCTACCCTAGTTCCAGGCCAAGCCCCACAAACTCAGGCTCCAGGCCACCCTAAAAGCCACAGGCTGACCCCCACAGCCCCAGACTCTTGGCCAGTATCTGTGGACTGAGCCTCCAGGATTACCCTGGTGCCAGATCTGATCCTGCATCGCCAGGCCTGCCTGGTAGATGCAGTCTCTGGGCCTGTCCCACTGCCAGGCTGACCCCAGTGACCCTAGGCCCCAGCACCAGGCCAGTCCCAGCAGTTCCAGACTTTAGGCCTTCCCTAGTGCCAAGCCAGCCCCCCATGGACTCAGACTGTAGTGCCACCTCAGGGCCAAGCTGGCCCCAGTGACCCCAGACTTTGGACTACCACCAGAACCAGGCTGGCCCACCTCAGCACCAAGCCAGCCCCTGAAGTCCTAGTCATCAGACCACCACCTGCAGACCCAGCCTCTAGGTTGGCTCCCTGTGGATACAGGTTCCAGGCTTACCTAGCACCAGGCCAACCCCTAGAGCCCCAGGCTCCAGCCCAGCTCATTTCCAGACTATCCTTGAGTCAAGTTAGCCACTAGAGCCCCCATACCAAGTCTGTGCTCCTGGTCTTAGGCATCAGGCTGGCACCCACGGACACAGACTCCAGGCCTGCCCAATGCCAGGCCAGTCCCTGGAGCCTCAAACTCTAGCAGCCCAGGGTCCAGGTCTCCAGCAGACTGAGTTTAGGTCCACCACAGTAGACCATAGTCCCAGGCCAGCCACCACAGACTAAGGCTCCAGGCCCATTCCTACAGAGCCAGCACCTATACCCACCCCCTCAAACTCAGGCCTGTCCCAGTGCCAGGATAGCCCCCATGGGCTCAGGCTCCAGGCCCAATCCAGTGAGCCCAGGTGTGAGGTCCGTCCCAGTACCTGGCTGGCTCCTATAGACTTAGGTTCAAGGCCCACCCCAGCACCAGGTCAGATATTATGGACCCAGGATCCAGGTCAGCTCCCCCAGACATAGGATACAGGCTCATACTTGTTGACCCAGCCTCAAGGCCTACTCCTTTAAACCCAATTAGCAGATATACCCCCATGGTTCTAGGCTTCAGGCCCACCCACCTGCTGACCAAGGACCAGGACAGCTGACCTAAGGACTCCAACAGCATGGTGGGACTGTAAACTAGTTCAACCATTGCAGAAGACAGTGTTGCGATTCCTCAAGGATCTAAAACTAGAAATGCCATTTGACCCAGCCATCCCATTACTGGGTATATACACAAAGGATTATAAATCATGCTGCTATAAAGACACATGCACACGTTATGTTTATTGCGGCACTATTCACAATAGCAAAGACTTGGAACAACCCAAATGTCCATCAATGATAGACTGGATTAAGAAAATGTGGCACATATACACCATGGAATACTACGTAGCCATAAAAAAGGATGAGTTCATGTCCTCTGTAGGCACGTGGATGAAGCTGGAAACCATCATTCTCAGCAAACTATTGCAAGAACAAAAAACCAAACACCACATGTTCTCACCCATAGGTGGG
Source organism: Homo sapiens (assembly GCF_000001405.40). NCBI lineage: Eukaryota > Metazoa > Chordata > Mammalia > Primates > Hominidae > Homo > Homo sapiens. The sequence continues at coordinate 109,268,693 of NC_000005.10, forward strand.
AATTGAACAATGAGAACACTTGGACACAGGAAGGGGAACATCACACACCGGGCACTGTTGTGGGATGGGGGGAGTGGGGAGGGATAGCATTAGAAGATATACCTAATGTAAATGATGAGTTAATGTGTACAGCACACCAACATGGCACATGTATACATATGTAACAAACCTGCACATTGTGCACATGTACCCTAGAACTTAAAATTAAAAAAAAAAAAAAAAGGACTCCAACAGCAAACCAGCCTGTGGACCATGCCACATAGCCTACCTAGAATCTCTGCATGGGCTGAGTGGTAAAGAGCTTTCTTAAACAAAGCCATTCTGCAAAGACTGCAGTAAGTTCTTATTTCTTCAATTGTGTGGACATCAATTTAGTCAACAAGAAACATGAAAAACCAAGAAAATATACCAGCACCAGAAGAGTAGAACAATCTCCCAATGGCTGACCCAAAAGAAATGGAGATTTATAAGTTGCCTGGCAACTAATTCAAAATAATTTTAAGAAAGTTAGCACACTTGAAAATATACAGAAACAATTCAATGAAATAAAATAAACCAAAATTATCCATTTAACTGTAAGATTATGTTTTAAAAAAACACACTCTAGAACTGAAAAATATAGTGAATGAAATTTAAAATGGAATAGAGAGCATTAACCACAGAATTGATCAACGTAAGAAAGAATCTGAACTCAAAGACAGCCTATTTGAAAATATACAGCCAGAGAAGAAAGAAAATGAAAAGGAATGAGGAAAGTTTAAGGAATTTATGAACACCATCAAAAAAGCTAATATTCAAGTTGTAGGTGGTCAAAAAGAAGAAAGAGGTTGAAAGATTAAAAAAAAAAAGCAGAAAATGTAAATATCCAGGTACAGGGAGGCCAAAGATCTCTAAGAAGATTCAATCCAAACAAGATTACACTAAGACATATTATAAAACACAAAAGTGCAACAAAGTTGTCCTTCAGAAATGAAAGAGAGATAAGGACTTTCCCAGATGAACAAGGTGAAGGAATTTATCATCACCAGACATGTCTTACAAGAAATGCTAAAAGGAATTCAAGCTAAAAGGACACTAGTAACATGAAAATGTGTTAAAGTATTAAACTTACTGGTAAAAGTACATAGTCAAATTCTTGGTACTCTAATACTGTAATGATAATGTGTAAATCAATAATATCTTTAGTATGAAGATGAAAAGAAAACCATTAAAAATAATAGATACAATAATTTGGTATGGGATGCACAATACAAGATGTAAATTGTGACAGCAAAATGTGGAGCGAGAGGAAGTAAAAGTGTAGAGTTTTTTTATGCAATCAAAGTTAAGTTGTTATCAGCTTAAAATAGCCTGTTATAACCATAAGATGTTTTATGTAAGCCTCATGGTAACTAGAAAGCAACAATCTATAGTGGATACACAAAAGGTAAAAAGTAAGGAATCAAAGCATACTGCTAGAGAAAAATCACCTGAACACAAAAGAAGACAGCAAAAGATGCAGTAAAAAAAAATAAATAAAATCTATAAAACAACCAGTAGTAAGTTCTTACCTATCAATTACCTTGACTGTAAATGGATTACATTCTCCAATTGAAAGAGTGGATGAATGGAATAAAAAACAAGACCCAACTATATGCTGCCTACAAGTATATGTATGTCGCACTTAAGGATATACATATACTAAAAGTGAAGGGATGAAAAAAGATGTTCCATGCAAATAGAAACCAAGAGATCAAGGGTAGACATAGTTACATCAGATTAAATAGACTAAAGTTAAAAGCTATAAAGCAATACAAAGAAGGTCATTCTATGGTGATTAGGAGTCAATTCAGAGGATATAACAATTTTAAATATATATGCATCTAACATTAGAGTACCTATATATAAAACAAATATTAATAGCTATTAAGGGAAACAGATGATAATCCAACTGTAGGGGACTTCAGTACTCCACTTTCAGCAATGGACAGGTCATCCAAATGAAATAAAAAAATCAAACTTTAGAAAAAATGGAACTAACAGACATGAACAAGAACATTCCATCCAACACATTCTTCTCAAGTGCAAATGATACATTCTCTAGGATAGATCATGTTAGGCCACAAAACAAGTCTTAAAGAAGATTGAAATATCAAGTATTTTTCCAATCACAATGGTATAAAACTAGAAATCAATATCATGAAAATTTTTGGAAAACTCACAAATACATGGAAATTAAACTCCAACCAACCAATGGGTCAATGAAGAAATTAAAATATCTTGAGACAAACAAAAATGGAAACACAACATACCAAAACTTATAGGATGCAACAATAGAAATTTCAAGAGGAAAGTTTATAGCAATAAACATCTACATCAAAAAAGATTTTATTTGAACAATCTAAAGTTGCACCTCAAGAAATTAGACAAAGAACAAGCTAAGCCCAAAGTTGGTATAAGGAAATGAAGATCAGAGAAGAAATAAATAGATCCTAGAAAAACAATAAAAAGACCAGGGAAACTAAGTTCGTTTTATGAAAACAAAATTAACAAACTAGAAATGAAAGGAGAAATTACAATACTACAGAAATAGGAATAAGGGAATACTAACACACATCAATAAATTAAATAATCTAATTTACACTCCCACCAACTGTGTAAAAGCATTCGTATTTCTGCACATCCTCTCCAGCATCTGTTGTTTCCTGACTTTTTAATGATCGCCATTCTAACTGGTGTGAGATGGTATCTCATTGTGGTTTTGATTTGCATTTCTCTAACGACCAGTGATGGCTTTTTTTCATGTTTTTTGGCCACATAAAGGTCTTCTTTGGAGAAGTGTCTGTTTATATCTTTTACCCACTTTTTGGTGGGGTTGTTTTTTTCTTGTAAATTTGTTTAAGTTCCTTTAGATTCTGGATATTAGCCCTTTGTCAGATGGATAGATTGCAAAAGTTTTCTCCCTTTCTGTAGAGGTTGCCTGTTCACTCTGATGATAGTTTCTTTTGCTGTAAAGAAGCTCTTTAATTAGATCCCATTTGCCAATTTTGGCTTCTGTTGCCATTGCTTTTGGTGTTTTAGTCATGAAGTCTTTGCCGATGCCTATGTCCTGAATGGTACTGCCTATGTTTTCTTCTAGGGTTTTTATGGTTTTAGGTCTTATGTTTAAGTCTTGAATCCATCTTGAGTTAATTTTTGTATAAGGTGTAAGGAAGGGGTCCAGTTTCAGTTTTCTGCATATGGCTAGCCAGTTTTCCCAACACCATTTATTAAATAGGGAATCCTTTCCCCATTTCTTGTTTTTGTCAGGTTTGGCAAAGATCAGATGGTTGTAGATGTGTGGCGTTATTTCTGAGTCCTCTGTTCTGTTTCATTGGTCTATATAACTGTTTTGGTACCAGTACCATGCTGTTTTGGTTACTGTAGCCTTGTAGTATAGTTTGAAGTCAGGCAGTGTGATGCCTCCAGCTTTGTTCTTTCTGCTTAGGATTGTCTTGGCTATATGGGCTCTTTGTTTGTTCCATATGAAATTTAAAGGAGTTTTTTTCTAATTCTGTGAAGCAAGTCATTGGTAGCTTGATTGGGATAGCATTGAATCTATAAATTACCTTGGGCAGTATGGCCATTTTCACAATATTGATTCTTCTTATCCATGAGCATGGAATGTTTTTCCATCTGTTTGTGTCCTTATTCCCTTGAGCAGTGGTTTGCAGTTCTCCTTGAAGAGGTCCTTCACATCCCTTGTAAGTTGGATTCCTAGGTATTTTATTATTTTTGTAGCAATTGTGAATGGGAGTTCACTCATGACTTGGCTGTTTGTCTATTATTGGTGTATAGGAATGCTTGTGATTTTTGCACATTGATTTTGTATCCTGAGACTTTGCTGAAGTTGCTTTTCAGAGATTTTAGGCTGAGACGATGGGGTTTTTTAAATATACAATCATGTCATCTGCAAACAGAGACAATTTGACTTCCTCTCTTCCTATTTGAATACCCTTTATTTATTTCTCCTGCCTGATTGCCCTGGCCAGAACTTCCAACACTACGTTGAATAGGAGTGGTGAGAGAGGGCATCCTTGTCTTGTGCCGGTTTTCAAAGGGAATGCTTCCAGTTTTTGCCCATTCAGTATGATATTGGCTGTAGGTTTGTCACAAATAGCTGTTATTTTGAGATATGTTCTATCAATACCTAGTTTACTGAGAGTTTTTAGCATGAAGGAAGACAGTGTGGTGATTCCTCAAGGATCTAGATCCAGAAATATCATTTGACCCAGCAAGCCCATTACTGGGTATATACACAAAGGATTATAAATCATTCTACTATAAAGACACACGCACATATGTGTTTATTGCAGCACTATTCACAATAGCAAAGACTTGGAACCAACCAAAATGCCCATCAATGATAGACTGCATAAAGAAAATGTGGCACATATACACCATGGAATACTATGCAGCCATAAAAAAGAATGAGTTCATGTCTTTGCAGAGACATAGATGAAGCTGGAAACCATCATTCTCAGCAAACTAACACAGGAACAGAAAACCAAACACCGCATGTTCTCACTCATAAGTGGGTCTTGAACAATGAGAACACATGGACACAGGGAGAGAAACATCACACACTGGGGCCTTTTGGGGTGCAGGGGGCTAGGGGAGGGATAGCATTAGGAGAAATACCTAATGTAGATGATGGGTTGATGGGTGCAGCAAACCACATGGCACGTGTATACCTATGTAACAAACCTGTACGTTCTGCACATGTATCCCAGAACTTAAGGTATAATAAAAAAATTAAACAATCTAGAAGAAACGTATACATTCCTAGACACATAAAACCTTACAGGACTGAATTATAAAGAAATGGAACATGTGAACAGATCAATAATAAGAAGACTGAATCAGTAATGAAAAGTCTCCCATCAAAGAAAAGCTCAGAATCTGATGGCTTCACTTTTCATTTCCAAACATTTAAAGAACAAAAACAAATCCTCCTCTAACTCTCCAAAGAATCAAAGGAAATACTTCTGTATTTTATGAGGGCAGCATTATGTGGGTACTAAAACCAGACAAGAACATTACAAAAAAACTTAAGAAAAAACAAGTCAGACTGTCCCTGTTTATAGATGACATCATCTTACATATAGAAAACCCTAACTCCACCAAAAAACTTTTAGAACAAATTCAGTGAAGTTTCAGGATACAAAGTCAACATATAAAAATCAGTAGCTTTTTTATACAGTAACAACTATTCAAAAATTAAATCAAGAAACTAATCCAATATACAACATCTACAAAAAAAAAAAAAAACCACTTAGGAATAAATTTACTCGAGAAAGTAAAACACCTCTCATTGAACACTATAAAATGTTGATGAAAGAAATTGAAAAAGAAATAGATATGTGTTTATGGGTTGGAAGATTATTAAAATGTCCATACTACCTAAAGTGAAATACAGGTTCAACACCATCGCTATCAGAACTCCAATGACATTTCTCACAGAAGTAGAAAAAAATACCCTAAAATTTGTATGGAACCACAAAAGACCCTGAATAGCCAAGGCAATCTTGAGCAAAAAGAACAAAGCTGGAGGCATCACACTCTCCAACTTCAAAATATTCTGTAGACATACAGTGATCAAAACAGCATGATACTGGCATAAAAATAGGTACATACACCAACAGAACAGAATAGAGAACCCAGAAATAAACCCACACATTTATAGTCAATTTTTTCAAACAAAGTTGCCAAGAACAGATAATAGGGAAAGGACAGTCTCTGAAATAAATAGTGTTGGGAAAACTAGATGTCCATGTGCAGAAGAAAACTAGACCTCATCTCATAGCATATAAAAAAACCTGCAAATGAATTAAAGACTTAAACATAAGGCCTAGAAACTATAGAAAACTATGAGAAAACAGAGGAAAAGCTCTATGAGATTGGCCTGGGCATTGAGTCTTTTGGATACAACCCCAAAATCATAGGCAATTAAAGCAAAAGTAGACAAATGGGATTATGCCAAACTAAAAACCTCCTGTAGATCAAAGGAAATAAAAGTGAAGAGACAACCTAAAGAATGGAAGAAAATATTCACAAAATATACATCTGATAAGGAGTAAATATCCAAAATATATAAGGAATAAAAAATACCCTCAATTATAAGAGAATAACCCTATTAAAAATGTACAAAGGACCTAAATAGACGTTTGTCAAAGACAGACATACAAATGACCAATGGTTATGTGAGAAATCACTCAGCATCACTAATCATCAGAAAATGCATTTTAAAACCACAAAGATTACCTCACACCTGTTAGAACTGCTATTATCAAGAAAACAAAAGTACTGGTGAGGCTGTGAAGAAAAGCGAACTCGTGTATACTGTTGGTGGGAATGTAAATTAGCACAGCCATTATGGAAAACAGTATGGAGGTTTCTCCAAATATTAAAACAAGAACTACTCTATGAAGTAGCAATCCCACTGCTGGGTATATATCTAAAGGGAATAAAATCAGTATGTCAAAGAAATATCTGCACTCCCATGTTTATTGCAACATGATTCACAATAGCCAAGATATAGACCCAACCTAAGTGCCCATCGATGGATGAAAGGATAAAGAAAATATGGTATATATACAAGATAGAATACTATTCCACCTTTAAAAAGAAAAAAATCCTTTAATTTGCAACAATATGAATGAAACTAGAAGACAAACTAAAATTATCCAGGCACAGAAAGACAAATATCACATGATCTCACATGTGGATTCTAAAAACATTGAACTCATCTATGTAGAAGAATAAAGTGGTGGTCATCAGAGGCTGGGGACAGGGAGAGAGTTCGGGAGTGTTGGTCAAAGGATAGTTTCAAAAGAAAAGTAAGTTAAAGAGATCTATTGTACAGCATGGTGACTACAGTTAATAGCAATGCATTCTTTAAAAATCAATCAGAGTAGATTTTAAGTGTTCTCACCACAAAAACAATAAATAATGTGAGGTAATACATATGTCAATTAGCTCAGCTGAGCCATCCCACAACGTGTACATATTTCAGAACATGTTGTTCCTAATATATTTGTATTGGTAAATTTTAAAAAGAAAAAGGAATATAATAGTAATCTGTTGCCTTGAAAGTATTTTTTTAAGATGTAATTAAAGTTCATAGTTAGTTGACCTTAAGTAAAGGAAATATCCTAGATCATCTGGATAGACCTTAAGGGCAGGGCTCAGGCTTCAGAGAGAGACATGGGGGTTAGGGGCAGAATTCCAACCACGGACAGGACAGCAACTATGGATTTTGCACTTTCTTGGCCAGCCACAATGGCATAAGCCAGTTCTGATTAATACATGTTTTAAAAACTATATTTGCTACTGGTTCTGCTTTTCTAGTGGGACCCAATGGCTATAGTACTATTGTTATTAGGCCCATTCCACAGATGGGAAAACTGAGGATGTGGAGAAATTAGTTAATATGTCCAAGATCACATAGCTAAATTGTAGTCAGGATTCAAAGCGAAGCACCCTAATTCCAAAATCTTGGGTCTTATCCATCACTGCCTCTCCAGGCTACAAAGTGACATAAATCATTGTCTTGCTCCTAGCTTGTTTTTTTTTTTTTTTTTTTCATTAAAAAGTGCTTAATTACTTATACATTAGCAACAGCAAGCCAGGAAGCTATGATGAACTGAGCTTAGCAGCTGAGGTGAGATGAGTAGAATAGCTCTAGGAGGGGAGACAGAAACCAACCATTATCCCCTCTGCTTTCTACTTGGAGCTGACCCAAGCTTGGCACTGGGGGATGCCTCAATTTTAAATCAACTTCATAGTTTTGATTACAGGGTACTGGGCTTATAATTTATAAATAAAGACTGTGCTGAAACTTAGAATAACTGCAAGATTTGTCACATAAGTGTAACCAGGAAATTTATGGGATACTCAGCTTCTTCTCCAGGGAAGGAACTCTACCAAATACATACAAATGGAATGTGGAAACAAAAATAGACTATTACAGTCTATCGTTGTTGGACATTTGGGTTGGTTCCAAGTCTTTGCTATTGTGAATAGTGCCACAATAAACATACGTGTGCATGTGTCTTTACAGCAGTGTGATTTATAATCCTTTGGGTATATACCAGGTAATGGAATTGCTGGATCAAATGGTATTTCTAGTTCCAGATCCCTGAGGAATCGCCACACTGACTTCCACAATGGTTGAACTAGTTTACAGTCCCACCAACAGTGTAAAAGTGTTCCTATTTCTCCGCATCCGAAAATGTGGCACATATACACCGTGGAATACTATGCAGTCATAAAAAAGGATGAGTTCATGTCCTTTGTAGGGACATGGATGAAGCTGGAAACCATCATTCTCAGCAAACTATTGCAAGGACAAAAAACCAAACACCACATGTTCTCACTCATAGGTGGGAACTGAACAATGAGAACATATGGACACAGGAAGGGGAACATCACACACTGGGGCCTGTTGTGGGGTGGCAGGAGGGGGGAGGGATAGCATTTGGAGATATACCTAATGTTAAATGACGAGTTACTGGGTGCAGCACACCAACATGGCACATGTATACATATGTAACTAACCTGCACATTGTGCACATGTACCCTAAAGCTTAAAATATAATAAAAAAATGACAATTACAAAAAAAAAAAGATGCAATGACACAATTGTATGAGACAAGCCTGTTGTATATAAAACTTAGCACCCTCAATGCCCTAGAAGTTGGAAGCTTTGTTCGGAGAACATAGAACTGTTTTATCTTCTTCAAGGATTCTTTACAGTTTTAGGTGCTTGGAGCTGTAGGCTCAGAGATACCTGTTTCTTTGAAGTTACTCATGGAGTGAGTGACTATTGATTGTCAATATGAGAAGAACAAAATGCAAGCAAACAATTTCTTTTTTCCTCAACTTCTAGAAATAAAAACTCCACAAAACGTATAACATAAAATTTACTATCTTAATCATTTTAAAGTGTGTGGTTCAGCAGCATTAAGTATATTCACAGTATTGTTAAAATAGATCTCCAGAACTTTTTAATCTTGCAAATAAACTCTCTACCCATTACAAAACAAGTCTCCAGCAATCACCATTCTACTTCTTGTCTCTATGAATTCAACTAATTTATATACCTCTTATAAATAGAATAACACAGTATTTGCCTTTTTGTGACTGGCTTATTGCACTTAGCATATGTCCTCAAGATTTATCCATGTTGTAGCATGTATCAAAACTTAATTCCTTTTTAAGGCTGAATAATATTCAATTGTGTGTGTACACTACATTTTGTTTATCTGTTCATCTGTCGATAAACATGGGATTGTTTCCACCTCTTGGCTATTATGAATAATGCCACAATAAACATGGAGGATATGTATATTTCTTCTTTTAGTTCTTTTGGATATATACTAGAAGTGGGATTGCTGGGTCACATGGTAGTTCTATTTTTTATTTTTTGAGAGACTGCCATACTCTTTTCCATAGTGGCTGCACCATTTTACGTTCCTAACAGCTCAGAAGGGTTCCAATTTCTCTACATCCTCTTCTTTCCTTACCATTTAAAGCAAGCCTCTGTTTTAATATGAGAAGTTATGCATCTTTTCCTTTCCACTATGGCAAGAACACTTCTGCTTCTGTGACAAAGTGCCTCTTTCACTAATGGAAGTTTCACTGAACCACTTGCTGAGAAGGATGTGCTTTCTCTAATCCATAAAGGGAGATAATTGTCAAATGTGTAAAACGCAGAGAATCAGGCAGAGCTGCTGCTAGACTGGTAATCTTGGGTCTTGAATGTGCACCATTTAAAATTTCTTGGCTTCCTTCATGAAAGACAAAGTAAAAGAAAGCAAAATCAACCCCAAGTTCCACAGAAAGCAAAATAAGTTTCCATTAACCTGAGTGGTAAAAGAAAGCAATTGCATAGGGTTATATTTGGAAAAGCCTCTTTGCATTTCAGTAGTGTGCTGCCTACAAATATAACCAGCAAATGGAATTCAGGTTGAACAGATAAGATGCAGCATCTAACTGAAGGATTGCCATACATGAAAAACATGTATTTATTAGGAGATTACAGTTATGCTCCCTGTTTCTGGGAGATGGCACAAAGGTGCAAATGAGAAACGCAACGTTGGAGCCATATGTGCATTTACACCCAATCATTCTGTCAGAATTCCACTAACTTCCCCCAAATTGCCTTCTTTGAGAAAATCGTGTCACTATTTACATGGGTTCTTTTCTCTTGACATTTCCCTGTTGGTGCTCACTGTCACAGAATGTTATGTTTTCCTCCCTTGATTCAAGTCCAGGTCAGAGGCAGGTTAGAAATGAGTGACATATCCATGCAAAACTGACATTTCTAGCTGAGTTTTCTAGATGACAGCAACCTGAAAATCATCGTGATCCTCTACTCTTGACCAGAGACCCCTTCTCTCCATTCATTTTAAGTTTTCCAGGTTTTCCTGAGACATAAACAACCATGAGTAGATAGAAATCACTACAAAGAAACCAAAGCAAGCTAATCCTCACTGTGTCCACAGCCAGCCTAGGATCACCTTTGAAGAGCCTAACCTCATGCCATCTGGTCCAAGCGATGAGCACATTGTCATAGGACACAGGCTATGGGGGTAAAGGGACTGGCAACTGTGTGGCAGGACTGCCTCCCCAGCCGGCTCAGCCTGACCATCAGAGCTTTGTGAATGCACCTCAGCCTCAGGAGCGTTGTGAGCACTTGCCACTGTCGAAGTCTCTGGTAAGGTGGGGAAATAGCTGGAAATATGAGAGGGGAATATTTGAGTGTCCCAGTCAGTTTTCCCATATCTTTTCATGTGCTCATTTGCCACCCATAAATCTTTTTTCGTGAAGTATCTGTTCAAATCTTTTGTGCCTTTGTTACCGAAGGAAACAAAGAGGTAACCCACAGAATGGGAGAAAATATTTGCAAACTATTCACCTCACAAGGGATTAATAACCAGAATGTATAAGGAGAGCTCAAACAATGCTATAGGAAAAAGTCTAAATATCCAATTTAAAAATGGGCAAAAAATCTGAATAAACATTTACTCAAAAGAAGACATAAATGACAAACAGGTGTGTAAAAAGGTTCTCAACATCACTGAACATCAGAGAAATGCAAATCAAAACTACAATGAGATATCATCTCACTTCAGTTAAAATGGCTTTCATCCAAAAGACAGGCAATAAGAAATGCTGGTGAAGTTGTGGAGAAAAGAGAACCCTTCTACCCTGTTGGTGGGAACATAAAGTAGTATAATTACCATGGGGAACAGTTTGGATATTCTTAAAAAAACTAAAAACACATTGCTACCATATGATCCAGCAGTCCCACGGCTGGGTATATACCGAAAAGAAGAGAAATTAGTGTATCAAAACAATATCTGCACCCCTATGTTTGTCGCAGCACTGTTCACAATAGCCAAGATTTGGAAGCAACCTAAGTATCCATCAACAGATGAATAACGTGGGATTCATTTACTAAAACAATTTTAAAGATGGCAGATTAGAGGTAGTGTTAGCATGCCTTTCCCATTTGGAAAGATAAAATAGTGAGCAGAGATTCACACTCTGAACTTTTTTCCAAGAAGAAATGCAGAAACTTAGGAAAAATAAATGAAACCAGAATCTTTGAAAGAAGCAGCAAGCTGCAGCCTACACCATGAGCCAGGTGAAAAACTAAGTTCCTAGAGTGTGAGAGGGAGAGAGACTGCCTCCAGGTTATACACCCCCACCAGGGAACCTGGAAATCCAGTCCATGGGGGAAGCCTTAACCCTATCCAGTGCTGGAATTGATACAGGGAACAGTCAGGAATACAAAAGTAGGAGCAATGAGAATGGTCTTGTGCACGTTCCCAGTCTCCAGGATGGACCAAGGGAAGCCATTCCTGATTCTGCATCACAGGGGATCTCACAGAAGTCTGCCAACTAACGCAGGCAGCGGTTGCAGGTTGAAAGAAGCTCCCAACTGAAATTCACAATATAATCTCAAGTGGGGATGAACTCCCTTGGCCAGAACTGGCAAGTGAGTGGGAAGTAGTGTGCTGTAACCATGGGCACAGGAGCTGGGCACCCCAGCTCTGTAGGCAGCTGAGGAGGGGCATGGCCTGAAAGCCACAGTTGCTGTCTCTAACGGGAAGGCTTACGTTACGGCCTTGTCCATTTCAGTTCTGAGCATAGATGGCCTGGAAATTTAGCAAGCTGCTGCTAGCAAACACTGTTGGTGAGAGACCTGCCTTATCAAGTGTGTGGGAGCTGGGTGAGGCTTGCTGCCACCTGCTATACCCCACTCCCTGCGTGAACTCTTCTGTCCAGCAGAAGCAGCCACACTCCTTCCTGGAACATTACCCCAGTGGCCAGAGAACCTCCTGCCTTCTCAACCCCCACAGGGGCCTCTGCTTGCCCTGCATGTGGAGAGCCAGCAGACCTGCCTGACCCAGCCCCCACCTGGCTTTGCCCCTTTACCCACCCTGGTAGCTTAACACAAAGAACAGAAACTTTTGGGAGCCCTGTAGCCCCACCCATCACCTGAGAAACCAGGATACCTCCCCTGGGTAACATAAGGCAAGCACAAATCCTACCACTTCTACCACAGCTGGTGCTCTTTTGCAAACACCACCTCCTGGCTGGAGGCCAAGTGACAGATCCATTACAGCCTCTACAGGTAGCGCAACACTGCACCCATGAAGGGGAAAACTTGTACATGACCTCAGCTGTCACCATTGTCTGCACCACCCTGGCTAACTAGGAGGTCTGAGTCTGTCCATGTAACCAGTTTATTACCAATACAACCAGCATTTGAGAAAGCCAACACACTAAGGCTATTTACAACCAAGGAATCTCATCGAGTCTACATCACTCCCCTACTGCCCCTATCAGAGAAGGTGCTGGTACCCACTGCTGGGAGAGTTAAGGACTGGTCACGTCACTGGTTCCTTTTCAGATACACCCCAGCCTGGAGTGTGGCAGCCCTACTGGGTGGCTAGACCCAGAGGAACAGCAGCATTCACATTGTCTGGCCTTCAGGGACTCCTACTCCTGGAGGAAGAGAGGGAAACATATCGAGGGAATACCCTTTGAGACAAAGGAATCTGGATGGCAGGTTTTGAGTCCCAGATCTTTCCACTGGTGAAAAGTTTCTTTCAGTAGAGGTACAAGTGCAGTGCTGGGCTCAGCAGGCAAAGTCTGCAGCTCTCTGCTAATGGCAGCCCTGCTGCTCAAGAAGCATCTTGAGGAGACTTATTTTCCACCTCAACCACTACAGCAGAAACAAATGGGGCTTCTCTCATGGGAGCTCAGCACGGGCACACCTATAGACAACCCTTTTGGAACACTTCAGGGTGACTGAATCTCCACAGGTGGAGTGCCCTCCAGGTTCAGGCTTGAATAAGACGTACAGTCACAGTTTCTCTCTACTTGGAATATCAACATTTCTGCATATGAAAAGAGGTGCCTGTCTGATCTGAATAGCTGGAACACTGGGTCAGGAGTGTGTCTGAGAGGTAGAGGGACACCTCCTCTTACTGGGAGGTGAATTATTCAAGCCTGGACTATTCAGCCCAGTAAATTAAATACTGGAGAAAAAATTAAAAGTTCACACCATGGGGGAATGAGGTAAGCTTCAAGAGACCTCTGTCATTCTGATCCCATAGGAAACAGTGAGCCTGCTCACACAGTGAGCACATTGCTACTGCAACAATTACCTGAGAAAGCCATCATACAGAGACTCTCTATAACCAAGGAACTCATAAAATACAGAGTCTTCACCCTTCTCCCCTGAAAGCACCAAGAGCTGAATTCAGCTACAAAAAAACTATAAACATTAAAGCCATATATTTAAGGGGGGGAAAGGAATATTTTTTTAAAAATCAAAAACAAATTCAAGAATCATTAGGAGAAATAGTTTACCCAAATAAAGAACCAAAAAAATAATTCTGGAAATATGACAAAACAGGATTCTTTAACATCCCTAAGAGATCGCAGTAACTTTCTAGCAATGAATCCAAACCAAGATGCAATCCTTGAAATACCAGATAAATTCAAACGGTTTATTATAAAGCTACTCAAGGAGATACCAGAGAAAAGTGAAAACCAACATAAAGAAATTTAAAAACAATTCAGGATCTGAATGAAAAATTTTCTAAAGAGATAGATATTTTAAAGAAAAGCCAATCAGAACTTCTGGAAATGAAAGGCACATTTAAGGAATTAAAAAATGCAGTGGAAAGTTAACAATAGACTAGAATAAGTATTCAGAAAGAATTTCAGAGTTTGAAGACAAGGCTTTCAAATTTACCCAAGCAGACAAAAATAAATAATCAAAAGAAATAAAATATCTAAGAAATATGGGATTATATAAAGTGACCAAATCTAAGAATAACTGGTGTTCCTGAGAGAGAAGTCTAAAGGTTTGAAAAACTTATTTGAGGGAATAATTGAGAAAAATTTCCCTGGCCTTGCTAGAGATTTAGATATCCAAATACGAGAAGCTCATCTCTGTATTAGGGCTCTCTAGAGGGACAGAGCTAATAGGATATATGTACATATGAAAGGGAGTTTATTAAGGAGAATTGACTCACATGGTCACAAAGTCAAGTCCCATGATAGGCCATCTGCAAGTTGAGGAGCAAGGAAGCCAGTAGTGGATCAGTCCAAGTCCCAAAACCTCAGAAGTAGGGAAGCCAACAGTGCAGCCTCAGTGCAGCCTACACCAGTCCAAAAGCTGAGGAACTTGGAGTCTGATATTTGAGGGCAGGAAGCATCCAGCACAAGAGAAAGATGAAGGCCAGAAGACTCAGCAAGTCTGCTCTTCCATCTTCTCCTGCCTGCTTTATTCTAGCCATGCTGGCAGCTGATTAGATGGTGCCCACCCAGATTGAGGGTGGATTTTCCTCTCCCAGTTCACTGTCTCAAATGTTAATCCTCTATGGCAACACCCAGGAACAATACTTTGCATCCTTCAATCCAATCAAGTTGACACTCAATATTAACCATCACACTGGCCTTGCTAGAGATTTAGATATCCAAATACAAGACACTCAAAGAATTCCTGGGAGATTCATTACAAAAAGGACTTCACTAAGGCATATAGTCATCAAGCCATTTAAGTCAACATGAAGGAAAGAATTCTGAGAGCAGTAAGATAAAAGCACCAGGTAACCTAAAATGGAAAACTTATCAGACTTACAGCAGACTTCTCACTAGAAACCTTAAAAGCCAGAAGAGATTGGGGTCCCATCATTAGCCCCCTAAAACAGAATAACTGTCAGCCAAGAATTTTTTAAATCAAGCAAATATAAGTTTCATAAATGAAAGAGAAATAAAGACATTTTCAGACAAACAAATGCTGAGGGAATTGTCACTACCAGGCCAGCCCTAAAAGAAATGCTAAAAGGAGTTCTAAACCCTGAAACAGAAGGTCAATACGCACCAGAATAAAATCTCATGAAAGCATAAAACTCAGAGGGCCTATAAAACAACACAATGAAGAAAACAAAGTATCTAGCTAACAACTAACATGATGACTAGAACAGTATCTCACAGCAATATTAACACTGAATGTAAATGGCCCAAATTCTCCACTTACAAGACACACATTAGCAGAATTTAAAAAAAATCACAAACCAAATATCTGTGGGCTTCCAGAGACTTACCTAACATGTAAGAATTCATATAAACTCAAGGTAAAGGGGTAGAAAAACATTTCATGCAAATGGAAACCAAAACCAAATGAGAGTAGTTATTTTTTATCAGATAAAACAGACTTCAACAGTTTAAAAAAAAGAAAAAGACAGTAATTATAATAAAATCAATCCAACAAGAAGATATTACAATCCTAAATTTATATGCACCTAACACTGGATCTCCTAGATTCATAAAACATTTGCTACTAGAAATGAGATACATAGCAACACAATAGTGGAGGACTTTAACACTCCACTGACATCACTAGATGATCAGAGACAGAAAGTCAAAGAAACAATGGAATTAAACTACACTCTAGAACAAATGGACCTAACAGTTATTACAGAACATTCTACCCAACAACTTCAGAATATACAGTCTTCTCAACAGCACATCTATCTCCAAGACAGACCATAGGACAGGCCACAAAACAAGTCTCAATAAATTTAAAAAATAATTGTATCAAGTATCTTCTCAGACCACAGTGGAATAAATGAAATCAACTAGAAAAGGCATCATCAAAATGATACAAATATATGGAAATTAAACAATCTGCTCCTGCATGATTTTTGGGTTAACAATGATAAAGGTGGAAATTTAAAAACTCCTTGAAATGAATGATACTAGTGACACAAGTTATCAAAACCCCTGAGATACAGCAAAAAGCAGTGCTAGAAGGAAAGTTTACACCACTAAATGCCTACATCAAAAAGTCTGAAAGATCACAAGTTGAAAATCTAATGTCACACACCTCAAGGAACTAGAGCAACAAGACCTAAATTCAAAGCTAGTGGAAGGAAAGAAATAAAGATCAGAGTAGAACTGAGTAAAATTAAAACAAAAAAATACAAAGGATCAACGAAACAAAAAGTTGGTTCTTTGGTTGAGGAGATAAAATTAATAGATCATTAGCTAGATTAACCAATAAAAGAAGGGAGAAGATTCAAATAAACTCAATGAGAAATAAAACTGGAGACATTACAACTGACACCACAGAAGTACAAAAGATGATTTGAGACTAGTATGAACACCTCTATGCACATAAACTCAAAAATCTAGAAAAAAAAAATGGATAAACTCCTGGAAACATACAACCCTCCTAAATTAAACCAGGAAGAAATAGAAACCCTGAACAGACAAATAGCAAGGAGTGAGACTGAATCAGTAATTTTTTTAAAGTGCCAACAAAAAAAAAAAGCCAAGAGCCATATGGATTAACAGCTGACTTCTACCGGACATTTGAAGAATTAGTGCCAATCCTATCGAAACTATAACAAAAGATTGCAAAAGAGGGCATTCTCCCTAACTCATTGTATGAAGCCAGTATCATCCTGATACCGAAAACAGGAAAGGACACATCAAAAAAGAAAATTACAAATATCCCTGATGAGCATAGATGCAAAAATCCTCAACAAAATAACTGAATCCAACAGCATATCAAGAAGACAATACACCATGATCAAGTGGGTTTCATCCCAGGAATGCAGAGACGGTTTAACATGTGAGTCAAAAATAATTGTGATACATCACAAACAGGATTAAAAACAAAAACTGTAAAACCATTTCAATATATGCAGAAAAAGGATTGATAAAATCCAGCAAACATTTTTGATAAAAACACTCAACAAACTAGACATAGAAGGGACTTACCTCAAAATAAGAAAAGTCATATGACAAACCCACAGCTAACATCATACTGAATGGGAAAGAGTTGAAACCATTCCCCAAGAAGTGGAACAAGACAAGGATGCCTACTTTCACTACTTTCCTTCAATATAGTACTAAAAGTCCTAGCCAGAGCAATAGAGCAAGAGAAAGATATAAAGGGCATCCAAATTGGCAAAGAGGAAGTCAAACTATTGCTGTTCACCAGTGATATAACACTATACCTAGAAAACCCTAAAGACTCCTCTCAAAAGACTCCTAGATTTGACAAATGAATTCTATCGCGGGAACCCACCCCCAATATTTCAATGTAAGTTCTTTCTATTTTCCATAAGTGTCAGCCGGCTGAGAAATAAAGAGAGTATAAAGAGAGGAATTTTACAGCTGGGCCTCCAGGGGTGACATCACGTATCAGTAGGACTGTGATGCCCACCTGAGCTGCAAAACCAGTAGGTTTTTATTAAGGATTTCAAAAGGGGAGGGGGTGTAAAAACAGGGAGTAGGTCACAAAGATCACATGCTTCAAAGGGCAAAAAGGAGAACAAAGATCACGTGTTTCTGAGGAAACAGGACCAGGGCAAAATCAGAAACTCCTAATGGGGTCTATGTTCAGCAGTGCATGTATTGTCTTGATAAACATCTTAACAGAAAACAGGGTTCGAAAGCAGAGAACTGGTCTGACTTCAAATTTACCAGGGTAGAATTTCCCAATCCTAGTAAGCCTGAGGGTACTGCAGGAGACCAGGGTGTATTTCAGTCCTTATCTCAACCACATAAGACAGACACTCCCAGAGCAGCTATTTATAGACCTCCCCCTAGGAATGCATTCCTTCCCCAGGGTATTAATTATTAAATTCCTTGCTAGGAAAAGAATTTAGCGATATCTTCCCTACTTGTACGTCCATTTATAGGCTCTCTGCAAGAAGAAAAATATGGCTCTTTTTGCCTGACCCCGCAGGCAGTCAGACCTTATGGTTGTCTTCCCTTGTTCCCTAAAATCACTGTTATTCTGTTCTTTTTCAAGGTGCACTGATTTCATATTGTTCAAACACACATGTTTTACAATCAATTTGTACAGTTAACACGATTATCGTAGTGGCCCTGAGGTGACGTACATCCTCAGCTTATGAGGATAACAGGATTAAGAGATTAAAGTAAGACAGGCATAAGAAATTATGAAAGTGTTTGGGAACTGGTAAATGTCCATGAAATCTTCACAATTTATGTTCCTCTGCTGTGGCTCCAGCTGGTCCCTCCATTTGGGATCCCTGACTTCCCACAACAGAATTCAGGTTATGAAGTCAATCTACACAAATCAGTAGCACTGCTATACACCAACAACCAAGCTGAGAATCAAATTAGGAATACAATCCCGGCCAGGTGTGGTGGCTCACACCTGTAATCCTAGCACTTTGGGAGGCCGAGGTGGGCGGATCAGAAGGTCAGGAGTTCAAGACCAGCATGACCAACATGGCAAAACCCCGTCTCTACTAAAATATAAAAAATTAGCCGGGCGTGGTGGTGTATACCTGTAATCCCAGCTACTCAGGAGCCTGAGGCAGAAGAATCGCTTGAACCCAGGAGGAAGAGGTTGCAGCGAGCCGATATCGCGCCATTGCCCTCCCACCTGGGTGACAGAACAAGACTCTGTCTCAAAAATAAAAAAAAAAAAATGCAATCCCTTTAACAGCTGCAAAAAACTAAAAATACCTAGAGATATATTTAACCAAGGAGGTGAAAGATCTATACAAGAAGAATTACAAAACATTGCTGAAAGAAATCCTAGGTGACACAAACAAATGGAAATACATCCCATGCTCATGAATTGGGAAAAAAAATCAATATCTTTAAAGTGACCATACTGCCTAAATCAATCTACAGATTTAATGCAATTCCTATTAAAATACCAACATTTTTCACAGAATTAGAAAAAACAATTGTAACATTCATATGGAACCTAAAAACACAAACAGCCAAAGCCAATTATAAGCATAAAGAACAAATCTGGAGGCAACACATCACTGGACTTCAAATTATACTACAAGGCTATAGTTACCAAAACAGCATGGTACTGGTATAAAAGCAGACACATAGACCAATGCAACAGAATACAGAATCTAAAAATAAAGCCAAATATCTACAGCCTTCTGACCTTTGACAAAGCATAACAAAAATATAAATTGAGGAAAGGACACCCTATTTCATAAATACTGGGAAAACTGGTTAGCCATATTTAGAAAAATAAAATTGGATCCCCATCTTTCATATTATTAAAAAAATCAACTCAAGATGGATCCAAGATTTAAATCTAAGACCTGAAGCCATAGAAATTTTAGAAGATAACCTAGGAAAAATTCTTCTGCACCTTGGCCTAGGCAAAGAATTTGTAAGACCCGAAAAGCAAATGCAACAAAAACAAAAAATGGGACCCAATTAAAGTAAAAAGCTTCTGTACAGCAGAAGAAATAATCAGAGTAAACAGAAACCCACAGATTGGGAAAAAATATTTGCAAATTATCCATCTGACAAAGGACTAATATTCAGAATCTACAAGGAACTCAAACCAGCAAGAAAATAATCCCATCAAAAAGTGGGCAAATGACAAACAGACATTTCTCAAAAGTAGATATACAAATGACCAAACATATGAAAAACTGTTCAATGTCACTAATCATCAGGGAAATGCAAATTAAAACCACAATGAGATACCACCTTACTCCTACAAGAATGGCCATTACTGAAAGTCAAAAAAACAATAGATGTTGGCATGGAAGTGGTGAAAACAGAATACTTATACACTGCTGGTGAGAATGTAAATTAGTTCAACGTCTTATGGAAGACAATATGGAGATTTCTTAAAGAACTAAAAGATCTGCCATTCAATCGAGCAGTCCCACTACTGGCTATCTACCAAAGGAAAATAAGTCAGTATATCAAAAAAACACCTGCACACATGTTTATTGCAGCACAATTCAAAATTGCAAAGATATGAAACCAAGTGCCTGGCGACCAGCGAGTGGATAAAGAAAATGCAGTCGCTTTTGCTGTTCTGTCAGAGAGGCCCAGTAGCAGTATCTCACTTCAGCCTTAATTTTTTTTCTAGTTTGCCAGAGCCAGCCTCATCATTCCACCTTATAGGTACCAGCAGCAGCTAGGCAGTGCCCACACATCAGAGCTACTCACATTGGGAATAACGAAGGAAACAACTCGACCCACAGAGAATGGAGAAAAGCAAGGCTAGACAACAGCCTATCCAGGAGCAACAGAGCCAAGGGTACCTCCCCCACCCAGGAAAGTGATGATTGAACGGGCGACTCTGAGAACCCAGGCTTCTCCCATGGATCTTTGCAACCTTCTGGTCAGGAGATACCTTCGTGAATCCATTCCACAGGGCCTTCTGTCTGACACACAGTGATGTGGAGTCTTGGTAGAGCAGCTGCTCGGGCACACCTGGAGATGTAGGAGCCTTAGATACTCAGGTTCAGGGCTTCCCAGCAAAAGTAACCACAAGGGTCTAGCAAAGCAGGAGGTTAGACCCCTGTACATACCACTAGGAAAGAGGCTGAATACAGGGGGCCAAGCAGTGACAGTCTGCAGGGCCCCACTTTCATGGCATCTTACAGGATAATACCACTAGCTTGGAATTCCAGTCAGCTACTGGTGGCAGCCTTGTGCTTCCTTGGGTGGGAGTTTCTGGGGAGAGGGGCAGGCTACCATCTTTGCTGTTTGGGCAAATTGGCATTCCAGCCTTCTGGCTTTACAGAGTCCAAGCCAACCAGGGGCAGAAGGGATCCCCCAGCACAGCACAGCAGAGCAGCACAGCTATCCATTCCTCTTCACTGGGCAAGACCTCCTAACTGGGGTCTCCAGTGACTTCCTACAGGTGCATTCGGGCTAGCAACAGGTCTGTATCTCCCTGGGAGGGAGCTCTCAGAGGTCAAGGCAGGCTGCCATCTTTACTGTTTCACAGCCTTCACTGGTGATACCTCCAGGTACTGGAAAATCCAAGGCAACTATAGTGGGACTGGAGTGGGTGTTCAGCATATCACAGCAGCCCTATGGAAAAGTGTCCAGTCTCTTACATGGGTACCTGTTCCCATATCTCCTCACTGGGGAGGTCCTCCAGGCCTGAGCCTCCAGGCACCCTCTGCCAGAGCTACTAGGCCAGTAGCAACTTGGAAATTCCCTGGACAGAGCCTCCAGGGGCAACTGAAAGCCTCTCTGCCACTGCCTCTGCAGTGGAACCATCCTTGCAACCCTTGGACTAATAAGGAGCAAATACCCTAAGTGCCTTATCCACACCTTCAACAAGCTGCAGTTGGCCCAAGCAGAGGGGGCCAGTGCATCTCCTATGGGTCCCACACACCCCCTACTGCTTGTCATCAGATAGGGAACCCCTGGCTTGGGCCCACAGCACAGACCCTCCATCCCGGGTCCATTGTCCCGAGTGGTTGCTGACCCACATCTCTCTGGGGTAGAGCCCCCAGGAGGCAAGCAAAGTGGTAAAGCAGCAAGCCAGCTGATGTGGAGCCCAAAGGGTTTGGTGCAGGAGCATCTGTAGTGGAGCATGGCCAGGGACAGTAATCAATTTAGGCTCAACTTGCTCTCATAAGAAACTTTGACCCTAGGGGAATGGTTGAGCCTGATCTCTGCAGGGCGGTCTTGGTCATCAGTCTGGGCTGGTATGACCTGAGCACTCCTTGGTCTGCTGGCCTCTCCTGGGGCCCCAGCCTGACCATGCCTGCTCACAGGGTAGTCTTGGGTGTCCAGGGGGCCCACATTGAGGTTTCTGTGTCAGTGGACCATGCCTGACCAGTGGAGAGCTCCAGTGAGGTGGTTCCTGTGGCCATGCAGCAGCCCTCACATTCCCTCCCCATACTCTAGCTTCCCACAAGCCCACAGTAAGTCCCCACATCACTTTGCTGGTGTGTGTCTGCATAGGTGGATTTTGCTTCACTTGCCCTGCCAGCATGTAACGGTGCTGTATGCCGCTACCCCCAGCAACCACCATTGCAGATGAAGCCTTGGTGGGCACAGTCAGCAAGCCCCACCTCTGCCAGCACCCTGCCCTTGTGCTGATGTTGCACAGAAAATGGGATCCTCCCACACCCTGAGTGATCACTCCTGCTTGAGGGGCATAGATAAGGCAGCCAGACCTGTGCTGGCCAGTCCCATGCCCGAAGCCAACACCACCTCCAGTGCAACAGTAAACAGTCTCCAGCAGGGGCCCCCTGCTCCCTGCCTCTGCCACCACTATGGTGAATGCCTGCAGGGAGGCAAGCACCCTCGCATGCGCTAGCACTCTGCTAAAGCCGCCACACTTCGCACCCCCTGCCCAGTGCAGTGGACTCCAAACCTTGAGCCAGAGAACAAAGTTGGGGCCCAACACTAGTCCGCCAAAGTTAGAGCATGCTGTCCAGAGTTGGGAGCTGAGCATTGGCCTCCTAAAATCTCCCAGAAACAAAGCCAGTTGGCTGAATCCACCCTATACCACAATCAAACCCTCAAGGTCAAATAGGATAAAAGATAAACCCATCCAAATGTCAGCAACCTCAAAGATTGAAGGTAGATAGACCACAAAGATGAGAAAGAGTCAGCATAAGAACACAGAAAACTCAAAAAGCCAGAGTACCTTCTTTTCTTTAAATGACTGTATCACCTCTCCGGCAAGTGTTCAGAACGAGGCTGAGGCTGAGATGGCTGAAATGACAGAAGTAGAATTCAGAATATGGATAGGTACAAAGTTCATTGAGCAAGAGGAGTATGTTGTAACCCAATCCAAGGAAGCTAAAAATCACGATAAAACATTGCAGAAGCTGGCAGACAAAATAGCCAGTATAGAGAAGAACATAACTGACCTGATAGAGCTGAAAAGCACACAAGGATTTCATAATGCAATCACAAGTATTAATAGCAGAATAGACCAAGTGGAGGAAAGAATCTCAGAGCCTGGAGAATGGCTTTCTGAAATAAGACAGGCAGACAAGAATAAATAAAAAAAGAATGAAAAGGAACAAAACCTCTGGGAAATATGGGATTATGTAAAGAGACCAAGCCTACAACTGATTGGTGTACCTGAAAGAGATGGGGAGAATGATAACCACTTGGAAAACATTTCAGGATATCATCCATGAGAAGTTCCCCAACCTAGACAGAGAAGCCAACATTCAAATTCAGGAAATGCAGAGAACCCCAGTAAGATACTTCACAAGAAGATCACCCCCACGACACATAATCAGATTATCCAAGGTTGAAATGAAAGAAATTCTGTTAAAGGTAGTTAGAGAGAAAGGTCAGGTCACATACAAAGGGCAGCCCATCAGACTAATGCAGACCTCTCAGATGAAACTCTATAAGCCAGAAGAGATTGGGGGCCAACATTCAAAGAAATTCCAACCCAGAATTTCATATCCAGCCAAACTAAGCTTCACAAGCAAAGGAGAAATAAGATCCTTTTCAGACAACCAAATGCTGAGGGAATTTGTAAGGCACCAGACTTGCCTTATTAGAGCTCTTTTTTTCTATTAGAAGGAAGCACTAAATATGGAAAGACTTTTACCAGCCACTACAAAAACACACTGAAGTACACAGACCAGTGACACTGTGAAGAAACCACATAAACAAGTCTGCAAAATAACCAGCTAACATGATGACAGGATCAAATCCACACATATTAATACTAATCTTAAATGTAAATGGGCTAAATGCCCTGATTGAAAGACACAGAGTGGCAAGCTTGGTAAAGAAACAACACCCATTGCTATGCTGGCTTCAAGTGACCCATCTCACATGCAATGACATACATAGGCTCAAAATAAAGGGATGAAGGAAAATCTACCAAGCAAATGGAAAAAAAAAGAGCATGGGTTACAATCCTAGTTTCTGACAAAATAGACTTTATACCAACAAAGATCAAAAAAAGACAAAGAAGGGCATTATATAGTGATAAAGGGTTTTATGTACCCAACACAGGAGCACCCAGATTCATAAAGCAAGTTCTTAGAGACCTTCAAAGAGACTTAAAGTCTCCCACTATTACCATGTGGGAGTCTAACACCCCACTGACAATATTAGACAGATCAACACAGAAAATTAACAAAGATATTCAGGACCTGAACTGAGCACTAGATCAAATGGGCCTGATAGAAGATATCTACAGAATTCTTCACCCCAAAACAACAGAATATGCATTCTTCTCATTGCCACATGGCACATACCCTAAAGGTGATTACATAATCAGAAGTAAAACACTCCTCACCAAATGCAAAAGGACTGAAATCCTAAGTCTCTCAGATCACAGCACACTCAAATTAGAAATCAGGACTAAGAAATTTACTGAAAACCATACAATTACATGAAAAGTGAATAACTTGCTCCTGAATGACTTTTAGGTAAATAATGAAATTAAGGCAGAAGTCAAGAAGTTCTTTGAAACTAATAAGAATAAAAATACAACATACCAGAATCTCTGGGACACAGCTAAAGCAATACTAAGAGGGAAACTTATAGCACTAAGTGCCCACATCAAAAAGTAGAAAGATCAAGCTAACAACCTAACATCACATCTAAAAGAACTAGAGAACCAAGAGCAATCAAATCCCAAAGCTAGCAGAGGACAAGAAATAACCAAAATCAGAGCTGAACTGAATAAGAGATAGGAAAAGCCATTCAAAAAAGAAAAATCAGTGAATCCAGGAGCTGGTTTTTGGAAAAAAATAAAATAGACCACTAGCTAGACTAATAAAGGAGCAAAGCAGAAAGATTCAAATAAACATGATCAGAAATGACAAGCAGGATGTTTCCACTGACCCCACAGAAATACAACCATCAGAGAATATTATAAACACCTCTACACACATAAACTAGAAAAACTAGAAGAAATACATAAATTCCTGGACGTATACATCCTCCCAAAACCAAACCAGGAAGAAGCTGAATCCATGAACAGATCAGTAAAGAGCTCTGAAATTGAGGCAGTAATAAATAGCCTACCAAAAAAAAAAAAAAAAAAAAGCCCGGGACCAGGCAGATTCACAGCTGAATTCTACCAGAGGTACAAAGAAGAGCTGGTACCATTCCTACAGAAAGTTTTGCAAAAAATTGAGGAAGAAGGACTCCTTCTGAACTCATCCTATGAGGCCAGCATCATCCTGTTACCAAAACCTGGCAAAGATACAACAAAAAAAGCTTCAGGCCAATATTCATGATGAACATTGATGCAAAAATCCTCAACAAAATACTGGCAAGCCAAATCCAGCAGCACATCAAAAAGCTTATCCACCATGATCAAGTAGGCTTATATCCCTGGAATGCAAGGTGATTCAACATACACAATTCAATAAATGTGACATCATGTAAAGAGAGGACAAAAAACACATGATTATCTCAATAGATGCAGAAAAGGCTTTCAATAAAATTCAACATCCCTACATGTTAAAAATTCTCAATAAACTAGGTACTAAAGGAACATGCCTCAAAATAATAACAGCCATATATGACAAACCCACGGTGAACATCTTACTGAATGGACAAAAGCTGGAAGCATTCCCCTTAAAAACTGGCACAAGACAGGAATGCCCTCTCTCACCACTCCTATTCAACACAGTATTGGAAGTCAACATAGTATTGGAAGTCCCGGCCAGGGCAATCAGGCAAGAGAAAAAGACACAGGGCATCCAAATAGGAAGAGAGGAAGTCAAACTATCCCTGTTTGCAAATGACATGATCCGGTATCTAGAAAACCCCATAGCCTCAGCCCTCAAAACCTAAAGCTGATAACTTCAACCAAGTCTCAGGATACAAAAGTCAATGTGCAAAAGTCACTAGCATTCCTATACACCAACAACAGGCAAGCCAAGAGCCAAGTCAGGAACAAACTCCTATTCACAACTGCCACAAAAAGAATAAATTACCTAGGAATATAGCTAACTAGGGAGGTGAAAAGATAACTACAAAGAGAACTACAAACCACTGCTCAAAAAAGCAGTGACACAAACAAATGGAAAAACATTCCATGCTCATGAAAAGGAAGAATCAATGTCATGAAAATGGTCATACTGACCAAAGTAATTTATAGAGTCAATGCTATTCCCATTAAACTACCATTGACATTCTTCACAGAATTAGAAAAAACTATTTTAAAATGCATATGGAGCCAAAAAGGAACCCCAATAGTCAAGGAAATCCTAAGCAAAAAGAACAAAGTTGGAGGCATCAAACTACCTGACTTCAAACTATACCACAGAGCTACCATAACCAAAATAGTATGGTACTGGTACAAAAACAGACACAAAGGCCAATGGAATAGAGAATCCAGAAATAACACCACACACCTACAACCATCTGATCTTTGATAAGCCTGACAAAAACAAGCAATGGGAAAAGGATTGCCTATTCAACAAGTGGTGCTGAGATAACTGGCTAGTCATATGAAGATTGAAACTAGACCCAATCCTTATACCATACACAAAAATTAACTCAAGATAGATTAAAAACTTAAATGTAAAACCCAGAACTATAAAAACCCTGGAAGACAACCTAGGCAATACCACTCAGGACACAAGTACAGTCAAATATTTCATGATGAAGATGCCGAGGTCAGGAAATCGAGACCACCCTGGCTAACATGGTGAAACCCTGTCTCTACTAAAAATACAAAAAATTAGCTGGGCAATGTGGCACGTGCCTGTAGTCCCAGCTACTTGGGAGGCTGAGGCAGGAGAATCACTTGAACCCAGGAGGCGGAGGTTGCAGTGAGCCAAGATCACGCCACTGCACTCCAGCTTCGGTGACACAGCGAGACTCTCCGTCTAAAATAAATAAAATAAAATAAAATAAAAAATAAAAAAAATGCAATTGCAACAAAAACAAAAACTGACAAATGGGATCTAATTAAACTAAAGGACTTCTAGCACAGCAAAATAAACTATGAGAGGAAATACACAACATACAGAGTGGGAGAAAATTTTTGCACACTATGCATCTGACAAAGGTCTAATATCCAGCATCTAAAAGGAACTTAAATTGACAAGAAAAAAAAAAAAAACCCTAACAATCCCATTAAAAAGTGGTCAAAGAGCATGAACAGACATTTTCCAAAACATGACATACATGCAACCAACAATTATTTTAAAAAGCTCAATATTTCTGATCATTAGGGAAATGCAAATCAAAACCACAATGAGGTACCATCTCATATCAGTCAGAATGATTATTAAAAAGTCAAAAATAACAGATGCTGGTAAGATGGTGGAGAAAAAGGAATGCTCATACACTACTGGTGAAAGTGTAAGTTAGTTCAACCATTGTGGAAGACAGCATGGCAATTCTTCAAAGACCTAAAGATAGAACTACCATTCAACCCAGCAATCCCATTGCTAGGTATATGCCCAAAAGAATATAAATAATATTATAAAAACACATGCACATGTATGTTCATTGCAGCATTATTCAGAGTAGCAAATATGTGGAACAAACCTAAATGCCCATCAATGATAGACTGGATAAAGATAATGTGTTACATATACATCCTGGAATACTACACAGCCATAACAAATCAATGAGATCATGTCCTTTGCAGGGACATGGATGGAGCTGGAGGCCCTCATACTTAGCAAATACAGAACAGAAAACCAAATACTGCATGTTCTCACTTGTAAGTGGGAGCTAAATGATGAGAACACAGAGACACACAGAGGAGAACAGACACTGGGGATCCTTGGAGGGTGGGAGGAGGGAAAGGATCAGGAAAAACAACTAATGAATACTACGCTTAATACCTGGATGATGAAATAATCTGTAAACAAACTGCCAAGACACAAATGTACCTATGTAACAAACCTGCACATATACCCCTGAACTTAAAAAAGAAAATGTATATATACACTATGTAACACTACTCAGTCATAAAAAAGAATGGAATAATGTCTTTTGCAGGAACTTGGTTGGAGCTGGAAGCCATTATTCTAAGTGAAGTAACTAAGGAATGGAACATCAAATACTGCACATTCTCACTTACAAGGGGGAGCTAAGCTATGGGTACACAAAGCCTAGAGTGATATAATGAAATATGGAGACTCAGAAGGGGGAGATAGGAGGGGGAGTAAGGAATAAAAACCTACATATTGGGTGCAACATACACCACTCGAGTGATGGGTGCACTAAAATGTTGAACTTCACCACTATACAATTCATCTATGTAACCAAAAACCACTTGTACCCCCAAAGCACTGAAATCTTAAAAAATTAAGGAAAAAGAAAATGTGGTACATATACACAATGGAGTACTATTCAGCATAAAGAATGAGATCCTGTCATTTGCAACAATGGATGGAACTGGAGATCATTATGTTAAGTGAAATAAGCCAGGCACAGAAAGACAAGCATCACATGGTCTCACTTATTTGTGAGATGCAAAAATCAAAATGATTGAACCCATCGAGATATAGAGTAGAAGGATGGTTACCAGAGGCTGGAAAGGGTAGTGGCAGGGGCGGGGGCGGGGATGGGGGCGGGGGTGAGGGGGATGCTAATGGGTAAAAAAAAAAATAGTAAGAATGAATAATACCTAATAATACCTAGTATTTGATAGCACAACGGCGTAGCTATAGTCAAAATATTTTAATTGTACATTTCAAAATAACTAAAAGAACATAACTGGTTTGTAACACAAAGGATAAACTCTTGAGGGGATAAATACCCCATTTTTCATCATGTGATTACTACGAATCAAATGCCTATATCAAATTCTCTCGTGTACCCCACAAATATATACACCTATGTACCCACAAAAATTAAAACAACAACAAATCTTTTGTGCCTTTTTTTCTCTCTCTCTCTCTTTTGTGCCTTTTTACTGGGTGGCTAATTTTGTTATTGAGTTGCCACAGTTTTCTCTTGAAGCACCCTGGGACTCAAGGTCTGCTGGAGGCAAGAGGCAGAGTGTGAAACCACCGGTTCCGGAGAGTAGCGTCGCAGCTCCGTGCAGGGTTCATGATGCTTCTGACACTTTCTGGTCCATGAAGCCCTGGCCCCGGTTTGAGCTTTCTGTCCTTTGCCCTCTTCCTCAGAGCACAGTCTGTAGGACCGGCTGGCAGCCTCCCTGATGGCAATCCCCTGCCCCCTGCACCTGGGCAGTAGCCTGGACGGTTTTCACATGGCCCTTACCCTCACTGACATGGATGGGCCAGTGCGTTTACTTTGGGGTTTTGACTTAGTTCTGAATGTGTATCTTGGCTGCCCATTCTATGTCTCACCCTGTCCCAGCCAGCACCTCAGTTCTGATACAGCCACACACATCAGCAACAAGACCAAAGGATGTCAGGAGAATACTGAACGTTGTCTGGAGGCAGAGATCCCACTATTTCATTTGTTTCATGGTATGTCTGTTTTGGTGGTTAATCCTCCAAAAAATGTCAATTTATTTCTTATATCGGAAAAAGTCATCCCCCCCGCCCACCACCACCACCACTCTGCTGTGATGCCCTCTCCCTCATCTAAATCCCACTGTCCCTTCAGGCCCAAATTTAAACCTCATTTTCTCTGTGAAGCCCACCCTTACCTCCCTCCACCCCCTGACCCATTCCAAAGGCCACTGGGCACACTTTCTAGAGCTTGTGCTCACTCTCTCTCACTGGCTGTCTTTTCTCTGCAATCTCTAGAAAACACTGATCTCTTAACATGCACCACTACCTCTAATAGAGAACTTGGGCATCCTGAAAAGTTGCTTTTAATGTTTTATCTCTCCTGCTTAATGTCCAGCTCCTTGAGAGAGGGGAAAAATGGTTTCTTATTGTAACAGTGCCCTGCATATAAGCGCTCAATAATTGTTTATATTTTGTCGAATCAAATTCTGTGTTTAAAGATTTTCCCCTTCATTGTGCTGGTGCCATGGAGAATGCGCCAGCAACTATGCATATGTGTGTGAGTTAGGTGGGAGGGGAAGGGGGAGAGGGGGAGAGAGAGAAAGAGAGAGAGAAGGAAAAGAGATTACCATTTCCTTAGCTTTTTCCAGGTGAGGCAGGTTCCCCCCCAGCACCACCTCTGCACATCAAGGCTGCTTACTGCCAATGCCTGCCACTCTGCCTAAACATTTTCCTTGCTGCAAGAGCCTGTGCGCCAACTAAGTGGCAAGTGCCAATGAGTTAATGCTCATGGAGGCAGCCCATCGTTTGTTGACAAACTATGGATGGGGAGCTGGTGGATCAGTATCTCTGCCTTTTAGACAACTCCCTCTCAAGGGTGTGCTAACTCTGAGGTGCGTTCTACATCATCTCCCAGAGATCTCTGGCGGTACTGAGCCCCAATTTCTCACAGCAGTAACAGGCTGTACAGGCCCCTTATCGTCTTCCTTCTCCCTTTCTTACTCTTCTGCTTCCTTATCAGGGTTTTCTGGGGTCAGCCTCCAAATAAACTACTTGTACTTAAATACTTATCTCAGGGTTGGTTCCTGGAAGAACCCACATCAAGACAATTTGCTTTGCATTCTTTTGGATGGTCTTTCCCTGTGTCTAAAACAAAAGCCAAATCCTGAACACTTTTCTGAGAAAGCTCTGGTCGGTGCCAACAGAGGCAGGAGGACTTGTTGTGGCACCTGGTGTCAGGCTTTGCTGGAATTATGTTAGCCATCCTCTCAGGGCACTCTGGGCTGCTCTCCACAGGGTGCTTCCACAGTCGGTTCCAGGTCTGGTTGTTTCTAAAATTCAGAGCCAAATGTAGCAGCACCCAAGGGAATTCACTGGGTCTGGCATGACGGCTTCGCACAAAGCCAAGCAGCATCTGAGTCTGCCGTTGAGTGGCTATAGCACACTACACGTTGGACAAAATTTTCAGGGACCTTCACCAAAGTGCAAACCAAAGCAATTGTTCACATATGCAACATTCACCTAGGTACTCTCCCAAGTAAAATAGACAAGAATATTTATCTAACAGACTGGCAGAATGCCTTGAGAAAGTCAGACAAGATTCTCACAGCAAGGGTCAGTCTAGTATCAAACAAATTCTAACATATACACTTCATGAGTCTCAGTCCACTTTTAACACAGTAAAATTTCCTTCTTTACTGGCCTGTATCATGTTGAATCCATAATGCAACATGACCCAGCTTTGACATTATTTGTAGATATAAAAACATGGTGCTCTGGAAAGAATTATAAATGCTTCACTGAGCTTTAGTAGGAAAGTCTCTTGAAAAATGGAAATCAATGTCTAGCATAGCAGGTAGCACTCTTAGAAATAAGGCAAATTCTATACAAAACAGTCTTGCCTGAAACAAGCTTGAGTGCATTCAATCCAGCAATTGCTATTACTAATAGCTGAAGAAGATTCTTACTAGAAGAAAGAAAGAGGAATGCTGGATCCACATTGCAATGAGAACCATATGTGACATGCATTAGCATCAATAACTGTCCTCGCCATTCATATATTAGCATCTCATACATTATCACTGAGGAATTATTGAGAACATTTGGTCCACTGTGACTGGGGACTCACACCTCTTCTGGGTGGGACCAGGAGTCTCTTGTTGTCAAGCTCTGTGGATGTCCCACAGCTGTCAAATGTGCTCATTATCCCTGTTCATTCTGAGGCTCCTCATTCACTTGCAGAAAATTCTCAGCTTCTTCAGTTCAGTGTTCATGATGACAGAATCTCTGCTAGACTGTGAAGAGTACTCTGCTTTCCATCACTGTGCCCTACAACTCACTGGCTGCTGGTTACAGCCGGGAACAGCATATCTACTGCACCGTGGGACAGATTGGCCCTATGTCTGTGTCCTCATGAAGCCACCCATGCTGCCATCATGAGACAGTTTTACTTTAAAATTATCCATACTCACTTTCAGGTGAGAGGTGAGTAGTATTCAAAGCTCACAAATTTAAAGAAAAGCTACTGGAATATGAAATCTGGGACTAATTACAGTCTCAATTTTGGATGGCTCAGTGATTCTTTTCCATCGCACTATCTGCGGGATTCTCGTTGGCAATGAATTCATTAATGTTGAGATAACTAAATAACAGTGCTGACCAGTGTATCTCTTTGGCCCAGGTCTTTGTCAGGGCTGAGCCCTCTTGAAATCTTGAGTTCTGAGTTTGGGTCAAACTAATTTGTGCCTCTGTAAAGATCTTGCTTTGAGATGATGCTTGTTTTTAAAACAATTAAAGGCAGAGCTAATGTAATAGATCTTCATAAAAAAAAAAAGTTCCCAGGGTAATGAAAATCAATTGGATAATATTAGCATGTGGAAATGGCTTTCAGAAATGGTTTGAGTGGTTTATCATGATACAAATCAGACCTCAGAGGACATTAAGCAAATGTTACACATGTATTAGAGTACAGGGAGTCTTTTCTTGACCATATAACTTTAGATGCAGATGACCTGTCATTTCCCTTAGACTTATTAAATGGCTCCAATACTCAGGATCCTATTTAATGGTGGTGCTTGAGCTTCTTAAATGTAATGGAATAGCTAGAAATGATTCCCTGGACTTCTTTGCTGGATCTCAGCAACAGGTCAAAAGGCCAGGCCAAAATCACTTCTCATCGTGTACTAAAATCCCAGCCATGCCAAGGACCTCATGCTGTTTATTGCCACCTGTCCCACATCATCAACCTGCTCCTTGCAAATAGCTCATTTCCATTAACTTTGAACATTTAAACATGCCATGCTCAAGGCTCTTCTGTCTTTTCACAGTTGGATTCAACAATCGCTGGCTTTAATTCCTCACTTCTCATTCACTCTTTAACCCAGATGCAGCCTGACCTGCCGCTCCATGAAAACCGCTCTTGCGCAGATCACAAACAGTCTCTTTGTTTTTGAATCCAATAGACACCTTTCAGTCTGAATCTCACTCGACCTCTTGGCAACTCTGGGTGTTTTTGATCAACCTGGGATTTCACTAGGATGAGGCAGAAGCTGGCAGGTCAAGGCAGCAGCTCCCTCTGACTGAGGGAGATTATACAAGGTGGGTCCTAGGAGGCTATAAGGATTTAGAGTCATGAAACACACATCACCCTCTCACAATTCTGCCCATGCTGGTGCTAGAAATCCCACTGGGACACCCTATGCTGTGTGTTGAGGGAAGGAAAAACCAAGACTAGCTTTGCAGCATGTATTTTTTATCGCCTTTCTCCTTGTTAAAATTCTCCCGTTGGAGTAAGGATAGGACAACAGTTTCCAGGCAACAGGCAAAAATAAGGGCATCATCCTCCCAGATGAGTTTATGCTAAGTGTATCAAACATAACATGCTAAATTGTTAGCAAACATCTTAGCTGATGGAACTAGGCAGGATTAGCTATCATTTGTTTCCCCCTCTTTATCTTCAGTCAAATATCCCTCCTCCACATCATACCCCTGGCCAGCCTAATGAATTTCTTTAATTAGCCATAACTTCTGATTTATAGACTTTGCCTTTACCCTTGCCAACGTATTTGT
Organism: Homo sapiens; assembly: GCF_000001405.40. NCBI lineage: Eukaryota > Metazoa > Chordata > Mammalia > Primates > Hominidae > Homo > Homo sapiens. The sequence continues at coordinate 109,302,472 of NC_000005.10, forward strand.
CTGCACCATGCTATAGCCATGGCCTCTAATCCAGCTAGCATTCTGTGGCACCTATAGAATTGCAGTCATCAATTTGCTCGCTTTACAGTGTGCTTTGTTTCCCTAGACAGCTTCTGGCGTGTAGTTATATGAGACCATGAGCATCATTCTGTGTGACCTTCTCATTTTCTCCTAAGCACATAGGTAGTCATTTTTGCAATTTGCCTTCTTTCCTAATGCCTATTCTCCTTCTACTGCCCAGCCCACTATTATCGAACAGTCTTCTCTGCTAGAAAGCCCTTCTTGTACACTGTGGTGCTTAGTAAATATTTTATTTGAATCCCAAACCTGTCCCCACTCCAATAACTTGCATTTTTTTCCCCGAGTCTGCTTTCTAGGATTACCAAAAAAATACCTGTGCGTTCTGTGAGAGCATGGTATGTTTTACATGGCACTCTCTAGAGTGAGTGAAGACTGATTCCATGTCTCCATTTAGGGCAGCCACCTCAAAACACCCCTTTCTTTCTCCTTTCCATTGTTCTTATTTTAAAAAGACAAACCCTGGAGTCTTTACAACTGCTTATAAGGCCCTATTCCTGTTATTGTTCTGCACAAACCTCCTGTACTGTTCTCCCGCTCTTGGGCTAGGGAGCCACCCCAGCCTGCCTACTGTTCTCAGACACGCCAAAATCCCTGTCCCTCTGCCTGCACTGCTCTTCTTCTCCCTTCCCCCGGGCTCATTCTGCACCTCCGTCAAGTTGGCTTAAACTTCCCCTCTGCCCCAGCGACCTGCACATTCTGCCCCAGAATTCCCCATGGCCCAGATTCTGACTCTATCCTTTCGCACATAGCAAATTATATAACTTATTTACTAAGTTTATTTGCTTAGTGTCCATCTCCAATGCCTCACCATGAGGACGGGAATCTGCATCTCTCCAATATTTATCCCAAGTGCTGAGCAAATGTCAGGTACATGGCAGGTATTCAATTTATTCATTATTGTATGCATAAATGAATGAAAGGGAGGTAGATATAAGGAAGTAAAAATGCATTAAAAAGTAAATTTTGACAGGTTGTCTTTTCCTAATAAAACACCTCCAGCTCTACCTACACTCTTCGTGTGTTTTCGCATCTCAGCGAAAAATTGACCCTTGCACGAAGTGACCAAAGACGTTCAATTTCCAGAAACCAAAATTTTGACAGAAGATCACATGATGGGGTAGGGTGGGTTTGGAAAGGAGGAGTTGGAAGCCCAGCTGGAAAAATCAGTTGGATGGGGATAGATTCAGGAGATAATGGTGAAGGGGGAAGAAGCAGAACTGCACACAGATCTACTGAACAGCTGGACACAAGGCAGTAACTAATTCAGAATGCTTGACAGAGTTCCAAGCAGGGAAGGTGGTTGTTGCTGCGGATGCATTTAGTTTGAGTTGTGTTGGACTTCAATTGTGCTGAGAGAGCCAGAGCAAGAAGACCAGGATACCTTGTAAACTGTCTAGGTCCAGAGACCAGATGACCTTAGGGAAGATGAAACTAAGAAAAATGGCAGGAACCTGTGATTGCATCAAGGTTGCGTGGCTGGCGACACTATGGTGCCTGCAGGAGATGAGCTTATGTTATAGTATTGACAATGGACGTATCCAAGGTTGTCCTTTCCCCTTAGCATTCTCTGGGTTAGAACTCCTCACTCTCAACTTTCTAAAATAGGTATCAGGGGCAGCAGATTGAGCCAAGCTTCTTGGAGCAGCTTCTCTGTGTTACAGGATGTGAGATGTCAGAACAGTTGACATGGTGATCCATCCACAAGGAGCTTCTGGTTTAGGGAGAAGACAGGTGTGTATGCAGACAGCCAATACAACTTCCAGTAAAGACAGTAATTCTATTTGGAGGAGGTGGAGGTTAAGCCAATATAGGAGACTAGGCAGGATCTTAGTAGGATGTGGGAAATTAATTCCTGGCAGGGGGCAGCAGGGGCAAAGACTTAGAGATACTGGGAAAGAAAAATATGGTGGATTTTCCATTCAGTAAAACACATGACACACTTCAGGAGCAGCAGAGGGAGATAAAGACAAAGGAAAGTCAGGTTCAGTAGGGGAGAACCCTGAAGGCCAGTCTCAGGGCTCTGGGCAGCTTTTCTCTAGCAGCTATGGTAAGTCATTGGATGTTTATGAGCAAGCATATAAATGGCTCAGTACAGTTGTCCCTTAGATATTGAGAACTGAGGAGTAAGAGGAGCCCATTTATGGAAGGAGGGTGCACAGATCTGAATGCCCCTCAGGTCCAGCTACCATGAGAGACTGAAAACAGAAGGTGAAGTTGACTGTTTACCGAAGCCCAGGAGGCTGCTCCCTCAGCTCCAAGTTCTGGGTCATGCCTGGCCTCTCTGGACTTCTGAGGCTGGTGGCTACAGGCCATAGAGATGAAGAAAGTACATCACAGCCCAGGAGAAACAGCAGTCGTGTATCTGAAATTTATGTTCCTTCATGAGATTTTCTACCTCATATTTTTTCTGCCAGCTTCCAAAATATTTTTTCTGGTTTTGTGTTTAGTCAAATTAAAAAAAAATCTTTAAAAGGAAAGCTAATAGACACAATGAGTGAAAAATAAGCAGAAGGGAGCTGTAAATCATAAATCAAAGTGTTGAGATGAAACACGTCTACTTGAGAATTGTGGTCATAAAGGCATTATCTAATATCTGATTGGATGGTCCACTTCAAAAAATAAATATAGATGATGACAACTTCTTTGCTGTCTGTGTATGTCCTCATAAGCCTGACTTCTTCAGAGGTTACAGGGCATGAATAGAGAAATTGCTTTAAAAATAATCCTCTGTCATTTTTCAATTTCCATATAAAATTGGTTATTTGGCTCAGAAAGTACTTCGTGAAAGATAAATCATTTTTAAGAAACACTGAACTGCTATTAAGTTTTTTTCCTTATGTGGTAGACATCCCTGCCTTTAAAACAAATACGTACTTTACAAAATGAAGTACAGCAAGAGCATTTGTTCTATCAAAGTTGACAAGAAAACATGTTTGAATGAAGATGCCATCTGTTTCCTGGCCTTAACACCAACATTTCCCTGTTCCTTCCATGCACCTACATACCTCAATGTACATCATGTATTAATAACAGACAGGGTGGCAGATGCTCCCATTTCTGCTGCCTTTGGAAACATGTAGCAGATTGTATTTAGATATTCCATGATTATATTGCCTCATATTGAACAACTATTGTAGACTTATGCTCCTCTAAGTAGCCAAAGCCTAGTACCAGCCCACGGCTTTTTATGTTACCTGAAGGGACTGGCTGTGGAGCTGTATTTAAAACCAAGAGGGTATAGCAGCCCTGCCTGGCTTCCTCAGACTTCTTTGTTCTCTCTTCTGTAATAGGCAACTCTGGCCTTAAACATTCTATTTTTGAGACACCCTCTGTCACCCCCACCGGAGTGAGTGGTGCAGTCATAGCACATTGCAGCCTCAAACTCTTGGGCTCAAGCCATCCTCCCACCTCAGCCTCCTGAGGAGCTGGGACTACAGGCATGTGCCACCATGCCCAGCTAATTTTTACTTTTATAGAGACAGGGTCTTGCTATGTTGCCCAGGCTGATCTCAAATGCCCGGGGGCTCAAGTGATCCCCCTGCCTTGGCCTCCCAAAGTGCTGGGATTACAAGCATGAGCCACTGTACTCAGCCTTAACAGACATTTTATGTGCTTTTAAAATGTATGTTTTGGTAAACTGCCATGTATCCAGAAATACTTCATTCTTAACTCAAAATATCATGTGTAGATGTACACATGTGTGCACACACACAACCAACAGGATGTTGAAATTGCATTTTTCCTTAAAGATTTTTAACTAAAGTACAGAACCATCCCAGTACTTGAAGTAAATCCAATTTGAGTTTGACAGCAATCAATCTCTACATTTGTTTCAGTAACTCCACTTAATCCACTCACACACATCTCTGTCTTTTTGTACTCTTTGGAGTGTTTATACTTCAAAAGCAATGCTAATAAGCTTTATCATTTCAATACAGTTAGCAGCACAGTATGTGTCTATTGGTGAGAATATTGGTGTCTATTTATAGACCTGTTTTGACAACTCTGCTCTTCCACAATGTATAGGATATATTTTCTATCACATTATTGGATTCGGGTTTAAAATGCAGCATTAGTGTATTTATTAGCTTACACTGAAGGCCCTCTGTTTACATGTAATCATACTTTTTAGCATAAACACCTTTGGTGAGCATAATGTGTCCTGCAGTTACATGTGACAGTTCTCCTGCTTCTCCTTCACCTTGTCCGATCTTTTATACATTTGCTGAATACCTTTCTGCAACAGGACTTGAATGGCCACTCCTGTGGCACAATAAATCTAATCAAAGGTGTGCTCTGGAGAAGATGGAAATATTAATGTTGATATTCAAGGAGAAACAGGGGCTTGGGGCACAGGAGAAGAGGACCTAAGGAGCATGGGCTGTTCTGAATTGTGGGTGTTACTAGGAATATTATCCAAATAGTATCTAAGTTACCCCACAAACATGGCTTCATAGAGCATATTTCAAACACTCATTACCATTCTGGACAATGTCCAGAAACACTGCCAATGAGGAAAGAGCTGAGGGGCCTTTCCTCCTGCCCACCCCAGCTGCAAAACAAAAACGATTTTTAAAAAGAGGGGGAAAAAACTGATCCCATATTGTTCCTGGGCACAGAGTTAGTATTAAAGTGGAGAGGTACAAAGGGATTGATTTTAGCATTATAATAGGATGCAATTTGTACCTGGAGTTGCCCACTAGTGGGACGAATGACCTTGGGAACTCCATGGCACTGATGTTTCCGTGGGGTGTCGCAGATGTTCTTCTGTATTGGAGGATGAAATTGGCCCAGAGCAATGGTTCTTGAAGCTGGCTGTACTTCGGAATCACTTGAATTTCTATGAACTGAAGATTTCTGGGCCCCACATCAGACTTCATAATCAGAATATCCAAGATGGGAGCTCTAAATATATGTCATTTATAAACTCCCCAGGCAATTCAGATGGGCAACCAGCATTGGGAACCACCCATAGCACTGAACTCTAAGCTCTCATTCCAGACAGAATTTCTGCTCCAGATGCCTACGACAGTAACAGTAATACCTTCATCGTCAGATCTGTTTCTTTTTCCGTGCCTGAGCTTTGCTTTCCTTGGTCTTGGCTTTACTTTCAGCCAGACTCTCTCCAAGGGGTGGTAAACCGACAACTAACAGCTCCAGGCTAGTCCCTTCCAAGTAATACTCATTTGCCAAAATCTTATGTTTTGCATAATATAGATGCATGAAACTAGGAAGAAATTTAGGGGATTATGTGCTATTAACCCACAATTATATGAAAGTTTGCTTCCTTACAGAAAGGGAGCAGCTGGTCTCATTTCCTCCTGAGAACAGCACAAGATAAAATGAGTTGGGTTTAGACACAAAGACAAGTACCTCGTCACTGAAGGTCATCTAACTTCAACTATGTTACTGAGGACAGACACAAATATTCCCTTCCAGGAATCTCTGGAAACTATATGGGTTTCTCCATGCTGAAGAGGGCTAAGTCCTGCCTACAGGTCAGATGCTCCGACGGCACTAGATTCTATATTAACTTTCGGCCCCCAAATGCATCTGCAATTTAGACTGCTTCCTCAGGTCTGACTTCAGTGTCTCTCTAGGATAGGGTGTGGCTGTGTCTGGCAGCAGAGATTGTTGTAGTGGTGGCCAAGGGCCTGGCTTTAATTTTCACATATAAAAAATTGTTTTTGTCTTTCTTTGAAATCAGGGAAGAGGGAAGTGATTGGACTTCATAGTTGTTTTGTTCATTTATTACCTAACTCCCCTGCCTGGAATGAGACAGAACTAATTTGATTGGGTCAAGGATATACTCCCCAATGCCTAGAACTTTCATCGAATAAATAGAAAATAACTGGCTTTAAAGCTGGGAAGAGAAGGGAAATATGTGACTAGCCCGTGGCTGCTTCTCACGAGACTTGGAATGTGGAGTGAATGCAGCACCTGACCCAGCATAAGGTCCCCTCCCCTCCCCACCAGAGCAATGAGCACCAAGAAGAGCTGGTGGTCTGCGAGCTGTGCTCGCCTTGTGGAGAGGTCACTTGGGTCAGCCTCAAACTGAGTCACAGGCAACTGCATATCATCCATATGAGGAAGCTGGGAAGGTGGTAGGGAAGAGCGGATGGTGGGCCAGTGCCAGGTGGGGTAGGGCTCTTCACTACACAGCAAGTAGGTACTCCATGCAGTGTCCAGAGCTCCGTGCTGTCAAGTCAGGGAACCAAAGAGAGATATTTATTAAGCCGGTGTCAGTGCAATGTGACTTCCTGGGCTAATTGATCAAAAGCCTGCTTGTCTTCTCTTCCTCCTTTTGCTTCTCATTGATCTCTAATAACACTCTCATCTTCTGACAGATCAATGTTACAAATGAAAAGCAGCTATTTTCCCTGTAGAAATCCAAATTCACTGGACCTTCCTTGGCCCTTTCTAAGATTGTATTTGACAGAGAATGCCCTGTCTTCATGGCAATCAGTTGCAAGAGTGATCGAGGTAGAGACTGGAGTGCCAGGATGGGGATGGTTTGAAGATCTATTCCACAGGTAACCTGTCCTCCCTTGGGAGTGGTCAGCTAGTCTCGACCATGCCCAGCAAAAATGTCTTTGTAAACAATCTTTTACAATTTACACTTAGGAGACAATGGAGTGGGTATCTTGGTTTTTTTTTTTTAACTTAGAATTTTTTGCCACCCACTGTCTAAACATGACAGACCAAATCTTCTAAAGTGTTTAACACCCACAGCCTGGCAACTTGGAGTAGAAAAACTCACGCACAATATACGCTTTCAAGAGTATTTTTAGTTTATTCCATGAAGTGACTTATTTTATTCTTGTAAAAACCATTTAACTGTCAGCAATGGTTCATGTCTGCTAAGTTCTGCAATTCCCACGAACAACTCAGTTCAAGACAATGAACAGCTTCATCTGAATTTGTTTGTCTCAGTCATAGCAGGCTCACAGACACCTGGTGGGTGTCCCTTGGTTTACCAAGGGAAGCAGTGGCATCTGTTCTCCTAGAATAAAAGTCCAAATCCTCCTCTAGACTAGAGTACATTTAGTTCTACCTGGTGTGGTATATTTGCCTGACATAATGTGTGGGATGTATCATTTTCTTTGGCGGGGGGGAAAAGATGGCAGAGCTAAGCTGGGTAATTTGAAGAGTTTTAAAAACTACTCACAGTGATGTGGGCACGGTGTTAGGAACTAGAAGGAAATTTCCAGGGCTAGCAACAGCAGGGAGTCACTACTCTTGGTCAGAGGGGGGATGGAACAGTTACACCATCCCAGGAAGAACAGCTGCAAGTGGAGCTGGCCTAGCCCAGAGCTCGCCCTCTGCCCACTCTCCAGTCTCCTGCCAGCAGCTCCTGTCAGCCAAACCCCATCAGAAGCCAGAAGGCAAGGGAGCCCGCTGAGGTAGCCTCCAGGGGCACAGAGCAGGTTGGCCACAGGATCCCAAGGCAAGTGGAAGATATGCAGCAAGTGACAAGGATGGAGGGAGACAGGGGTGATCCACTGAATGCTCCCATTCATCTGTGTTCATTCCTTCGTTCAGACATGTTACTTGCTAAACACCTTCTATAAGTGAAAGCACCTTGGAAGACACAGGTGAAGCATGGTAAATGGTCCCTTCTTTCAGGGTGCCCTTAATTGATTGGGAAGACTAGGGATCCCCACACAGAATGCCAAAATAAGCGCTAAGCTGCCAGGCAGAGCACTGCAGAGCTCATCGGTGGGACAGGAGTTCGCAGGCGGGAGAAGGCAGTGTGGGCTCTGGAGGAAGGTGGGTGCAGGTGGGAGCGTAAGAGGATTTTAACAGGTCCCAGGCGGGGTGGCAGGAGAGTCCTGAACTCTTCAGTTCCTGCCTCAGCACTTCTGTGGAGTGAGGGACTGGCCTCATGATTTTTTAATGAGTTCTAAGACTGTAGAAAAACTTTAACTACATATACCTTTTTACTGAGTATTTACAATGTGCCAGGCGATTTACCATAATCTTTTGTCAAGGCCTTACAGCACTGCTTTGATGGATGTTATTTCCCACATTTTATGGATGAGGACAAGTGAAACTCTCAGAGGCAGGGTGTTTTATCTAAGGTCACATCTAGTGGTACAGCAGCTTGGATTCAAAGCCAGTTGTTTCTGACATCAAATTCCAAGCTACTAACCTCCTTAAGGATAAAGGACAATTAGCAACAGTATCAGCCCTGGGTTGAAACATTTTTCCGATATCCTCATGTGCTCTCAGATGCCTGGCACCTAGAACCTGGTCCCCATTTTAAGAAGCTGTCTGACTTATAAAATTGGTTTCCACATGAGCTGCCTGCACTTAGGTGTATGTAGTATTCACATCTGAGGAAGTCTGCATGGGCTGCTGTCTCTGTATTATCTCTGTTTAAAGTCCCCTAATGATTTCTCATTTGCCCTGAATCCATGAACTGTGTAGACAGACAATGGCCTCCTTCTTCCTCTGATAAGATTTTCTACTATCCACCATGTTCTCACTCAGCCCCAGCCACACTGGCTTTTTCTTTGACAAGTTACATTCTTTCCCCCATAGGTTCTTTGCCCTAGGTATTCCATCTGGAATCTTCTCCCTGTAGATCTTTACGGATTGGTTCCTGTTATTCACTCAACAGAAATGTCCGAGTCCTTTTTCTGATCATGCCCCATCATGGTTCCCCATTCAATCTCTGAATCACCACCTTGTCTTATTGTCACTGTAAGATTCATCACTGTCTGATATTTGTTATTGGTTTACTCTGTCCACATGAGGGCTGGAAACTTTTGCTATCTTAGGCAATGCTAGATAACTGTGCCTCAAGTAGTATCTGGATCCTTAAATGTTTTCCAAATGAATGAATTCATGGAGATGAAACCTGGCTCTGAAAAGTAGTAACAGTAGGGTATATTCATTATTTTATACTTGCCCATGTGTCAAGTGTTATTTGTACTTATATTTGAAGATGAGCAACGTGAAGTTTAAAGATGTCCAAGGATGGGCATTTGTGTTGGCTCCAAGTCTTTGCTATTGTAAATAGTGCTGCAATAAACCTATGTGTGGATGTGTCTTTATAGAAAGATTTATAATTCTTTCGTATATACCCAGTAATGGGATTGCTGGGTCAAATGGTATTTCTAGTTCTGGATCCTTGAGGAATCACCACAAAGCTGCAAACCATCATTCTCAGCAAACTAACACAGGAACATAAAACCAAACACCACATGTTCACACTCATAAGTGGGATTTGAACAATGAGAATATGTGGACACAGGGAAGGGAACATCACACACCAGGGCCTGGCGGGGGGCGTGAGGGGGTAGGGCAAGGGGCAAGGGGAGGGAGAGCATTAGGACAAGTATCTAATGCATTCGGGGCTTAAAACCTACGTGATGTATTGATAGGTGCAGCACACCACCATGGCATATGTATACCTACGTAACAAACCTGCACGTTCTGCACATGTATCCCAGAACTTAAAGATGTCCAAGGATATGCAAGCAACAGGACTATAACATACACCTCTTGAAGCTAAGTCATTGGCTTTACAAATCCACTATTGCTGCTTATATGTTTTATGGCTGTGATTGGGAAGCTCCCAACCCCCACAAGTACAGTAGCTTAAATAAACATTTTTCTCTCACATGTTATTACAGAATTCAGTGTCTGTCAGTCAGAAAGTGATGTCCATCCCTGGATCCAAGTTGGCTGTCCCAGTTGTTGGCATTTCCTAGCCAGTTGAAAGGGGGAAAGAGGGAGTGGACAGCCCAAAGCTTCCTTAGGAAGACATGATGGGGAAGTTGCACACACCGCCTTCACAAGAGATATAGGAGAAGCTAGTTTGGGGAATGTATGCCCAATTAAAACTTGGCGAGTTTTGTTACGAGAAGGAAGAGGAGAGTAGATGTAGGGGGCAATGAGCAGTCTGAGACCTTGTCACAAGCCATCAGATGATACAGGTTATCACCGTAACCATTTTACATAGGAGAAACAGGGGCTCAAAGAAGTTCACCATTGGCCAGCCTTAATGAAATGGTTTTCACCATTAGTGAAATAGCAGAAATCATAATATTCCACTTTAGTTCCCCATTTCATCATTTCACACACAGATACCACTTCATGTTCTGTGCTCAGATGAGATTAGCCAATTTTAATCCTGCTACATCATTCAGCCTTGATCTCTTAGAAGTTTAAGAGTGATTAAAACACTCTTAGAAGTGTTTCAATCAAAATGGACAAGGAAGTAAGCAGAGGTGAGAGCCCAGAGGGCTGGGACGCTGTCTGACCCTTTGACAGCATAGCTTGCCTCCTTCTGTATACTGGGCTCCTGGGGAGACTGCCTTCAAAGGCTGTATACCCAAATAAGGTAGGACTCGGGTCTCAAGCAGATGGGGTTGAGTGTACATTGGGGGCTTTGTAAATAATGAGAGTCAGGTTCTCTGGTTGCTGAGCAACAAACAGGTCATCAGTAGGTAGAGTAGTCACAAGTTCTTGTTTGCTGGGACAGTCCTTGTTTACAGCTGTTGTCACAGTGTAATTAAGAATGCCCCTCTCAAAACTGCACCAGTTTAAATAAATTATAATGTACCCTACCGATAGGCCTATGTTACCGCTGACACTCAGGCTTAAATGTTTTGGGGCAAAAACACTTTGGAAATGTTGAACAGCTAAGCAAGAGAGATGCCTGACATGCCTTAATTCAAGTCTGTGGATTTGATTGCCATTGTGAAGTCCCAGTGAGAAATTGCTAGTTATTTCCTGGTTCAAATTAGTGGAAATTCCATTCTGCTGGGTAAACCCAAACAATCTAGTTATAAAGGTAATTTTGTTATCTGTTCTTAGATTATCAAACAGCATGTCTTTGTTTTATACTGTAAATTAATGATTAAAATATCTAGAAACAGAAGCATGCATAGTCACAAATTATCCAAACTACATAAGACTTTATAAAAATCTGTAAGACACATTTAATAAGTAACCTAGAATTCATCTATTTCCCGTCTATGCCCTTTGGTTTCAATGACACTTTTCAGAATACTGAGTGACACTGCACATGGAATTTCAGAAATGTTCTGAGTTAATCAAAATGTACTCAATTTGTAGCACAACAATTTTATTTCCCAGGGGTCATCACCACCACTCCATATCTAAGAACCTGATAAAAAATCCTGGAGATTTGTAAAATGAGTTCTCAAGGAACTTTGGAGTAAGAAAGATGTAGCTAAAGATCAACACATAAAAAGGTCTGCTTCTTGAAGTTGGAATGAAACACAGGAAATATTCATTATCTAAGAATGGGTAAAAGAATAAAAGCTACTTAAGGTGAATTCACTCACAATAGCAACCAGAATTTCATAGTACGTGATGAAAACAAAGGTTTGATAGAACTAAAAAACTACATTTTTGTATAACTTTCCAACAAAATTGTAGTTCAGCATATACCATATTTTACTTAATGCTTGATTTTTTGCAACATGACCACAAAGAGGATGACTTAGCCTCACTTTTGAAAGCCTCAGCATGTGCAATTTTGAGCAGTTCCATTCACTTCCATCAGACATTACTTCTATGAAATCCTGAATATTTCACAAGATTTACATTTTTATTTTGCAGATCAATTGACATTGTGTTAACAGTGCATTGTTGAATATTCCAGACCACGAATCATACTGGAACCTAAATAAAGACACTGATATGATTGGTGGGAATCAACACGAAATGGAGAATATTTGAACAGGGAATAATTTCATGACTGTTCGGTCTATTAGATAATATCTTTCAAGTCCCTCATGTCAACGAGCAACAGCAGCAAGGCTGTAAGTAATGAACTCTGGACTTATCGAGGACACCCTATACTTTAGGCTTGAGTCCTAACTCCAGCTTGCACTCTGGTCTTGAACAAGTCACTTTGTCCTCCAAGCCCAAGAAAACCAGATTTTTGTGGGATCCAAGGGGTTCTGTATAAATGCTTTAATGGACATGTTCTGAGGACGTGTGCTCATACATTTCCTTCAATTCAAGAGTCCAAACCTCGAATCTAAGGTCTTTCACATGGTTCCTAAAGTTGCTCCCAGCACTCACATTCTCTGGTTTCTGATTGAATTCTCAGTGGGGAATAAAAGTAGAAGATTAGATTAAATGCGGGGTGCAGCGGGGGGTGGGCGGTGCAGGGGGAAGTCTTTGAACTGTTACCTGTCGTCAGTGTTGAAACGTAGGTAGGTAATCCATCTATTCTAACACACAATCTACTCTCCAGAAACTCCTTGAAACTTATTTTACAGAAATACAGAGGCTGGGTGCAGTGGCTCCCAAAGTCCCAGCACTTTGGGAGGCTGAGGCAGGTGGATCACCTGAGGTTGGGAGTTTGAGAGCAGCCCGACCAACAGGGAGAAATCCTGTCTCTACTAAAAATACAAAATTAGCTGGGTGTGGCGGCACATGCCTGTAATCCCAGCTACTTGGGAGGCTGAGGCAGGAGAATCGCTTGAACCCGGGAGGTGGAGGTTGCTGTGAGCCGAGATGGCGCCATTGTACTACAGCCTGGGCAACAAGAGCAATACTCTGTATCAAAAAGAAAAAAAGAAAAGAAAAAAATGGAAAAGGAAAAAATGGAAGAGGAAAAAATGGAAAAGGAAAAAATAGAAAAAAAAAACAGAAAAGAAAAAACAGAAAGAAAAAATAGAAAAGAAAAAAGAAAAAAGATTTTTTGAGTTTATGGTTTCAGGGGAGTCAGGATGCTGTATGGAATACTTAATGATGTATATACAATTGCAAATCATTAGAAATACTGGGCACTCAGCTGAATCTATTTTTAAGGACTTAAAACATCACTAACTACTATCCTATATAAGTAATGATGACTAAAATATCATTGTACTCATCAGGCTAGGAAAACAAAAATAGCATGTACTATTTAATATGGGTAGAGTGAGTCGGCTTTCTGAGAACAGTAACTTGGCCTCTTATACAATTATTCCAAACCTTGGCATCATCATAGCTGTAACTTTATTAAAGACTAAACAGTAAACTAAGAAAACCTCAATGTGATATTCTTGTAATAGCAAATAGAAGAAATAAATTGTTTTGATGGACCAGCTCCACTTTCAAGGCTCTTTAGAATCTCCTTTGATGGACTTAGAAGATTTGAGTTGCATTTATTCATCATCTGCTCATCAGGAATGGAGGGACTCAGGGAAATCTGGCATGATAGTTCTACATTAGTGTATGGCTGAACTCATGAAAGCTTGAGTGACAAGGTTCAGTGGTGGATGGGCTAAAGCCAAGGGTTTTAGGAAGTTATTTTTTATTTAGCACTCTTAGCCAAATAGAACCTGTCTGTCAGTGTGGGGTTTGAGAACTTTATGTAAAAACTTGAAGCAGGTTATGGAGACTGTTAATTCAAATAGAATCAGAGGCTAGGACATGGAAACTTGTTAAAGCAATTTACTGAGCTGATTTCTCAGAAATTTTTGGAATTTTAAAGGACTCCAGGAGATCAAGTTTGTTGGGCTCCTGAGCAGACCATACTTCGTAACAGATGGTAAGAGACATGTGAATGATTGAAGCTGTATAGAAGAACAATGAGCAGGCTGGGCACGGTGGCTCACGCCTGTAATCCCAGCACTTTGGGAGGTGGAGGAGGGCAGATCACTTGAAGCCAGGAGTTCTAGACCAGCCTGGCCAACATGGTAAAACCCTGTCTCTACTAAAACTACAAAAATTAGCTAGGCGTGGTGGCACACACCTGTAATCCCAGCTACTCAGGAGACTGAGGCACGAGAATTGCTTTTACCTGGGAGACAGCGGGTGCAGTGAGCCGAGATCATGCCAGTGCACTCCAGCTTGGGCAACAAAGTGAGACCATCTCAAAAAAAAAAAAAAAAAAGGTGGGGTGGGGGGTATCGTTTACCAATTCAAGTATGTGCCAGTATTTAGATTAAAACTGAACATAAAGTAACTGACAATAGGAATTACTTTCTATTGAACTGCCATGAGATTAAAATCAGATTTTCAAAAATTACACTGAAGTGAAAGTAAATTAACAGTCTCAGAAGACATCTGGAGGTTCTAATGGCTATGTAAGGATGGACATTTTTGTTACTTGCTTCCCCAGCATTTATTTCTCCCTTTTTAGTAGTAGCTCCCATTTTTCATTGGGATCCATCCCTTCTCCATTATCGGCCTGTGGGACACCATCCAAGGCTCCATGGGGTGGACTCTGCTCAAACACGTGACTCTGGATTTAATCACGCCAATCATGACACCATCTCCTTTTGGTTACAGTGACTCAAAGACTAATGGGTGTGACCAGAGTGGATGGTGAGTCGCTGGACTTTCTGGGAGGCTACTGAAGAAACTTTCTAGAGCCAAACCTAGGAGGGTGTGAGGATGTAGCTGCTTTACTACCTTGAAAGCAGAACAGGGAGATTTCAGGCATCATCTGGAGAAGACTGAGGATGAAGACAGTCAGACATTGAAGAGAAACTGAATCCTAGAGGCCCCATTTAAGCCCCGAACCCAGCCATGCTGAATGCCAGGTGACCCCTGACTCTTCAGCTCTGTGAGGCAATAAATTCCCTGCTTAGTTCCAGCTTAGACTCAGTTTCTATCACTTAGAACAAAATAATCGCGATTAAATGTACTTGCCCTTGAGTTTTGAATATATTTCAGGATGAGCATATCAGGCAACTGTTTCTTAGTTGACCAAATTTCAAAAACTGCTGAGAATAACTACAACTGGTGCTTGTGTTGCATGACTCCAGGGGTGCTGTTCAGAGACTACCCAACAAAGAGATTCCCCAAATCCTAAGGAAGGTGCAAGAAGGTATGAACCCCAGTTCTCTGGAATCTAATTCTGGTCAATGAGGCTCTGAGAAATCTATCTTCCAAAAAAGCCACTAAAGTAAAATGGGAGAACAACCAATGAACTAAACCTGGGATTAGAATTGAGGTGTATCCTGCCTGAAAAAGATCTTACAGTTCAAGAATATTTTGTAAGCTAAGTATTAATATTTTCACTTAATCAAAACTAAACAACCAGCATGAAACCTGTAAGTATATTTTTATGAAACTGTGAGACCTGTCTTATTATATGTAGTAAAAATATGAACTTTAGGTCATTGGCCCACTACTTTAATATGGATAGCTTTGCCTTACAAAATGCTGAAGGTAGACAATAGTAATGACAGACTTTTTTTTTTTTTTTTTGAGACAGGGTCTTGCTCTGTCACCCAGGCTGGAGTGCAGTGGCATGATCTCAGCTCACTGCACCCTCTGCCCCGCCAGGTTCAAGTGATTCTCATGCCTCAGCCTCTGGAGTAGCTGGGTTTACAGGTGCGTGCCACCATGACCAGCCTTTTTTTTTTTTTTTTTTTTTTTTTGGGTAGAGATGGAGTTTCACCATGTTGGCCAGGCTGGTATTAAACTCCTGACCTCAAGTGATCTGCCCCCTCGGCCTCCCAAAGTGCTGGGATTACAGGTGCGAGCCATCGCACCTGGCTGAATTTCTAAGAGATATGTCCTCCCCATAAAAATCTCACAGATTTAATCCTAACTGCTAAGTTGAGAAAACTCATTGGAAGCACAGGCTTCTTCAGAAGAGTTTACAAAGCTGGGTGGCAAGGTCTTCCCCATCATCATGCCAGTTACAGGATGACTGGTGGCTCAAATGGATGGCTGAGGACTCCTAGAACCTTCAACAGCTTTCTCCGAGTCCCCAACTACTACCACAAAATGTCCTCCCCATAATCCCCTAAAATGACATCACTTAGAGTTCCCTTTGTGTTGTTGAACACCTGCAGGTTCCTAGCCAGCCAAACTTGAATGTGGTTACTTTAGCCAGCTTGCTGAATCAAGCATGGAACTGGGGAAAGTGGAAATAGGATATCAACGGAAAGCATGTCCCTCTTTGGACAGGATTAAATTGGTTGAGGGAAGGAATCGAGAAAGCAGCATGTATTCAACTTTCTCTTCTACCACTTAGAGGCACTTACACGTTATTTGATCTAACCTTTCATTCAGCCCTTTGAGGTAGGCATCATTAACCGCCCCCACTTTTTTTTTTGAGACAGAGTTTTGCTCTTGTTGCCCAGGCTGAAGTGCAGTGGCGCAATCTCGGCTCACAGCAACCTCCGCCTCCCGCATTAACCCCATTTTTATAGATAACTCATCAGTTATGCAACCCATCAGTTATGTTTGTGTTTCACAGTGAGATATAACTACAGTGGCTTTCTACAAGAAAAGTGTTTATTTTCTCATGTAACCAGCACAGAGGCAGAAAGGCTAGATATAGCATCACCTGAACAAGACTGAAGTAAGAAAGAAGTGGTGAATGGAGAGTGGAGGTACTAGCAGTACCTAGCACAGCTGATGACAGATTAAGTAGGATACTAAATGTAGACAGTCAGCAAAATAAATAAAGCCAGAATTTGAACCTTGGACCGAACCCAAAGTCAGTGTACCCCCGCCCATATTATAATGACTCTGGATGAGATCCTAAAACTGGAAGGCACAGATTACCTTAGGTTAAGCCATCAGCATGTAGGAGCAGTTACCAAAATAAGCTCTTCATTTCCACCTTCCTCCTCAGAGCTAATTACCACCGCCATCGCTTTCAGCACCTTATCTACCCTTATGTTGTGATTTTCCTCTGATTTGGTCTTGAGGCTGCTCTGGAGAGTGTCTGTAAACTCTAGCCCTGTCCTGAGGAGGCTCCAGGGGAAGTGGTCGTGCAGTGGCATGATCTTGGCTCACTGAAACCTCCCCCTCCTGGGCTCAAGCAATCCCCCCACCTCAGCCTTCCAAGTAGCTGGGACTACAGGCATGCGCCACCACTCCTGGCTAATTTTTTGTAGTGGGGAAGTTTTGTCACGCTGTCCAGGCTGGTCTCGAATTCCTGGGCTCAGGCAATCCACCTGCCTCAGCCTCCCAAAGTACTGGATTACAGGCACGAGCCACTGCACCCAGCCAGGATACTTCTTTATCCTCGTGGACGGCCTAATGCCTAAGTGTGACCCATGACCAGGTGTCCCTCTCACAGGAAACACTGGCAGAAGCCCTTGTGGCTCTTTTCTGGCCTGGGTCTAGTTTATTCCTACCAGGATAGTCACTCTCTGGGAAAACCCTGAGCGGGAGAATTAGATTCAGGTATGTTGGTCAGGTGAGACACAGAGGGGGCCACAAAACAAAATATATGAAATGAGAGAAGCATTTTATTACTTACACGTCCCTGAGGGCCGATGGGAAGTCCAGAGACAGCAGGGCACTCGACCGGCAGGTGGGAAGGGAGAGTGAGGGCTTGAGACTAGGCCTCCATGAAGGCCCACGGGCTTTCCTCTGGCAGTTGTGGATTGGCCAGTTTAAATAAAACAAGTGTGTATGCGGGTGGGGGTGGGGGGGTGGCTTATTTGCCTGACTCCGGTGTTGACCTTAGGTTTCCTCATGGTCAGCAGCTGTGGAGTGAGTTGGGCTTTGGGTTGGTGAGATGAGAAACACATGGGCTCCTCCAGGCATGGTGGTTCATGCCTGTAATCCCAGCACTTTGGGAGGCTGAGGCAAGTGGATCACTTGAGGTCAGGAGTTTGAGACCAGCCTGGCCAACATGGTAAAACCCCATCTCTGCTAAAAATACAAAAATTAGCTAGGCGTGGTGGTTCATGCCTGTAGTCCCAGCTACTTGGGAGGCTGAGGCAGGAGAATTGCTTGAACTGGGAGGCAGAGGTTACAGTGAGCCAAGATGGTGCCACTGCACTCCAGCCTGGGTGACAGAACAAGACTCCATCTCAAAAACAAAAAGAAAAAAAAGAAAAGAAACACACGAGCTCTATCATGCCCCTCTAAGGAAGAGAAGTCACACCTAGACCAAAGGTGGCAGGGTGCGACTGGGTTTCACACAGCTGATGCCGGGTCTAAAAGTGGACGCTGAGGCAGCAGCTATAGTAGACAAGTCATTGACACCTTGAAGATGACGTTTCTAAAGTTTCTTCCTTCAAGAGAACACATGTGCATTGTCTTGTGCTCAGCACCAGCAGGTGTGGACACCAATCGCTCTTCTCACAAAAGCCATCTTTTTAGTTGCCATTGCCAGGGTTTTGAGGGAACTAGAAAGAAGGTCAGGAAGCTAATTAGGGGAGGGATGCACGCTTATGGAAGATAATCTCATGCTGAACATCGTGGTGAAAATTTATCCCTTGAGTCCTTCTTAGAAGGGGGTTTTGCTTTTCTAAGTTGTATTAACTTCATTGTATTTAGCCAACACTCAGGAAAGCATTACAAGAAAAGGTGGCTGTGATGTTTTTTCCCAGATTAAGTTGTCAACCTAATTTTACACAAGTCAATAATAAGAAAATTCTGGCAGATGACTTCTATGAGCAGGTAACATTTCCTCTCCTAGTTATCGACATGGCCCAGGTTCAAAATGGCTCAATGTAGGATGGGAACAAGTGTAATGTGCTTCTAAGTTAATTGTTTTATTTTGAAATAATCACAAACTTACAGAAATGTTATAAGTATGTGACAAATAACTCCTTTTTCCTGGATCTATTTGTAATTCACCAACCTGATTCCCATCACCTCTAAATACTTTAGTATGTATTTCCTACAAACAAGGACATTCTCCTGTAGAAACATGATGTAACTATCAAAATCAGAAAAGTAACCCTTACATATTGTTGCCATCTAAACCTCAGCCTTCCTTCCATTTTAGCCAATTGTCTCCTACGTGTCTTTTATGGCAAAAGGCTCCAGTTCTGAATCATGCACTGCATTTGTCACGTCCCTTAGGTCAACTTTAGTCTGAAACAGTTTCTCATTTTTGTCTTTTCTGACCTTGAATCTGTGAGGATTACAGGCTAGTTACCTTGCAGAGTGTTCCTCAATTTGAGTTTTTCTGATGTTTCTTCATAGTCAGATTCAGGTGATGCATCTTTAGAGGGAATATCACAGAAGTCCTAAATGCCTCTTGTCAGGTGGCACAGGATTTCCATTTAATGGAAACATCATTGATGATGTTTCTTCACTTTGACACTTGAGTCAGGTGATGTCTGCCAGCCATTCCCATTGTAAAGTTACTTTTCTCCTCTGTAATTAACAGGTGTTGGTGGAGAAATCGTTTGAAATTATGTAAGTATCCCATTTATCAAACTTTATTTTATTCACTTCTTTACTTATATCTGAGTGGATTTACATTTCCTATTTTGTTCAACGGGTTATAACCTTTCATTATTGTTTAGTTTGTTGCACAAATTGTCCCGTTTGGCCAGTAAGGGCCCTTTCTAGCCAGCTTCTAGTCTTTGTGATATGTTTCCATCATTCTTTGATCACTTCCTTTTCTGGCTCAAGATGTCCTAGGCTCATCTTTTCTTTTCCCAACCCTGAAATCAGCTATTTCTCCAATAAGCCCTGGTTTCTTTTAGTGGAAGGTGATTTTTAGAGATCGAGATCCGGGTATTAGGATTATCACTACTCCTAGGCATCTCAGCCGACAGAGGTAGGCACTGGATCTGTGTTACAGTAGGTAGCTAGGCAGGCATGAGCAGGGCGGTGGAGGGCTCCCCCTCAACACACACCAGGAGTGTCAGGCAACCAGCAGGTGATGGTCAGGCGGTTGTTAACTGTTTCTCTGAATAATTGGTCACAGCCAGCGGCAGGGAGAGGTAGTCTCCTAATAGATAGAAAACATCTGAAACTGGTCAGCAGCTTCCCAATAAGATCTCAGGAGTGGGGTGAAGTAAAGCAAGATCCCGGAAGTATGCCAACATATAAAACCCTAGGTCAACAGGTCAGGCTGCACATTTGGTTTCTCAAGTTGCTCGCTTGGCCCTCTTCCAAGCTGTACTTTCCTTTCCTCCCTGTTCTAAAGCTTTTTAATAAAGTTTTACTCCTGCTTTGAAACTTGCCTTGGTCTCTCCTTCTACCTTATGCCCCTCAGTCAAATTCTTTTTTCTGAGGAGGCAAGAATTGAGATTTGCCGCTGGTAACTTGGGGGTAACTTGGATACCTGCCACCCCTAACATCTGTCTACACACACACATTTAGAGCTACATTTATACATCTATGGATACGGAAAACCATGGATTCACACTGATACATTAAATTCCCATTCAACACCGTGGCTTCCATCTCATTTTCTCCCTCTCCACATTTGTAACTCCCTTCACTAATGGTGAAAAATCTCAATTCCATATGATTAATATATTTTGTATTTTATCAAATCCCCTGGATGTAACCAACCTCCCACTGACCCATCGCCATGTGCTCCCCTGTACTCACCTCTTGTGGGTCCTAGCTCTCTATAACTGAGCTGCCCCTACGGGGATGCCTTCCTCACCCAGTGTGGCTCTGACACCCTGCAGCAGCCCCCCCGACTTCCACCCTCTCCCTCCCACTGCCTGGCATCCTCAGCTTGGGGTTCGATTCTCTGTGCTGGGCCATTCTCTTCAGGGACACTGTCCATACTTACTTGGGCTCCAATACTCTGTAGGACTTGAACACACCATGCTGAGCTGCCCCTCTGCAGGACTGCCTCCTGACCCTGTCCTGATGCAGGCACTGCACTCTGTGCCACTGTGGTTTCCTTCACCCTGGCGCCCATACAGTCTTCGCTCTGCCCTACCTAATGGTTTTAGCACTGAATTGTTCAGGAAGGAAAGAGAATGAGAAATAAGTCATGAGATCTGGATTAAAACAAAATTTAGAAAATAGCATTGGAACTCGAAATGAACCATGACCTTTGACTTGAAAGAAAGAAAAAGAGAAGGAATTTTGGAGGCCTCCAGGCCAGTGGTCATTTCCTCTGTTGAGGGCAGTGGATTAAGTGGTATTTATGTGTTTAAAGGGGCAGATCCCTGCACAGTAGAAGTGGTTTTCCCCCTAATACGTAAAGGAGACAATAGATCTAGAGAATGCCCACTGTTGGTCTAGCCTTGGAACAACAGAGGTGGTGCATCAGCTTAGTTTCTCAACACCAGCTGCACCCATAGTGGATGACCACGCACATCCTTCAGAGAGGCCTCAGGACCTCCTGGCCCATGGCTCTGGCTTCTGTGACTGCCCTAGCAACTTGACCCTCAAGGATTCTTTTCTTCCGCTACATAAAAGATAATCTCATAGGAGGCTTCATCATTTATCTTCAAAGCTTTAAAAATAAATTTGGACATTGTGTTTACTGCACGACTTACTTGAAACTGCTGCTGTTTAGGAGAGTGGATTTCAGTATTATTCATGAATTCTGTGAGAATCTAGATGGTTGTTTCACACTAGGCAGAAATTTCAAATGATTATAAAGGAAAACATGAGTCTTAAAATAACTTGGTATGTTTATTTAGAAACACAGGAGGTAATGGAAGTTTGTATTAGTATGTTTTAGCAAAGCCTTATCAAGATGGACACTGGGAACTCCTGACAACAACATGGCACAATGACTGGCCTCTCAGGCTGTGTACCTGGCCTCTCGTCCTTAAGCAGAGCACAGCACAGCCTAACAGCCCCTCTCAAGAAATAGCAGTGAGGAAGGAGTTCGTGCTATGCCTGCAAATTCCCCAGGAGAAAAGCCTTGGTTTGTTTTAGAAAACATATTTGCTTGTTTTTATATTTCTAGAAAAGATTAGCAAAATTCTTGCCCTTTAGAGTTTTTAAAAAGGTAAAATAGAATTGTGATTGGGGGAAATGTTAGCACTTAGTTTCTGTCTTGAGTAAAATCATAAAGCAAGATTCTCCAACCCATGGCCCACAGGCTGCATGCAGCCCAGGATAGCTTTGAATGTGGCCCAACACAAATTCATAAATTTTCTTGAAACATTATGAAATTTGTTTGCATTTTTTTTTAAAGCTCATCAGCTATCATTAGTGTATTTTATGTGTGGCCTAAGACAATTTTCCTCCTTCCAATGTTGCCCAGGGAAGCCAAAAGATTGGACAGCCTTGTAGGTCAGAACACTCCTCGCCTCAGAGGGGCCTCCTTCCTGCAGTGCCAGCGAGGACCTGTGAGGCTCTGCTGGGACGCAGACGCAGACAGGCCGCCCCACCTCAGCCTCACTGCCTTGTGAGCCCTGAGGCCCAGGAATGTGCACGACTAGAGACTCCATTCTTAGTTTGAGGGCTGGAAGCAGTGGGATCATGAGTGGGTATTTCCAGGTCCTATAATGATAGACAATTAAGGAAAACTGAAACCCTTCAGCCAGCCTCAGGACCCGAGAGTCCTGTGTTCTCTGTTGTGATCAAAGAAACAAAGTAAAGTGTGTCCCGAAAAGTCACTCAGCCCTAATTATGGCAGGACTCAAAACAGAGGGAAAGAAAGTAGTGATCCTATGACAGGATACCTTGCTTATAAGGTGGCTTTCTAAGCAAAAACCATGAATAAATTATAATCGAAAATTTCTACACAAAAATATTTGAGGATAAATGGAACTGTGTTCACTGGGCACTTAAAACACATACACACAAGGCATAATATCGGTGGATTAACTTTGCTTCAAGAAATAACATAGATCGTGCAAGTCCCTGTGTGGTTAAGATTTTTGGCAGAAAAAATAAGCAATCTTTGTCCAAACTTTAGTGTGTGTAAGAATCTCCCAGGAAACTGTTAATAATGCAGATTCCTCAGCTCCACCCCCAGAGATTGCTTCACACGTCCACGGAGCAAACTGTAATAGACAACAAATTAGGGAGAAAAGAGGAAGGGTATCATAGTCGGCCAGGACTGTTTAGTGTGATGGAGGCCTGGGGAGCCCAAGTCCCTCATTGTTGAGCTGCAGATAGCCAGGAGAAAGGCATGGGTGTACCTCCTTTGAAAAGAACAAATTTACTAAATTATAAAAGTAATATATTATATTCAGTTAGAGAAAAGAAACAACTAATACTATTATCCAATTACTCTAACATGTTAACTCTATTATTACCTCATTCCCGTCTTTTTAACAGATGCCTAATTTTACACAATCAGAGGACATGCATTTATAAATTGCCTCCTCCTTTCCTCTCTGTTTTATTGCACATAAGCCCTATTCCATGTCTCCTCCTGGTCTCCCTAAACATAATCGTAATGAGCTCCATGTTGTCCTATTGGTTTCAAGGTCACTTACTTTATCATCATCCAGCTGTTGAACGTTTACTTTGCTTCCAGCGTTGCCATGTTGAATACCTTCATTCCTAGAACCTTTGACCTTCGGTTCCAATCTGAAGGTAGATTCCCTTCATCCTTCGGATCTGTTTTTTTTAACCCACTGAATGCTCTTCTCTTGTGATCTTCCTCTCAAGTCAGGGCCCAGGTACAGCCTACTGGCCTTGAGAGCAGTGCTGCAAAGGGCTGGGGGCAGTGGAATTTTCACCGAGTCCAACTACTGAAGGATGCTAAGAAGGAAGGGAATTTTTTTTTTCTGTGCTAGAGATTGTCCAGATCTCTGGAATAATTGTAAAAAAACAAACAAAAATAAACAAACAAGAATCTCTCAGGGACCAAAGAAGAGCTTATAGAATTAAAGAAAGGAGGCTTTTTGGAATGAAAGGAAAGGAGAAAAACGGAAAATAAAACACAACCTGAAAGCTTGAAAAATGATAACAGCTAATGCTTATTGAGTTCTTTTTTGGGGACTTTGAGGGATCTGAGGAAATGGTGTCCCTCTTTCCTGATCCGCTTCTAAACAAACAGAGGAATAAGAGAAAGGAGTGGCAGATAGTGGCCAAAGCTGCACCTTTGTTACTGATATAGGCTGAGGAAGGAAATGGTTTATTTCTGTAGGCAAATGCTTTTCTCCAGAGCCACTTCTAGGGCGCGCAAGGTCCTGGGCAAATATTTTTGTTGGGTTCCTGTCTACATAAACAATTTGACTTAAAAATATATTACAAAATTCATGAGCCCATGTGTGATACTGTGATTTGTCAATGAAGATTTAGATCAAATAATGAATGAAGAAGTCCTTCCATGTGGAAGGAAACATCAGGAATGGGGAAAACGTGTTCCTACCCAACACTGACTATGTGCCAGATCCTAAGTACTTTACATATGTGAACTCACTCATAATAACCCTAGATAGAAAACCATCTGTTCATGTTTTATAGATGAGGCAACAGGTACATGGAGGTTGAGTAAGCTGCTCAAGACTTCACAGCTAGAACGTGGTAGGACTAGGATTTAAGCTCAGTCAGCCTGGCTGATGAAGGAAAGAAGGAATGAAGGAGAGACAGGAGAGAGGGAAGAAGGGAAAAAGAAAAGTGAGAAAAGGCAAGTGCCTGTCACCTCTAGAGCAACTGGCAGGATTGTTTAGTTCCTTCCAACTTGGAGTCTGTAAATAAATATTGCCTCAGCTTCCCTCTTTTTAAACTCAAGAAAGTTTGCCCAGAACAACCTAAATTTGTATTCCCATTTGATAGGAAAAAATATTCGTTTTAGGTGCAATCAAGCTTATCTTCACTTTTGTAGAGATCATCTCTGACATTAACAAGTTGCCAGAGAACGCTGTTACTCAATTTATAAGACAAAATGTTCCCTTCATTGTCTTTATTTTTTTACCCAGCAGATTTCCTACTTTAAGACCAGGAGGCAATTACCGGCTCCTAGTGATCATCAATCAGTGTTGTCATCCTTAAAGAGCTCAAAATTTCATCCTGTACTTCTATTTTCATAAAGTGCTGGCTGCAGAGCAAGCTCTCAGAAATGTCCCTGCTTCCCCACGCCAAGTTTTAGGTCTTAAAACTGACCCAAAACCGAAGCAGAGAAACAGAAACTCACAAACAGAAGGCTTGCTCTGCTTATTTAAGTCATTATTTTCCCACTTTGCTGGTGGAAGAGTATCTGGGACAAAGCAGGTTGTAGGCAAATGCTACCTATTCAATGAAGGCCATTTTTTCTGACCTCACCGTAGCTGCTGCCTTGACTCACCAGAGAATTACAGTGAGTACAGGTGAAAGGAAAGCAGGAACAGTATTTGGCATAGTAGAGAAAACTGTTAGTAGTCAGAAGAACTAAATTCAAGTCCTAGCTCCAACACTGGTTGGCTGTGTATGATCTTGGGCAAGCCACTGTTTCTTCCTTAAGGGAGCTAATATAGTGGTTATTTAGATCATTAATTTTTTATTGATTCTCAGCACAAAGCAGTCAATGAACAGACAAGCATCTTTCACCAAGTTGCTTTGGCAACATTCTCTCAGGCTCCTGTTAGGCGCCTGTTCCTAGAGATGATGAGGCTATGGGTATTCATTAACCAAAGGGATTAACCATCTGGGATAGAGACCAATTAGGACAGAACAAGATCATGTAGAGTGGATTTAGTGTGAGACACAACAGGGACCCGATGTTTATCCCTGGTCAATCACAACTTGCTTTCTACCCAGCCCTTACCAGGCTTTAGAAATACAACAGGCTTCCTTTGACCACATCATTGTTCTTACCTATTTACAGGTGCGGACAGTGGTCACTGACACTGTGGACACCATAGGGGCTGGCAAGAAAAAAAATGATGGAGGCAGAATTCTGTCTGCAGTGGATATAAAAGTAACATAAATTGCATCTGCTGAGATCAGGTTTTTTTTCCAGGTAAGAGAGTAAATCAATTTCATGTTCAGGCTCCTCTCCTTAACCTCTTCAGGATTATTCTCTGTGATTGTTAATACAGATAATTACCAACTTCTAAGTTTTTTGATCCAAATGTTTAGTGTTTTCATCTCCGATGAAATAATGTTTAAAGGGTTATTGAGTTCACAAGGTTAGTCTGCAAGAATTATTAGTCATGTCACTAAAATTTATTTTGTTTGTACTTACCTTGAGTATTAACTCACTCACCTATGCAGTAAGCAATATAACAAAGCAGTTAAGGGCATTGGGTTGGAATCCTGACTCCCTTACTTACTCGCTATGTGAGCCTTGGCAGCTACTTAATCTTTTGATGTCTTTGGGGAATTATAATAGTGTTTACTTCTAAGTTTTATTAGGATTATATAAGGATTAACTAAGATGTTGCATGTAAAATGACCCAAAAATATTCCCAGCACATAGTATGCACTCAATAAACATTAACTAGTTTACTGTCACTGTGCTGCAACATTATTTTGTATCTCTTCCGTTCTTTATAACCAAAGAGCTTACTTAACTAAAACAGAGGCTCACTCAAATTCTCTCCAGTACTGGCTTGTATGTGTTGTTATAAGGATATCCATGTTTGATGTGGGTGGCAGATTGGGATAGGAAGTAAAAAGATGCCTGAGGAAAGGAAGGAGCTATGACTACTTCATTCTGGTGTTCCACTGGTCATGAGGCTCAGCTTCCTTCTCTCCCACTGCAGTTGGCTTCCTCTTCAATCCACTCTTAAGTATTTTCTCCCATTCAGTTTTTAACTGTTCTTAGTTTCTGCTTCCTCATCACTTAAGCATGTCATGACTCCTTACGACTTTAATATCCCTCCTCTTGCAACCCTTTTGCTTCACCTCCCCATTTCCTGTTAAGAATTCCCTATTTCCCAACATAAATTAGTGAGAGAAGCTGACAGACCTGCCTTATCTCCAGCACCGGGTCGCTGGTCAACCTCTGAATGCAGGAGCCTTGAGTCAGGTGCCCAACAGTCCAATCACCTGTGGCTGGGAGGAGTGGGGTTTTGAGGCCTATGTTGTCCCATCCCTTTAGCAGGGGCTATGGTGTTGAGAGACAATTCTTCCTCGATTTCTCGTATTTCTGCACATCTTCTGAGCAAGAAGCATGAACAGCTTTGTTCTGTCCTGCCTTTTCAAAGATGTTTGTATAGCAAATAGTCTTAGGAGACAGATATATTGTCCCCTACTCTCCTCCCAGGTCAGAGGACAGATTTGTTTCCTGGGCAAAATGAGGATAATGTCTTGTCCTGGGGCAGATTTCTAGCAGTTCCCTAAGATTGGGGTTTCCTAAGCTCAAATTTCCTCAGCTGTGACACTAAACTCACACTGTGTGTGTGCAGCACTCCTGAGGGACATTGGGGGGAAGGCAAACTGATGTAATTATGAAACTCATGCTGTCCACTGTGCTATGAGAAATGAAGTCCTTTGTCTCTGATCCAGGGGTCTTGTATATACTCCTGGGACCTAGGAAATTTGTTAGCTTGCAAGCAGGGAAAAACCCTGAATCCGTTGCAGTCCTTGACAATGAGAAGGGATATTCTCCTTCAGGTAGAATGGTCCTTGCAGGCACTGTGGTAAATTCATCCAATGCAGCATTCTGTTCTGCTTCCCCTTCTACTGAGTTTCACCTACATATAAATTAAGCTTTAGGCAGTTCTTCAGGGCCTTAGTTTTGGGAGAAAATGCATTATACAGTAATGGGGGTTGGGGAAAGAAGAACCCAAAGGATTGTGCAACATTTCTGTCCTCCCTGAGTGAACCTCGGTTATGCTCAGATTTGGCACCTCTGCTATATCATAGTGCTGCTGCTAAGTTGAGAGGGGGGACTGTCTTAACATGGCTGTGCATCTGCATAGCATTTATTTCCCTTAATGTCCAGTGCACTTTAACTTGGCCCATTCAGCTTCTGTGAGTCATAATACAGCAAGTCTGCCAATTTTACAATGATGCTTACTCCTTATTAAGCCCTTAGTAAGACAGTTTGCAGGGTTCATTGTGTTAGTGCTGGTACGCCAGCATAGTTACAAAAAAAATTATACAATATTTTGTATCAGAGCCTACATGACCAGCAGAAAAGCCGTGCTTCAGAATTGCCTGCTTTATGTTCTATTTTCTGGATAAAACCACACTGGATGCATATGTGTGAATGCTGTAGCACAGGGAGAAAACAAGCAAAAATAAAGCACAGGATATAAGGTCAAACACTGGAGTTTTGGTTATTCTATTCAACTCACCCCCATCTCCAGAAAATAAACTCTTGGCTGGCGCTGGTGGCTCATGCCTGTAATCCCAGCACTTTGGGAGGCTTGAGGCAGGTGGATCACCTGAGGTCAGGGGTTTGAGACCAGCCTGACCAACATGGTGAAACCCCATCTCTACTAAAAATACAAAAATTAGGGGGGGCATGGTGGCACATGTCTGTAATCCCATCTACTCAGGAGGCTGAGGCAGGAGAATCGCTTGATCCGGGGAGGCAGAGGTTGCAGTGAGTCGAGATCGCACCATGGCACTCCAGCCTGGGTGAGACTGCATCTCAAAAAAAAAAAAAAGAAAAATTCTTTTCAAATTTCCCTGGTTGTAAGTCATCATGGCCTGCTGTGGTCCATAGGGCATACGACCTCTTAGGAGATGGGTTCAACCCTTCAACCTATAACTATCTCAATATAGCTATAGATCCTTTGGGCTTGAGAGTAGGTGCTGGTAGCTAAAGTCACCTTAGGGGGCTCATTCTTTCCTTGCTTTTGTTTCTAGCTTTGGTAATCACAGAAGAGACACTAAGGCTCTGTGTGTCAGGCATTCCCCAAGCTAAGATGAAATCCTCTCTACTGAGTGAATCCAGCTGTGCTGGGGGTGGGCACGCTAACAGTCTCTTCATTACAATGGACACTTCAGGAGGCCAGGGATCTTGTCTATTTTGTTCACAGGTTTGTGAGAGTAGGCACTTTGTAAACATTAAATGGACAGCAGCTCAGGTTATACAAATATTTAATTTGTTGGGTTTAATGAAGGTGTTTTTCAGTGGATTGAGAAAGTATTCCCATTTTATATGTCCTAATATACTATTTTCATAAGCTCCCTAATTTGAAAATTTTTAAACATTTTCTTTCAGGTAGTATTTACTCATTTAGATGTGGGTTGTAACCAAGGTGCTCACTTGTGAATAGCTTCGTCATCCAATTGAGGCTGAGCTTGCTTCCCAGACAAGGCTGATCTTGTAAGCTCCTCATCCCTATCTTCATCCGCTTTAAAGGTCAATTTAAACGGAAATAAAAAGTCTAACACTCTAGAATGGCACCAAACCTAGAATACTGCAATACCAGGGTTGGGGGATCCTTGGTCCAGGTAAGGAGGAAGAATTATTTGTTGGGGCCAAAAGCTAGTCGGTATGATGGCATGTAGAGAAGCCCCTTTTAACAGCTGTCTGTAACAGTTGGGTTCTCTTCACAAGTCATTGGGACTAGACTAACAGAACTAGGGCACAATGTAAACGGCTGGATTTTTTAAAGAATTCTTTAAAAAAGAATTTAAAATGGCATTTATTAAGGATTGAAATCAAAAGGAAAGCCCCTGTCAAGTGTCTCTTCCTACGAATAAAACAACTTGGGAGTAGGTTCTGTACTCTTTGGAGTATTTGCAGTTGTGGAGGGCAGATGTCCATGGCTTCTAGAGGAACTGAAATCCAGACCTTTGGAAAGGGTAGCACAAATTGCTTGTAGAAAGATGTCTGGATAGTTAGCTCTTGATGGCTAAGAGACAACAGGATGCTATACACCTTTCAGGCCTGGGACAGTCTCTGCAGAACAGTTTAAGAATCCCAGATTACCAGGCAAAGGTAGGAAGTTCTCATTAGATCTTACTGGTGACTAAGAAACTTCACTAATCAGGGCCACATTAGAATCTTGGTCATCAGTACACAAATATCTTAACATGTTAGCAAAATAATATAGCAAGGAAAAAATATTTCTCAAAATTCTGAACAGATCCTAATTTTTTCTGATAAAACAAAACAAAAAAAACAAAACAGACTGCATCTCAAGCAATGTACTTAAATAATAACACTGATAACACTGATCAGGTAAGCTGTTCCTACTCAGGAAGGCAGCATGAAGTGGACAGAACCGACAGCATCTCCTTTAAGAACCAGGGCTCTTTGACCATGTCTGGGGCTCATTTTTTTTTTTTAATTTGTAAAGTTGAGACAATAAATCAACCCTGCAGACTTATTATGAAGATGAGATAAGATAGAAAGCCTACACTATGCCTAATATTTAGTGTTTCATAAATAGAAACTATTATTATAATGTAAAAATGCATTTAAAAATGAATCTTCGTAAGAAGAAACATTGTTATAATCTAAGGAAATTACTGACAGTAAGAAGTATCTTTCTAAAAAAATAAAGACCTCCTCCCTGTCAATGTTCACTATAAAAACTGTATATTGATTATATACTAATAATATAAGATGCAATAAATTACCAACTATATTAGTGTTAGGTTTCATAATTAATATTATGAAAATTACACTTTATTTTGACTTAATAAGGTTCCCGTCAAATTCTCAACTCTTGAAAGGTAATTAATATGTTTTTAAGAGTGTTTTATCTGAAATGTTCATCATTCTCCAAAAAGTGGTGCTATAAACAATGATGGAAACCAAGTATAACATATTTCCCTATGACTTTGCACATCAATGAAAAACATTTTTTTCAAACCCTTATTCATGCACAAATAGTGGTAGTACTGAACCTATAATTTAGATTCATTACTTTATAGAGAAAACAGAAGCAGGGTGATTACGTGACTTTGTCAAGGTCATGTTATTTCAAACACCACAATTTTGAGATGGGAAAAGGCGGACTCCAAAAATTATTAAAATGAGCTTGACATTGATCACTTAACAAATTCTAAGGCAGATTATTAAACAGATGTCACGTAAGGAGTTAGAAAAAGAGGCAGTATGGTTTCATTAAGAATGAGGCGTTACCAGCTGACTTCATTTCCTTTCTTTAATATACTAGTACATTAGGCTACTTCCAAAGACAGTGCATAGTGCATCTGTCTGCCAAACACACTAAAATTTTTAGTGTCCTTTTTAGGAAAGATGAAGAAACGGGCATATGAAGTGACTGGTAGTTACCGCAACAACTGTAACCAAATTACTAATTAACGGATCACTCACCTTAAGTGCAGTGTATAGTGGCATTCTAAAGAGGGTCTGTACTGCATCCCATTCAATTCAACATGTATCAACAACTTAGACAAAGCCACTACATACCAAAGGTATGCTTTATCAAAATTGGAATGGATGCAAGGCTAAGACGAAAAACCTGAATTCACAAGAACCTTCACAAATCAAATTCAGTAAGGATGAATGCTGTCCTTCAATTAGGTTAATAAGAGATTGTTTAAGTAAAGATTAGGCGGGGACTTGGCTTACCAGCAATACCTGTGAAGCTCAGCAAGAGACAGCAAACAGTATGACAGCCTGGCTAATAATGATGGTGGTAATAATAACATATACCAACCATAACAGCCACAGGAGAATCACTCTGAAGGTGGCAACAGTGCTCCTGAACCCTGCCCTAGTTCGACCACAGAACTGTGTTTAATTCTGAGCAACATACTTTAAGAGAAGGAGTGAAAGAGCCAACTCTAGGCTGGTCTGGAATAGATACCATGTAAGATTTCAGAAAGCGTGAAGCCTGAAGAAGGATATGAAGAGGTGACCACACAGGAGAAACAGGACTTTCTAATTTCACGTGTGCTGTTTATAGAGAAATTTGGTGACAATCTTCCAACAATGAAATTCATCCCTTGCAGGGGTGCTGAATGGCTCCATCCAGCAGTGGCTGAATGAAAATGATGATGAAATTATAAAAACATCAACAGTAGAGGTATACCACTGATGTTTCCAGCTCTGAGACTATTTTTCTAGTACATATTTAATCTATTAGAGGAGAATCAGAATTCTAAACTTTCTAAGCATCTAAACAAAATGATTAGTTTTTATCCAACTTTGTAAATTTTTTTGAGATAGGGTCTCACTATGTTGCCCAGGTTGCTCTTCAACTCCTGGTCTCAACCAATCCTCCTGCCTCAAGCCTCCTGAATAGCTGGGATTATAGGTGCACACCACCATGCCTGGCTAGTCTTTGTCTAATTGAATTGCGTAATTTATCAGCACCCAATTGACCCTTCTGAAATGACTGAGTTCTCTGAACTGTTTGAGAACCACAAGGAATCTTGCTAAACAGTTAGATTTAATAATATTTCCATGCCTGATTTGGAGAAAACCACTGATGTGAGGTGGGCTCCCTTCCTTATTAAGGGTTTCTGCAGTCCGGAGTCAGTGTGGAAATCAGGTTCTGCTGAAACCTACGGGATAGCTAAGGATGTCAGGGAGGAGAGGGCAAGGACTCAGAGACCCTCCAGCAGTAGGAAGTCCATCAACTACTTCTGTCTGGCTCTTTCTAGGGCTTTCTTAGATTATAGTTCAAGGACTTCTAACATCACATGCTCAGTAGTGTTATCTGTCATTAACTCTAAATCCTTCAGGGGTTACATTATAGAAGTGATACAATTACACAATTAAATATTAGAAATGACCACCGAGTATATTCTGTTTATTGTTTATGATTTACACAGAAAATGATGGGCTGGGGTTATAGAACAATAAACCAACCATTACATTTAGACCTGGGCTTTTGAAAAACTTGCATTCCATTTTAACAATTCGTATGTATCTAACAAATACATAAATCCAGATCACAAATAATCTTAAGAGTTAAACAATTAAGAAACACAAAGAATACCACATAGATCTACCTTTAAATATCAGCATTCATATTATAAGAAATAAGAAAATGTTAAAAAAATAAAATTAGGTTAAGTCACAACATAAAATAGAGAAATAAGATAAATGCTATTTTATTAATATTCATACTTATTTCTAATTTACCTTCATATAGTCTTAACTTTTTCAAAAGGATCCAAGATATGATCAAATAATATTTTAGTATCTGAACTTGCCAGCCTTAGCTTATACCAGAGCTTGTTACCATGAAAATCCTAAAACCTCAATTTTCTTTTTCTTTTTTAAAATTTAAGCCAACTCTTATTCAACTTTTCTTCTTCACAGCAGCTGTTTATAGATAGTAGGGAGCCAAGAATGAAGGACAGTAACAGATGGAAAGCAAAAAGTACAACAGCTATCTTAAGTTCAGCTCTCAACATTGCTGGTTGAGTTTGGAACCAAAACCTCTTAACAACTGGCAGATAATAGCTAAATCTTAACAGACAAAGAAGAAATATTTTCTTTGGGACAGCTGCTATCTAGAAGAAAACCAAGGTCCCTTAATATAGTCTAAATATAATGTGTGGCTTATTATAGAGAAATCTTTAGCAACGTAAGTTTAACCAGTAAGTGTCACAACTGATCAACAGTACTTAAAAGGAAACAAACAAAAATCACACTAGCCACAAATTTCCACCATATACACATGAAATTAATTTTAATCTGTTTTGACTCCTTGACACTAACTGATCATTAATGAAATATGATATGGAAAGATCACAGAGTAGAAAACAAGCAAAGATTAGTTTATACAACAGTGACTATATACATCAGAGGGAAAACATGCTAGCTAATGCAACATTAAGGCCTGAATGTAAGCATTTCCCAAGTCACAGAAGCCCCAAAGAACTCCTAAATTACAAATTCATCACATTACATGCATGCAATGTTCACTTTTGTTTTACCCATAAAAGGATACACAGTATTTTGCTGTAAATACCAGACACATTTACAATATATGCAAAAATTAGAATGCAAGTGTTATGTTCCTTATATTTAAGCCTCATATGTGCCAACAGTGAAAATTCATTTATTTTTAAGAATGAAAAAAGGAGACGGGATATAAATACTCAGAGAAATACACGAATAAGATGTAACTCTGCATTTGGGAAGCCATATAAATATTCCTTTTATGTGCCCAAACTAAATTATCAATGTACCAGTTAGACGGACATACACTCACTATGTGCTTTACTATTTTACTTGCTCAAATGTTCTACAGTCATCATTCTCTAGTGTTAACATCAAATCACATTTGTAAGTGAACTATTATGTCCATGTTTGCACATACTCGTCCACTGTGTGTGATCACCTGAAGGAGACATTGTGCATCTTAGTTTGGGGTTATATAATTACAAAGATGACCCTGTGCAAGTTTTCAGACCTTCCAAAATACTGTAGAAGCAAAATTACCTTAAACTAACTATAAGCAATATTAAACAAATGTGCCATGAGTGTTCTGGGCCTTCAAGTATAATTTTAACCAAGGAGAAACAGGTTGGGTAAGAGGTTAGAAAGAGTTTCATAAGGCCATCTAATTCAGCTCATTGTACCAAGCCCTGAGCACACTAGATTCTTTGTATGCTTTACTAACCTTACGTTAAGCACATCCACTGGTTTCATTAAGGATTTTACTACCTAACTTTATTTCAGGGGGAGTTACGTCTACGATTTAAAACTTTTGTAATGTTCTGGCCAAAATTTTAGCCTTCATTTGGCATTCTGAAAAGTTCTAATTTTAAACAAAAATGGACTTTCTGAAAAATTTCTCAGCATATGAACCAAGAGGTTATGATATAGCAAAATCAAAGGGACTAGTGAAAAAGCATACTTTAGAATTTGTTTCATTTCCAATGAAACCAAATTTTACTACGGTTGTGAACACAGTCTTTACATTTGATGCAAACAGGACAGCTTAATTATAATCACTTAGTGGCAGTATTACAGACAAAGCCAATAACGTATGCCACACAGATGATTATTTATTCTGGAGAGAGTCAACTGATAAGCTTGGCTTTACAATTAATACAAACATATTCAACTAAAGAAAATGGATGCACTGTCTCAACATTCAGCTTAAAAATGTTTAATACTTTCTGCAAACCTAAATTTAGTTTAGAAAGGTTAATATTCTTTCTAAACTATGGCATATACTATATATAGCATTTTTAAATATATTTATATATAATTATTTGCACATGAAATTTAGAAGGAATTTGCAGATTTACTTTGATACACTGATCTCATTTCAACTGTCAAGGTTTAGGGTGCTTCTGCAATACTGTCATTTGAAGGTGGGGCATCAGGATCAGGCTCAGAGGAAGGAGCTGCAGATGCTTCAATAACCGCAGGTGGGAAATGACGGCGGCACACAGGGCATGTTCCCGACTGGAGAAAAAAAAAATGTTAAGAGCCACCAGAATCATCTTAACTGCCACACAAGTAACTTAATAAAGAAAAAACAGTGTCATTATCCTAATAATAAGACTCTTAACAACAAAAAACAAACTTCAAATCCACACAATGCAGAAAGACATAATTTTAATACCTTTTCCTCCCTGCCCAATCAGACTCTAGTTTCTTTGAGGGTAAATGATGTCTCTTATTCATGTTCGTATCTTTAAGGTCATTCATCCTCCTTAATTTAGTGAGTTTTAATTAAGAGCTGCTAAACTCAGCAGTGATGCAATGGCAGAGGGTGAGCAAAGAATCATGGCACATGTCCACATGGAGGTCAGAGTTTAGCTCAACAATAATCTGAATTATCATTATTTAGTCTATTATGCGTTTACTAGAGAAACCACAGACCTACTTTAATTCACACCAAATCATTTATGATTTGGTGTGAATTAAAGAAGGTCTACGATGAATTAACGTAGGTCGATGGCAAATTAAAGCCTCATTTTAGGGTAGCACAGATATGTCAAAGCAGATGGACTTCAGACTTTCTTTCTAAGCCATGACATTTCTTTCCAAAAAGAGATAAGAGTGTTAGGTGCCTTCTAAATGACAAAACAATCAACCACAGACCTTGGAGAGAAGGTGGGAAGGAGAAAGCAGTTATACTAGGAGCACAACATTCTAGGACCAATGGACGATTATAGAGCTACGTTATCTGATAACAGATTATCCCCTTGCAAATCTGGTCTTTTTCCCAAAGAGAACTCCCTGCTGGAAGGGAGGCTGAAGAGATCATGCTGTCGAAGGCAACAAAGAACTGTATCTTGGGAACATTCTCCCCAGAAAAAAAGCAGGAAAGGCTTCACACTAAGGTATTTCCTGACAGGAGAAAGACTGAAGAGACTGTTACTTTGTGTTACAGCAAAGTCTCAAGTACAATTCAAGGCTGTACAACATATATTACGTTTACCGTTTAAGAATCCATTTCAGGCCAGGCACGGTGGCTCATGCCTGTAATCCCAGCACTTTGGGAGTCCGAGGTGGACAGATTGCCTGAGCTCAGGAGTTCGCAACCAGCCTGGGCAACATGGTGAAACCCCGTCTGTACTAAAATACAAAAAATTAGCTGAGCGTTGCAGCATGCGCCTTTAGTCCCAGCTACTCGGGAGGCTGAGGCAGAATTGCTTGAACCCGGGAGGCGGAGGTTGCAGTGAGCTGAGACAGCACCATTGCACTCCAGCCTGGGCAACAGAGTGAAACTCCGTCTCAAAAAAAAAAAAAAAAAAAAAAAAATTTCATTTCAGCAAACATTTATTGTGTACTTGCCATACAGATTGGGCCCCAACAATAACATTTTAGAGTCAAATAGATGAGTGTGGTCTTGATGAACTACATACTAGCTATTTAAACTTAGACAAGTAACAA
The DNA here is from genome assembly GCF_000001405.40 of Homo sapiens. Classification (NCBI taxonomy): domain Eukaryota; kingdom Metazoa; phylum Chordata; class Mammalia; order Primates; family Hominidae; genus Homo; species Homo sapiens. The sequence goes on from NC_000005.10 coordinate 109,338,794, forward strand.
TCATTAGAAAACGGGAATAAAGATAACAATAAGTCCTAAAGTACTGTGAGGATTAAAGGAGAAATCATGAATCATTAAAGAGGAATCATCTAACAGTGACTGACACACAGCAGGCACACAAAACACTGCTTCTTAAGTCTCTGAAGCTATCATGGGAATTTAAAGACGGCATTTATTAAGGACAGAAAAGGTGGAATTTAAACTGCACCTACCTATATCATCTAATCTTACAGATGGTATAGGGAAAAATCATGCCAGACTTCAGGAGCAAATGCATAGAAACATGAGCAAGTGTACAGAAAAGTAAATCTGAAGAAACAAGTTGGGGGTCTAAATCACAGAAGGCCTTGAATGTCAAGATTAAAACTTCAGATTATTCCACAGGTGACTGGAGGTCCCTCTCTTTCTTTTATGAGAAGGGAAGTACATTATCAGAACTACATTTCAGAAAATGCCTTTAATGATGGCATGATAGATAATGAAGATTTGGAAGAGTGAGGGGATAGGAAGAGGCGAAGATGATGAGAAATTAGTTAATGGGTATAATGTATGTTATCCAGGTGATGGGATATCCTAAAAGCCCTGACTTGACCACTACATAACCTATGCATGTAACAAAGTTGCACATGTACCCCACAGATTTATGCAAATAAAAAAGAAATGAAAAGAAAGTACCTCTAAAGGAAGTAAGGAAATAAAGTAGGTCACTACAATAGTAGTTAAGACAACAAGGGTTGAAGGTCTAATGTATGGGAGTAGAAATGAAATGAGGGAATGGACCTCACAGACTCAGCCATGCTCGAAAATTTTAAGAGTTGGTGGCTCTGCATTTTCTGCTTCCCCAATAATTTTAATAACACCTACTTCCACTACTACCACCATCATGTACAGACACTGAAAAAGTCATTTTCTACTGAATTCTAACTTTCATTAGTAATAAGTTTACCATTACTTTTCCTATATGTTTACTATGTGCCAAACACTATATTAAATTCATCATGGATTACCTACTTCAACTCTTATAAAAACACTAGAGGTTGGTATATTGTACAGCACAGCCATCTAGGCTGTATTAACAAAATGCCAGATAAACAGATTAAGAAAAATCACCTAAAATATTATTTCCCAAATTTTGTTCTGGGAGAAGGGAGAGAGCAAGGAAAGCAGTATTTTAAAACTAATTCAGAATCCAGCATTATACCTCAATCCAGAATACCAGGAAGTCTCATGAGACTTGAGACACACATTATCTCTATGCAGACAATACTCCTCAAATAATACACATTAGCACGTGCTGTTTACTGAAGACTGCTAGCTGGTCTTTGTAACTTGCACCATAAGTTTTTATTTGTGATTTTGTTGTTAATAAAATAAAAACACCTCTAATTTCTAATAATAGCTTTCATCTGATATGATTTGTAAAATATTTACTGGGCACTTACTACCTGACAGGCACTATGGGTTATCTCATACAGAGATATTTTATAAAAGAACAGTGAACATTTCTAAACTGGATTTCAGAGATTTTAAGTGGAATTTTGAGAAGAACAAAGTGGCAAATAGAAATAGAGGAACAGCAAAGAAAGGAAAAGGAAAGACGGAAGGAAGGAAAGGAATGGGAAAAGGGAAGGAGAAAAAAAGCACTGGTTTATAGGGAAGAAAGGGAGTTGTATTCCTAAGTAGATAATTTGGGAAAGTGACTTGGGAATTCCTAGTGAACTGGATGGTAAATATCCTTTATGCAAAAACAGAGTTCACAGAGAAGACTGAAATAAAACACTTCCTTTATTTAAATAATTCAAATATGCTTAAGATTTATTGGGTCCCTCCCCCTCCCCCTCCCCCTCCCCCTCCCCCTCCCCCTCCCCCTCCCCCTCCCTCTCCCCACGGTCTCCCTCTCATGCGGAGCCGCAGCTGGACTGTACTGCTGCCATCTCGGCTCACTGCAACCTCCCTGCCTGATTCTCCTGCCTCAGCCTGCCCAGTGCCTGCGATTGCAGGCTCGCGCCGCCACACCTGACTGGTTTTGGTGGAGATGGGGTTTCGCTGTGTTGGCCGGGCCGGTCTCCAGCCCCTAACCGCGAGTGATCCGCCAACCTCGACCTCCCGAGGTGCCGGGATTGCAGACGGAGTCTCGTTCACTCAGTGCTCAATGGTGCCCAGGCTGGAGTGCAGTGGCGTGATCTCGGCTCACTACAACCTACACCTCCCAGCCGCCTGCCTTGGCCTCCCAAAGTGCCAAGATTGCAGCCTCTGCCCGGCTGCCACCCCGTCTGGGAAGTGAGGAGCGTCTCTGCCTGGCCACCCATCGTCTGGGATGTGAGGAGCCCCTCTGCCTGGCTGCCCAGTCTGGAAAGTGAGGAGCGTCTCCGCCCGGCCGCCATCCCATCTAGGAAGTGAGGAGCGCCTCTTCCCAGCCGCCATCACATCTAGGAAGTGAGGAGCATCTCTGCCCGGCCGCCCATCCTCTGAGATGTGGGGAGCGCCTCTGCCCCGCCGCCCCATCTGGGATGTGAGGAGCGCCTCTGCCCGGCCGAGACCCCGTCTGGGAGGTGAGGAGCATCTCTGCCCGGCCGCCCCGTCTGAGAAGTGAGGAGACCCTCTGCCGGGCAACCACCCCGTCTGAGAAGTGAGGAGCCCCTCCGCCCGGCAGCTGCCCCGTCTGAGAAGTGAGGAGCCTCTCCGCCCGGCAGCCACCCCATCTGGGAAGTGAGGAGCGTCTCCGCCCGGCAGCCACCCCGTCCGGGAGGGAGGTGGGGGGGGGTCAGCCCCCCGCCCGGCCAGCCGCCCCGTCCGGGAGGGAGGTGGGGGGGTCAGCCCCCCGCCTGGCCAGCCGCCCCGTCCGGGAGGGAGGTGGGGGGGTGAGCCCTCCGCCCGGCCAGCCGCCCCGTCTGGGAGGTGAGGGGCGCCTCTGCCTGGCCGCCCCTACTGGGAAGTGAGGAGCCCCTCTGCCCGGCCAGCCGCCCCGTCCGGGAGGGAGGTGGGGGGGTCGGCCCCCCGCCCGGCCAGCCGCCCCGTCCGGGAGGGAGGTGGGGGGGTCAGCCCCCCGCCTGGCCAGCCGCCCCGTCCGGGAGGGAGGTGGGGGGGTGAGCCCTCCGCCCGGCCAGCCGCCCCGTCTGGGAGGTGAGGGGCGCCTCTGCCCGGCCGCCCCTACTGGGAAGTGAGGAGCCCCTCTGCCCGGCCAGCCGCCCCGTCCGGGAGGGAGGTGGGGGGGTCGGCCCCCCGCCGGGCCAGCCGCCCCGTCCGGGAGGGAGGTGGGGGGGTCAGCCCTCCGCCCGGCCAGCCGCCCCGTCCGGGAGGGAGGTGGGGATGTCGGCCCCCCGCCCGGCCAGCCGCCCCGTCCGGGAGGGAGGTGGGGGGGTCAGCCCCCCGCCCGGCCAGCCGCCCCGTCCGGGAGGGAGGTGGGGGGGGGTCAGCCCCCCCGCCCGGCCAGCCGCCCTGTCCAGGAGGTGAGGGGCGCCTCTGCCCGGCCGCCCCTACTGGGAAGTGAGGAGCCCCTCTGCCCGGCCAGCCGCCCTGTCCGGGAGGGAGGTGGGGGGATCGGCCCCCCGCCCGGCCAGCCGCCCCGTCCGGGAGGGAGGTGGGGGGGTCGGCCCCCTGCCCGGCCAGCCGCCCGGTCCGGGAGGGAGGTGGGGATGTCGGCCCCCCGCCCGGCCAGCCGCCCCGTCCGGGAGGGAGGTGGGGGGGTCAGCCCCCCGCCCGGCCAGCCACCCCGTCCGGGAGGGAGGTGGGGGGGGTCAGCTCCCCCACCCGGCCAGCCGCCCCGTCCGGGAGGTGAGGGGCGCCTCTGCCCGGCCGCCCCTACTGGGAAGTGAGGAGCCCCTCTGCCCGGCCAGCCGCCCCGTCCGGGAGGGAGGTGGGGGTGTCAGCCCCCCGCCTGGCCAGCCGCCCCGTCCGGGAGGGAGGTGGGGGGAGTCAGCCCCCCCGCCCGGCCAGCCGCCCCGTCCGGGAGGTGAGGGGCGCCTCTGCCCGGCCGCCCCTACTGGGAAGTGAGGAGCCCCTCTGCCCGGCCAGCCGCCCCGTCCGGGAGGGAGGTTGGGGGGTCAGCCCCCCGCCCGGCCAGCCGCCCCGTCCGGGAGGGAGGTGGGGGGGGGGTCAGCCCCCCTGCCCGGCCAGCCGCCCCGTCCGGGAGGTGAGGGGCGCCTCTGCCCGGCCACCCCTACTGGGAGGTGAGGAGCCCCTCTGCCCGGCCACCACCCCGTCTGGGAGGTGTGCCCAACAGCTCATTGAGAACGGGCCAGGATGACAATGGCGGCTTTGTGGAATAGAAAGGCGGGAAAGGTGGGGAAAAGATTGAGAAATCGGATGGTTGCCGTGTCTGTGTAGAAAGAAGTAGACATGGGAGACTTTTCATTTTGTTCTGCACTAAGAAAAATTCCTCTCTCTTGGGATCCTGTTGATCTGTGACCTTACCCCCAACCCTGTGCTCTCTGAAACATGTGCTGTGTCCACTCAGGATTAAATGGATTAAGGGCGGTGCAAAAAAAAAAAAAAAAAAAGAAAGAAAGAAAGAAAGAAAAAAAGAAAATATGTAAATAAAGAGAGATAATGTACCATAAAAAAAAAAAAAAAAAAAAAAAAGATTTATTGGGTAAATATTTGAAGACAATATATAAAAACTGGAATAGGAGCTACTTGGTAGGTTATTAAGTATCTCTCATATACATTTCAGAAACACCAACCTGTATTAGCAGAATAGCTGTATATTGTTATAGTACTTTGAGTAGTGCCAAAGGCTTCTCTGCTTTAGATACTTTTGAAAACACCAAATTTCAGGGTTATGATTAAAATTCTAATCAGCTTTATTCTAAAATGAGTTTTCAGATATTTAATCACTTCCTAAAATGATTAAAAACATGTTGTTATTATTGTCTATATTTTTAGACAATGTTAGTAAAATAAAATATTTCCATATTATCCCTGATCTGTAATCATTAAATGCAATCAGGTTTTTAACAATGAATTAAAAAGTACTACAAATTTGCGGCTAAATAAAACAGGTTTAAAAGATACTACTATTGGCTGGGCGTGGTGGCTCATGCCTGAAATCCCAGCACTTTGGGAGGCTGAGGCAGGCGGATCACCTGAGGTCAGGAGTTCGAGACCAGCCTGACCAACATGGCGAAACTCTGTCTCTACTAAAAATACAAAAAATTAGCTGAGCTTGGTGGTGGGTGCCTGTAATCCCAGCTACTTGGGAGGCTGAGGCAGGAGAATCGCTTGAACCCTGGAGGCAGAGGTTGCAGTGAGCCGAGATCGAACCACTGCACTCCAGCCTAGGTGACAAGAGCGAAACTTTGTCTCACCAAAAAAAAAAAAAAAAAAAAGATACTATTATTCACTTGCAGAAGACACTATTAAAGTATTTTTAAATTTTTAATTATTCTATCACTCACCTTTTGTAGCCAAATTGAGACACAAGGTTTGTGAAAGAAATGGTGACAGGGCAACTCTGTTGCTATATCATCCTTAATATACTCACTGCAACAGATTGGACAGCATTGTTCCTGACCAATAGCTGAAAACAACAAATAATTCAGGTCAATCACACGTAGTTCAATTTTAGTAAAACTGAAAAGCAACATATTATACTCATAGAAGATACCTCTGAAAGACGAAAGAGCCAGTCTTTGACCAGTTAATTGGCAGGCATTTCTGTCTAATACTTGGCAATTTGGAATCTAATAAATACTGCTTTGTAAAAAAGCTGACAGAGGAACATTTGTCTCAGCCTATCGCTTGAAAATTAAAAATATTCTTGTACTAGGTGAAAGTTTGTGAGCATCTGGTTTCTATAAAAAAAATCTAGTGAAAGTTTCTAATAATCAAGTATTTAATTATCTAGGTATATTGATAATATACTTAAATGTACAATGTGTTCTTCAACATTTGAGATCAACTTTGCCCTTACCAGTGTGATCTTCAAGAACAAGGGTCTCTGGAAGACCATCAATGCTTTCCTTACTAGCTGGTGGATTGGCCACCTCAACATCCACTGCAAGAGACTCTAAATGGGCCAGAGCAGTCTGAAAAACAAAAGGTACAGTTCTTTGTTAGAAATACTTTAAAACAGTAACAGAAAACTATTTTTAGGGTATCTCCAAAATTATATCACCATTATTCTCTTTTTGTTAGTTTCTTTTGCTTTAGTCCTTTGCTCCTTTTGCCTCTTCAGAAGGAACTACCACCATCACCAACAAACCAAAACATTAAATATACACGCAGAGCCCAACTTTCTACATGTGAAATAAAAATATACCTTGTCTCGGCCGGGCGCAATGGCTCATGCCTGTAATCCCAGCACTTTGGGAGGCCGAGGCGGGGTGGGTCACTTGAGGTCAGGAGTTCAAGACAGCCTGACCAACATGGTGAAATCCCGTCTCTAGTAAAAAAAAAAAAAAAAAAAAACAAAATTAGCAGGGTGTGGTGGCACATGCCTGTAATCCCAGCTACTTGGGAGGCTGAGGCAGGAGAATTGCTTGAACCCAGGAGGTAGAGGTTGTAATGAGCCGAGATCAAGCCATTGCACTCCAGCCTGAGCAACAAGAACGAAACTCCATCTCAAAAAAAAAAAAAAGCAGGTCGTGGTAGTGTGTGCCTATAATCCCAGCTACTGGGGAGACTGAGGCAGGAGAATCGCTTGATCCTGGGAGGCAGAGGTTGCAGTGAGCTGAGATCACCATGCACTCCAGCCTGGGTGACAGAGCGAGACTCTGTCTCAAAAAAAAAAAAAAAAAAAAACTACCTTGTCTCAATAATCATCTACTTCTCCGTATTTATATTTTGAAGGAGTGGTTACTTTTTCCAACTATTGGTTCCTATGTGAGATCAATAACATGAAAGAAAATAATAAACATTTTGGAAAGGTTCACTTCATGAAAGATAAAATGTGGCTGAGGCTACTAGAAGCTCCAGGTATGGAAGCAAATAATGCACTCCTGAATGGCTACATCTACTACTGGCATGGATTTGGCGCACCCACATTACCAGCTCACAAGTATTACTAGGTTATCTGGGTTGTGAATTTCATTTACAGGTTCAAATATCTGTGTCAAATTACTGTTCTAAGAAGGATGGAAAGAACATCAGATCATGTGATCATCTGGGATGCGTCATCCTCATCCTTTCTGGCTCTAATTAGACTAGAATGGCAGTTGAGACTTTTGTCTTTTTGTCTGCAACCTGTACAATTACTTGCTCTTGGTGCACATGCTGCTTCCCCTGCCTGGTGCTTTCTGTCCATCCTTTAAGTCCTATCACTCCCTCTGGGACTGCATAAGTCCTGTCTCTTCCATGAGGCCTATGTCAGTGGTCCTAGACTGCACGAGTATCCTTCTGAACTGCTACTGTATTCAAAGAATTGGTATTACACCGTTTAATTATTACTTGTTAGTATTATATCCTAATTACAGCATCATAAGATCATGGAGCTATGAAAGACCTTGGCTTCTTTTTAGGGATGAAAAACCTGAAGGAAATTTGACAACTATCAAAACTGGGCCTCCCCTCCTGGTTGGAGTGCAGAATATTACAGCTGCTAGAGAAAACAGCCCAACAATTCCTCAAAATTAAAAACAGAATTATCACATAATCCAGCAATTCTAGTTCTGGGTATACACCCAAAAAGAACTGAAAACAGGGACTAAAACAAGTATCTGTACACCCATGTTCACTGCAGCATTATTCACAAGAGCCAAAAGGTGGAAGCAAATCAACTGTTCATTGGTGGATGGATGAATATGCAAAATGTGATATACACATACAGTGAAATATTACTCCGCCTTGAAAAGGAAGGAAATTCTAACACATGCCACGACATGGATGAACCTTGAAGACATTATGCTAAATGAAATAAGCCAGTCACAGAAAGATAAGTACTGTATGATTCTTACATGAGATACCTAAAGTAGTCAAATTCATTGAGACAGAAAACAGAATGGTGGTTGCCAGGGGCTGGAAAGATGGGAAAATGGGGAGTTACTGTTTACAGCAATGTGAATACACTTGATTACACTGAACTGTACACTTTAAAAAACTGTAGCAATAGTAAATTTTATATTATGTTTATTTTACCATAATAAAAAAAAATGAACAAGCCAGGTTTCCCATATAGAAGAAGAATTCTGCCTGATAGCTTAGCTAACACTCTATTCTTCTGGATGGCAAACATAATATTTATACATGCCTAAGGTCCTACCATAGATATTCCCAAAAAGAATTTGAGATGACTTATAATAGGGATTACAACTTGCCTTGGGCCAAGCCCAAAGCAAAATCAGGACTAAAAAAGGAAAAAGCAAAACGGTTCACAAAGAGTTAATAAACATAGTTAATATTATTGAACACTAAATTTGACTCTGGATATGCAGAGAAACACTGCAAAAAGAAAGAAACACTGTTCCAGTAATTGAATTATTGCTTCTCAGCTCCAAATACACCTTTCATTTCTGCCCTTTGAAAACAGATTTGGGCCTTTTAAATATTTTTCCTTTTGTTAGCTGACATGATTTTAAGTTTTGTCAGCAGAAGGTGCTGGAGAGACACAAGGAAAGGACTTTGCTTCATGGTTCCCTTGGGCTTGCCCCTGCAGTGTGCCAGGCTTCCCTGTGCACAGATGGCTTCTCCAGCATCAGACTCCTCCAGTGTGGGTGGCTTCTCCAGTGCCTGGCTCTTGAAGCACATGCTGCTTATCCAGTAACTGGTAATTACAGGACAAGGTTGCCAGCAGCTTCTCCTTGTACTCATCTTAGGTGGTTCTGCAGCAGAGTACCTAGGGGCTTGGTCACATCACTGTGAAGTTTCTCTTGCCCCAGAGGGCAGATTTTTGCCATGTTCCAGAAGGCAAATTTCCAGCAAGTTCTGCCAGCACAGTACCATAAATACTCCTCCATAAGCCATGGCTGTGTCCTTCCCAATAAGGTCTGGCTCTCAGCCTTAGACAGGAGGGAAGTAGAGTGCTCCATCTCAGCCCTAAAGCTGTTTCTTAAATCTGCTAATCCTATATTCTTTAGAGTTTGCTTTACTTCCTACTAGCCAATCCCTTGGTATTCTAAACTTCTGTTGCAGTTAATATTTACAGTAAATTTTCCCTGTTCAAATTACTGTATTTCTCTCTCTTGGGACTGAACTCAGACTGGTACAGAATTCATATTAAGAGTGGTCCCGGGACACAGAACTGGCAAGAAAAGGATTTGGGGGTTGGTTTGGTTACACCTGTTGAGCTTGAGCTCAGTGTTGAGCTCCTTGCCAATGAGAATGGGATGCTATTAATCCATAGTCTGTAGTGGCATCACAATTAATCAAGGTATCACTGTGGTTGACAGTGATGAAGATCCAACTGAAGCATGTGTCTTGAAAGCCCAGATAGCTCCTATACTTGATCTTACGGCAACAGTGATCTAACTGTAAAAATCGTGATGTGAGATGGATTATTAAGAGTGCCCTTGTGCACTTACAGAAAAAAATTACAAACTCAGGTCTCTTAAACCTCACAATAGGGTATGAGAGCCAGAAAGCATCCACGACAGCCCTAAAAGATGCTCTTGCTCCTAAAAATCAAACGCAAAATGTAATTGTGTGGATTGCTAAATGAAAATTAGAGTTGACTTCTTAGTCTCATCAAATTTCTCAAAAGTTTTACCATTGATTGGTTAAGGAATAAGATTCTGAAACCTGGAATGAAGACATCTGACTGAACTCTGAGGAAACTGATAACTTTGAATCCCCAAGTCACTCTGAGCCTCCTGTTACCAGTAGAAACAGTGTGCCCTCCACAGACTAGGCTTCCTCTGCTTGAAAACCCTGTGATAATCTCACCTGGAGTGTGAATCTCTTACTGCTTTCATGCCCAACAGTAAAGTTACCAGAACTACAGCAGACAAAAAAAGAAAGAACTGAAGATATAAACAGTGTAGGTCTGGGTTATTCTACCAAGTAAAGAATCCTAACCAGCTGAGTGAGCTTCTGGCTGAGGGCAGGGAAAATATGACTGGGTCATGGAAGAAAGAAGTTATAGCTATCATTCAGTCTCATGAGCAAATACAGAACAAGGATTAGTAATTCTGCATATTTTATGTGCTTGTTTTATGTATCTGCTTATTTATATATGTTAACAGTTTACTTTTCCTCTTTCCCATTTCTATTTCAATATGCCAGTTGTTGGAAGTTAAATTTGCAATTTAGTCTTTATATAAGAGAATATTCAGTGTTACTATGAATGTGTGGAGTAATGCATAACTAGCGATGGATACAATGCCTCTTGGAACTAGCCATCTGCTCATTCTGGGAAATGGGTGAAACTTCATTTGTAGTAATAGCTGTATTTTGTTGGGTGGAAATACAATTCTATTGATGGATGGAAATTTAAATGTGCATTGAAAGGTATATATGGAAGCCAAGTTATCAAAGTGCTGGAATGTTCCATTTATGGAATTATTGCTCCACAAATCCATATTCACTATTGTGTCGGCTCTGTGAAAATCTGGGCTGTTTAAATACTTTCCCTCCTAACAGCTGGCATGATGCTAAGCTTTGTTCACAGAGGATGTTGAAGAACACTGCTGGAGGAAAGGGCCTTCCTTCTGTCCCAGTGTGCTTGCTTGACAGAGCACACTGGGACTAGAGTGATGTTCGTGGCTTTCTCTAGCACTAGACTCAGTGCACACAGCTTCTCTAGCAGCCAGTTCCTGTAATGCACTTAGTAGGTGGCAGCCTCCCCCAGCATCCATGTTGGACAGTTCTGCAGTACAGCACTTCCAGTTAGAAACCTTCCTATGAATAGCTTTCCTCAGCACCCTAAGAGAGCTGACTTCCAGCAAGTTTCACCAGCACATACCCAAGTGACTTCTCTCTCATACAGCAAGCCACAGCTGTGCCATTTCCATCAAGGTGACCTCAGCCCTGAGATGGACTAGGGACTCTTCCTTGGGTTGTCCTAGCTTTGCCAGACAGGTGGTGGCTGCTCCTTATATGCGCTTTTCCCATATTCTGTGTAATTATCTTTATTTCCTCCTAGCCAATCCCTTGTTACTCTACTTCTTTGTTCTAGTTTAGAATTCCTTATATTGAACTTTCCCATTGCAAGATAGGAAATGGAAGGTAAGATCCTGTTATCAGTCCCTTTCCTTCTCACATAGCTATAATTATGAATCTCCTCCAATTCCCCATATGTACTACTCAAGATAGAACCTGCTTGCAAGAACTCATTTGTGCTACACATAAACAGAAATAAGGGATGTTATTTATAGTAACTTTCATTTGGGGAGGTTATTCCAGGCTAATTATGCTTTGATATATGTTTGTCTCAATGGGTTCATTATCTCTTTCTAATGATTATCTGCATATTTGCAGTGCTAGTAACACCTGAAATTTCATATATGTAAAAATAATTTATTGCCTTGGTACTGTCATATATTTAAGATGATCCAGGATCACTTATAAGCAACACAAGCAAAAGATAGCCTTTTAAGCCACTAGTATGAAAATCTATAAAAATTAAAAAAAAAAAAACTATCTATACCTTTAGGCAGTACAATGTATTTACAATAGTTAGTCGAAGAGGCAGAAAGACAACTAGCCTAAATCACCCTATCTAGAATACATGTAGGTTTAAAGTAGCATAATCCTTTATCAGCATAAAATTTTGTTCTAAAGAATAAAATACAATTCAGTTTTTAAAGAACGAAGATAGTAATACCGATTCTGAATGATCACCACTGAATCCAGATTTGTTCACTGATTACACCAGTTAGTTGACTATTGATTTGAATAAACCTATATGAATATACTATTTACTGAGAGATTCCCAATACAACCAGGTATTTTGCTAAAGGCTTTAACACAATCTCACAATAACCCATCAGGTAGATTTTATTATTCCCATTTTGTAAATGAAGACGCTAAAGCTCAGAGAAGTTAAGTGAATTGTCCAAGGTCACACAGCCAAACTCTTTAACACAAAAGCCCACCTTCTAAACCTCCACATTACAGCCTTCCTAGTGCCTATACCTGGGTGTATACAGGTGCTATTGTGAGTATGTAAAGACTTTACAAGGGGCCCGTGGGTATGGACAGTCTTAAGATAATCAGTTTCAATAAGCTTTCATAGGTAAAATCTTTCTTCGAACTGATCCACATAAGAATGCACCTGCAGTATATCATGCTGGTTCTCTGTTCTAACATTCTGTTTATACTTGCCTTTCTTCCACTTTATAAATAAAAGCATACTTCTTACCCATTCACAGGGACAATCTGAAGTACTGAGGTAGAACTGAACTCTAATGACTAAGTAACAAATCTTTTGGGTGGCTTCCAATCCTTTGCTTAAAAAAAAAAAAAAAACGGAAGGAATCTAAAGAATATCTAGACAAGTTGATGTGATTCTGGGCAAATATCTCAAAAGAATTCAGTGACAATGCCATAATAAACTCCTTCCATTCCTATTAATTTATTTAGGTGAACAACGTTTTTCAACCTTACATTCATAAGATGAAAATCAGAAGTAAATTTATGCTGAAATATGTCTCATTCCGGTAATAAATAAAATTCACTCATAACTGGGAAAGGAAAATGCCTCCATCTCATTAGATTCACTTCCTACAAAACACTTACCAAAATTCATAATTTATTTTTGATTATTTGGATACTATTAATTGTAACTCAATTTAACCACTTTTTATATTAAAAATTTTAAACATTTTTCTAGCGAAGAAGTATGATAAAATAACTAATACTACCTAGATTTATGCTGAAAAATTTTAGATGTCAACATAAATGTGCAAGGGGATTTTTTCAAAATCCATTTTGAAAAGTAGAAAAGTTTCAAAAGGTTAAAGATGTTTAAGGTTTTACCCTCTCCTCACTCAAATTAGAGACACAGATATAAGGAGACAAATACATACTGCCAGTATTTTCACCAAAAGCCACTACCTGAAAACAATGACCAATCTAGTATTGGGAAAATAACAGAAATGAAAGCAACTACTTCCAAAAAGTTATAGGGCTGCTTGAGAAACAAACAAACAAAAACAAGCAGTTTGTTTTGTTTTTGTTTCATTTAAAGAGTGTTAGTGTTAAATATAAAAGAAATAATCATAAATTATTTTTGTTTCATTTTAAAAAATGATTAAATAAATGCATACTGAACACAGAAAAACAGATTTCTGAAGAGTGACAGGAAGACAACTGTATTGATTTTCTAGGAGTGAAACATCTCAATCAAATTCAAATAAATTAAATCAGAGCACTAAAATGTGAAGAAGCTGATAAGCTTTAGAGGAGAGAGATGCTTAAAGCCATTAAACACAGGCAGAAGTATAGACTGGTAGGAATAATGCCACTGAGTTCACTATTGGTAGAAGCCAACAATGTTTGAGACTGCAAGCTCTTGCTTGCCTTTTGTCTTAGTTCACTGCTAGTGCCTTTACTTAGCATGACCTCTCAAGACCAGTCTCTCTGGCTCTTCTTTCAAGATGCCAAATGTCACATTCCCCACTAGTAATAAATACTAAAACATTTTATTCTCAACACTTCTTTTTAAAGTTATCTCCATATTGTAGGAAATCATAAACCACTAGCATAAAATGAAAGACTAAATGTTGTGAAATCAGACCCTAGAACAGATCACTCAAAGAGTTATTTAGCACAACGAAATGAGTGATCCTTAATCTTTATGTATTTCTGATGCAAGTTACCATGCTATACCATTATTTCTTATGTGTCAGAATTTGCCAAGGCAGGTTAAATAATTTGGCAAAAATCCTAATTGTATCCTATCTCATGATGTTCTTTCTGACTTTTTTCCTAGTATAGAGTATTTCTGCTATGGTTACTTTGAGAAAAACACTCACCATAAAGCGTAATTGAAAGCAATCTCCATGGACAGTTATATATGTAAAAAAAGTGATGACAAAGCAGAGCTAGCATAAATGTATGTGAACATGTATATGCATGCATGTGTGTGCACAGATGGACAGATATCTAATATCTATAGATATCTATATTAGATATGTATATATTAGATATCTATAATATCTATAGACATCTATATATTAGATATCTACAATATCATAGACATCTATATATTAGATATCTATATCTATAGACATCTATATATTAGATACCTATAATATCATAGACATCTATGTATTAGATACCTATTATATCTATAGACATCTATATATTAGATACCTATATCTATAGATATCTATATATTAGATACCTATATCTATAGATATCTATATATTAGATACCTATATCATAGACATCTATATATTAGATACCTATTATATCTATAGACATCTATATATTAGATACCTATATCTATAGACATCTATATATTAGATACCTATATCTAGATATCTATATATTAGATATCTATAATATCTATAGATATCTATATATTAGATACCTATAATATCTATAGATATCTATATATTAGATACCTATAATATCTATAGATATCTATATATTAGATACCTATAATATCATAGACATCTATATATTAGATATCTATAATATCTATAGATATCTATATATTAGATACCTATAATATCATAGACATCTATATATTAGATACCTATTATATCTATAGACATCTATATATTAGATACCTATATCTATAGACATCTATATATTAGATACCTATATATAGATATCTATATATTAGATACCTATATCTATAGATATCTAATATATTAGATATCTATAATATCTATAGATATCTATATATTAGATATCTATAATATCATAGATATCTATATATTAGATATCTATAATATCATAGACATCTATATATTAGATATCTATAATATCATAGACATCTATATATTAGATACCTATATCATAGATATCTATATATTAGATACCTATTATATCTACAGACATCTATATATTAGATACCTATTATATCTACAGACATCTATATATTAGATACCTATATCTAGATATCTAGATTAGATATCTATGATATCTAGAGATATCTATAGATTAGATGTCTATGATATCTAGAGATATCTATAGATTAGATGTCTATGATATCTAGAGATATCTATAGATTAGATGTCTATGATATCTAGAGATATCTATAGATTAGATGTCTATGATATCTAGAGATATCTATAGATTAGATGTCTATGATATCTAGAGATATCTATAGATTAGATGTCTATGATATCTAGAGATATCTATAGATTAGATAGATATCTAGAGATATCTATAGATTAGATATCTATGATATCTAGAGATATCTATAGATTAGATATCTATGATATCTAGAGATATCTATAGATTAGATATCTATATCTAGAGATATCTATAGATTAGATATCTATGGTATCTAGAGCTGTCTATAGATTAGATATCTATGATATCTAGAGATGTCTATAGATTAGATATCTATGATATCTAGAGATATCTATAGATTAGATATCTATGATGTCTAGAGATTTCTATAGATTAGATATCTATGATGTCTAGAGATATCTATAGATTAGATATCTATGATATCTAGAGATATCTATAGATTAGATATCTATGATATCTAGAGATATCTATAGATTGGATATCTATATCTAGAGATATCTATAGATTAGATATCTCTGATATCTAGAGATATCTATAGATTAGATATCTATGATATCTAGAGATGTCTATAGATTAGATATCTATGATATCTAGAGATATCTATAGATTAGATATCTATAATATCATAGATATCTATATCGATATTAGATATCTATAATATCTATAGATATCTATATCGATATTAGATATCTATAATATCTATAGATATCTATATCGATATTACATATCGATATCTAATATCTATCGATATTAGATATATTAGATATATGTTATATATCTAATATATAATATACAATATATTAGAGATCATTTAAAGACAAATTTATCTAATAGATATATCTAATATATATTATATATTAGAGAGAGGTAATATATTAGATATATAAATATATTATTAAATATATCAATATTAGATAGGTACCTGCTATCTAACTTGTCAATCTAAACTAGACTTTCTGGCTGGGCATGGTGACTCATGTCTATAATCCCAGTGCCATGGGAGGCCAGAGTGGGAGGACTGCTTCAGGGCAGGAGTTTGAGACCAGCCTGGGTAACATAATTGGACCCTATCTCTACCAAAAAACCCCACAAAAAACCAAAACCAGGTCTGATGGCCCGTATGTGTAGTCCCCACTACCTGGGACAGGCTAAGGTGGGCTGATTGCTTGAGCCCAGGAGTTCAGGGCTGTAGTAAGCTATGACTGCACCACTGCACTCCAGCTTGGGTGACAGAGTGAGATCTCGTCTCAAAAATAAATAAATATACAAACTGGACTTTCTAATCTCAGAAAATTTAAAGACAAAATATATTATAATGCTCCTAAAAGTTCTTGCCAATTTTTTGTTCTCTCACCTGTGGCTCATTCACCAGTCATTTCTGTACCTATATTTTGGAAATCACTTTGGAAATAGTGATTTGAAAGGACTTCTTTTAATGAAATCCACTGGTACAGTAGTAGTTCCCAAACATGAAAATACTTGGGCTTTGAACTTAGGCAAATACATTTAAGAACAGGTTTTTCTGTTTTAGTTAAATAATGAAAAGAAGGCAAGAGAAGCTGAGGCAGCAAATATGCCCCACTTATTAAAGTGTGTATATGTTTGCTGGGATAAGGAGGAGCAAATTTCCTAACTGCATTAGGCAGCCAGATAGTATTTAGAAGCCATGAGAAAAAAAGAGATTTGTAATATATCCTTAGCTTCAACTGCATTTCACAAATACACCTGTGCGTGTGTATATAAGATATTCACTCTCATACTTGTATAATTCAATAGAGAAAAAAGTATATTTTCTAAATGTAAGCAAAACATTTTCCATTCTGCAGTAAAAACTGAGAAATACTGAAATTTAAGGCAAACTAGCAGGACATCAAGTATAATTTGTATGCACATACTGGTGACAATTATTATTCAATAACTGTTACTAAACTGATGGGAAAAAGATTCACCTTTTCTTAAGAGTAGTCTAAAAATCCCTTTAAACCTTTATCATTTTGTATCCCATCAACTTATATATGGAGATCAGAGTTATGAACATACCTCCATAGCCTGGGCTAAGCGTTCTTCTAGTGCCATGTAGGTAAGGAACTGAGGATCCACATATGAAATAGCTTCAGCAACTCCTAGTCCATCTGCAAAGCCATCAAATAGGCTGAAAAAAAAAAAAAATAACAGAAAAAACTCACCACTATGATTTGGGAAATCTTATGCTGAGGACATAATTATATTAGCATACTGACAAGCCGATAAACATGCTGTGAACAGAAGACCTTAAAATATTTTAATACCAACTTGTAGGGTTAGGGGCAGGAGGGACCCAACAGAAAAGTGAGGTGCTAAAGATGAGTAGTTAAGATACCACTACCTCATCCAACAGGCTGCCAAACTCAATGCACAAAATTTGTAGAAAAATTCTCTTTTGTGTTTCTAGCTCTAACTCTAGAGACTGCTTAAAGGTACAGGTTGAGCATCCCAAATCTGAAAATCTGAAATCCAAAATGTGCCAATGAGTATTTCCTTTGTACATCATACTGGCACTCAAAAAGTTTCAGATTTTGAACCATTTTAGATGTTGAATTTTCAAATTTGGGATGCTCAACTGGAAGTATATGTAAATATTCCAAAATCTAGGAAAAGAATCCCAAATCCCAAACACTTCTGGTACCAAACATTTCAGGTGAGGGATATAGTACATTTCCCCACCCGATTATTTCCCACATATTTCTCCTGTTTTTCAGTTTCCAATCCGCATGTAGGTGAGAATATGATAAAGAAAATAACCATATTTATTTTAATTCTATCATTACTCACGGCTTTTTTCTTTTCTCATTTTGTAATGCTTAATAACTCTGGATTTTAAAATATTTTATTATTTCAAGCCTTTCTCATTAATCTGTCTTCTTCTAAGATTAGGCCACCTCCATTATTATACAGCTTGAAAAATAGCTCCTAACTGCTCATTTTTAATTATAATTTTCTCTAAAAAACCATTAAGCTCCTAGAAGAAAAACATGTCTCACTTTGGTCCTACTCTCCTTCCTCCACCCCTGAACATATCGAGATTCCTCCTTTTCCTCTAGTCTTGGAAATACTATGTATTTCAAAAATTGAAAACCGTTAAGTATGTCCTTGGTCCTCTTTTCTCTAATCTTGCTCCCTTGGAAATTATTAATATATTCAAGCCCATTTTCTTCAATTATCCTCTCTGCAGGTAATTCCTAAATCTCTACCTAATTCCTAAACTTCCCCCGAAGCTCTTGACCTACATTTCTAGTTGTCTGGGGGCACCCTGAGTAGATGTACTCCTACCACCTCTTAAGTCCAAGAGATCCAAAACTGAGCTTATTTTGTCTAAAGACAAACTAAACTTGTTGACTTCCATATCCTATTTGAATATCATAGTCCTAAACATCCACAAACAACCTAGCTCAAAAATAGTTTTGATGTCAACCCATGTGCCGTAATTAAAATTACCCATCTGTTGCCAAGAGACACAGAAATGGTTCTTGAAAAGAGTAATGTTATAGTTTAGCAGTATCTGGAAATCAAGTATCACATGATACAAAGCAACAGACATGCACATATAATCACAGATTTTGGAATTAATATTAAGAATTACTGAATCCATCCACCCTTGAAATACTGAAACTCCCTCATCTAGCAGTAAGATGTAGTACAAAGAGAAAGAGCCTGTAACTGACTCTTCCTTCATCTATAAAACAAATTAAATAAGTAGGTGTGCAAAGGTGCCTGGCACAGAGATGGCACCACAGTAGACATTCAAGTAACAGAAGAAACATTCCTTCCATGCAGAAAATACACTGCTTTCTAAGGTGGTATGTACCAGTGCGGGAGAGCACTACTAGAAGTTTAAAACATATGAAGTATTCCTACTTGTAACTTTTGCTCTGTTGCTGTAATTCTGCCTGCTCAAACAACATAAATTGTGTCTTCCTTCTCTTTGCAAAAAAACTCTTCAAACGATTGAAGACAACTATCTCCCAATGATTCTTTTCTTCTCCAGGCTGAGCAAATCTAGACACTCAAAGCATAATATCAAGTTGTAATTTGGCCACTACAAATAATCATTTAAAAATTCTAAGATCATGTACTTGGCAGTCACCATGGTAATAACTGTTTCAGGCTGGGTGTGGTGGCTGTAATCCCTGTTGGGAACAGGCCCTCCCAAAATCTGGCCATAAACTGGCCCCAAAACTGGCCATAAACAAAATCTCTGCAGCACTATGACATGTTCATGATGGCCATGATGGCCATAATGCCCATGCTAGAAGGTTGTGGGTTTACCGTTTACAGGAATGAGGGCAAGGAACACCTGGCCCGCCCAGGGAGGGAAACCGCTTAAAGGTGTTCTTAAACCACAAACAATAGCACGTGCCTTAAGGACATGCTTCTGCTGCAGATAACTGGCCCAACCTATCCCTTTATTTTGGCCCATCCCTTCGTTTCCCATAAGGGATACTTTTAGTTAATCTATGATTTACAGAAACAATGCTAATGACTGGCTTGCTGTCAATAAATATGTGGGTAAATCTTTGTTTGGGGCTCTCAGCTCTGAAGGCTGTGAGACCCCTGATTTCCCATTTCACACCTCTATATTTCTGTGTGTGTGTCTTTAATTGCTCTAGCGCCACTGGGTTAGGGTCTCCCCAGCCAAGCGGGTCTCAGCAAATCCCAGCACTTTGGGAGGCCGAGGTGGGCGGATCACTTTGAGCTCAGGAGTTCAAGACCAGCCTGGGCAACACGGTGAAAGCCCGTATCTACAAAAAATACAAATATTAGCCAGGCATTGGTAGCTCATGCTTGTAGTCCCAGCTACTTGGGAGGCTGAGGCTGGACAATCACTTGAGCCTGGGAAGCAGAGGTTGCAGTGAGTCAAGTTTGCGCCACTGCACTCCAGCCAGGGTGACAGAATGAGACTCTGTCTCAAAAAAAACATAAAACAAAAAACAAAAAATTGTTTCAGACAAGAACCACTAATAGATGCTAAAACTAGTGGATGGAAGTTTGATAGTTTAAAAAGAAACAGGTTATTTACAGTCTCAAAGTATCTTCACGCTAGAAGCCTACTGACTATAGCTGACCCTTGAACAGGGGCTTGAGCTGGGTAGGTGGGTACCCTTAAACTCAGTTTTTTTTCCACCTCTGCCACCTCTGAGATAGCAAGACCAATCCCTCCTCTTCCTCCTCAGCTTACTACTCAATATGAAGACAGCAAGGATGAAGATCTTTATGATGATCTACTTCCACTTAATGAAGAATAAATATATTTTCTCTTTTTATGATTTTCTTAACATTTTCTTTTCTCCAGCTTGCTTTGTTGTAAGAATACAGTATATAATACATATCACATACAAAATATGTGGCAATCAACTGTTTATTTTATTACAAGGCTTCTGGTCAACAGTGGGCTATCAGTAGTTAACCTTCTGAAGAGTCAAAAGTTACGCTTGGATTTTCTAGTGCACAGGGATCAGCACCCCTAACCCGTGTTGTTCAAGAGTCAGCTGTATTAAAGGATAAATGACAACTGTAAAGAAATCTGAAAGATAACACCATAACCAAATCAAATTTTATATCACCAGTAATGGGTTGGTTTGACACCATGTGTTTTCTGATATGTACTGCAAAGGACAAAACACCACTTCCAGGGTGTTTCTGCTAAAAATTCACAACTCAAATCTATTCATGACAGACAAATACAACCTAAGGGACATTCTAAAAAATAAATGACCTGTACTTTTTAAAAATGTCAGGGTTATGAAAAACAAAGACTGAGGAAACGTCCACATTAAAAGAGACTAAAGAAACTTGTTAACTAAATACAATGAAAGATCTAATACAAAGATTAGACCAGAAAAAAATTTCTCTAACAGCACTGGTGGAACAACTACAAACATCTAAATAAGGTTTGTAGATTATATAATATTGTATCAGCATTAATTTGCTGACTTTGACAATTTTACTGTGTTATATAACAAAATGGTCTTGGATGTCGGAAATTCATTCTAGAATAATTACAAGTAAAGAAAGGGACATCATGCCTGCAACTTACTCATAAGTGGGTCAGAAAAAAACCTTACTATAAGTATAAAGAAAGGAAAGACAGAATGGTAACACAAACGTGGTTTTAAAATGTTAACATTTAGGAAATCTTAGTGAAGGATACATGAGGATTTTTGTACTATTTTTGCCATTTTTCTGTAAGTATAAAATTATATCAAAATTATTTTTAAATTCTATTAAGCCACAGTTATATCCACACAGAATTAACTTCTCACAATCTTATTAGATTAATAAAAACTCAATTTCTTACAGGAAGACAGAGGAGTTAAGGAGTTATCAAAGAATAAACAAATGGTAGAGTTGGGATTTGTCTGTGTCTAAAACGATGATCTCTCTGTGTCACTTCCTACCACACCAAGCTATCAGGTACTCTTGAGTATTTTGAACACTAATGCAACTTCAATGAAAACAAGTAAACAAACTTGATAGAGGACTTTTTCCATTTTCCTTTAAACTAAATTAAGGAACCAAAAGGCTTCACTTTTTTCTAAGCAGTGGCAAAACAAAAAAAAATGTGCCAAAGTTTGACTTTAGAGACAAGAACTGCTGCTCTTTGCCATAGCTTTCCCCATAGCATGCTATTTTAATATGGAAATGAAACCACATTTTCACCTTATCAACCTTTAGACGCTGCCACATAAATTAATATAGTACCACATAAGCAAATAATGAGGTGTTGACATAGAGCAACCTTCAAAATTTGTGTCTTAAAATTAATGCTAAAATGTTTTCTATAATTTAAAAAAAACTATTTGAAGCTCTGGACATTTCGGGACCACTAGTAAGGTTTCTAAAACCTTAACACAACAGCCATATCTAGAAAGATCATCAGTGAATTAGAACCTAAAGTAACAGTTTCTCAAATTTAAGTTCAAATTATATTCAGAGGCTGGGCATGGTGGCTCACACCTGTAATCCCAGCACTTTGGGAGGCCGAGGAGGGTGGATCACTTGAGGTCAGGAATTCGAGACCAGCCCGGGCAACATGGTGAAACCCTGTCTGTACTGAAAATACACAAA
The DNA here is from genome assembly GCF_000001405.40 of Homo sapiens. NCBI lineage: Eukaryota > Metazoa > Chordata > Mammalia > Primates > Hominidae > Homo > Homo sapiens. The sequence continues at coordinate 109,360,979 of NC_000005.10, forward strand.
TTAGCCAGGTGTGGTGGCAGGCGCCTGTAATCCCAGCTACTTGGGAGGCTGGGGCAGGAAAATCACTTGAACCCGGGAGGCAGAAGTTGCAGTGAGCCGAGATCACACCACTGCACTCCAGCCTGGGCAACAGAACGAGACTCCATCTCAAACAAACAAACAAATTATATTCAGTAAAGACTTCCATTATTCCTTCAAATATTTAGGTAAAACAACCCTTTTGGAAGTATTTGGAAATAGGTATCCATACCTTGAAAAATACTACATATCTCAGTAATGTCCCCTCCAATTATTTGTCCTAAAGGAAAAACCAGAAGTATAGAACAAGTTTTATGGAGGATGGGGAAGAAAAAGTTCACTGCACTATTTCAATGAGTCAATAATCTGTTAAATCTTAGTGCCCCTATAGGAAGGAGCATCTTCACAATGGAGCTGTAAAAAATTATTTTTAGAGTCTTGAAAATGTGTAACAGAAAACATTCCTTCATATGTAACCGTAATTGCCTCCCAACATGCATAGATGATGCTAAACAGATGATTCTTTCAACTGCTGAACACTTTGAGGAATTACTTTGCATAATGGAGACAGAAGACTTCTGAATTAATAAGGAGTGCAGTAAAAAGGTAATGGGGAGACACAGAAACGGAGGAAAAGAGAGACGTATCAAGATCAGCAAGACTGGGACTAGGTAAAGCCACTTATTCTCCATAATGCATGGGAAACCAGAAAATGTGTTTTAGAGTATGAGAATGTTTAAGGTAGAAATACAAATTGCATGGCTGTAATGAAATCCCATTTCTACTTCCCCAAAATGGTGATAAAAGTCTGTTCTCCACACATTTTTTTCCCCCTTGGGGAGTAAGAATAGGAAAAGGCAAGGAAGATCTCAAGAAGATGTTCAGTTTCCCATCTGGAACAGTCTGGAGAAGTACAGAGAAGTAGCTAGCACACACAGAAAGAGAAATTAAAGACACAAAAGAGGACTTAAAACATATGTTCTGGAAACCTGAAGAGATATCAGGAGATATAAATGAGTTTTTTCTTATTTATTTTTCTGAATTTTCTGTAAAGGAATTTTAACTGGAAAAACAACACAAATTCTTAAAAATATATTTGTACAGAGAAAGAAACAAGTGTAAATACACCAAGATATCTTTTTTGCCCCAGAAAAAGTAAAAAAAGGGATCAGTTAGGAGGACATCCTTTCTATATCTCAATAGTTACCTGCTTTCAGTGGGCTACTATACACTTTAAAGATACTATAAACCAAAACAGTTAAATTCTGAGCATTGTATCGTAAGAAGTAACAATTCCACAACACACTTCACTTACATGTTACTTTCATTTGAAGCTGACTATTCTTTGTCAAGCATAAAGTAAATTAAATGCTTTCAACATCTCCTGGAAAGTAAAATTTTATCTTCCATATTTTACATAGAGAAGGAAAAGGAAGAATAGGGAAGGAGAACTATTCTTATTGTTTTCTGATTCAACCATAGGTTTTAAAATTGAAGTGGTATTCATTAAGAAGCTATTTTTGAAAGAATTATGCTAAGTGATAGAGGGCATATAAAGCAAAATTTTAAACGTCAGAAATCCAAAACTAAAAAAAAGTATGTAAGTAACTAGGATGTAAGGTGAGCTTCAAGAGAGCTAAAGGTCAAAGGAAGAGGTCACTGACTGGAGGAAGTAGGAAAGGGTCCAAGTAGGAAGGAACATTTGAAATGAGCTTTGAAGAAGAGGAGGACTAACAGATGGGAAAATTATAATATTTCTCAGCTAGCAGAGATTTAATTTTCATAAATTAGAATCATGAACTCAGAGCCTAATTAAGCATCCTAATAAAATCGTGCTACATACCTCCAATCCACATCTAAGTCTTCACTCACACTGGAGTCATCCTCCAGGTTATTGTTACCATCCAACATGAAAGCTGGCTGTGCAAATTCATTGGCAGGTTCATTTCCCTCATCACTGCTGCTTTCATTGACTTCATTGTACTGTAACCAAGGAATTTCTCCCTCTTCCAAGGATGTCTGTTCCCTAGTACAAACATTTTAAAGGAAGAAAAAAATATTATTTTAAAACATACCATAACACTGTCTTTAATTCTATTCCATGCAAGTGGATTCTGTTGAGTTCTAAGCTCTTGGTACTTTTATAATTCTAAAAAACTGTCTTCCTTAACTGCAGAATTATGTAAAAAAAGGAAAGAAATCAGTTATAGGGTCATATGTATACAGAAATAGTTCCTAATTACATAGGAACATATTTATTTGATTTACAAATTATCTATGCTGTTTTCTCCTTCTGTAGGAGAAACGTAAGAAAAATCCAACCCTGACTACTTGAATTTTGAAACAATGCTCTTGAGTACTTTCCCTTCACAGTTTAAATCTGAATTCCTCAACCTGGCCTTCAAATCCCTACATAACACATGCTTTCTGCTCAGCCCACTTCTCCAACAGCATCTCTCATCACTCTTCCCCAGCTACTATGCTCCTACTGTTCTTCCTACTTTTGAAACACATGGAGATCATTTCTACCTTGGGGCCACTTCCTCTACCTAAAATGTTCTTGCACTGAATTTTTACTTTGCTACTTTCTTCTTGATGTTCATGTCAGATTCATAAGTCACCATCTCAGGGAGGCCTGTCTTGAACATTCAGTTTAAATAGCTCTCCAGTTACTGACTACCACATAACTCTGCTTATTTAAACTATAAAATTTATTTTTGTTTAACATTTTCTTATTTGTTTACTGTCAGTCTACTCCTACTAGAAACTAACTAAACAGGAACAGAGACACACAAATCAATGGTACAGATCAAGAAAATAAGGAGGAGATAAAGGAAGCATTTCAAAACAGGAAGAAAAAAAAGGACTCATTAGGCTAGGTGCAGTGGCTCACCCCTATAATCCCAGCACTTTGGGAGTCCGAGTCAGGCAGATCACTTGAGGCCAGGAGTTTGAGACCAGCCTGGACAACATAGTGAAACGCTGTCTCTACTAAAACTACAAAAAATTAGCTGGGTGCATGCCTAATTCCATCTACTCAGGAAGCTGAGGCATGAGAATCGCTTGAACTCAGGAGGCAGAGGTTGCAGTGAGCTGAGATCACACCACTGCACTCCAGCCTGGGCAACAAAGCGAGACTGTGTCTCAAAAAACAAAAACAAAAAAGGACTCATCAACAAAATGTACTGGGACAACTGGGTATTCGCCCGCAGGGAGGGAGGTTAAATCCCTTAAATAAACTTTAGCTATACTTTTTTGAAGTACATGTGTATATGCACCCCCCACCTCACTTAAACAATGAGTACGAGAATAGTCATGAGGAAATTTTATAAAAATTTCAGTGTCGGCCGGGCGCGGTGGCTCACGCCTGTAATCCCAGCACTTTGGGAGGCCGAGGCGGGCGGATCACGAGGTCAGGAGATCGAGACCATCCCGGCTAAAACGGTGAAACCCCGTCTCTACTAAAAATACAAAAAATTAGCCGGGCGTAGTGGCGGGCGCCTGTAGTCCCAGCTACTTGGGAGGCTGAGGCAGGAGAATGGCGTGAACCCGGGAGGCGGAGCTTGCAGTGAGCCGAGATCCCGCCACTGCACTCCAGCCTGGGCGACAGAGCGAGACTCTGTCTCAAAAAAAAAAAAAAAAAAATTTCAGTGTCATTCTAAGCATGATATAAAACCCTGAAGTCACAAAATTTGGACACAAAACTCAAACTGAGAAACGTGAACTACAATACAAGAGAGACAAAGGGCTTTTCCTTAATCAATAGAAGCTTAAAATGTAAAAAAAAAACTGTAAGAAAAACATCAATATATATCAACAGAAAGGAGGCAAAGGATATAATAATTAGCAGAAAAGGAAATTCAAATAGCCCTTAAATATATAAAGAGATGCTCTGCCTCATTTATAATAAGCAAAATGCAAATTAAAACAACTGAAATATGTTTCAACTATTAGCAAAAATAAAAAATTCTGATAATACCCTGTGTGTTGGTGAAGCTCTGAAGAAAGCTTTGAAGAAAGGCAATTCATATAGTGTTGGTAAGAAAGTGACTAATTTAAGTTCTTTGTAGAGAAACCCGGCAAAAGCTATAGATTAGGTTTATGCACACTCACTGACCTAGTGGTTCGGCTTCCAGTTATTTCTCCTAAACATGTACAATGTGTTTTTTATTTTTTCTTCAGCATTACTCACAATAGCCAAAACTGTCCACCAAATGAAACTGGTATACTCATGTAGTAGTATACAGTAAGTTCTGACTTAACTTTATACGAGCTTCTTAGAATATGTGACTTTAAGCAAAACAAGGTAGAACTATGCAGACTTAAAATGAATAAAGGAAATCTATATGAATATGGAACAATCTAAAAAACAGATCTATAAACAAAACAAATAACGAAACCAAGGTGTACACATATGTCTACACAATGTGCTACCGGTTGCATAAAAAATGAAATGGAACGTGTACACATATATGCTTTTATGTGTACGGAAGATCTTTAGAAGTTCAAAAAGGAAGCTGGTTATAATGGTTTTTAATTGGTCTTTCCATACTGTCTAAACTCACTTTTTATTGTTGTATGAATCCTTTTTTTTTTAAAACAACTGTAATTTCATCTGTTTATCAAGAGAAGTTCAACCAGAAATAGCTACCCAAGCAATAAACTGTTAGCAATTCATTAAATATTTCCAAAGCACTCAAACTTGTGTCATTAAATCTGTATTCACTCTTACTGGTATTTCAGAAACCATCCCTTTAATTATGCAAAGTACAATAGTGAAAAGAATTTTTTTAGTTTCATGAGTCATGTGACCAATTATTAAGGAGTCACACAGTTGTTTGTATATTTAGCCTAAAGATAGCTAAAACTAACAGATGTTTAGCAGATGCTTAACAAATTTTAAAACCTTGAAGGTTTTCTCAATTTCAACCAAAGTACAGGTTATTTTCTCCCTTTGGTCAAAGCTCTATTGGTGTCTATCTAGACAACTCAAGCTTTTGAAAATGTACTAATTTATTCCCATTTTTTATTCTTCTTTCTGTTCCATCCCAGATATTAGAACTTTTTTTGGGCTAGATTTAATTAGGTTGTCATAATTATGCAATTGACATTTGGTGTACTACATCATTCTGAATGAAATACATCATTCTGAATGCAAAATATATTAATTGGAAAGAGACTTGTGATCTACACACATCATGGTAATACAAAAACTACCTTACTAAATAGTCTGAATCACTGTTAGAAAATAAAATCCAGGTTAGAGAAAATAAATATGTAATCATAGATTCATCAAAACAAGGCTGCTAGCTCTAAGAGCAAGTCTAAGGATGAAAAATGTGTGAGCAAAACCATAATTTGGCACTACAGTAATGTAAAAGACTAATTTTTGAAAAACTGGGCTTCTTAAATTACCAACATTCAATATCTCTGCTCTTGCTTTTTCTTTTGCTTAGAAAGTTCTTTCTGAACCCTAATTCTCATCTTTAAGAACTCAGCTCAAAAGTCAATTCTAAAGAGACGTCATCCCTGACCACTTTAATATCTTCATCATTTACCTTCTTTCACATCACTGTTTTATTCCCTTCACAGTAATCATCACATGTGTAATGTACTGGGTTTGTATCTTGGTTATCATCTGCCTTTCCTACTACAATGTAAGCTTCATGAAGGAATGTTATTTGTCTTTGTTTACTGATATAACGCCAATATCCAACACAATGCCTGGCACAAAGTAAATGCTCAATAAATATTTGCTGAGTGAATAACTGCTAACACAAATGACATATGAATAATTTATACTTAGTAAACTAAACTAACAGTGATTAAAGGCAATCAAATATAAAATCATGAGGCCAGGCGTGCTGGCTCATGCCTGTAATCCCAGCACTTTGGGAGGCCAAGGCAGGCAGATCACCAGAGGTCAGGAGTTCAAGACCAACCTGGCTAACATGGTGAAACCCCATCTCTACTAAATATACAAAAATTAGCCAGGCATGGTGGTGGGTACCTGTACTCCCCGCTACTCAGGAGGCTGAGGCAGGAGAATCACTTGAACCTGGGAGATGGAGGTTTCAGTGAGCCGAGATCGTACCACTGCACTCCAGCCTGGGCAACAGAGAGCAAGACTCCGTCTCAAAAAAAAAAATATATATATATATATATATATCTATGATGTATATTTATGATATATATATCTCTCTCATGAAGAGGAAAAAAATGCCACCTCAACCTACCACTGTTGAAACCAATTATGTTTGTGAATTTCTTTCTTTATAGATTTTTCTATATATTTTATTCCTAGATTTTCTTATAGGATTAATCTCAAGCTGAAAATGTATATGCTTTGAGAAGTACAAGTTTTAATATTAGTCTACACTGAAAAAGTTCTTTTCCTAAAAAAAAACATAATTTACCAAAATAGTTCCCATGAGACTAAGAATTAGAACCAATTATCATAGAAAAAAATTAAATTATCAAAAAGATATTCTACAATAAAACAAGAGGCCTAGATGGTTTCACAAGGGAATACTAACAAACTTTAAAGGAATAAATAAGCTATTTAAGCAACAGATGCAAGGACAAAAAAAGAAAAAGAATACACATCTTTTTAGCAAAGCAAGTACCAAACTGATATTGAAACAAAAAACTAAAAGACAATTTGCATCTAGGAATCTCATTATAAAAATCCCATGTAAAATATTAGAATCCAGCAGCCCATTAAAATAACAATAAACCATGACTGTGATCAGATTTGGTTTATTTCAAGGAGCAAGGGAAGTTGAATATTAGCAAATCTAATTATAGAACAATTCTTCATGATCAGGGCAAAAGTAAAAAACCATCATGATCACTTCCATTGATGCTGAAAAGACTTTCATAAAATTCAACAAACATTCTTGCTAGAAACCCATAAAATAGTAAAAGGTTGGAAGACAGCTATACCCATTCATTTACATCTTGTCTATGGCTACTTTTATACTGCAACAGTAGAGGTGAGTAGCTGCAACAAAGACTGGACACAAAGCCATAAATATTTATTATCTAGCCCTTCATGGTATGTTTGACAACCCTTACAGTACTAGAGCTTTCCCATTAAAATGAGGAAAGAACAAAAATGTTTATCATCAATCACTGATATTTTGGAGATCTCATCCAATGCAATTAGACAAGAATATGAACACTAGCTTTTGCAACTAACTGTCTCCATTTCTGTGAATGAATCACTGATTTCCCTCTTGAGGCTGTCCTTTCTCCCTTGAGCAATGACAGTGCTAATTCACCCATTCCTAACTTAACCAAAATGACATTTTAGGTGCCCAACTTTTCTTATTAAAGCCAAGTGGAGACATATATTGTATCTCCATAAACGATACTGAAATTATCAGTATTTTCAACTTAATTGTTCTTTTTAAAATACCAAAAGCATAATGAAAAAATCAGGGGGGCCTACTGGTTCTACATAAGGCTTATAAATACAATTAATGGCATATCCAACATTTGAATGTAAAATATACCACTCTTGTACAATATACAGAAAAATAAATCTCACTGTTGAACATACCCTTCCTGAAGAGATAATTCTTGGTTTTCTTCTTCAGGGCCACTGCTATCACTTTGTAGCTCAGGTTCATTCTCATCTTTTCCTGGCAGAGTCTCCCAGCTTTCATCACTTGAGGATTGATCTTTTTCTGTACCAGAAAATCGATGAGGCAAAGAAGCAGACCATTCCCCATCACTGCATTCAGAACTGCAAATCAGAAGAGAAATAAACTATCATAATGTGTTCAGTTATTTTTATCATTTGGGGTGTTAACTAGATGATATGGTTTGGATCTGTGTCCCCACCAAATCTCATGTTGAACTGTAATCCAAAATGTTGGAGATGGGGCCTGGTGGGAGGTGACTGCATCATGGGGGTGTATCCTTCATAAGAGTTTAGCATTATCCCCTTGGTACTGTTCTTGTGATACTGAGTTTTCACCAGATCTGGTTGTTTAAAAGTGTGTGGCACCTCCCCCCTCATTCTTTCTTACACCTGCTCCTGCCAAGTGAGAAGCCTTGTTCCTGCTCTGCATTCCACCATGATTGGAAGCTTCCTGAGGCACCCCCAAGAAGCAGAAGCCACTATGCTTCCTGTACAGCCTGCTGAACTATGAACCAATTAAACCTCTTTTCTTTATAAATTACCCAGTCTCAGGTGTTTGTTTATAGCAATGCAAGGATGAACTAATACACCAGACATCATAGTATAGAGTGGAGTGTCGATGCCACATATGCTTTGTCAGGTGCTAATTCAATCTTCAGACTATTAAACAAATAAATGCATGCAGTAGAGTGTGACTCTTTGAAAAGAATATGGCATATGGCAAGTTATGGAATATATCACTTTACTTTTTCTTACACTACATCCATGGTACCTAGATAGGGGCTTGTCATATTTTAGACACATTTCTAAATAAATTTTTAAATACAATTTGGTAATCTTAAATGCTACCTGGAATAAATGTAAGTAGACTTACTGCATATCTAACATGACTAAAACAACTTTCAAATTATATACTGACAACTAATGACATATTTTCTATGAATAAATTTCTACTATTACCATGTAATAAAAAGTTAACTGTCTTTTTCCTTCCTTTTTCCCAAAGAACTTTTCAAGAAGTGACATTCAAATGCATAAAAAGCAGTACTGGCAAAACTTTACTGTCCTTAGGTAGCACTGTGAATACAAAATAAATTTCAGTTCAGGCCGGGCATGGTGGCTCACACCTATAAATCCCAGCACTTTGGGAGGCTGAGGTGGGCAGATCACCTGAGGTCGGGAGTTCGAGAGCAGCCTGACCAACATAGAGAAACTCCATCTCTACTAAAAATACAAAATTAGCTGGGCGTGGCGCTGCACGCCTGTAATCCCAGCTACTTGGGAGGCTGAGGCAGGAGTTCAGCTTGAACTTGGGAGGTGGAGGTTGCAGTGAGCAGAGATTGTGCCATCGCACTCCAGCCTGGGCAACAGGAGTGAAACTCCCTCTCAAAAAAAAAAAAAAAAAAAAAAAGCAGCACAGAAAATTACTTTTGATTACATTTAGCCAACTTGGTTACAATTAACTACTCTTAGTTTTTAAAGAATTAGTCCTCTTATGCTACCAAAGGCTAAAATATTACTTATCAATGTTGAAAATAAGTCTTAAATGCCCCCTCCAACCATATCAACCATTTTGGTTAAGAATCTCCTCAAAGATCTCTCTACGTTCACTAGACTTGGAAAATCAAAAATAACAATTTTAGTTTACATTTTTGAAAGGAAGTGATAATTGGTAGGAAATTACATTTTTTAATGATGATTATTATGTCAATACGCAGTTAGTGATTTCCTTTATTAACAGATGCACTCAAAAGATCAAGATGATATTAACAAACAGTAGCACTAATCTAAGCTCTGAGAAGTTTACTAGAAGCAAAGATATAAAATCAACTGCCAATTTCCAGTAAGCAATGGATGGCAGGGCATTAACATCCCGGAGAAGGAAAGCTATAAACCCTAGGCACAGCAACTAAAAGGTGTTCTTTCAGCTGGGTCTAAGCCAAAGTTCCTTGTATGCTGTACAATTTTCTGTGACCCAAAGAATAATCTAATATAAACAATTTCTAGACTTATATAAGTATTAAAATCCAACACAGAAAGTAGTTTTAAAGGAGCTTATTGACCTAAGTTTCCTTGAGTAAGAACCTTCTAAAATTCAAAGCTAAATTACCAACTCCTATTTTAATGTCTTTAACAATTAGGGTAAGATTTCTATATAAATTTGTGGCAATTCTTAACATATATAAAAGAGAAGCTCAGTTTTTAAAAAAAAATTTTCACTCAGAATATGATCCTGTCCAAAGAGATAACATTAAAAAGTCCTCACTTTTCCATATTAATCAAATAACTCATGGAATATCTCTAAACTTCAATACAAGAGGAATGTCTATGATCAATAATCAAGAAGCCTATGTTATGGATTGGCAAACTACTACAGGCTTGGGTTCAAACCTGACTCTGCTGCCTGTTTTTTAATGGTGTGTGAGCTAAAAATGGTTTTTACATGTTTATCTTTAATTTTGCCTCTTAGTCACCAAAGCCTAAAATATTTACCATCAGCTCCTTTAAGAAAAGGTTTGCAGACCCCACGCCTATATCATTATTACTCATGATACCTAACCCTCAATGCTAAGGAGACAACTTTTAAATGCATATCCCCAGCCAGCCCCAACCATCACACTAAGCTTTCGCAATCACTAACTACCCTCTAAGCATTTTAAGATTTTTCACCTTCCTTGTCAAAAATTCTATTATAAAATTAATCTGTCAGATGAATCCCTATCTTGATTTGTTATCTTTTAATGCTATCACCATGCTCTCATTCTGCAAACACTTATTTTTTGACTCTTCACAAACTCCCCACATTCAAATCCTTTCTTACTTTCCATTCTTTCTCTGCACAATGGCTCTTGTAGTCTTAGCTCCTTTTTCTCCGTTTCTCCTAAAATGTAAAACCCTAGTTCAAATGCTTTTCTCCAAATTAGACCTATATAGTCAATTATTAATTGGTGTTCCTAAATTTAATTCCACTCCCTCAAAATGCATTCTGAATACTACCATCACTTCAATTTACATATCAAACAGTATGTTTATAGTATTACTCCAAAAAACCTTCAACAGCTCTTTTTTCTAATGCTACTGCTTTAGTTTCACAAACAAGCCATTTGCCTATCACTCTCACAATTTTTGCTGCAGTTGCACATTAACCCTCTGTCTTAAGGTACGATAGTTGAGAATACAGGTCCTGGTCAGCTTGCCTGGAGTTAAACCCACCACTTATTAGCTATGAAAACCTCTCTATGCCTTTTTAGCCTCACATATCAGGTGAATACAACAACAGTATTTAATAGTTCACTGGGTTCATGTAAAGGGTAAGTGAGTTAATATATATAAAACATTTTCACAATGCCTGATAAATAATGAGCCATCAATAACTGTTAGCGAGTCTTTTTTTAACATTTTTTTAAACTCAAATACATTTAGTTAGGATAAGCAATAGCCATTAAGTCCTGAATTTGATGTGCTACCTATATTTTCTTAATTTCCATTAACATAAATACATAATGATTAAATTAAAAACATTGTGTACCACTTAATATATTTTACCCACTTTGGAAATAGTGACCTATAGAATAAAAAGTTAAATGTCTTTGAATAACACTTATAATTTACTGCTATCTGATCCCAGTACTTTCTTGCATCCAACTCAAGAATGCTCTATTTCAAACAGTGTCCTCAAAGTGGGCATTCTTGCCATCAGGAATATCTTTATAATCACTTCACCTTTTCCCCACTTCCAAACACAGATCAGACTCTATTTCTTTCAAGACCTTCCTGTATAAAATCGCTTCTTTTGTTTTTCAATTATTTCATGAACTAGACTTCTTGTTTACTCAGTGCAGCTCACTACAACACAGCTGCTTCTTTAACATTGCAATTATTTTTCATAATAGTGCAGAGAAATCAAAGAAAATGGGTACTGAGAAAAGACAAATGGATGTGGAAATCAGGAGGTCACCACTGACATTAAAGAATATAGGGCCGGGTGCAGTGGCTCATGCCTGTAATCCCAGCACTTTGGGAGGTTGAGGCAGGTGAATCACCTGAGGTCGGGAGCTCGAGACCAGCCTAAGCAACATGGAGAAAACTGGTCTCTACTAAAAATACAAAATTAGCTGGGTGTGGTGGCGCATGCCTGTAATCCCAGCTACTCAGGAGGCTGAGGCAGGAGAATCGCTTGAACCTGGGAGGTGGAGGTTGTGGTGAGCCAAGATGGTACCATTGCACTCCAGCCTTGGCAACTAGAGCAACACTCCGTCTCAAAAAAAAAAAAAAAAAAAAAGAAAGAAAGAAAAAAAAATTAGCCAGGCATGGTGGTGCACACCTGTAGTCCCAGCTACTCAGGAGGCTGAGGCAGGAGAATTGCTTGAACCCAGGAGGTGGAGGTTGCAGTGAGCTGAGATTGCACCGCTGCACTCCAGCCTAGGTGACAAAGCGAGACTGTCTCAATAAAAAAGAATACAGAAATAATATTAGGAATTAGATTTCAAGGCAGTAAGAAGAGTGGATAGTGACAGAATAGAGACAGTGGGTATGGAAAACTTTTTCTTAAAATTCAGCAGTAGAAAAGAAAACACAAACAGGCAAATAACAGAGCAAGAAAAAGTAAAGGTTTTCTTCAAGATTGAGAAAAACTCAAGGTTGAGAGACAGAGGGAAGCAACCTGTGAGTAAGGACAATTAGATGAAGTGTCAGAAATAACTAGAGGCACAGAATGAGAGGGGCTACCTCTCTTCATTGAAGAGGAAATTAAAAATACAAATAAATACTACTATCCCCTAATATGGAGAAGAGGAAAATAAGAAAATTCACATTTACATATTTTTAACTTCTACAGGAAAATAAGAAACGAAGCTAACCATTAGGAGTGACAGGAGTACATGGAAGGAAAAAAGGGAAAAGATTTAAAAATCACTTTTTAAGGAGTAAGCAACAGAACAAATAGGACACAAAAATGATCATGGAACAGTGAAGATCCATTTGTTCTAGATTTTAAAAGCGGGTGAATGACACATTTAAAAGTTCTCAAAGTAAAAACTAAATTAAGTACTACTTTGATCTTCATATGATCCTTCACTGGTACTGATCCCTTTTAGCACCTAAGAGTTGTATTTAAAAAGCAGACAACTATAATTTACTCAAATGTTACACTCTACACATTCAATTGTGAACTAAAAAAACTTGATATACAGAATGAAATTATAGACAAAATTTATGTACAAATCCTAGGCAGAAATAAGCTATGGAAACATAAAACCAACCAAAAGTAATCTCTCATTCCATAATTCCCCAAGGTACTTGTTACTTTGTTCTTCCTGGCATTTATCACAGCCACAAGAAACTCAACTACAGGAGCCTAGGAAAAAGTGAAATTTTAAATATTTTGTTATCTGACATAATCTAAACATTCTGGAACTTTTTACCACTATTAACACTGAACTGTAATGTAATACAGTGATATGAATGGATTATGTCCAAATATATAAGTCTGCTTAATTTCATTAAGATGGCTATGATTTTTGCATTGTGCCTGCTTTTTGTCACTTTCTGGTCTTTTTCCTTAGTATCAGGTTATTGTAATCCCATGAACTCCCTAGCATATCTGCAGAACAAACACATTTATACCTAATGTGCTCCTTCCAAACTTCTATGAACTTGAAAACAAGATAAAAAGGTTTGCTAAAATGTCAGCACATATGCTTTAAGATCTGTGCCTTGGCTGCATATAGATGTTTTATTTGTTGGGGGTAGTACCAAGTTCTCAGACAAACTCTTTCTTTGTGGCTCTCAGGTAACCTACACGGAACAGGAAAGGCGCTTAATTCAGCCTCACAATAATAAATACGTATATTTTGTCTTCTTCATAAAGCTAGTGAACCTTGTGGGAACAGGGACCATTATGATTTGTATTAACAGGGCACCTGGAACAAAGTCTGGCACTTAAGATTTCAACAAATCCTTTAATATATCATATTGAAGTCAACTAAATGGCTAACAATCATTTTATTTCCCAACATCATCAACAAAGTAAGTTGTCCCAACATTTTACCTTAAGTAAGGTTTTTAAATTTTAAGCAAAGTTAAGTCCTAAGGCCACAAAAATTCTGCAAGAAACCTCAAATGCTATAAGTAAGGAACAGACAGTAGATGGCATGCCTCTCTTCAGAGCAGTTAGGCCCAAGGTTAAGATATGCTAGTATTGCTGAAAGGTTTTTTTTAAACTCAAGATCTTGTCCTCAAACAGTTACTAAACTTCTCAGGGTATATTTCAAAAGAGCAGGGTATTAACCTTAGCTCTTTGGTCTAATTCTAAGTCTGGTAATTATATGCTGCCTATTAAAATTCCCCTTGGAATCCTAATTTAATAAGGTGGTGCTCAGTACCTGTCAAACAGCTCAGAGCAATGCTACTGGCTGCAATGTTTATCCCACAGAGTGTAACATTTCAGATGTGATTAAATGATCATTTAGAATTTTTCAGGGAAGAAGGCAATCATGAATTCATTAAAATACTTTTCTACTTAAAAAGAATATATAATTCATATTTTTAAAAAGTAGCCAAAATTCCTATATCTAAAAATGCTGGCCGGGTGCAGTGGCTCACGCCTGTAATCTTGACACTCTGGGAGGCTGAGGCGGGTGGATCACTTGAGGTCACAGGTTCAAGACCAGCATGACCAACATGGTGAAACCCCATCTCTACTAAAAATACAAAAATTAGCTGGGCATGATGGCATGCCTGTGGTCCCAGTTATTCAGAAGGCTGAGGCAGAAGAATCACTTGAACCTAGGAGGCAGAGGTTGCAGCGAGCCGAGATCACGCCACTGCACTCCAGCCTGGGCAACAGAGAGAAACTCTGTCTCGAAATAAATAAATAAAAAATAAAAAAATAAAAATGCCACAATGAACTTTAGTTATATTCTTGATGAGTTCTACTTTGGCTATTATAAGCATGACAAAAAAAAACTTTTCAAGTATATCAACTTTTTAAGCTTTACAAAAAAACTCAAAGTTCACAGGCCCAAATTAAGCAGCAGCTCTTATACTTTCCATCCAAAACCTGAGAAGACTAGCATCACCATCTCTCCAATCTACAAATACAAGAACTAGGGAGGATGACAATGAAACATCAGGGAGATGAACAAGGGCAAAATGAAACTAAATAGGAGTGTACAGCTATTAAATTCCAACCTTTAGCTGGCACCATATTAAAAAGGCACCCTGGCAACTATAATCCTTTGCAGGGAATTAGGGTAGAGGAACAGGACACAGCAGCATAGAAACAGAGTTTCTGTTCAGAAATAGAATAATCTGTACAGAAAACTGTACAGACACTTTGAGATCGTAAAACATATCTTAAGGCTATGGATAAAAATATAAGTACAGTCCTAGGCAGAACCATTATCCTTTAGAATTTATTCTATGATTCTTTAAAACAAAACGAAACAAGAAACTTTTAAGCATTTCAATGTGTCTTAAACAATGATCCTAAAGTAGTTCCATCATTTTGGCATACCCTAACCACAGGCTCTGTAGTCAATACATTACTAGCAATTTAAAAGGACAGTTTCTATTAACTGTAAATGTTTTTTCCCATCTATATATTGTTTGTAAAAAAAAAAAAAAAAAACTATCATTGTTCAGAATATTGACATCACTTAAGAAAAAAATTAAAAATAAGAATAAGAATTACAAATAACTAAGAAAATACCTTATAACTATGAAAAGTCCAGGGTCCTTCAAGGCAAAGAATACACTTCCACCACTGACCACCCCCAAAACAAAGAAAATCAATTTAAAATCAAGGAGCCAGGAAGACTACCTTTCTCTAGGGGTTGGCAAACAATGTAACAATTTCATCAACTTCATCATAAGACATTATAACTGACTATAAAAAGCAAGCAGAAGAGAAGTATTTATTTTGCCCAAAATGACAAAGGTATAGCCAAATTAAATGATTCTCCTTAAAGAAGAAAAAGTGTAACTGGGGGAAAAAAAATACAAGCACCTTACACTTTCAAAAAAATAAATTATCAAAGACTGTAAGTTTTGTCTTTTTTTAAAAATAGTAACCTAGAGGTATAATATTAGAGACTTGCAATCTATTTCAAAATCTTAGGGCTAAATGTGTTTTGGAATTTTGATATATATTTCCCAGATTTAGAACTACTACTTAACAAACCCCAACATGGTCCAGGCCACACACAGTAATCAAACATAACTATATTTCTGCAGTAAAATATACAAATATTTGAAAAAATACCCTCATTTCAATTCAGATCCAGATCTGCTTATCCAGGAAGTTAACATCAGGTCAGGCTTTGTGGCCAATTTCTGTTTTTAGAAGTGTGGATACTGAATAAAACACTGTGGGCTTGAACTGAAAAAAACTTTACCTTTAGCTTAAAAACAGTATATCATACAAAAATTACTTACTAACCCTTAAAGTTTACAGACTTTGACAGAGCAGCAGAAATTATATTTTAAATATTTTCTATAATAAATTACACAATCTGTATTATAGTAGCTTAATTCATATGTCCAAAGAAAATCAAATGAATTGTTTTATGACATGAATTAAAATGCATTCATATTCAAAATGGTAAATTTCTTCCTTTATAGTACTTTCTAACTAAAAAAAAACCACACAATTATTTCCACTAGCTAATAAAATCTTGCAATTGCACTGTAATTGAGCACTGTCAGGGATGCAACTAGCTTACAAGGACTCATGAAAATCTGGACACTGGGGTAATGGAAATTCAGCAACTGAACAAAGAAATTCTCCATTTTTTTCTTTTTCTGTTGTCTTATGGTTTGGAAAAAAAAGATACGGGTTTGTAAGAGCAATCAGAATGCTTATTATAAGTTTTATGTTCTGTTGAAAATAGCAAAGAATAGTGGTGAACAGTCTCTGGAATACCCAGTTAGGTACTCAAAGTCCAGCTCTACCATTAAGTTGCTCTGTGACCTTAGGAAGTTATATAATGCTCTGTGCCTCAGTTTCCTTATTTACAAATGAGGGAAATAATGGAATCTACCACACAGAGTTGTTAATGAGAATTGAATGCTAAGAAAAAATAAGTAAAAAATAAACTTAGTGATAGGAAGAGCCACAGGAAGAACAGATAAAGAGGGAAACAAGTGATATTAGTCACTACTGGCAATGTTAATGAAGTATTACCAATCAATAATTTGTGATATTAATCACTTTTTAAACCCAGACTGGCTTAATGTAGGTTTTTAAAAAATACAACAAATGTTTATTTTACATTTTATTAATTGAAATACCATGAACTAGCATCTCTATCCCTTTATAATAATAATCATTATCTGAACTTACTTCTGTAAACTACTAAAAACCTCAAAAACATTTTTTTGTGAAAAATTCTAATGAGTAGTTTGCATGTATGGTTAGCATTCAGTAAATAAAAATATTTGGTAAGTCAAAATGTCTAATTCCCTGATCATATCAAATAGCCCAGCCATCAAACATGGTTCTAGAAAGAAACCACTTCATTTACTACACAATCGGAAAAAGTACTGGATGTGACCTTACCTATCTTCATCTTTGTCATAGAGTTGGTAATAATCTCCACAGCCATTCCAAAAGGTGTTATCCACCTCTTGCCTTCCTGCTGTGGCTCCACTTTCTGATGTCATTTGGTTATTTTCTGTTTCCCTTTGTGTAATAACTCTTGAGTATGGTGGATCCAAGAACATACAGTCATGCTCTCCATCATATTCTTCACATTTTATTAAGAGGTCATCTGAGCCACTTTCCTCAACTTCCAAAGCCTCTCTCCATCTTTGAACACTTCTTTGTTTCGCCTCATGCCTATTAAAACCTGTTTCTTGGTCCACCTGGCTTGAACTTATCAGTTTTCTAACTTTTGGCCTCACTACCTGTTCAGGAGAACTTCCATGGTTCTTTTCCCTATCATTGGTATTTTGTTCACTACAAATATGCCCTGGACCACAGGCTGCATCTTCAGGTGAATGTTCTGTCTGTCTTTCCTGGCTAGTATTATTTTGTTGTTTCGTACTAACCATTTCATCTTGAGAAGACCTCTGAATTTCCTGGCTATTCTGATGGACAAACTCAGTATCACCAGCAGAACTTTTCACTAATGGTACAGAATCTAACTCTTCAAACTCATCTCTTACTTCACAGTTAAATGAGGGAACTGGTGGTGAAAGACCAGTGTATGCCTCTGCCTCTCTGTTTTCCAACTCAAATACTGTATTGCCTAATGATTCCTGGTATCTACTACCTTCCACGACTTCTGCAGAAAGTTGAAGATGGTCATTATCTTCTCCATGTTTGCCATCTGGATCATAAGAGTCTGTATGAACCAATGCAATTCCATTTTGGACACTTGAAGCACTACAAGCTCCTGGAATATACTCTCCCTCAGAGTGATTATGAAGATTTGTACTGCTTCCTAAGGTATCCCTGCCTTCCTCACTGTGATGTACTGCAACAAAGGATTGACTGCTCTCAGTGGTTTGATTCAATGCTGAACCACAAGTGGGAATTTCTGTTTCACTTTTTTCAAATATAGGTTCACTGGGTAAAGAAGAATCAACTTGATCCAAAGGACTGGAACCTTCATAAAAAACAAAAGAAAACATATTTTAAAGGATTAACTTAGATAAAATTTTATGTAATAACTATCACTTAAGTGGAAATCATACCAATTATTACTACTTGAATACATGAGTAAATTTATTTACCAAGCACTTCTATGCTCCTTAACTGAGAATGCAGACTGATTACTCTATGAGTTCATTTATGTCAATGTACAGCCTTTCACTATCATCTCCCTCACATGGCTTTGGCAGTTTTCTATCTAAATCCTAATATCTAATGCCTTCTGCAAGACATATAAAGGAGAAGCTCTTGAGAGGTTATACAATGGGAAGCCTCTCGTAAGTGGAGTCTAGGGTAACCAATCTGCTTCCCAGTGATTTCCAAACTTACCTTCTTTATTATATGCAGGTAAAAACAACAACAAAACAAAAAACCTTCAAAAGTACTTATGACAGATATAATAACTATAGTTACAGATTTAAGAGAAATTAGACCCTATTGTGTTTTGTTGGCAATTCACAAAATTATATCTCAGTATCTCGACAGATTATAAATTGAATTGTTGTAATACATTTGTAATAAGTTTACTTTAGATGTGTTATAGTTATGACTGAAAAACAACAAAGAGATCAATATGTTGATTCTTGTCATAATTGTGAGAATTCTGAAACATGAGTAAAATCATATCTATAAATTACTTTAAGCATAACTATCTTGCATCACCACTAATAAAAAAAATGAAGACATTTGAGATTTGCTGGAATAAAAATTCATGAATTGTAAAATAACTGAAGTTCGGCCATGATATATGGTACGAAGGGTTCTTTGATATATGGTACGAAGGGTTCTTTTTTTTTTTTTTTTTTTTTTTTTGAGACGGAGTCTTGCTCTGTGGCCCAGGCTGGAGTGCAGTGGCATGATCTCGGCTCACTGCAAGCTCCGCCTCCCAGGTTCACACCATTCTCCTGCCTCAGCCTCCCAAGTAGCTGGGAACGAAGGGTTCTTCAATGGGATGACCCTAGCTAGTAATTCAGATTCTTACATATGACAGCAAAAATAATCTAGAAATGTCTTGTCAAGTTTGCTTAGAACAAGAGGAAGAAGACAAATCCAGTCCAAAAATGTGCAATTATGGTACATGGATAGCTGCAAAATACTTTTTCAAAACCATTGAATAACTAAGAAATTTTAATTGAATAAGCCTTCCTTGTCCTTTGGATTTTGTAAAATGATGAAAAAATAAACAAGCCAAGTTAAATTTAGGATAAAATTAAAAGAAGAAAAGTTGGCCGGGCACAATGGCCCATGTCTGTAATCCCAGCACTTTGGGAGGCTGAGTTGGACGGACCACTTGAGGTCAGGAGTTCGAGACCAGCCTGGGCAACATGGCAAAACCCCATCTCTACCAAAAAATACAAAAATTAGGCGTGGAGGCGCATGCCTGTAGTCCCAGCTACTTGGGAGGCTGAGGCAGGAGAACCACTTGAACCCAGGAGGTGGAGGCTGCAGGGAGCCCAGATCACGTCACTGCACACCAGCCTGGATGACAAAGTAAGATTCCATCTCAAAAAAAAAAAAAAAAAAAGAACGCCAGGCATGGTGACTCACACCTGTAATCCCAGCACTTTGGGAAGCCAGCCAAGACAGGTGGATCACTTGAGAGGTCAGGAGTTTGAGATCAGCCTGGCCAACGTGGTGAAACCCTGTCTCTACTAAAAATACAAAAATTAGCTGGGTGCAGTGACAAACACCTGTAATCCCAGCTACTAAGGAGGCTGAGGCACAAGAATTGTTTGAACCTGGGAGATGGAGGTTGCAGTCAGCCAAGATGCACTACTGCAGTCCATCCTGGGCAACAGAACGTGACTCCATCTCAAAAAAAAAAAAAGAAGAAGAAGAAAAGTTATTTAAATATTATATGCAGGGAAAAAATATCTCTACTTGATCCACATTTTTAAAAATTTCAAAATATATCTTTTTGATTCAAAGATGATTTCCTTTGGCTGGAGGTTATGACAACGTAATCACTACTATGAGAGTGTGGTTATATTTTAATGATTGGCTGTATTCTATTTTCTTCTACAATGTTTAAATATATACACCATTAATATTAAATTCAATAAGAATTTCAAAATAGAATTTCTTGATAGGAAGTGTGCTGCATTTACACTCACAGACATGCATAATACCCACCCAAAAATTTAATTATAAGATCAATTCCTATATAACTATTAATAACCTTTAAATAATTAAATGTTACACACCTGAGGAATTTTCCTTTGGAACATCATCTAGTTCCAACACTTCATAGTCATCACCAGCCCGACCTAAGCTTCTTTCATGTCTGGTCATACATGGTTTAAAACTGACATAAGCATGTCTTCTTCCATATCTCCTGCCTGTAATTGTCTGATACCCTCCTGCTGGTTTGGGCCAGACAGCCTTACCAGATTCTTGGTCCATTGCTGAAAAAAAAGTTAAAAAATTAAAACAGGAACAGCAATGAGCTTTATTCTTGCAACCTGTTGGGGAAAACTACTTCAGTTTATATTTTATTATTTATCAAATCATATGCTTCTGAACATGAAGTGTACCTTACTAGTACTATAAAACATTATTCTTCACACACTAGAAAATTAAATATGAAGTACTATATAATAAGAGTTAGTGGCCTTTTCCCTTCAAAAAATATGTTTTAAAATTTGGTTTCTTTAAGGTATTTCAGATTTTTATAATGAAACCTATCAAAAAATATTTTTCATATGCCAAATTATTATACTGCCAAAGCTCTTTATGGGAGATCTTCCAAATTAAGTACCTTATATATTATATTAATATAAGTGCTCAATACATATTTGATGAATCAATTACTAGCATTATGATATGATGGTTTCAATTACTTTAAGAATGAAAACATTTATGTCAAAGATAACAAGTAACCTCTTTAAATGGTATCTGTACCATGAAGAATCAACTAGATCACAATAAATATGTTCCAAAGATTAACGTCAGATAAAACTATCCAAAAGAAAACAGCAATGAGCCAGGTCAAACACATACTACCCTGCCTTCAAAACTACCAATAAATGGTATATGTTATGGTAAGAAAAGCCATCAACATTTACATGACTTGACAATTAAGTTTTGTTGACTGAGGGGTATACAGTAGTAAACAGCAGCAACTTTCACTAAGTAGTACATTATTATACACACACATATATATATTAAGTGTAAGTCTGCTTAGTCAATTATACATTACATGTACTACACAGCAACTAAACAAAATATTTTCTCACAGCATATGGTATAGTCAATAAATGCAACAGTTGCTGGGCATGGTGGCTCATGCCTGTAATCCCGGTACTTTGGGAGGATGAGGCAGTCGGATCACTTGAGGCCAGGAGTTCGAGATCAGCCTAGCCAACATGGCGAAACCCCGTCTCTACTAAAAATACAAAAATTAGCCAGACGTGGTGGCACATGCCCATAATTCCAGCTACTCAGGAAGCTGAGGCATGAGAATCACTTGAACCCAGGAGGCGGAGGTTGCAGTGAGCCAAGACTGTGCCACTGCACTCCAGCTTGGGTGACAGTTCGAAACTCCATCTCAAAAAAAAAAAAAAAATGAATAAATGAATGAATGAAACAGTTACATAATTTCTTAGTTGTATTAAAATAAGAAATATAATCACTTCCAAGAAGGAAACAGAAACAAACATGTATTTATAATACACGCACATATCGAGTATAAATAATATCAAGTGTTACACTTATTTAATCCCATCAGTAATCTTGAGGTGGATATTGTATTCTATTTTAAAAATTGAAAAATTAAAGTTAAAATTAAGTGTTGGATAACTTGTCTAATAATCCAAAAGTATGACTCCAGAACCAATGCCCTTAACAATTCTACCAAAAGAATAGTCTCCGAAGTGGAAAGCATAAAGCTTTCCAAGCTAAATGGGTATGGAAAGAAAATACCAGAATTTCTATTTTTACCTATCAAAAATTAGAAACTAAGCTTTACAAATATTCAATATATGGATCAAAACCAGCCTTTTAGTAAGACCACAGGTCAGATGATCATATGTCACTTACTGGTACTCAAGGTACCCAGAGGAAAAAACAAGAAGTACTCAATGTAGAAGAACTGACTTTCCTTACCTGCTGGCTCCTTTTCAGTGTACTGTGACATATATGGCAGCGTCTGTGTGACCAGTTCAGTAGAATTATAGATGTGATTTAGTTTTTATTCACACTATGGACAAGCCGCAGAAGATTCCTACAAAGAAACAATGAATTGAACAATATATTAATAAAAGCACAAAAATAGCAAAACTGATACTTCTGCTCCTCCTAGTGAAGTCTTATAATAAAACTTAGAAAAATACAATGTGATGTAGCCAGCATGGTGGCAAATGCCTGTGATCCGCCTTAGATTACAGCACTTTGGCAGGCCAAGGCGAGCAAATCAGTTTGAGCTCAGGAATTCGAGAACAACCTGGCCAACATGGTGAAAGTCTGTCTCTGCAAGAAATACAAAAATTAGCCAGGCGTGGTGGTGCACACCTCTAGTCCCTCAGGAGGCTGTGGTGGGAGGATTGCTTGAGCCCAGGAGGTGGAGGCTGCAGTGAGCCGAGATCATGCCACTGCACTCCAGGCCTGGGTGACAAAGTGAGATCCCGTCCCAAAAATAAATAAAAACAAGAAAAATACAACACAATTTGACAAGCCAATCAAAAACTCTCAGAAATACCAAAATGGCTATGTGAAATACAGATTTACATCTGCTCTTGATAAACCTTGCCTAAGTATATATCATCCTTAAGACTGTCAATGACAACAACACATACATAATTTGTAAGTAAACAAACAAAAATATCAGAAGTACTGACTCAGGTATGTAACCAAACTATTTGGGAGTCTACTACACTGTGCTATCATTGCTTCTCTGTCAAGCAGTAAAGTTCCTTTAGCCCTGGAATTGCTAAAAGGTAACTGTAAGAATACAAACTTCATTTTTTAAAAATGTGTAATGGCTTATAACAATAATTAATGTGTGTAAATAATGATGTATTTATTCTTTGCAATAGTCAGTTGATCAGATAATTTAATCCCAAATAAGAACCTATTTTCAATCAGGAAAAACTACAATTTATCATGGAACAAATACAAAAAGAACTTCTGTTTTGAAATTAATGCATTTATTTACTATTTGAAAAGTACTATTTGAGAAGTTGCAACCTGTGGTTTTTTTGAAAGTTTGGTTAAGTTTTTATTTAAACACCTTATTTATTTAAACACTTGAGCTACTGCTAATTGCTCATCATTAATGCAATAGCTCTGCAAATGAGTTTAATTTATATGTTACCTGTCTAATCACAGACAGATATATATTAACATACGTAAGAGTACAAACCCACATTCACCCATATAATTTATAAATTCAGTAACAAGTTATGATCCTTTAAAGTATCTGAATCAAAAGAGGCTGTTAGCAACAGCTAAAGAGAAAAGGAATATAAAAATAATAATAATCTTAACATACTGGCAAAAACATAGGTGCTAATTAACAGTGTTTTAACTTTTTTTTTTTTGAGGGCGAGTCTTGCTCTGTCGCCCAGGCTGGAGTGCAGGGGCTTGATCTCGGCTCACTGCAACTTCCACCTCACGGGTTCAAGTGATTCTCCTGCCTCAGCCTCCCAGTAGCTGGGACTGTAGGCGTGTGCCACCATGCCCGGCTAATTTTTGTATTTTTAGTAGAGACAGGGTTTCACCATATTGGTCAGGCTGGTCTCAAACTCCTGACCACGTGATCCACCTGCCTTGGCCACCCAAAGTGCTGGGATTACAGGCATGAGCCACAGTGCCTGGCTGAAATGTGCGTTTTATTCTGAGATGGAAAACCATCAAAGTTCTGACCACAGAAGAGATATTTGACTTCTGTTTTAAGAAGAATGCTCTGGCTACTGTATTGAATAGCATGAAGAGGAATGAGGTCTAAAGCAGGGAGCACTGTTAAAAAGCTATCAAAATAATACTGGTAAGAGATCATAGTGGTTTGGACCAGGGTTAAAATAAAGATGGTAAGAAATGACCAGATTCTGGACATATTGTAAAAATACAATCAACAAAATTTACTAATATAGGATATGAAAGAAGGTCGAGGTTGACTCCAGGTTTTACAGGCTGGGCAATGGGAAAAATGGAGTAAATTTCAATTAATGTAGGAAAAATTGTGGAAGAGCCAGATTTGAAGAAAATATATTCAGTTCAGTTTTGGATGAGTTAAGTTTGAGATATCTATTAGACATTCAAATGGAAATATTAAATAGGAGTCTGGTGTTGACTGAAGAATTATGAGCTGTTAGTATAATTTGGGAGTTGTCAGTGTATAGATTATACCAAAACAGGTATGAACTTGGATGAGATCTCTAGGTGTACATGGAGAAGTGAAGTTAAGCCCTGAGAAAATCAAATATGAAGAGGCCAGGGAAAAAGAAGCAGAGATTGAGTATCCCTTTTCCAAAATGCTTGGAACCAGAAGTGCGGATTTGGGATTTTTTCAAATCTTTGAATATTTGCATATACATAATGAGATATCGTGGGGATGACATCCAAGTCTAAACAGAAAATTCACTTGTTTCCTACACATCTTACACACACAGTCTGAAAGTAATTTTATACAATACTTTTAATAATTGTGTGCATGAAATAAAGCTTCTGTTAAGTACTGATGTGTGGAATGTTAAAATTATGGTGCCATATTGGCAGTAAAAATGTTTCAGATTTTGGGGCCAGGTGCAGTTGCTCACACCTGTAATCCCAGCACTTTGGAAGGCCAAGGCAAGCAATCACCTGAGGTCAGTGAGACTCTGTCTCAAAAAAAAAAAAAAGTTTCAGATTTTGGAACATTTTTCAAATGTTAAATTTTTGAATTAGGGATGCTTAACCTATAGCAGAAAAAACAACAGAGGGCAGTGAGAGAAAAGAAAAATACTGAAGTGTGAACACCAAGTGAAGAAAGTGTTTTAGGCAGAACTGATCGTGCCAAAAGTTAAAGTATGATGAAGGCCTATCACTGACCACTTAGCAACATGGAGGATAATGGCGAATGGCGGCACCTTTGGTAGCATGGTTGGTGCAAATGCCTGATAGGAATGCTACTAAAGAGAGGAAAGGAATTGGAAACAGTACAGAAATCATGGAAATCACCCTGTTTCTTAAACTTTTCTTTAATGTGATTCCACTTTTCTTCTTAAAGATACTCTTCGGAGCCGTCTAACATCCTGATCTAAATTTAGTCTACGTGTTTTCAAGGGCTATTAATCAGCTACTTCTGTGGAAATCTTTTGATTGTACTACCCGCTCAGGTTAAGTACCCTACTTTGAATTCCATGTTTTTATCATTTTTTTTTTCCCTTTACTGGAAGATCCTCAAATAATGGTTTCAACAAGTATATGTTGGAGGCAAACACTGAGTCCTTGGACATCTGAAAATACTATCTCCCTCATACTTTAGTACAGTTCAAGACAAAATCATTTTTTCTAAACTCTGAAAGGCACTGTGTCCTACCTGTCTACCTATTTATCCTCATTTTGTAGAAACACCAAATTTTTCTGTCTGGAATATTTAGGGTCTATCTAAATAGCTGGTATTCTATAATTTCACAAAGACTTGTTTGGGGCAGGCCATGTTTAAATTTTTCCTACACAGCACTGGAAGAGCTATTTTAATTTAGAGACTCTTGTACACGTCTCAAATACATCTTTTTCCTCACTACTTTTTCTTTATTTGGCCCAAATGGGTTAATCATTTGTCTCTAAACTTTTCTTTCATATTTTCACTCTACAGACTGGGAGATTTCACTCATTTTTACTTCTTTCCCTTAGCCTTTCCTTATTCTCTTAGCCTGTCATTACTCTCTGTAACAATCTTTTTAATTTCTCATACTTTCTTATTCTGTGATTATTATTTAATAGTAGTTCTTGTGTTATGAATATAGACTAGAATCTCTCTGTAGATACTAATTATTTCTACTTAATCCGAGACCTCTATATTCCGTCTACCACTTTCTATCTCTAAGTATAAAAAATAAGAAAAAAAGCAAAACAGGGAAGAGATAAGTAGGGAATAAAGACCATAGCTAGGGTCAAGATTAAAATGATTAATCAGTCCAAATTTGTAGCTAAGGTAAATTGGGAACACCTAGTTTTTCTCTAAATAGACATTTCCTTTGCTGATTAGTTGTTTCCTCCAGGTACTATTCACCTAACATGTTTATAACAGACTGCTCTCTACTTGTGACAATTAGTCACTTCAAACAATTCGGGGTTTTTACATACTTCTTACTAATACTAAAACAAATATATAAACGTGTTGCTAAGAATTAAAGGACTCAATCAAGGACGTATTAATTTCTGGATCTCTGAATTATTAACCTAGAAGTAATCACTTTATCATTTCAACCAGGATATTATGCCAACAGATCTGGACAGACAATAGGAATCATCTTTAAAGAATGCAAGGAAGAACATGGACATGTAAGGTACACTTCTCACAGTAAACTAGTGAATTTAAAGACAAAGGCCTGTTTATTTTTTATTTACATACACTTTGTCTAGTACATTGTCTGACAGTATATTTAAACAGTTACTGAACAAACGAATGAATGAATGAGATAATTCTGTGCTCCTTTCTCTGATGGAAATGTGGTCACATAATGGAAAAAGAGGGCTAAGTATTTGGGCACACATGGATTCAAACTTCATTTAGGCAAGTTAATAAACTGCTCTCAGTATTAGAGCCCTCTCTTGTGACTTGTTTCTAATGAAGACAGTGTGATGGATGTGACTGTGTGTGATGTGCAAGAATAGGGTAATAAAAGGATTGTGGCTTCCTTAATTTCTCTGCTCACTCTTTCTGGAAGAAACCAGCTGCCACATCATGATATCACTCAAGTAGACCCACAGAAAGCCCACATGGTGAAATACTGACCGTTCCTGACAAAATCCACAAAAACTAAGGTCTTCCGGCAACAGCCACATGGATGAGCAACCTGGAAAGGGTAATGCCCTAGTGCATTACCCTTCAGATGACTGCAGTCCCAGCCTACATTTGACTGCAACCTCTTGAGAGACTTGAACCAAAATCAGCAACCAGGCTGCTCCTGAATTTCGAACCCACTGGGACTATGTGATGATAAATGTCTGAGTTGCTATGTCCACTGCAGGACAACAAGTTACTCTACTCTCTTATCCTGCAACAGGTAACAAATACAAACAATGTAAATTAAAATGAAGATTTAGGCACAGGGAGACAAAAATCAGCTAAACTTCCAGAAGAAGGGTTTCAACTGATAGCGTGGATCTACACCCTTATGACTCATCTGCTGGGAGCCAGAAATAACTCACTTTTAAAGTATCTTTTCTAGAAAAAAAAGGTTGAGAATCAAATACAATTTGATCCTTACTTGAAGGAAAAGTCTTGGTTACTCTTCCAAGTCCATTAGAATATTTTTTATTCTCTCATATTTATATTTACATATATGCCTCCAAAATGCCCTAAAAACATTTAAAATTCCTCTTAAATCAGTCTTGTATAATTAACTTACCCTGCATTTCCTTTTAGTGAATGAATTCCTTAGACACACGGAATTTTGATAATTTACACCTATTATCACAACTGAGATATAAATTAAGAACTACAAACTTTATGACAAAATGCATTTATGACAAACTATGACAAATGTTATTAGAAAGCTATTTTACATTCCCCAAACAAATCCATGTTGGTCACAATACATTAACCCTTTTATATCTCACTGGATTATTCTTTTACCTATGTTCATGAGAAATATTGGCTTAAAATAGTCTCGTCATGCTTTTGTCAGGTTTTCCTATCAAGATTATACTAAAGTCATAAAATATGCAAATAAATCTTTCTATCTTCTTCTTGTTCTCTAGAAGAGTCTGTGTAAACCCAGGATTATATCTTACTTAAATGTAAGGCAGATTTGTCAGTGAAGCCATCAGGTCTAGGATTTTCTTTGTGGAAAGGTTTTTGATAAATTCAACTACCTTAATAGACACAGAACAACTCAGATTTTCTATTTCTTTATATGTCAGCTGACTAAACTGTGTTTTTCAGGGATTATGACCTTTCATTCAAGTTGTCAAATGTATTATCAAGTTGTACATAATTCCCTTTCATTAACAATTTAATATAGAGAGGATCTGTAGTGAAGTCTCTTTTTTTCATCCCTGTTACTAGTAATTTGTGTTTTCTCTCATTTTTCTTAATCAGGTCATTACAGGTTTTCATTTTTTAAAAGTTTTCTTAACTAACTGACTGTAAAACTTTCCTGTTTCATTGATTTCTACTTTTATACTATTTCCTTCTTTCTACTTCCTTGGGTTTAATTCATTGCTCCCTTGAGATAGGAGCTTAGACTACTGATTGTAAACCTTTGTTCTTTACTAATTTATACATCTAAAGCATAAAGTTACCTCTAAGCATTGCTTCAGCTGTATTCCAAAAGTTCTGATACGTATTATTTTTATTATTTTTCAGATTAAAATGTTTTCTAATTTCCACAGTGACTTTGTTTTTCATCCACAGGCTACTCAGAAGTGTCTTGCTTAATTTCCAAATATTTGCAGTCTATTTTTTTTTTTTTGTTATTGGGTTGTAATATAATTCTATAGTGATCAGAAAACATGCATTGTATGATTTAAATTCTTTGAAGATTAATGATACTACTTTATGACCCAGAATATTTTTGCACATGTCCCATATGCACTTAAAAATAATGTAAAGCCTTCAGTTGTTGAATATAATGTTCTATAAATGTCAATTAGGTTAAGTTGATTAATCATACCATTCAAATTTCTTATTCCTTTACTAAAACTTTTTTAAATCTTATTGTTCTACCAGTTACTTTGAATGTATTTAAAATCTCCAGCTAGGAATACAGATCTACCTTTCTTTTTAGCTATTTTAGCTTCTGTCTTACATATTTGGAAGCTGTGTTACTATGTGAAAACATATTTAGAATTATGTCTTCTTGATAAATTGGCCCACTCATCATGATTTTTTTTTCTCTTATCTCTCATAACACTTCTCTCCTTAAATCTATTTTGTCTGGTATTAATATAGCCACATCAGCTTTCTTTTGGTATTTGCAACAATACTGATTCCATCTTTTCATTTTACCTGTGCCTTTACTTGTAAAGTGCTTTTCTTATAAATAGAATATAGGTAGGTCTTACTCACTTATATATAATGTCTGATAATCTTTCTCTTTTTGTTAGAATATTTAATCCATTCACATTTAACATAATTACCAATGTAGTCTGGTTTAAATCTACCATCTTGCTATTATTTTCAATCATCTCACCTGTCCTTTGTTCCTTTATTCCTCCGTTCTTGAATTCCTTGGTAATTTTTTTTTATTATTCCATTTCATCTGCTAGCTTTTTTGATACATCCTTTAAAATATCATTATCTTAGTGGTTTTCCTAGAAATTACAAAATGTATCCTTGATGTATGCTGGATGATATTTCCTAGAAGCTCTAAATAACTTACCTTTCTCTAATGAGTATTTTAAGTTTTCTTTTGGCAGGCAATTATATTGCAAGTAGATTGTCTTAACATCACAGAAGTCTGGTTTTGGTTTATGTTTGGGCAAGTCCATTTCAGCTTGTCCTTATATCAAAGTGTAACCTACACTCTTACTGTCTACTTCAAACTACAGATGCTCCTGGACTTAAAATGGGGTTACGCCCTGACAAATCCACTGTAAAATGAAAATATTATTAAGTTGAAAATGCATTAAAGACCCTACTAAACCCATTGTAAAGTTGAAAAATCATAAACGAAACCAGTTGAGCACTGTCTGTAGTTCTTTTACCAGGTCCCCAAAAAATGAAAGAAACTCACATAACAGTTTAACTCCTCCATGTCCATGGTTGTTATCTTCATATAGCTCACCCTACATGTAAGCCCCACCAAACATTATCAAGACTGTTTCAAACACCCAATAATCTTCAATATCCCTTTCTGAAAATGTCTACTTATTCCATTTCCATGCCTCCATCTGTCTGATGTTCCTTTAGCCTAAATAACATATTTTAATGTTTGTTATGAGTCTGCTGGTGACAACTTCCCTCTCTGCTTCTGTCTGTCTAAAATTGTCTTTGTTTTTGAAGGATATTCAAATGAGAATAGTATTCTACATTAGACACCTTTTTTTTTTCTTTTTTGGAGCACTATAAAGATGTACCCCTATTGTTTCCTGGCTTCCACAGTTTCCATTAAGAAGTCCATGTCATCTGAGCTGAATACATATACTCAAACACCTACCAAGTGAGTGTGCTTGTCAGTGAATTAAAAATGAGAGAAAATAAAAAGTTTAAGAATTGGAAAGGAAAGAAAAATCTCATTATTCACAGATAACATGATTATATATGAAAAAAAAGGAAGAAAGTACCTACAAGTAAAGTTCTATAGTGATAACTTTTAGATGGTTGACAGATACAAAGTCAATATAAAAATGTATTATCACATTCCAACACATAGCAAGAAAACTAAATTTATTACTAATATTACCTTGAAAGGATATCGTTTACAAGAGCAACTATAAACATCAAATCCCTAGAAAGAAACCCAATGAAAGATGCAGAATATTACTCACAGAAATTTTAGAAGACATAACTACGTGAAGAAAAATCCCATACTCATTGGCTTGGAAGATTCAGTTTTATGAATTTCAATTCTCCTTAAATAATCTATGGGTTAAATGTAATCCTAATAAAATCCCAGCAGGCATTTTTTTGGGGGAAAATTGACAAGGTGATTCTAAAATGTAAATAGGAGTGTAAATGGCCAAGAATAACCAAAGTTATCACTAAAAAGAACAAGGTACAAAGAGGTAACTCTTTCAGAAGACAAACCTTAAAAACTTATGATAATAAGAGGCTTGTTAGGGAATAGGCAGACAAATGTATCAATGGAATAGGATAGAAAAAGTGTCAAACAGACCGGGCATGGTGGCTCTTGCCTGAAATCTCAGCAGTTTGGGAAGCCGAGGCGGGTGGATCACTGGAGGCCAGGAGGTGGAGACCAGCCTGGCCAATATGGTGAAACCCTGTCTCTACTAAAAATACAAAAATTTGCCGCGCATGGTGGTGCACACCTGTAGTCCCAGCTACTCGGGAGGCTGAGGCAGGAGAATCACTTGAACCCAGGAGGTGGAGGTTGCAGTGAGCCAAGACTGCCCCAATGCACTCCAGCCTGGGCAACAGAGCAAGACTCCATCTCAAAAAAAAAAAAAAAAAAGTGTCAAACAATAGAACTTTATGTGATGATGAAATTCTGCAGTGTTCAAGCCTATATTAATTTTAATCTTCAACAGCCACATGTGGCTAGTACCATATAGGACCAACACAGGAACAGAGTCCTGAAACTGATACACATTACATACAATTGACTTATGACAATGCTACATTACAGAGCTCTAGGGACAAGATACGTTTTTTCACTGAACACACTACATTAATTGGATACTGATGCAGAAACGAAATCCGGCCTGTTTCCCACAAAATGCAAAACTCAATTCCAAAAGCAATGTAGATCTAAATGTACAAGGCAAAACAGTAAATCCAAAGAAAGGAGAAATCTTTACAATGTTGGAGTAAAGAAAGATTTTTTTAAAGCAGGCAACAAAAACTAAAATTTCCTAAATAAGGGGCCAATGAACTGCAAAATGGAATTTAAAATTTCCATTCATAAAAAGATACCATTCAGAGACTGAAAAGGAAATCCACAAATGAGAAAAGAAATGTACATTACATACAAGTATCAAAGTGCTCACATATAGGATATATAACATACTCCTAAATATAAAAAAGAATAAGATAATCCAAAAGAAATGTGATAACCTGCTGAGACGCACTCCAGAAAAGGTTACCCAAATGGCTAAGAAACATATGAAAAGGTATCAATTTCATAAACTGGCTGAAGTCATAAATTAGAACAAGTTATCATTACACACCGGAGATAAAAATTAAAATATTAACCATATCAAATGTTGGTGTGGATGTTAAGCAACTGGATGTTAGGCAATTTTCATATTACAGCTGTAAATATACATCTCTGCATTCATCTCAGAAAACTTTTTGGAAGCACCTAGTAAACCTGAACATATGCATATGATATGGTTAAGCAGTCCATCTTACAAATGCATACCAAGACATATAAAAATGTTCAGCTACAGTCCCACTTATATGGCAGGCTGTTGAGGGTGACTGCCCTAGCCCAGGAGTTCGAGGCTGCAGTGAGCTATCATCCTAGCACTGCATTCTGGCCTGGGCAACAAAGCCAGACCCCATCTCTAAAAAAATAAAGAAATTAAAAAAAATGTTCATAGAAGCAATGTCCATAATAATTCCAAACTGTAAACAACCCAAATGTTCAACAGCAAAATGGGTGAATATAACAGAATATATTTGTAGGCAGAATACTACACAACAAAAATGAACCATAGCTACCCACAACAGGAGTATTACAAACACAAATGGATCTCACAAAAATGAATGAAATGAAAAACAGCCAAATACAAAAAAATTCATGCTGTATGTTCCATTTTTATAAAAGTTCAAAAACAAGCAAAATTAATCTGTGGTGTTACATACCAAGAGAGAATAATCACCTTTTCTGGAGAGGAGGATGACAAAATGCTGAAGACAAAAAGAATAAGGTATTATAGCAGAAGGATGTGCTAGTAACATTCTAATTCTCTTTTTTTTTTTTTTTTTTTTTTTTTGGAGACAGAGTCTTACTCTGTTGCCCAAGCTGGTGTGCAGTAGCGCAATCTTGGCTCACTGCAACATCCGCCTCCTGGGTTTAAGCAAATCTCCTGCCTCAGCCTCCCGAGTAGCTGGGATTATAGGTACCCGCCACCATGCCTGGATAATTTTTGTATTTTTAGTAGAGATGGGGTTTCACCATGTTGGCCAGGCTGATCTCAAACTCCTGACCTTAAGTGATCCACCCGCCTCCGCCTCTCAAAGTGCTGGGATTACAGGTGTGAGCCGCCATGCCCAGCCACATGCTAGTTCTCGACTTGGCTGGTGTTTATATTGACTTCAGCCTGTGCTAATTTACTGAAGTTACACCCATTTTTATAAGCACAGTGCAATAAAAAGCTTTAAATAGTCACTGGAAGAAAATATATTCAAGTGTTAAAGTTGTATTTCATTTTGGGTCTGTGAGTGATTTTTATGCCTTCCATTTTTTGTTTTCCAACTTTTCTTTCACACACTTGTGCTCCTTTTGTAATTGGCAGAAAAATGTTTAATCACTGTGTTAGCAACAGGTTTTTATGGACCACTGAAAACTAGGCTGTCTAAGACACTTCAGAATGCAAAAACATGCAATTAATTATTAGACAAAAATATAAGGTGTGAAGTGGAATTATCCTGGGAAACCTAGGACATGAGATCCTTCTTCTAACCACACAGATAAACATTAGAGAATAAGAAACACATATATAAAACAAGATCTCATGAAAATTCAACTTCTCAATTTCTGTTTCTAACAGTATGGCAGATAAAAATTTTTTTTTAAACCTCACAACTCAAAGCAAATAAAAATGTCTTAACTCTGGGTAGGGGGTGAATAGTAGAAAAGAGGAGGAATATCTCGCCTAACAATTCAAAGCCACAACTCAACCTCATTAGATTTGTGGCTGCAATTCATACTATCTGTATGAGCCAACAAGCCAGAAAGTCAGAATATTGTTAAGTCTTAGGGAGCAGTGTTCCAAGTACCCGGCAGAAGCAAAGCTAATTCCTCCCAGTTGAAAGTCACCTCACTCTCAACCCAGGTCAGAATTCTCACATGTAAAATTTCAAAGAATATGAACTCACAATAAAAAGTGTAACATACATGAGAAATAACGTTGACAAGAATTAACAAAATAAAAATATAACTTAAAAGGACAGCACTAGGCTGGGCCCAGTGGCTCATGCCTGCAATTCCAGCACTTTGGGATGAAGAAGGTGGATAGTTTGAGCCCAGGAGCTCAAGACCAGCCTGAGCAACATGGTGAAAACCCATCTCTATAAAAAATATAAAAATTAGACGGGCATGGTGGCGTGTGCTGTAGTCCCAGCTACATGCGAGGCTGAGGTGGGAGGTCACGTGAGCCTGGGAGATGGAGGCTGAAGTAAGCCGTGATTGTGCCACTGCCCTCCAGCCTGGGTGACAGAGTAAGGCCCTGACTTCGGGGGAGGGAATAAAAATCTTCCCACAAGGAAAACAATAGGCCCACAGGTCTTAATAGAAATTTCTATCCAAATATACAAATAGATAATTCCAGTGCTAAACCTGTTTGTCCAGAGAATAGAAAAGGATTTCATAAGCTTGTTTTAAAGACATGTAGCTCATTTTAAGAGCAGAGTAAAATCTTCATGAACTAGCCAGACAAGGCTCATGCCTGTAATCCCAGCACTTTGGGAGGCCGAGGCCAGCAGATCACATGAGGTCAGGAGTTCAAGACCAGCCTGACTAACGTGGTGAAACCCCATTTCTACTAAAAATACAAAAAATTAGCTGGGTGTGGAGGCACATGCCTGTAATCCCAGCTACTCGGGAGGCTGAGGCAGGAGAATCACTTGAACCCGGGAGGCAGAGATTGCAGTGAGCCGAGAATGCACCACTGCACTCCAGCTTGGGCAAGAAGAGCGAAACTCTATCTCAAAAAAAAAAAAAAGAAAAAAAAAGAAATGGCCAGACAAGCAGACAGGTTACAAAAATAAAAAATTAGATGTCAACTCCAGTGATAAAGAAAGAAAAAGTCTGAGATATTAGCAAGCCATTACAGCAATATATTTGAAAACAGTATATACTGAGTCTACTGCAAAAGACTCATCATTAGATATGATTACTTCTATTTTCATTAGTAAACACTTCAGTGGATGGAGAAAAAGCATTCAATGAAATTCAACATTCATTAAAGTTTAAAAGAACTCTCAAGAAACCAAAAATGGAAAATAATTTACTAAGCCTTATAAAACTAATCAGTCCAAAAGGTACGGCAAAATTATACTGAATGGTGAAATGTCAGCATCATTTTCTTCTTAAAATACCAATCATTACTTCTACTTAACATGTAAAGTTCTTTTTTTTTTTTTTTTTTTTTTGAGACAGAGTCTCACTCTGTGGCCCAGGCTAGAGTGCAGTGGCGTGATCTCGGCTCACTGCAACCTCTGCCTTCCAGGTTCAAGCAATTCTCCTGCCTCAGCCTCCTGAATAGCTGGGATTACAGGCATGCGCCACCACGTCCCGCTAAATTTTGTATTTTTAGTAGAGACGGGGTTTCACCATGTTGGTCAGGCTAGTCTTGAACTCCTGACCTCGTGATCCACCTGCCTCGACCTCCCAAAGTGCTAGGATTACGGGGATGAGCACCGCACCCGGCCTAACATGTAAAGTTCTAACCATCGCAAGACCAAAAAAAGAAAAAAAAAAAAAAGGCAGGGGTGGGGGTGGGGGTGGGGGAGAAAGAGGAAAATAACCGATACCAATGAAACTAGGAATCTGTAAAAAGTAAAACTAAAAGTCTACTAAAGAAAGTGAAAAGAAATATAAAAGAAAAAATTGAGACATATAAGAAAATTTAGTGATATTGTCAGTGCTATGGTTTGAATGTTTGTGCCATCTTCCAAAATTCTTAATCCACATTGCGGTGGTATTAAAAGGTGGGGTCTTTTGAAAAGTGATGAAGTCATAGGGCTCTGCCCTCATGAATGGACTAGTACCTTATAAAAGGCTGGGGGAAACTACTTAGCCCTTTTCGCTCTTTCATTTTCTGCTGTGTAAAGACAAGCAACAGGTGCCATATTGGAAGCAGACAGCAGCCCTCACCAAACACTAAACCCACTGGCACCTTGATTTGGAACATCCAGGCTCTAGAATTGTGAAAAATAAATTTATTTTCTTTATAAATTACCCAGTCTTAGGTATTTTGTTATAGCAGCAGGAACAGATTAAGACAGACAGCTATAACATCAAGATACAAAAGTCACTACAGTAAACAGCTATAAAAAGTTAATTTTAGAAATGCACCACTTGTAGGAGTTCCACTTCTACAGGGTATAGAAAGCTGGAGTGTCATTCCCAGTTCAGTTGTGAAACGGACTGACTGCCAACAAGGGAAATGAATGAAACCCTTCCTCAACACTTCTCCTAGTAGAAAAAAAAAAAGCAACAACTTTATTTTTATTTTATTTTTTGAGACGGAGTCTCGTTCTATTGCCCAGACTGGAGGGCAGTGGTGCGATCTTGGCTCACTGCAACCTCTGCCTCTCAGGTTCAAGCAATTCTCCTGCCTCAGCCTCCCAAGCAGCTGGGATTACAGGCACCCGCCACTACGCCCAGATATTTTTTGTTTTTTTTTTCTAGTAGAAACAGGGTTTCACTATGTTGGCCAGGCTGGTCTTGAACTCCTGATCTCAAATGATCCACCCAGCGTGGCCTCTCAAAATGCTGGGATTACAGGCGTGAGCCACGGTGAACGGCCAACAACAACTTTAAACCACTAGGGAAGGGCAGCAATCTCTGTCCTCCATTGCTGCTAGGGTATGAGTAAAAGAATCTACTCATCTGACAAAGGGCTAATATCCAGAATCTACAAAGAACTCAAACAAACTTACAAGAAAAAAACAACCCCATCAAAAAGTGGGTGAAGGATAGGAACAGACACTTCTCAAAAGAAGACATTTATGCAGCCAAGAGACATATGAAAAAATGCTCATCATCACTGGCCATCAGAGAAATGCAAATCAAAATCACAATGAGATACCATCTCCACACCAGTCAGAATGGCGATCGTTAAAAAGTCAGGAAACAACAGGTGCTGGAGAGGATGTGGAGAAATAGGAACACTAGTTCAACCATTGTGGAAGACAGTGTGGTGATTCCTCAAGGATCTAGAATTAGAAATACCATTTGACCCAGCCATCCCATTACTGGGTATATACCCAAAGGATTATAAATCATGCTGCTATAAAGACACATGCACACGTATGTTTACTGCGGCACTATTCACAATAGCATAGACTTGGAACCAACCCAAATGTCCATCAATGATAGACTGGATTAAGAAAATGTGGCACATATACACCATGCAATACTATGCAGCCATAAAAAAAGGATGAGTTCATGTCCTTTGTGGGCACATGGATGAAGCTCGAAACCATCATTAGTTCTCAGCAAACTATTGCAAGGACAAAAAAACCAAACACCACATGTTGTCACTCATAGGTGGGAACTGAACAAGGAGAACCCTTGGATATAGGAAGGGGAACATCACCGGGGCCTGTTGTGGGGTGGGGGAGGGGGGAGGGATAGCATTAGGAGATATACCTAATGTAAATGACGAGTTAATGGGTGCAGCACACCAACACGGCACATGTATACATATGTAACAAACCTGCACATTGTGCACATGTACCCTAGAATTTAAAGTATAATTTAAAAAAAAAAGAAAAAGAAAAAGACCTTTACTCCTAGAGCAGAGTCAGGAAACAGTTTATAGTCCAGGCTCCTATACCAGTACACTGAAGATTTGCTACCACTGGGGAAGGAGCAGAAAATCTCTCCTGCACAAAACCTATCAAAGAAATGGGGCCGGGTGCAGGGCTCAGGCTTGTAATCCCAGCACTTTGGGAGGCCAAGGTGGGAGGATCACCTGAGGTCAGGAGTTCGAGACCAGCCTGGCCAACATGGTGAAACCCCATCTCTACTAAAAACACAAAATTAGCCGGGTTTGGTGGCACATGGCTGTAATCCCAGCTGCTTGGGAGGCTGAGGCAGAAGAATCGCTTTAACCTGCGTGGCAGAGGTTGCAGTGAGCCGAGATCACGCTAATGCACTCCAGCCTGGGTGACAGAGTGCAACTCTGTCTCAAAAAAAAAAAAAAAAAGATATGAGGCAGAGTTTGGCTACCATGGAGAGAAGGTACAGCATCATTGGCCCATACCCAAAAACAAGAGACAAAGGGCTTGTGTAACACTGAGTACAGATAAGGAAGACAGAGAAAACTCTGCCTCCATCTCCAGGCTAGTCAGCATCAAGAAACAACAGTCTACTGCTGGGGATAATGACAGTGTGTGGAGAAACTTCTCCACTGAGGTATGGGCACACAGAGAAAGCTGAAAGTTGACAGTGAAGTAGGAACACTTAGAAAAATCAGGCACTTCAGCTGTCACACTAAGCACAAGGTAACACTAAGCACAATGCAACCACAGAAACGAAATCCAAACCCATCTCAATCACGAATTAGATTGAATCAACCCCACACCACACTAAAAGCCTAGCAGATGCAGAAGCAGACTCACATCCAGACATAAGAATTATTTGCCACAATCTCTACTGTTCTGCATATAAAGTCTGCCATTCAGTCAAAAATTACAAGACAAAAAAGCTGAGGAGGAAAAAACCCTCTTTATCAAGAGACAACAACAAACAGAACCAGATAAAGCAATTAACAGAATTATCAGAGAAGAAAATTAAAATAACTATGATTACCCTTTTAAAGGCTCTAGCACAAAGGTAGGAACATGCATCAACTCATGAGAAATTTCAGGAGAGATGAAAATGGAAATGCAAAAAATAAAAAACAGTTAACAGAAATGAAGAATGCATTCTATGGGCTCATTAAAAAACTAGGGGAGGAAGCTTTTAGTGAGCTCAAGATAAATCAGGCCAGGCTCAGTGGCTCACACCTGTAATCCCAGCAATTTGGGAGGCCAAGATGGGTGGATCACTTTAGGTCAGGAGTTCAAGATCAGCCTGACCAACATAGTGATACCCGTCTCTACTAAAAATACAAAAAATTAGTGAGACGTGGTGGTGCACGCCCATAATTCCAGCTACTCAGGAGGCTGAGGTACGGAGAATCGCTTGAAGTCGGGAGGCAGAGGTTGCAGTGAGCCAAGATCACACCACTGCACTCCAGTCTGGGTGATGGACTGAGACTGTCTCAAAAAAAAAAAAAGAAAAAGATAAGTCAAAAGAAATGATCCAAGCCTAGATAAAAAGTGATTTAACTGAAAAGAAACATGTTAAAAAACAACAGCAACAAAAACCAAAACAGAGCCTCCAAGAATTGTGGACTGCATTAAATGAGCTGCCATGAGTTTAACTGGAACCCCACAAAAAGAGAG
Source organism: Homo sapiens (assembly GCF_000001405.40). Classification (NCBI taxonomy): domain Eukaryota; kingdom Metazoa; phylum Chordata; class Mammalia; order Primates; family Hominidae; genus Homo; species Homo sapiens. Next base: position 109,400,471 of record NC_000005.10, read on the forward strand.
CAAACCAGCAGGGGGAGGGGGGGGAAGGGCGGGGGGGTGTCGCGGGCAGTGGAAACATTAGAAGAGAAAGATGCTGTGAATTTTTCATACATTATTTAAAAGATCATAAATCCCAAGAAGCTCAGTGATTCCCCCCTACAAAAGCAGTATAAATACAAAACACACAAAAATGTACACATATCCCAAGATGTTAACATCTTTAACCTGCTATAAAAAACGAATGATATGGCCGGGCATGGTGGCTCACACCTGTAATTCCAGCACTTTGGGAGGCAGAGGCAGGTGGATCACGAGGTCAGGAGATTGAGACCATCCTGGCTAACATGGTGAAACCCCGTCTCTACTAAAAAAATACAAAAAAAATTAGCCAGGCATGGTTGCGGGTGCCTGTAGCCCCAGTTACTCAGGAGGCTGAGGCAGGAGACTGGCATGAACCTGGGAGGCAGAGCTTGCAGTGAGCCGAGATGGCGCCACTGCACTCCAGCCTGGGAGACAAAGCAAGACTCTGTCTCAAAAACAAAAAACAAAACAACAACAACAAAAAAACCAAATGACACATGCCTGTAATCCCAGCACTTTGGGAGGCCAAGGAGGGCAGACCACTTGAGGCCAGGAGTTTGAGACTAGCATGGCCAACATGGTGAAACCCTGTTAAATACAAAAATTAGCCAGACGTAGTGGCGGGAGCCTGTGATCGCAGATACTTGGGAGACTGAGGCATGAGAATCACTTGAACCCGGGAGGTAGAGGTTGCAGTGAGCTGAGATGGCGCCATTGCACTCCAACCTGGGCGACAGAGTGAGACTCTGTCTCAAAAACAACCGCTACCACCACCAATGACAGCCTGGGCACAGTGGCTCAGGCCTGCAAATGCAGGATTTTTGGAGGCTAAGGTGGGAGAATTGCTTGAGTCTAGAAGCTCAAGGCTATAGTGAGACAAGCTTGTACCACTGCACTCCACTTGGGCAACAGAGCGAGACCTTGTCTCAAAAAAAAACAACAAATAAAATAAAATTTAAAAACCACTGATAAAACATATTTGATACTGACAGCAGAAAAAAGGAACTAAATAAGAATCACAGCCAAATTCTTATTTGAAACTGTGCAAGTCAAAAGATAATAAATAGCATCCTTAATATTAGAAAAACACTGTGAACAATAAATTTATATCCAGCAAAATCTTTCAAAAGAAAAAGTGAAACAAAGTATTTGTGAAACAATCTTTGGAACTTTGTTACCAGTAGAATTGAAGTCCAAGAAATGTGAAAGGAAGTTCTTCATGCAGAAAGAATAAGCACTGGAAAAGAGGCCACTATAACACAGAAAATCAATTTTAATTTAACTTGTACTAACTACTTTAAATTCAAATTTAAATAGCTACACTGGCTAATGACTACCATACTAGACAGCACAGGAATAAAACAAATATTACAAGGTATTATGCATTTATGGCATTTGTAAAAGGTAAAACAGTAATAGCACAAAAGATAAGGAGAAATTGTAAATATACATTGTAAATATACTGTTGTAAAGCTCTGACACTATATAAAATGTGGTATAGTATTGCTTCCATATGGTCTATTATTAAAGATGTAAAATATAAATCACAGAGAAGCCAATTAACTTTTTAAAAGAGAGGAAAAGTTGAGTGTAAGTAGTGAGCCAATGGTGAAGATAAAATGCACTCAAAAATAGGCATCAGAGAGCACATAAGTAGAAAACAATTAAGATTGTATATTTAAATCCAACTACATCAAAATTACATTAAATGTAAATAGTCTAAACACTTCAATGTAAAAACAGATTTTTCAAGATGAATTAAAAAAGGCTGTCTAGAACAAACCCATTTTAAATAAAAGACAGATTAAATGGATGGAAAATAATATACAAACACTAAAAGGAGGCTGGAGAGGCTGTATTAATATTAGATAAAGTAGACTTTGGAATGAGGAATACTATCAGAGATAAAGAGGGCATTATATAATGATTAAGGGGTTCATTCACCAAAAAGTTTTAACAATCCTAAATTTACATGCACCTAACAGGAGGTTCAATACACATGATGCAAAAACTGAAAAGGAGAAATAAACAAACTTACCATTATACTTGGAGACTTCAACTCTTCTCTCAATGATCAATGAAACAAACAAAAACTCAGTAAGGAAAGAGAAGGCCTAACAAGCATCATCAATCAACTTGATATAGAATACTCCACTGCTAAACAGCAGAATACACATTATTTTGAAGTGTACATGGGACATTTACTGAGAGTAACCATATTCTGGTCATAAAACAAATATCAAAGAATTTAAAATAAATTATACAAAGAAAGAGACATGCAAAATCACCAAATATTTGGAAATTAAACAGCAACCTTCATGGGTCAAAGTGGAAGTGACATAAGAACTTTAAAAAAAATCAGTGCATCAAATTTGTGTAAGCACCTCAGGCAGTGCTTGGAAGGAAAAGAAAAAAGGTCTCAAGTCAATGACCTAAGCTTACACCTTAATAAATTAACATAGAGGAATTTAAACCCAAAGCATATAGAAAGAAATAGTAAGAAGCAGAAATCAATAAAACTAACAATTAAAAAAAAAGCAATCAAATAAAAAGTTGACTCTGAAAAGATTAATAAAATAAACCTAGAACCAAATAAAAATGAGAGGTCACACTGCTAATAACAAGAATGAAAGGAAAGACACCACTACAGACGTTATAGGCATTAAAATAATTAAGAAACAACTTTATGACAACGAATAAATGAAATAAGACAAATGCCTTGAAAGACAAAAACTACTAACGCTCACTTAGTGAGTGAAAGTGATTCATACAAAGACCGAAAGCTTTCAAGAAGAAATAGATAACCCTAATAATCCTGTATTTATTAAAGGATAATTGGACTTATCCTTTGAAGCCTTCCAGCAAAGAAAACTCTAGGACCAGAAGAGTTCACATGCAAACTCTAAAAAAAATTGTAAAACAAATAATACTAATCCTAATAAATTCTTTTTCAAAAATATAAGAAACACTTTGCAACTCTATGAAACCAGCATTATATGAAAAAGTATCTTTCATGAACATAGATGCAAAAAAAAAAAAAATTTCACCAATTTATAAAAATGATAGTAGATAATACACCATCACCAAGTGAGGTTTAACCACAGAATGGAAGATGATTCAACATTCGCAAATAAGTTAACGTAATTCATCACATTAACACAGAAACAAACCATATGATCATCTCAATAAATACAGTAATAATACCTGACTAAAATCAACATCCACTCATGATTTAAAAAAAAAAAAAAAAAAAACTCTCTGCCAGGCGCAGTGGCTCATGCCTGTAATCCCAACACTTTGGGGGGCCAAGGCGGGCAGATCACGAGGTGAGGAGTTCAAGACCAGCCTGGCCAACATGGTAAAACCCCATTTCTACAAAAATACAAAAAAGTTAGCCAGGCTTGGTGGCGTGTACCTGTAATCCCAGCTACTCAGGGGGCTGAGGCAGAAGAATCACTTGAACCCAGGAGGCGGAGGCTGTAGTGAGCTGAGATGGTGCCACTGCCCTCCAGCCTGGGCAACAGAGCAAGACTCCATCTCAAAAACAACAACAACAACAACAACAACAACAAAAACCTCTCAGCAATCCAAGAATAGAATGGGAACATCCTCAATATGATAAAAGGCCACTTGTCTTAGTCCATTAGGACTCCTATAACAAGCTCCCATAGACTGAAGTGGCTTATAAACAACAGAAATTTATTTCTCGGCTGGGCGCGGTGGCTCACACCTGTAATTCCAGCACTTTGGGAGGCCAAGGCAGGTGGATTACCTGAGGTAAGGAGTTTGAGACCAGCCTGGCCAACATGGTAAAACCCCGTCTCTACTAAAAATACAAAAATTAGCCAGGCATGGTGACATACGCCTGTAATCCCAGCTACTCGGGAGGCTGAGGCAGAATTGCTTGAGCCTGGGAGACCGAGGTTGCAGCGAGCTGAGACTGCCACTGCACTCCAGCCTAGCCGACAGAGCAAGACTCTGTCAAAAAAAAATAGAAATAAAAATAAAAGAAATTTATTTTTCACAGTTCTGGAGGCTGGGAAGTCCAAAATCAAGGTGCTGGTAGATTCAGCGTTTGGTGAGAGCCACTTCCTGGTTCACAGACTGCAGTTTTTTCACTGTGTTCTCATACGGCATAAGGGGATAGGAGCTCTCTGGGACCTCTTTTATAAGCACACGAATCCATTAATGAAGGCAGAAGCTTCATGACCTAATCACCTCCTTGAGATCCCCCTCACAATGGGGATTATGTTTCAATGCTATGAATTTTGGAAGGGACATAAGCATTCAAGCTATAGCACCACTCTATCACACTCAATAATGAAAGATTCAAAGCTTTCTTCTTAAGATCAGGAACAGAGAAGGATATCTGCTTTCACCACTGCTATTCAACATCATAATGGAGGTCTTAGCCAGTCTAAGAAGAAGAAAAGGTGGAAGGAGTTACATATAAATTCAAAAATAATAAAACTGATCTATATTTGCAAATAACATGATTGTCTACATAGGACAATTCCAGAGAATCTACAAAAAATTTACTCAAATGAATGAATTTAGCAAGGTTGCAAGCATCAAGGTCCATATGCAAAAACCAACTGTATTTTTACATATAGCAGTGAATAACTGGAAACTAAAATTTAAGAAAATTATCACTTATAATGGTATCAATTATTAAATACTTAGATATAAATCCAACAAAATGAGCAACATCTTCATGCTGCAACTACAAAATGCTGACAAAGGAAATGAAAGAAGACCTACATAAATGGAGACAACCTGTATTCATGAATTGGAAGACTCAAGATGTCGATTCTTCCTAAATTGATCTATGCATTCGACACAAACCAAATTAAAATCCCTTCAGGTCTTTTTGTAGAAACCAACACGCAGCCTCTAAAAGCTTTACGGTAAAGTTAGAATAGCCAAGGCAATTTTGAAAAAGAATAAAGTTCAAGGATTCATATTACCTAATTTCAATACTTATAAGTAAAAATAACCATGATAACTCAGTACTGGCAAAATTATAGGCATAAAGATCAAGAGAAAAGTACAGGAACAGATTTACATATATGATCAACTGACTTTTGACAAAGTTAATTCAATGGGGAAAGGAAAGTAGTCCCAACAAATGGTGCTAGAACTACATATACATTTGAAAAGAAAATGAGCCTTGACCCTTACTACACACCATATACAAAAACTAACCCAAAATGGATAATGTGCCTTGACATGAAAGCCAAAACTAGAAAACTTATAGAAAAATCCTAAGAGTAAATCTGCACAACTTTGCATTAAGCAAAGAGTTCTTAGAACACAGAAGCACAAATCATAAGAAAAAGTTGGTAAGATGAATTTATCAAAATTAAAAGCTCTTCTTTTAAAGTTAGGAAAATAAAAAAAAAACAAGCTTCAGATTGCAGTGTGTGTGTGTGTTTATGTATCTCTGTGTGTCAAATGAGTTGTATAAAGAATGTATTAAAAAATGCTTACAACTCAATAAGACAAACCCATTTTTTTTTTTTTTTTTTTTTGAGACGGAGTCTCGCTCTGTCGCCCAGGCTGGAGTGCAGTGGCACGATCTTGGCTCACTGCGAGCTCCACCTCCCGGGTTCACGCCATTATCCTAACTCAGCCGGAGTAGCTGGCACTACAGGTATCCGCCACCACGCCCGGCTAATTTTTTGTATTTTTAGTAGAGATGGGGCTTCACCGTGTTAGCCAGGATGGTCTGGATCTCCTGACCTCGTGATCCGCCTGCCTCGGACTCCCAAAGTGCTGGGATTACAGGCGTGAGCCACCGCGCCAGGCCCACCCATTGTTGTTTGTTTGTTTTTTAATGAGCAAAAAATGTCAACAGATACTTCACAAAGGAAGACATACACTAGAGCAAATTCTCAGCACCATTAGTCATCTGGTAAATGCAAATCAAAATCCCAGTATGATACTACTATATACCCACTAAAAGGGCTAAAATTTAAAAGACTGAAATAACCAAGTGCTGAGGATGATGTGGAGCAATTGGAACTGTCATACACTGCTGATGGATATGTAAAATGTGACAACCACTCTGGAAAACAGTTTGGCAGTTTCTTATAAACATCCATGTATCATACAACCCAACAAGTTCCATGTCTAGGTATTTACCAAGAAAAAAAAGATGTTCACAAAAATTCAAAATAAATGAATGTTCATTGAATAAAGGAATGTTCAACAAATGAAGGCTATTTATTAATAACAGCCCCAAACTGGAAACAATCCAAGTATCTGTAAATAGGTGGAATGGTCAACAAACTAGTAAATCAATACCAAGGACTTCTATTCAGCAATAAAATGAGAACCCGTTAAATACAGAAAAACATGGATAATCCTGAAAAACATGCCAAGAGAAAAAGCCAGATACAAAAGAGTATGTATTACATCATTCCACTTACATGAAATTCTAGACAAAATGATACCAATTTATAGCAAGAAAAAGATGATAAGTGCTTTCCTAGTCCTGAGGGTGAAATTGTGATTGACTGCAAAAGGGAACTTTGGGGGAGATGAAAATATTCTATATCTTAATTGTGGTATGAAAATATTCCACTCTTGACTGTGGTGGTGGTCACAGAGCACATATTTGTCAAAACAAAATACACTGTACATTTCAAATAAGTACATTTTACTGTATCTAAGTTATCCTCAATAAGGTTGATTTTCTAAGAGGGTGCTCTCTCAGGAAAATATAAACCAGGGAATACTGGTGATGCCCACATATACCCACCTCAAAAGATGTCAAAAAAATATATATAAGAAAACTCATTTATGGTTTTTAAAAATGTCAAAAACAACAACATAAGCATCTTGGAAAGCCAAGACTAGAAGGAAATATTTTAATATCAGCGGCTTTACCAGAAAGCTTCACCAAACATCATAATTAATGCTAAAACATTAGAAGCATTCCCCCTTAAAGTCAGAAACAATGCCATGTTTGTTGTTAGCTATCAGTGCTATTAGTTTTTAATCTACCAGTGCTCAACATTTTATAAGATGTATAATTGCAAAAGCAATGAGAAAAACACATAAGTTATAAAAACTGAAAAGGAAACCACAAAACTGTGAATATCTCCTGATAATCAACTCAATAAAATAATCTGATACATGATAGAAAACTCAAAAGTTTTGCTATAACCAGAGAAAACAGAGAGAGAGAAATGTTACTGAAAGTTTCCATCCACCACACGAATCAAACCATAAAATAGGAATACCAGGAAGGAATGTTATACGTATGAAGAAAAAAAAGAAAAACTATAAAAATTTCCCTAACAGTATAAAACAAGATGTGAATAAAATGGAGAGGCCACATTTCTGAGGAGAGAGACTCAATACTATAAAGATCAGTTGTCTCCAAATTAATCTAAAATTTCAATATAACCTTATTCAAAATAGCTAAGGATTTTTAGTTCAGTCTAAAGTTTACCTAGAAGAAGAAATGCATAAGAAACATTCAAGAATATTTTCAACAAGAGTAATAAAGAGGGAGAAAGGGTTACCAAAATTTAAAATATGCATAATCTTTTAACTGAGCAACTTCACTTCTAGGAACCCATGCTCCAGAAATAATCACACATAGAGGAAGTTTACTGAATTGTTAACAGTGGCTGACAATCAAGATGCAAGCAGGACTAGAAGTGGAAGCGGTAATTTTTACCTTACATTCTTCCATACTGTTTAATTTTTTAAAATCAAGGATGAATTAAAATTTGTAATTAAACATCGATCAATAAATTAGAAAGTTATTTTCATTATAAATCATCATTTGTAATAGCAAAAAGAAACTGCAATTAAATGTCTTTCAAAAAGGGAATAGAATAAATTATAGCCCATTCAAACTCACGAGATACCAGTTAGCCTTTTAAAAAGTATTAGGGAGACCTATATGTAAAAAGTAAAAATGTCCAACATATGTAATTAAGTCAATAAGCAAGCGGTATGCAAACATGTTTGGTATATGGTATAGCCTCCCTCAAAAAAAAAAACTTTACGTGTACTTGTATGTGTCTAGAAGTGCATTTGCAAGATTTTGAAAAATGAACACTAAACTGTCAACTTTACACTGGAGTGGGACTGGGGGATGAAAAGAAATATTTAAATTTTACCTAACAGTCCGTTATTTATATTGTTGAAGTGTACATCAAACTTGCATGTCTGCAATGAATTTTTAAAATTAAGTGGTCATCTCATATAAAAATGACATGAACCCCAAAAGACAATTACAACACTGAAAAATACAGTTTAAACGTTTATTACTGTTATCCTCAGGTTTATTCACATACACTTCAAATGATCCGTAGCCTTCAGCAAAGGTGACTGCCATTTTAAAGAAATGTGACCAAATATTTCATGATAAAACAGAATACATTAAGCCTGCAATGAAAATTTTAAACTTCACAGAACCAGCAGACTCAAAAGAAGCGCCTATGCGGATGTAAATTTTTTTTTTTTTAATGTCCGGAGAAGGAACTCTCAGATTACTCTCCTCCCTGCAAAACGACTATTTACCACCTCCCCTTTGCTTCAACTTGGTCTGAGCGTCTTTAACCTCACCATTTTGAATGTGCGCAAAATGATTACCAGTCATCTGAGGGAGGCCAAATTAAAGGTGCATCTGCAAGAGGAGCTCTGGCCTGACATCGCTAACTGAGAGCAGCCCTGGCGGAAAGGTGCTGATCCCGGGAGTAGAGCGACTGCTGCGGCTCGAGCGGGGTGTCTGCGTGCCGAGCCTCACTGACAATCGGGGAAAATGCAGACGCCCAGCAAAACGACGGCAACAGAAGGCTCCTCGGGGGAGGGGTGCTGCAGGCCTGTGGCGTAAGATGGTTCCGCTCTACGCGGGGTGACGGGAAACCGCAGAAGGTGGGTGTGAGGTGTTGGTTGGGGGGCAAACTCTTGTACAGTGGCGAGTGTAGGGGAAAGCCAGCGGGCTCCTTGGCCAAGTCACCAAGGACAGCAGAAGAGGCAGCAGTAAAGAGCGGCAGCGAAGACCCCGATACCAACCAATGTCATCTGTCGGGGGGCGGCGGGCGCGACCGTCCCGGATAGGAGCGCGGCCCGGGTCCGGGCTGGACAGGGCCCAGGAGGCGAAGAAGGCCTCCCACAGCCATCAACCCCACCCACCATGGCCGGCGCAGCAGGCCAGGGACAAGCCCCGCTCCTTCCGAAGCTAGAGACAGAGAAACTGAGGAGCTGAACGCAGCAATTTCCTCGCCCCGACCCCCACACTCCCGACAGCGGAACAAGCCAGACTGAAAAAAAAAAAAAAAAACCCTCACCGAAATGTGCAGCGGCTCCGGAGCGAGAACAGCGCTCGAACCTCCACCCGCCACCACCGCCTTCTTCTCCGCCTCCAACTCCTCCCCCGCCGAACGCGAAGCGGCTGGCGGCTGTGGCGGCGGCGGCGGCGGTGGCGGCGGCGGAAGCAGAGGCGGTGGCGGTGAGTCCCGCCCCTTGCGCCGCGGTGGAGGCGAAGGAGGAGAGTACGCAAGCCCCTCCCCCATAGCAGAGATGACCAGTCAGCTTACAGGGTCTCTGCTGGGGGACAATGCATACGCCCAATCAGAACCTGAGGAGTGGGCTCACGTCAATGGTTGGGACGTGGCAGAAAAAGGGAAAAATACTTGGACCTTCTCTACAGCCTGCTCCCCCATCTCCCTCAGGGGGAGTTCACCAATTGGCTGAAGAGCGGAAAGACGAAGCCGACTCAGTCCCCCGCCCCAGCCGAGCCCACCTCCTTTCCCTGCAGTACTGCGACGTTTGGGGAGGGGGCGGAGCACCGTGTAGGAGCTAAAACTGCGCGGCCTTTTGTGGTTTGGGCTGAGAGAAAAGGGCGGGGTCTCGGAAAGGGAAGGGGGTGTGGAGAACTAACAGAAAGACTGGCGCAGTTAGGCTTTTTCGGAAATTCCAACAGCAACAACCAAAATGGAGGCATTAAAATCGATCCTGATTCGACTGGAAACCTGATTAACAAGGTTAAGGTCTCCTGGCATAAAGTTCAGTTACAATGCAGATATCGGTGAGACAAAAAAAAAAAATGACACGAAGAAAGGCTTGTTTACCCACCCTGACCCTGGGCACTATATGGCGCTTTCCACCCTCCCTCTCCGCGCTGACCCTTGCCCCTCGCTTCTTATTCTGCTGGGGCGGGGTTCAGAGGAGGCCTGCCTTTCCTCTGTATAGCCTTGGGCTGACCACAGCCTCCCAGCTTGCATCTTGAGGCTGTTTGTCAAGCCGGGAAGTAACAGCTCCCATCACATGCAACCAAAATAAATACAACAGCTGCAGTCCCCGGACACCTTGCTTAATTTAAACCTGGGTAACAGTTTAGTTAATTATGTCAGTGATACAAAACTGTTTCTTCGTTCCGCACATATTCCCTTTATTCATCTTGAAACGTGTCCGCTTATCTGATTACAGTCCCTCTGTCTTCTCTTATTCCCCACCCCCGACCCGTCGCCTGATGCCCAGGATATATTCATCGCCACCCCTCCCCCGCGAATTAAGAGCCCCACTTCTTGTGCTGTCCCCTTAACAACAGCGAACTCTCTTGCCAGTGAACTGAGACTAATTTTTTTTTGCTGTTGATGGAAATAAATTACCCAAAATTTACTGTAGAAATTTAGGTTTATGAGAATTTGCCAGACATTTTGTGAAATCCAATCTGAATCCCAGCCCACTCCTGTAGTACGTTTCTTACCAAAAAACCATTCCTTGCTTGATATTACTCTGCCTTCACACGTGTTGCTATAGGAGTTCTGACTTTAACCATCCAAGTACCTCTTTGAAAAAAAACAAAATTCATATTTTAATTACATTTCCCTAGTTTCCCTTTAGGGTGTTCCAGATTGGCCCAACTGGATACATTAACCTGTTCTAGAAGGCAGGGATTCCCAAATTTCAACCTTTTTCATACTGTATCTGTGTATACTACTCACTGTCCTTTTTTCTTTAAATAAATGTATATTTTCTTTAATTTCTTTAAGAAGGAGACTTTATAAAAGTACTATAAATGGAAAACTAGCATCACCTATTATAAGTTGAAAGTAACTGTAAGAAAAATGAATGCAAAACAATGTTTTTAAATTGTGGCTAGAAACTGTTGTCCACTAAAGGCTCTAAGTCTAAAGACAACTGTCTTTGTTAAAAGGGCAAGCTACCAAGCATTAGACACACATTAAAGATACAGCACTCAAATGGTATTTTTATCATGATGTCATCAAAGGATAGAAAAAATAGAGCCGGAATAGCAATCACTTTCTCACTATATGAGTCATTGTTTTTAATCCTGCATGCGTGTCCCAACTACAGTTAACCAAGGCATCATAAGTGATCTATGTTACTATGAGAAACACTGGTATGGAGGCTGAAAAAGCCTGTACTCTAGAATCAAGCAGACATATTCACATACTGGCTCCTGCATTTGTAGCCGTGTGCCTCTGGGCAATCTACTTTGTTCTCTGACCTCGATTTCCAGTTTATTATAAATATGGGAAAGTAATAATACCAATTCATGAGTTGTATAGATTAAATAACCTAATCAATGTAAAGCATATCATACCTACAATGAAGTACTAAATACATATTAGCTTATGTATTGTATTACTATATAGAGATAATAGTATGTATTATTCGCTTATATGTATTATTGTTGATTCCAGGGTTGGGAAGCACTATCTAAGGCAATGGATTGAAGGTACTACATGATATACTGCAGTGGTTCCTAAAGTATATTATAATCCCTACACCAACAGCATCAGCATTACTTAGGAACTTTTTAAAAATGCAAATTCTGGCAAGGCGTGGTGGCCCATGCCTGTAATCCCAGCACTTTGGGAGGCTGAGGTGGGCAGATCACTTGAGGAGTTCAAGACCAGCCTGGCCAACATAGTGAAATCCTGTCTGTACCCAAAAATACAAAAATTAGCTGGGCGTGGTGGCACATGCCTGTAGTCCCATCTACTCGGGAGGCTGAAGCAGGAGAATCCCTTGAACCCAGTAGGCAGAGGCTGTAGTGAGCAGAGATCACGCCACTGCACTCCGGCCTAGGTGACAGAGTGAGACTGTCTCAAAAAAATAAAAATAAAAAATAAATAAATACATAAAATGCAAATTCTCAGGTTCAACCTCAGACTTGAATCAGAAACTCTAGGTATGTTGCCCAGCTGTATTTTTACAAGCCTTCCAGGTAATTCTGACATACGTAAAGTTTGATGACCACTAATTTAAATAGAAGAAGGCTTGGTCAAGGAGTGAGAGGATCTATGTTCTAATCATAGCCTTAAAGTGATGTCAGCCAAAATGAAGGTGTAAGGACCTCTGAAAATTCTCTTCAGCAATGAGAACACTGGCAAAATTGTCAGAACTAACTTTTTTAGAACTCTGAAAATTTACCAAAGGTTTGCAGCAATCCAGGGAGTATTTATTCAAATAGCTGAATCTCTAAGAACAGCCAGTTTTGTGTCATTTTGACTTGCCCTACTCTAACAGCCACATGTCCAGCTCCACTGTAGCTTTGAAAACCAACAGCCCACAATTGTGAAAACGAGCAGGCTGGTAGCCAGTAGGGGAAGTAGAATGGTGTTGGAGCTCCTTTAAAGAGCTTAATTTCCAGAGAACTGTCATTATTTGACCTATCTGGTGGTTCTGCAGATTTTACAAGGCTGCCTTTGTTTGATTTCACTCCAGGCTCACCCAGTGCAAAGACTTTTCCCCAGGGGTCATTTGTCAAAAACAAAAACATTGATTAACTTTGCCACTGTCTTAGGCAGTGGAAACAGGTGGGGCCAAATACAGCTTAACCAAACACTCAAAACTGATGCAGGGCAAGAGGGCCCCAAAACTGGGGCTTAGCCCAGGAAGGTTCTTGGTTTCACCCAGGGAAAAATTCGATGGCAAGCTGCTGGTGTTAGACAGCAATTTTTATTGAAGTGGCAGTGTACAGCAGCAGCAGAGATACTGCTCCTTGCAAAGCAGTGGTAACCCATGGGCAGTGTGCCCAGAGTAGCAGCATATGGGCTGTTGGAAGCTGTATTTATACCCACTTTTAATTATATGCTAATTAAGAGGTGTATTATTAGAACTTTCTAGAGGTGAGGAGTTTTTAGATCCATATAAGGTAACTTTCAGGCTGTTGCCATGGCTTGTTGCCATGGCATTTGTAAACTGTCATGGTCCCAGCAGGAGTGTCTTTATACTAATGAACAGTGTGGGCAGCTAGAGGTCACTTTTGTTGCCCTTTGCTGGTTTCAGCTGGTTTCTTTACTGCACTCTGTTTTCTACCAGATCCTGCTCTGGTAAGAGCAGTAGTGACAGGGGTATTGACCAGCGCTCAAAAAACAAATCCTGCTGATCTCCTACCTCAAAAGGAAAAGCTGGAGAATGAGATGTCCACAGGAACTTTGAAAACTCTGATATGGTTTGGCTGTGTCCCCACCCAAATCTCATCTTGAATTCCCATGTGTTGTAGGAGGGATCTGGTGGAAGGTGGTTGAATCATGGGGGCAGATCTTTCCTGTGTTGTTCTCATGATAGTGAATAAGTCTCACAAGGTCTGATGGTTTTAAAAAGGGGAGTTCCCCTGTACAAACTCTCTTCTCTTGTCTGCCACCACATGAGACGTTACTTTTACCTTCTGCCATGATTGTGAGGCCTCCCAGGCCACATGAAACTGTAAGTCCAATAAACCTCTTTCTTTTGTAAGTTGTCCAATCTCAGGTATATTTTTATGGCAGTGTGAAAAGGGACTAATACAGTGAATTGGTACCAGTAGAGTGGGGCATTGCTGAAAAGATACCCAAAAATGTGGAAGTGACTTTGGAACTGTGTAACAGACCGAGGTTGGAACAGTTTGGAGGGCTCAGAAGAAGACAGAAAAATGTGGGAAAGTGTGGAACTTCCTAGAGACTTGTTGAATGGCTTTGCCCAAAATGCTGATAATGGTATGGACAATGAAATCCAGACTGAGGTGGTCTCAGATGGAGAAGGGTGACTCTTGTTATGTTTTGGCAAAGAGACTGGCAGCATTTTGCTCCTGCCCTAGAGATTTGTGGAACTTTGAAGCTGAAAGAGATGATTTAGGGTATCCGGCGGAAGAAATTTCTAAGCAGCAAAGCATTCAAGAGGTGACTTGGGTGCTGTTAAAGGCATTCAGTTTTATAAGGGAAGCAGAGCATAAAAGTTTGGAAAATTTGCAGCCTGACAATGCAATCGAAAAGAAAATCTCATTTCCTGAAGAGAAATTCTGACCAGCTTCAGAAATATGCATAAGTAATGAGGAGCTGAATGTTAATCTGGAAGATGTCTCCAGGCCATGTCAGATGTCTTCACGGCAGCCCCTTCCATTCATAGGTCTGGAGGCCCAGGAGGAAAAAATAGTTTCCTGGGCCAGGCCCAGGGTGCCTATGCTGTGTGCAGTCCACTGACTTGGTACCCTGTGTCTCAGCCACTCCAGCTGTGACTGAAAGGGGCCAACATAGAGCTCAGGCCATGGCTTCAGAGGGTGCAAGCCCCAAGCCTTGGCAGCTTCCATGTGGTGTTGTACCTGTGAGTGCACACAAGTCAAGAATTGAGGTTTGGGAACCTCTACCTAGATTTCAGAGGATGTGTGGAAACACCTGGATGCCCAGGCAGAAGTTTGCTGCAGGGACAACACCCTCACAGAAAACCTCTGCTAGGGCAGTGAGGAAGGGAAATGTGGGGTTGTAGCCCCCACACAGAGTCCCTACTCGGGCACTGCCTAGTGGAGCTGTGAGAAAGGGCCACCATCCTCCAGACCCCTTGGAGGGTAGCTCTCCTGACAGCTTGCACCATGTGCCTGGAAAAACCACAGACACTCAACGCCAGTCCATGAAAGCAGCTGAGAGGGAGGCTGTATCCTGCAATGCCACAGGGGAGGGCTCCCCAAGACCATGGGAACCCATCTCTTGTATCAGCATGACCTGGATACAAGACATGGAGTCAAAGGAAATCATTTTGGATCTTTAAGATTTGACTGCCCTGCTGGATTTTGGACTTGCCTGGGGCCTGTAGCCCCTTTGTTTTAGCCAATTTCTCCAATTTGGAATGGCTATATTTACCCAATGCCTGTACCTCCATTGTATCTAGCAAGTAACTAACTTGCTTTTGATTTTACATGCTCATAGGCAGAAGGGACTTGCCCTGTCTCAGATGAGACTTTGGACTGTGGACTTTTGAGTTAATGCTGAAATGAGTTAAGACTTTTGGGGACTGCTGGGAAGGCATGATTGGTTTTGAAACATGAGATTTGGGAGGGGCCGGGGACAGAATGATATAGTTTGGCTGTGTCCCCACCCAAAACTCATCTTGGATTCCCATGTGTTGTAGAAGGGACCTGGTGGGAGATGGTTGAATCATGGGGGTGGGTCTTTCCTGTACTGTTCTCATGATAGTGAATAAGTATCACAAGATCCAATGGTTCTAAAAAGGGGAGTTTCCTTGCACAAACTCTATTCTCTTGTCTGCCACCATGTGAGACATGCCTTTCACCTTCTGCCATGACTGTGAAGCCTCCCCAGCCACGTGAAACTGTGAGTCCAATAAACCACTTCATTTGTAAATTGCCCAGTCTCAGGTATGTTTTTGTCAGCAGTGTGAAAATGGCCTAATACCAACTCCAACACATTCCTGGGGATCTAGAAGCTCACACACATGTCCACAGCTGTGTGAAACTGTTCATACACTCAGGAAAGACCTGTGAAGACCCTAAGCATTCACCTTAGGCTGATCTTCAGGCTCTACATAAGTAGGAAGTGAAGGCTAAGGGAGAGTTATTAACTGCCTGCCTTAGTGTTGAAGCCATGCTCCAGTACACACAGACCCTCACTAAACCCTGGGAGATATGTTGTTTCCAGGTCTTCAGAAAATATGTCTACTCATTAGCAGAACACTAAGCTAAGCAAGCAGAAACATTAAACTAACGAAGCAGTGCGAGTAGCCACACAGGACAAAGAATATAGACTTTATAGAAGTAGTTCAGAAAAGTGACTAAACAAGCAACAATAAATGGTAGCAACAACAAAAAAAGCCCAGGAGGGAGAAAGACTCCATTTTCCAGAGCTGCCATGTCATATTTTTTAAATGTCTGGTTTTCAACAGAACCAGAAGTTGGACCTTCAAAAATATATTTTTTTAAATGATGAGGCTTTCACTAGACTGAACAAGAAAAAAAGAAAAAAGACTCAAATTCCTAAAATCAGGAATGTTAGAGGAGACGTTACTACTGACCTTACAGAAATAAAAGATTAACATAAGGAAATACTGAGAACATTTGTAAGCTGACAGGCTAGAAAATCTTGATAAAATGACAAATCTCTGGAAAGACACAAACTACCAAAACTGACTCAAGAAGAAATAGGAAATCTAATCTTAGCCTTTTCATGTATGTCCTTGGGTTGATTATCTACTTTTCCTGAGCCTTAGTTTCCTGAGCTAGAAAATAGAGATAATAACATAATACGTGTGTCATAGCATTTAAATGAGGTGGTGACTACAGAGAGGTTTTATTGGTTATATATTAGTCACTGTAATAAATCAACTTCTCAAGTCTTAGTAGCACAACATAATATTGCTTATTATTAAAATGCCATTTAGCAGAATGAGCAGGATGCTCTGCTTCACATTTAGGAAACTGAGGTCTACCATCTTTAATACGTGTATCTTTCATGATCAGTCTGAGTATCAATATCCAGCCAACAGAATGGAGAAAGCATGGAGAAAGTGAGTTTGAAATATTTCTGAGATTTGTATTGATCTAGCAGGCAAGTCATTGTCATTAGCGATCATGATCTGCCAGCAGATCACCTTGAATCTGTGGAGGATTGCTGTTAGGCTATGTTAGGGTTGGTCTATTTCAGCTTTGCCTTTATTGCTAGGATATATCCCTTATTCCCAGGCCATGGTCCTGACTCACAGAGTTACCCTTCTGGGGTCTCAACTGAAAGCCTGGGATATTGACCAAGGTCTCTCTCTCTCGGCAGGACTTAAATTCCTATCTTTGTCTGCTGGGCCATATGACTGCTGAAACCTTCTCAGCTCTTTATTATAGTCTCAGTTGGTATTTTCTGCTGGTTTTCTTGTAGTCTTGCTGTTTGCATAAATCATTTAGGAGTCAGCTAATAACTTGAGGGAAACTTGTATAAAGAGTTTTTAGTTTCTTTCTTTGCAGTTCTCTCCTCTTGTGGGTATTTCCTCTTGAGTTCAGCCATTTTGGCAACCTTGAACTCTTACCTCTGTCTGTTCTGTGTACTAAGGGTCCTTGGTGTATCCACTTTCTGTTTGAACTCTTCCTTGGTATCACAATTTGGTAAATTTGGTAAAAACCAAATTGCTCTTAGGGAAACGTCAGTATGAATGTGAAGCTCACGTCATGAGTTACCCTTTTCTCAAGGATCATAGGCTCTCAAGTGTTTCCAACATTGCTAATTTTTTATGCCTTCAAACATTTGTTGTATATGTTTTCCTAGTGTTTATTGTTGCTGTCAGTGGGTAGGTTAGTCTGATAGGAGTTAATTAGTAGCAGAATTCAACCAGAAGCACACCAGACAGTTGTTTTAAAGTTTTAATAGGAAAATGCATTTTTAAAGTCTAGACTCATGGTTCTTTAGCAGTATAATTCCTTCCAATTCTTAATAAATTTCTGATACTTTTCCTTTTAGGTAGTTCTATGAATCATTAGCCATATTCAAACTTCTTTCTAGATTTAATTCTCAAGTCTGGTTTAATTCTTTGCTTCCTCATTTCCGTGTCTCTCTCTTTCCATTTAATGGTGATTATACCTTGATTCCATCAGGCTTGGGTGAGAAAGCCATGCTCTTAAACTGAATTTTTTCATAAAGATTGGTCTTAATTGGTCTTTGTTGATCAAAACCTTTCTTGTTTTTTTTTTAGCTCACAGTTTAGGGTCTAGTAGTGGAAGTTCACTTTTCCAGTCATTTGCAGCCCCAAACTTCTGGAATTTCTGTTTCATTTCTATTTGTAAATAGCCATTTCTCACCTGAGCTTATCTCCTTCATCTTATACTTTGCTAAGCAGTCAGTAACAATAATACACACCTCTAATATTCTATAGTCTTCAAACCTTTTTCCCTGGAGTTACAGACTTTGCAGGCACAAGTACCACAGTGATAGACAATCAGAGCTGGCTTCTTCAACCTTCATTACAACTTTTTAACATGCCTTTAAATATGGGAGACAGCGCTTGTTAGGACTCCATTTCTTGGATTCCTTAGCTGTTAGACTGCCAGATATCACATAGGTTCTGCCAATTACATGCACCCACATGAGATTTGGAAGGTGAAGTGAATTTCATAAGTTAAAGCTACCATTCTCCTGTTTTGGCTGTTTCTGCTGCAGACTCAGTTTGGAGGAATTGGAATTATCTCTAGCAGCTGTGGCAAAGATCTAGTATCTGATATTGAGTTCTGTGGCAGTCCAGAGTCAGGTTGGGACATCATCTTGTTGGTACGAATTGTGCTAGAGATTGTGTGGTACTGGAGCTGGGAGTGACAGTGAAGTTTTCCTTGAATTGCCAAGCAGCTCTTGGTGCTTATGGTAAGGGCACAAGTTCTTTTGTCCTAGTTTTGCAGTGTGACTTTAGGGGTAGTTCGTGGAAGCTCAAATTAGAGCCTATTTCATCAGCCTTCCCAACAGTAGTGTGAGACATTTTGTAACAAATAATACACTTTTTTTCTGACCAAACTTGCTAGAGTGGATTAAGTTCTCTACAGTAGGTAACCTGATTTTTTTTCTCTCAGAAAAGTTTTAGTACATTTCCTCTTTGTGTTTTAAAATTTTGCAACAATTTGTTCTAAATGTGTTTCTTTTCTTTTCTTCTTTCTTTCTTTTTCTTTTTTTTTGACTCATGTGCTAAGCATTGGGTAAATCCTATTCTGTATAAATACTTAAATCTTTGAGCCCAGGGAAATTTTCTTGTATTATTACGTTGATAATTTCCTCCATTCTCTTTTCTTTCCTCTCCAGATATCTTCCAATTGTTTTCTCTCACGCTTTCATCTTCTTTTTGTTCAAATTTCTTGGAGAATTCTTAAACTTTATATTTTATTACTTGTATTGAATTTTTCTTTTTCTTTTTTTTTTTTTTTGAGATGGAGTCTCACTCTGTTGCCCAAGCTGGAGTGCAGTGGTGCGATCTCGGCTCACTGCAACCTGTGCTTTCGGGGCTCAAGTGATTCTCATGCCTCAGCCTTCTGAATAGCTGGGATTGCAGGCGCATGCCACCAAGCCCAACTAATATTTTGTATTTTAGTAGAGACAGGATTTCACCATATTACCTAAGGTGGTCTCGAACTCCTGAGCTCAGGTGATCTGCCTGCCTTGGCTTCCCAAAGTGCTAGGATTACAGGCATGAGCCACCGCACCTGGCCAGAATTTTTCAACCATCGTTTTTTTAATTCCTATGATTTCTTTTTCATGCCATATTCCTGTTATATTATGGATATAATCTTTTCTTGAATTTCTCTAAAGATCCTGTTTTTTTTGTTGTTGTTGTTTGTTTTTTTTGAGACACAGTCTCACTCTGTCGCCCAGGCTGGAGTGCAGTACAGATTCTAATTAGAGATTTTTTTTTTTTTTCCCTTTGCTAAGATTCCTTCTGTTCCTTGAACTATGTTGGTTTCTTTCGGTGTCATTTACAGCATTTTTAAATTTTAATATTTCTCTTTCTTATTGCAAGCTTTCTTCAAATATATGATAATCCTTCATTTGTGTTCTTATTTGAATAATAAATTAATTGGAAGGTCCATGAATATGTGTGGGACTTGCTGATTGTCAGGCTTTACTTCAAGGGGAGCTAACTGTTGTGCTGGGAAAACCATAAATACTAGAATGCCAAAACTTTGCTTCAGGGCTGGTACATTTCTTTTTGTCGTTTTTGATTGTTTGTTTCATTTTTTGTTTTGTTTTGTTTTGTTTTTTAGACGGAGTCTTGCTCTGTTGCCCAGGCTGGAGTGCAGTGGCACAATCTCGACTCACTGCAACCTCCACCTCCTGGGTTCAAGTGATTCTCCTGCCTCAGCCTCCCAATTAGCTGGGATTACAGGTGCACGCCACCATGCCTGGCTAACTTTTGTATTTTTAATAGAGACGGGGTTTCACCATGTTGGCCAGGCTGGTCTTGAACTCCTGACCTCAGGTGATCTGCCCTCCTCAGCCTCCCAAAGTGCTGGGATTATAGGCGTCAGCCACTGTGCCCGGCCTAGGACTGTTACATTTCTTTAGAGAAGAAAAACACCTTTAACTTCTCTGTATGGCAGAA
Organism: Homo sapiens; assembly: GCF_000001405.40. Lineage (NCBI taxonomy): Eukaryota > Metazoa > Chordata > Mammalia > Primates > Hominidae > Homo > Homo sapiens. Next base: position 109,420,856 of record NC_000005.10, read on the forward strand.
TAGACACTTAGCTGTTGTATTTTTCTACATGGAATTTCATATAGAGCTATTTTCCAATATAGTAGCCACTAGCCACATACGGCTATTGAGCACTTGAAACATGGCTAGGCTAGTCTTAATTCAGATGCAAGGAAGTATAAAATACACACCATATTTTGAGGATTTAGTGTGCTCTCTCTCTCTCTCTATATATATATGTATATATAATATCATTGACAATTTTATATTGCTTACATATTGAAATATTTGTGTCTTATATGTTAGTTAAATAAAATATATTAAAAATTATTTCACCTGTTTCTTTTTACTTTTTAAAACTGGGTTACCAGAAAATTTAAACTTATGTATGTGACTTACAGTATCTATTGCTCAGTTTGATTAAATCTTTGAATGATCTCTGTGTACAGTTCTGTATCTTACTTCTGCCTTTTGTAGTGCTAATACCTAGCTTTCTGAAATCCTGACTATCTCTAGTGTCCTTTAAGTTTGCCACTTTCCCATCTCAGCTATAACTCTTTCTAAGAATCCTTGAGTTTTTAAGTTTTTCTGCCTGGCCCTATCAGTTATAGTCCTCCATTTGAATTGTTTTCTTAAAATTTCTTGAAGTCTCTCATGTGCTGATATTCTTCTTCCCATTATGTTTGTTACTTAGGGTTTATGCTTTTAAATTTTTGAAATATTATTTTAATGTAGATTCAGGAGGAAGAAGAGATAACATGCTGTCTTGTACACACTCTTTGATTTGTAGATTATTTAAGCCTAGAGGACTTTCTCTAGGCTGTATGTCCAGGTATGTCGTTAGCACTACCTAGCACAGAGCACTGTGTGAACAGAAAAGATTCATTTAACTTCTAATGAATCTCACACTTGTATGAGGAAGAGACTGTAAAATCAAATTGACAGTGATGAATTCTACTTGCTTATGATGGGAACAGTATCCTTTAGGGTTGTAATTAAACAAAACCAGCTGATTAAATAAGAAAAGGAAATTATTGAAAAAATATTAGGTAGCTTCCAGAAGACTGAAAAATCAGACTTGGGAGACTTACAGGAACAGAGGGAGGCTGGGTACCTAGACTCCTAGCTTGAGGCCAGCTGCCTAACAAGGCTGGTGAGGACACTGCTGCCATTCCACTGAGCACGGCTGACACAGCCTGCACCAATGCAGGATGGTGCTTCTGGCAACTCTGCCACTCAAAACTGGCTGCTGCTTCTGCCAAAACAGTCTTCCCTGACCATGCTTCCTTACACCACTAGCTTTTGAGTAAAAGTCCTTGGAGGGGTGTCTGATTACTCGAGCCTAAATCATGTGCCAGTGGAGGGTAGGAGAGCATATAGTTGACATTTTCTGCTACTATACAGTAATGGGAAGTTCTGCTTCCCCTTAAGATTTGTATGGTAGGGAATTCCTCAAACAGGAAAGAAGTTCAGAATCCAGGAAGGCAACAGGAATGACAAGTGTCCATGGCAGGGCATGTAGCCAATATCAGAACAAACAATCAGCATAACTCTTAAAAATATGAATGTTTAGTACCTTTAAAATGTATATTCTAGGCCGGGCGTGGTGGCACACGCCTGTAATCCCAGCACTTTGGGAGGCTGAGGTGGGCGGATCATGAGGTAAAGAGATGGAGACCATCCTGGACAACATGGTGAAACCCCGTCTCTCCTAAAAATACAAAAATTAGCTGGGTGTGGTGGCATGCACCAGTAGTCCCAGCTACTTGGGAGGCTGAGGCGGGAGAAAGGATTGAACCCGGGAGGCAAAGTTTGCAGTGAGCCGAGATTGTGCCACTGCACTCCAGCCTGGTGACAGAGCGAGACTCCGTTTCAGGAAAAAAAAAAAAAAAAATATATATATATATATATATATATGTATATATATATATATATGTATATATATATATATATATATATATATATATATATATAAATTGTAGTAATTGCAAAATGCCAAGACAAATAGGCTATGAGATCCACAGCACGATATCAGCTGTTAGTGAAAAGACAAATTCTGAAGAATTTGAAGGAAGAATCAATATTGATTGGTCCAGCTTTTTACTCAATGCAGAAATCCTTTCCCAAGGTCTATTCAACACAGCAATATTTGGGGAGCTTATTGAGATAAGGTTTTATTCCATCTCTGAACTGTTAGAAGTAGAATGTTAGAAATTTCTTACTTAGGTAAGATAAAATCTTCCCCCTTTATTTATTTATTAATTTTTTTTGAGACGGAGTTTCACTCTTGTCGCCCAGGCTGGAGTGCAGTGGTGCAATCTCAGCTCACTGCAACCTCTGCCTCCCAGGTTCAAGTGATTCTCCTGCCTCAGCCTCCCAAGCAGCTGGGATTACAGGCAAGCACCACCACGCCCAGCCAAAATCTTCCTCCTTTATATCATCCACCCATGAGTTTTAGATCTGATGGCTCTAGTTATTCAGAATAGAATATAGTAGTTAAAAGTTTTGTGTGGCTGGGCACGGTGGCTCACACCTGTAATCCAGCACTTTGGGAGGCCGAGGCAGGTGGATCACCTGAGGTCAGGAGTTTGAGACCAGCCTGGCCAACACAGTGAAACCCCATTTCTACTAAAAATACAAACATTAGCCAAGCATGGTGGCACGCGCCTGTAGTCCCAGCTACTCGAGAGGCTGAGTCCGGAGAATCACTTGAACCCAGGAGGCGAGGTTGCAGTGACCCAAGGTAGTGCCACAGCACTCCAGCCTGGGAGACAAAGTGAGACTCTGTCAAAAAAAAAAAAAGTTTTGTCTACAGTCCGTATTTGTTTCTTACTAACTGGGTGACCTAATTCTTGCTTTCTACATGTGGAAAATGAGGAGAATAAGAGCACCTACCCCTAAAGAATTATTGTGAGGAATAGTGCAATAATTAGCAGTTAGGTCAGTATCCAGCACATAGTGAGCATTCAATAATTAGTGACAATTATCACTGATTAAATGATAATTATGATGATGATGACTGAGGAGAGCAAAGATCACCTGGTGGCCATCAAGCAGACCATCCAGAGGCAAAACTCCTTAACTGAGGAATTCAGAAGTAATTAGACTTTCTTATTACCTAGAGCAGGGATCTAGTTCCAGACCTCTTTTCCACAATTTTTTAAGTTACTAGAATTTCTTTTTTCTTTTTCTTTTTTTTTGAGATGGAGTCTCGCTCTGTCGCCCAGGCTGGAGTGCAGTGGCGCGATCTCGGCTCACTGCAAGCTCCGCCTCTCGGGTTCACCCCATTCTCCTGCCTCAGCCTCCTGAGTAGCTGGCACTACAGGCACCGGCCACCACCACGCCCTGCTAATTTTTTTTGCATTTTTAGTAGAGACGGGGTTTCACCAAGTTAGCCAGGATGGTCTCGATCTTCTGACCTCGTGATCTGCCCGCCTCGGTCTCCCAAAGTGCTGGGATTACAGGTGTGAGCCACCGTGCCCGGCCAGTTACTAGAATTTCTATACATCTCCAGAATGCATGCATGTTGAGACTTGTTGTGCAACCCTTGCTAACACCAAAATGTCTACAAATGTAATGATTTGTCATGACCTAAATGGCTAATATGATTCAAATTACTCTTAAGCTCCCACTTTAAGGTCCATAAACACCCCTAAGGAAAAATCCACTGTGGCGTGCTCTGTCCTCTCTTGCTGAGGTGCCCTGCTGCACTTTCCTGCAGCATTCTTTCTATCTTGTGAGACTGCCATTGCAAAATTGTAACTGAGACAGTGAAAGAGATCTGACCTAACCAACTCCATCTTTCTTCTAATCACTAAGCTGTCTTTGTTCGTTCCTGGGTGTAAACTGAGCTAACTTTGGGAGGAACTTAGTTTATACTTTATAGTTTAAAACAAAGATGATCACAGCTCTTTCCCAAAACAAACCTCCTTCTTGCCTGGGGATGAGACTGCCTTTGTAGGACTATCAAATTAAGCATAAGATTAGAAACTATGGTTTAGGGGTCATGCAGCTGGAGGCTATAAGTAAGATTCTGACCCTCCCAAGACTATTCCTAAGATCAGTGCTTGAGATATTTTGCAGACCCTGCACTTAATGGATGAGCTGTCACCACCTAAATCCATAAACTGTCTCATCTGATCTTGTGACCTCCACCCGGGAACTGACTCAGCACAAGAGGACAGCTTCAACTCCCTATGATTTCATCTCTGACCCAACCAACCAGCACTCTTGACTCACTGGCCATCCCCCACCCACCAAATTATCCTTAAAAACTCTGATCCCCAAATGCTCAGGGAGACTGATTTGAGTAATAATAAAACTCCGATCTCCTGCACAGCTGGCTCTGTGTGAATTACTGTTTCTCTATTGCAGTTCCCCTGTCCTGATAAATTAGCTCTGTCTAGGCAGTGGGCAAGGTGAACCCATCAGGTGGTTATGCTAATAAAACTTTCCTTTTCAAACCTATACTGTTGTCAGTAAACTCTTCCCAACTCATGAGTCGACGACTTTCTAATGCTGGGACTCTGACACCTTGCCCAGCATCTTGGTAGTCTGTATGGGGATTTTACTGAGATTTCTCCCTTCTTTTTTCTCCCTGCTTCCCTCAGTGCCCTGGTTCTCTACTCATGGGAGTTGATGGTAGCTGGCTGAGGCCACTCTTTGGTGGGATCCTGAAGCCTAGAGAAGGGATACCTGTCTGTCGCTGTTCTTAGAGGTGAGAGACTGGCCAGGGTTCTTTTCTATTTTCTGACTGCCAGTAAGCCAGCTTGAGTACTCTTTGGGAATTGAGGGTTTCTGGTCCAAGTCACTCCCTGGTGTTACCCAAAGGCCAAGACAAAAGGACGAATTTGCTATTGCCTGTCAGGGTAGCAAGTCCACTTTCACTTTATTTATTTATTTATTTATTTATTTATTTATTTATTTATTTATTTATTTATTTTTGGAGAATGAGTTTCGCTCTTGTTGCCCAGACTGGAGTGCAATGGCACGATCTCTGCTCATGACAACATCTGCCTCCTGGGTTCAAGCGATTCTCCTGCCTCAGCCTCCCCAGTAGCTGGGATTACAGGCATCCACCACCACACTCGGCTAATTTTTTTTGTATTTTTAGTAGAGACGGGGTTTCACCATGTTGGCCAGGATAGTCTCGATCTCTTGACCTCGTGATCCACCTGCCTCAGCCTCCCAAAGTGCTGGGATTACAGGCGTGAGCCACCACACCCAGCCACTTTCACTTTAACGCTCTGTAAACCATGCCTTGGAAATGAGCAGCAGCGATCTCCACTCTGCGCAGACACACTCCACTGGTGGTGCACTCAATTTTGGATTCAACTTCATCACAAACACTACATCATAAGTTATGGTGAGTTCTCCTTCACATTGGGTTTGAGCTGACCACTCAAACAAGGACATGCTGGTCTGGTCATACAGGCAGGGGCAGGCCCTCTATCCATTGTGGGATGTCCCCGAATAGAGTGAGACAAAAGGATGCCCTAGGGCTCTTGCACTTCCTTATTCATTCCTACTTACCCTTAGATCATATTCTTAAAAATTAATCCCATTTTGACTCACAAACTCTCAGAAAGAAGCATATAATTTTCTTTTGTATTCAGAGGTTCCATATGTTCAGGTCTTTTTGGCTTTATCCCAAAACCCAAAATTATGTGAAAATTGTCATGCATGCTTCCAGGGAACTTCCTCTGTCCCTGATTTTGATGTCTTAGATGATCCTTCCTTTTGCCTGTCACACTCTTTTCAGCCTGTCCCCACTTCACCTACCCCTTCTCCATCTGCTCCATCCCCCAGTAAACCCCCTGTCCCATATCCAGATACTTTATCCCCCTTACATACTGGCATGGGAGTCACGAATGCCACTGGTACAGAGTCCTCAGAAAATCCCTGAAATGTTTTGCCTGTCTTCGAGGTGGCAAATGGAGATTTAGGAACAATTTGAGTTCGTGTCCCTTTTCCAATGTCTGATCTTTCACAAATTCAATCCCAGTTGGGTTCATTTAGCCAGGATTCCTCTAAATTCATTCAAGAATTTCAGGCTTTAAATACATGTTAAATACAAGTCTCATTCCTAGAAATATATGTACCTTTTACATGTAGTTTATATTTTTATCCCAATCATCTATAAACTCTATGAGGGTAAGATATATGTCTATTTCTTCACAATTATATCTTGCTATTTAGTAATAGCAAACACATGTGCACATGCGCACGCACATACACACACGCACACTCACACACACAGAGTGGAAAATGCATCATTTGGGTAACCTTAATTTTTACCTGCAAGCAAAAACTGGCTTTACCTTTTCAAATGTTGACCTTGCTTTTGGGAAGTGGTGTTATTTAGAATTCTGATTGGCACTTTAAAACAAACAAACCAACCTTATGGTGCTATATATTTTATTAAATTAATCTAATCCAGGTTTCTCAGCCATTACCAAACCTCAGAAAATTAACATTGGCCAGGCATGGTGGTTTATGCCTGCAATCCCAGCACTTTGGGAGGCCAGGCCTGGAGGATTGCTTGAGGCCAGAAGTTCAAGGCCTGCCTGGGCAACATAGGGCCACCCTGTCTCTACAAAAAATAAAAAATTAGCTGAGCATGGTGGTGCATGCTTGTGGTCCCAACTACTCAGGAGGCTGAGGTAGGAGAATTGTTTGAGCCCAGGAGTTTGAGGCTGCAGTGAGCTATGATTGTGCCACTGCACTCCAGTCTGGGCAACAGACTGAAACTCTGTTTAAAAAAAAAAAAAAGTTAATGTTGCCTGGAGTTTCTATTGCCAAACGTTTGGAAATGTTGACTTAGAGATGGGAATAAGTAGCCAGAAATTGCTTTTGTAGAATACCCCCTAATTTTGTTTTGGAAAGAGACTAAGTGTAGATGAGGACACTGAGAATGAGAGATATTTTGGACTGTATGGCCATTATTATGCAGATAATATTCAGCTTTATTCAGCCATACATCTCCCTTTCCTTTAGCCCAGATGGTGAAATGACTCATCTCTTCCACTGGCCAGCAAAACAAGGGAGACAGAAGAGGAGCTGTTATAATCCAGATAAAAAATGATGTTTCAGAGGCAACGGGAAAATATTTCTATGCAACGATGGTAGTACATTGATAGCGCTTGTTAATACTTTGTATTCCTTTTCAGATTCACAGCTTGAGTTTCACATTGCTTCCAGATTCCCAAGAGTAGTTCTGACCAAGAATTCTTTTTATCTTTCTCATGTATGTAAATTGTAAACATTTTTGGCTTTCAAATAATTTATTTTGGTCACTTCTTTTTGTGAAGATGAAAGATTATCCTTCAAACATGTGACTTTTTTTGTTACTTTCCTTGAAAATCACCTAGCAATTTTATATGAAGTATGTTCTAATTTACAAATGTGACTAGGATTAAAGTATAGGTCCTTCAGTGAATAACTGGGAAAAATGCCTACTGGATAGGAAGGACAATGAGATAGAAAATTACGGGGTCTGATAGACAAAAATAAACAGTAGGAGGAATAGAGTTTTATGTATGTCTCTTTCTGTGGTTGTCATTAGGTGAGGTTATGGTTATGGTAAGTCTGTGTGTAGGGGCTTTCAGGTATGTAGTCGCAGAAAGTTTTGTACTTCTTTCTTTTTAAAAAAATTATTTTATTTTATTTTATCTGGAGTACACCTGCAGGACGTTCAGGTTTGTTACATAGGTAAATGTGTGCCATGGTGATTTGCTGCACCTATCAACCCATCACCTAGGTATTAAGCCTAGCATGCATTAACTATTTTTCCTGATGCTCTCCACCCCAAATCACCCTCCCCCAACAGGCCCCAGTGTGTGTTGTTCCCCTTCCTGTGTCCATGTGTCCTCATTGTTCAGCTCCCACTTATAAGTGAGAACATGCGGTCTTTGGTTTTCTGTTCCAGTGTTAGTTTGCTGAGGATAATGGCTTCCAGCTTCATCCATGTCCCTGCAAAGGACATGATCTCATTCCTTTGTATGGCTTCACTACATAGTATTCTATGGTGTATATGTACCACATTTTCTTTATCCAGTCTATCATTGATGGGCATTTGGGTTGATTCCTTGTAGTCGTTGAAGAAGTCATTGATTTCTAGGAAAGTACTAGAGTTTGTCACTAACCAGAATTTCAGTTTCTAATACAAGAAAGAGTTTGAAATATTAACAGACAGGTAAGATTTGTTCGTAGCTATTAGTGGCATAGTTGTACCTCTGAATCTAACTTCTGATTCCATTTGCTAATAAAGCCATCAACCTGAATTTCCTTAATGACAGTTCAAACCATATTATTCCTCTATTCTAAAATGTTTGATAACTGCCCATTCACTCTAACATTGGGAAAAATCTTTCCCCTGGGCATTATGGGACATTTCCTGTTGTTATCCTGTGAGGGCTATTTATGTGTACTATGCTAGCCAAGCTAAACTTGTCTATAGAATATATAATTTATTAGGATTCCACTACAAACTTGCTGACACTGCTCTTGTCACCCAAAATGCCTTTCTCCAGTATAGTGGGAATTTCTGTTTTGTACCTGCCTGACATATATTTTCTCTTCTTCTAGTAATAATGTCTAGATTTTCCATTGAGGATGAACCTCCTCCCATTGCAAACAATTTTGGTTGGTATCTCAGTCAAGGTGTTCATTCCACCCCTGCCTGGTATATAAAAGTGGATCCATTACACAAGATAAGCCAGTCCGATTCTCTCTCTCCCTAGAATTTGAATCTTGAGCAGCATAATAATACAAACAGTTTCAGCTGATTCATCAAGATAGTCGTGTTTATTAAAAGAGATTGCCAATTATCTTCTACTTTCTAGATCCCAGATTTCACATCCTTTCCAACACAAAATTATTCAGCTTTTCTGTAATCCAATGAGCTAAGCCTTTATACACCTAACAAGTTCTGTATCTGCTTCAGTTAGAGATACTTTCTGTTGCTTGTAAACAAAGAATACTGATGGACCCTGTGGTAGGCAGAATAACAGCTCCCTAAAGACTCCACATCCTAATCCCCAGAACCTATGAATATGTTATGCTACATGGCAAGGGAGAATTAAAGTTGCAGATAAAATTAGTTTGCCGCAGGGTGCGGTGGCTCACGCCTGTAATCCCAGCACTCTGGGAGGCCGAAACGGGCGGGTCACCTGACGTCAGGAGTTTGAGGCCAGCCTGGCTAACATGGTGAAATCCTGTCTCTACTAAAATACAAAAAATTAGCCGGGCTTAGTGGCGTGCTCCCATAATCCCAGCTACTCGGGAAGCTGAGGAGGGAGAATCGCTTGAACCTGAGAGGCGGAGGTTGCAGTGAGCCGAGATTGCACCATTGCACTGCAGCCTGGGCTGCAAGAGCGAAACTCCATCTCAAAAAACACAAAACAAAACAAAAATTAAGTTTGCGAATCAAATGACTTTAAGATAATGTATCCTGGATTATCTAGGTGGCCCAATGTAATCACACAGCACTTAAACAGGGAAGAGAGAAGCAGAAGAGTAAAAAGTAGAGAACGACACGTGATAAAGACATCACCAGCCATTGCTGGCTTTGAAGATGAAAGGGGTACCATGAACCAAGGAATGTGGGCAGCCACTAGAAATGCAGAAGGTGCCCGGCATGGTGGCTCACACCTGTAATCCCAACACTGTGGGAGGCTGAGGTGGGCAGATCGCTTGAGCCCAGGAGTTTGAGGCCAGCCTGGGCAACAGGACAAAACCCTTTCTACAAAAAAAAAAAAAAAAAAAATCTGGGTGTGGTCTTGCATACCTGTAGTCCCAGCTACTTGGGAGGCTGAGGTGGGAGGATTGATTGAGCCAGTGAGTTTGAGGCTGCAATAAGCCATGATCGTGCCACTGCACTCCAGTCTGGGTGACAGAGAAAGACCCTGTCTCAGAAAAAAAAAAAAAAAAAAAAAAAAAAAAGAAAAGAAAAAAAGAAAAGAAAAAAAAAAAGAAAAGAAAAGAATGCAATTCCTGCTAACATCTTGATTTTAGCCCAGTGAGATCTATTGTAAATTTCTGATTTCCAAAACTGTAAGATAACAATTTGTGTTGTTTTAAGTCACTAAGTTTGTGGTAGTTTGTTAAAGCAGCAATAGGAAATTACTACAGATCCACAAAATATGACTGCATAAATCCTACATTTCCTTCAAAGCAAATACCACTTTCTCCCTGAAGGCTTTTATTTTTTATTATTTTTAATTATGAAATATTCCAAAACTTAAGAAACTTTAGATAAATTTATCATTAATACATATGTTTGCCACCCAGTTTTGTCAAATTATGAAATTTGTAATATTAGTTTTAGTATTTTAAAAAGTAAATAAAACATAACAAATATAGTTTCTTGAGTAGTTTTCTTGATCTTATTTCCCTTCTAATTTCCCTAGATTTAACTCCTAACCTGAATTTGTCATTCCTGTGCATAGTTTTATAATTTATTTTAAATTTATTATAATTACAATGATAATTTTATAATTTAGTTATTCATACATAAAGAATATATATTTTTCACATTTTCAAATTTATATAAATGATACAGTTTCATATAAATCATTCAGCAACTTATTTTCACTGAAAATTGTTTTAAAATATTATGCATATAAAATATGCAAATCTAATTTATTTCTACTAATTTTGGTATCTAGTAGTGTATAAGCTAAGTAGCAGTAACAAAATCCCTCAAAATAGAGTGTTTAAACCAGATGAAAGTTTTCTTTCTTATGTAATAGTCCGGCAGTAGATAGTGCAGGGTATTCTGCCATCCTCAACATATGGTTTCCATCTGAGGGATGAAGATGGTTCTGCTCTAGCTCTTCCCATTTCCTGACATGAAGAGGGAAAGGATAAGAATAAGAGTCTCTTTCTTTTTTAGCATGACTAGGAAGTGACATATATCTCTTCAGGTCACACCTCATTGCCAGAACTTAATCATGAAATTACACCCAGCTATATGGAAGCTAGAGAATGGAATGTGACTTTTGGCAAGGCAGCAAAATGCCCAACAATAATTTGAAATTTCTGTTATTAAAGAAAGCAGGGAAAATTTTGACACTCCTCTTTCAGTAAGATAGGCCTAGTAGTCAGAAAATCATCAAGAACAGAGAGAACCTGAATATTATCAACCAACCGAATCTGGTTGACATGTATAATGCATTTCACCCAACAACCGCAGAATGCACATTCTTTTGAAATACACGAACATTTACTAAGATAGACTTGATTCTGGGTCATAAAATAACTTTAACAAATGTAAATAATTGAAGTCATGGAAAATATATTCTCTGATTATAATGGAATTAAGCTAGAAAGTAATTTAAAAAACAGAAAAATCTTCAAACACTCCTAAATAATCCATCAGTCAAAAAATAATTCTCAAGGGGAATAAAAAATATTGAACTAAATAAAAATGAAAACACAACCTAGTAAAATCTGTGAGATGCAGCTAAAGTAGTGCCTAGAGGGAAATTTATAGTATTAAATACTTATGTAAGAAAAGTTTCAACTGAATAATCCAAGCTCTCACCTCAAGAAACAAAAGAACAAAGTAACCCAAGACAATCAGGAGGAAGTAAATAATAAATTTAAGGCCAGTAATTATGAGACTGAAAGCATAAAAAGAGTAAATAAAATCAATTAAAATAAAAGCTGTTGTTTGAGAAGATTTTTAAAATTGATAAACTTCTAGCAAGACTGAGAAAGAAAACAGAGGAGGCAACAATTACCTATTTCAAGAATGCAAGAGGGAATATAACTACAGACCCTGTAGAAATTAAAAGGATAATAAAGATCCACTACAAAAAACTCTACATACATAAATTCAACAACTTAGATAAAATGCAAAAATTCCTTGAAAACCGTAAGATGAAGTATATAATCTGAGTAGTCCCATAACTACTAAATAAATTGAATTTATAGTTAAAGACCTTCCAAAAAACTTTATGCTCAGATGTTTTCACTGGCAAAATCTCCCAAACACATAAAGAAGAAACAACACTAATTCTACACGATCTCTTCCAGGAAAATAGAATAGTAGGGAACACTTCCCAACTTATTTCAAGGAGCCAATATTACTCAGATATCAAAACCAGACAAATACATCACAAAAAAGAAGACTGCATGTCACTTGTATTTATGGGTATAGACATAAACATTCTCAACAAATTACTAGCAAACCACATTCAGCAACATATAAAAAATGGTATATTTGGCTATATACCATAGCCAAATGGGGTTTATCAAAGGCATGCAGGGTTGGTTTAACACCTAAAAGTTAATTAGACTGGGCGCGGTGGCTCACGCCTGTAATCCCAGCACTTTGGGAGGCCGAGGTGGGTGAATCACTTGAGGTCAGGAGTTTGAGACCAGCCTGGCCAACATGGTGAAACCCCATTTCTACTAAAAATAAAAATTAGCAGGGCGTGGTGGCATGTGCCTGTATCCCAACTATTCGGGAGGCTGAGGCACGAGAATCTCTTGGACCCGGGAGGCGGAGGTTGCCGTGAGCAGAGATCACACCACTGCACTCCAGACTGGGTGATGGGGCGAGACTCCATTTCAAAACAAAACAAAACAAAACAAAAGTTAATTAATTTGTTTTTTCTTTTTTGAGACGGAGTCTCACTCTGTCACCCAGGCTGGAGTGCAGTGGCACAATCTCAGCTCACTGCAACCTCCGCCTCCCAGGTGCAAGCAATTCTCCTGCCTCAGCCTCCTGAGTGGCTGGGATTACAGGTGTGTGCCACCACGCCCAGCTAATTTTTGTATTTGTAGTAGAGATGGGTTTTTGCCACGTTGGCCAGGCTGGTCTCAAACTCCTGATATCAGGTGATCCACCCGCCTTGGTCTCCCAAAGTGCTGGCATTACAGGTGTGAGCCACCAAGCCCGGCCTAAAAATTAATTAATGTAATATATCATGTCAATAGAATAAAGCACAGAAATCACATGATCCTTTCAATAGATGCAGAAAACTCAGATTTTCAGAAAAATAATGAATAGAATTGGCAATGATAAAGGTTTGGATAAAGCCTGAAGGCTGCATTTGCCTTTTTTTCCCTTAAGTTTTTATTAAATTTTAAAGAGATAATTTCAGGGTTTATCATATATGTAGATCTAATATATAACAACTCTGGCTTACTAAAAGGAGAGTGAAAGTAGAACAATAAAGTTGCAAGAAAATAAGATTTTACAAGAAATCGTACATTATTAACTATGGGTGAACTGTGAGAGGTTAAGGGTATATATTATAATCCACAAAATATCAATTATAAAATAATTCAAAAAAGTATATCTTAAAAGCCAACTGAAAAATTAAAGCAGAATTCTAAAGAAAACTAATATATTAAAATTAATAAAAGAAAAATAGAAGAAAAAAAGCAAAAGAGATAAGTAGAAAGTAAAAAATAAAATACTAGACCCAAACCCATGTATATTAATAATTACATTAATCATTAATGGACTAACCCATTATTTAAAAGGCAGAACTTGTCATAATTAATAAAGTAACAGATTCCAAATATAAACTGTCTACAAGAGATGCACTTTAGGCTGGGCGCAGTGGCTCACTCCTGTAATCTCAGCACTTTGGGAGGCTGAGGTGGGTGGATCACTTAAGGTCAGGAGTTTGAGACCAGCCTGGCCAACAAGGTGAAACCCCATCTTTACCAAAAATACAAAAATTAGCCTGGCATGGTGGCAGGTGCCTGTAATCCTAGCTACTCTGGAGGCTGAGGCAAGAGAATCGTTTGAGCCTGGGGGTGGAGGTTGCAGTGAGCCAAGATCGTGCCAATGCTCTCCAGCCTGGGCAAAAGAGACTCTGCCTAAAAAAAAAATGCACTTTAAACAGAAGGATACAGAGAAGTTGAAAGTAAATGAATGGAAAAGATATACCATGTAAAGAGTAAGCATAAGAATGGAGTGGTTATGTTGATGTCAGATTACATAGATTTAATAACAGAATATATTATTGGAGAAAAGGAAGGATATTTCATAAAGTCAAAAATGTCAATTTATCGGGAAGGTATAAAAAACATAAGCATTAGGGCCCAATAACAGAACTTCAAATATATGAGGTGAGAGATGCAAGAATTAAAAGGAGAAATAGATAATTCCACAATGGTAATGAATGAATTATAACACCTCCTCCTCAAATTTTAGAACAACTTGACAAAAATCAACAGAGGCATAGAAGACCTGAGCACTATCAACCATCCTAACTTAGTTGATATTTTGAGAACACTATACCCACTAAAAGTAGAATATACATTCTTTTCAAGTGTACGTGGCAAGTTTCCCAGAATAGATCATATTATGTGCCATAAAAGTAGTCTCAATGAATTTAAAAAGATTACACACATACAGAGTATGTTTTCTGATTAAAGTGGAGTTCAATTAAATTTAAAATAAGTTGACAGGCCAGGCACCTTGGCTCACACCTTAATCCCAGCACTTTGGGAGGCTGAGGTGGGAGGATCACCTGAGGTCAGGAGTCCGAGACCAGCCCGGTGAACATGGTGAAACCCCATCTCTACTAAAAATACAAAAATTAGCCAGGCATGGTGGTGCATGCCTGTAATCCCAGCTACTCAGGAGGCTGAGGCAAGAGAATCACTTGACCCAGGAGGTGGAGGTTGCAGTGAGTAGAGATTGTGCCACTGCACTCCTGACTGGGTGACAGAGCCAGATTCTGTCTCAAAAAATAAAATAAAATAAAATAAAATAAGTTGACAAAGAAAATCCCAACTTTTGGAAGCTGAACACCATACTTCTAAAGTACAAAAAAGTTAGAGATGTATTCTAAACTTAATAATAAAAATAGGATATATTAAAAAGTCTGATACTCAGCCAAAGCTGTTTTTTAGAGGGAACTGTATAGCATTAAATATTTATATTCAAAAAGAAGAAACATCTCAAACCAATTATCAAGAAAAAACTTCCAGCTTCAGAAAATAAAAAAAATGGAAGGGGAAATTGAACAAAAAGCAAGTAGAACAAAGGAAATAATAAGGGAATTGAAATCAATAAAATAGAAAATGGTAAAATGAGAAACCCAATGAAACAAAAAACGATTTCTTTAAAGAATAAATACAATTGATAATGCTCTTGCCAGAATTATCAAGATAAAAAGAAAGACATAAATTATGGATAGCAATAAGAGAGAGTTATTATTATAGATCATAGATCCCACAGACATTTAATATATATTATGGTTATCTTATGAAGACTGTTATAATACTTTAATAAATTTGGCAATCTAGATGGAATATACAAATATCTTAAAAGAAGCACTGTCATTAAATTCAAATTACTTAAAATATAAAACTTTCCCAAACAGGAATAGAAAACTTAAGCAGCTCTATATCAGTGAAATAAATTGAATTCATAATTTAAAATTTTACCCCAAAGAAAACTTCATGTCAGATTAGTCACTGGTAAATTCTATCAAACAGTTAAGGAAGAATTCATACCAATTCCACACAAATTCTTTTTGAAAGTAGAAGAGTATGAAGCCAAAAAAGTATGAAGTATGAAGCCAAAATTACTTTGATGTCAAAACCAAAGAATAGAACTATGGAGAAAAATATCTTGTAAACAGAAATAAACATCCTCAGCAAAGTATTATCAAATCAAATCTAACAACATATAAAAAGAACAATGCATTATGACCAAGTAGGTTTATTTGGAAAATGCACGGTTGGTTAAACATCTGAAAATCAATCAATGTAATTCACTGTGTTATTAAAATAAAAGGAAAAAGCCACAAAATCATCTCAACAGACACCAAAACATTTTTTAAAATTCAAGACTATTTTATGATTAAAAACTTGCAACAAATTGAGAATAGAAGAGGCTTTCCTCACATTAACTAAGGTCACTTATAAAAAACCCTACAGTTAACATCATTATCAGTGGAAAACAGCCCAATTCTTTGTATCTACAATTAGGAACAAACCAAGTTATGTCCATTCTTACTACTTTAACATTGCACTGAACAGCCTAGCTGATATAATACAAAAAGAAAAACAGGGTTAAAAACTGTAGAAATTGAAATGGAAAAAGTTAAACTGTCCTCATTTGCAGATGACTTGATTGTACATGTAAAAAACCCTTAGGAGTTTACAAACAAGGTACTAGAATTATTACAAGAATTTAAGATTTGCAGAATACAAAATCAATATTTGTAAATTGGATTTCTATATACTAGCAAACAATAAGCAATGAACAAAAAATTTTAAAACTCCATTTACAATAGAATTTAAAATATTATGGAATAAAGTTAATGAAAGCCATGCAAGCCTTGTACATTGAAAACCATAGAACATTGCAAAGCTAACTTAAAAAGACCTAAATAAATGGAGAACTCTAATTATGTTTACAGAGTGTAAGACCCAATATTGTTAAGATGACAACCTTCCCCAGGTGATCTATATCTTCAGTTTCATCCCAATCATAATTCTAATTGGCTTTTTATTTTTGAAGAAAATGAAAAATTGATTTAAAAACTCATATAGATTTATACATAAGAAATGAAACTATACAAATACTGGAAGAAAATATGTGTGAATCACTTTTTAGCATCAGTATTTACAAAAGCTTTCTGTGAGTCAAAATGCAGTAACAGGAAAGATTGATATATTTTATTAGGTGAATATAAAATGTTTACATATTAGAAACATCACAAATAACCTTAAAAGATAACTGACACACTAGATAAAACATATAGGAGAGATAAAGGGCTTATCTCTCAAATATAAAAATCACTCTTTCTGTAAAATAGAAGGGAAAACACACCAGTATCAAAAAGCACACTTAATACCCAGATCGTGGTTTCTAATACCATTCTCCAACGAAAGAAACCAGGGCTCCTTGGAGAAACGGCTGACTCTACCACTTGGGCAAGTACTATACAAGATGAGCCGGGAGCATCTTATAATACCAGAAAGTACGGAAATGCTGCACACACACACACGCCCCACCCCCCAAGCAAAACCTGAAACCCATATTGATGAGGGTGTGTCAAAGGTGCATAGGAGCCAACTTGAGAGAGTTCTTACTGGCTGAAGCTGAATCAGTTTGAGCAACAAAATAAATAAAAGGGTATTGGATTTGGATTATAGCCTAGGACAAAATACATATTCATGAGTCTATACTGATACAAATAAATGATTGAATAAAGTAATAAATGGATGAGAAGGAGCAAATCTTCTGTACAGAAGAATTTCAAATAATTTATTTAGCTACTTCACCCTCAAGGAGATGGAACATAATTCCCCACCCTGAAAGCGTGGGCTGTGCATAGAGACTTCATTTCAAAGAGTACAGTATAAAAGAAATGGGAAGAAGTAATTTTACAGTAGTTCTCTACTGACAAACACTACCTAAGCCAGGTTATTGAGGTTAACATCGATATTCATAAATCACTTGTTGGTAGAATGTACCCTATGATGTGATGAGAGTGGCTCTCTACCTGTGAGGTCTTGCCCCACACAACCAATAACCCCAGTCTTAGAATAAGAAAAACAACAGACAAATTCTAATCGTGCAGCATCCTACAAAATACCTGACCAGTTCCTCCAAACTGTCAAGATCATCAAAAAGAAGCAAAGTCTGAGAAACTACACAGCCAAGAGGGGCTTAAGTAGATACACCTCTAAAATGCTATATTGTATCCCAGATGTGATCCTAGAACAGAAAAATAATTAGGTAAAAACTAAGGAAATTCAGATAAACTATGGACTTTATAACATTAATATATTAATAATAATGTATCAATACTGGCTCCTTAATTGTAAACTATGTGCCATACTAATGTAAAATGTTAATAATAGGGAAAACTGGGTGTAGGGTATATGGTAACTCTCTGTAGTATCTTCTCAAGGTTTCCATAAACCTAAAATTGTTCTAAAACATCTATTTCTAATTATATTTTGAAAATTAAATAAAATAAAAAACAGGGGGAAGAGGATAACTAATCATTAGAAAAATGGGAAAAAGACAGAAATAGACAACTCACAAAGAAGATATAAAAATTGCCCTTAAATATCTGAAAAGATCTTCAGTTTCACTCATAATTAGAGAAATGCAAATTAAAACCTTTATTTTGTCTTTGCAAAACCTTTTCTATTTTGGAAACAGCACCCTCTTTTGTTGAAAAGGTGCTCTCTCACCCCACTTGATCCCTCTGGTTCTAGTTAAAACTATCAGTTGTGCCGGGCAGAGTGGCTCATGCCTGTAATCCTACCACTCTGGGAGTCTGAGGTGGGAGGATCACTTGGGGCCAGGAGTCTGAGGCTGCAGTGAGCCATGTGCTCCAGCCTGGGCGACAGAGTGAGACTCTGTCTCAAAAAAATTAAATAAAACTATCAGTCATAACCATTTGACACATACTAATCACTCAGTTATTGTTAGCTAGTAACTTGTTATCTGGCTGTGGTAAAACCTACACTTGAGAAAATTTCTATTCATGCATCTATTACATTAGTATGGTACATAGCTTAGAGTTAATGAGCCAATATTGACACATCATTATTAACTAAAGTCCATAGTTTATCCAGAAATTGAAACATGGTCCCCTTGCAGGTTAGGAAGATTGAAAAGAGGTTAATAGTCAGTGTGGTAGGCATAGTGGAAACAGCTATGTTAGTAGAAGAATTTATATGTGAATTAGGACATACAAGTTCTTTACTGGGTCAGGCCCAAGATATATGCTATGTAATTAGATTGAAAGTTCCCCTGACTCTACTCCCTCTTTCCTACTTGCATGATCAATATCTATCATATCAGCCACCGCAGTGACATGTTTGGGCTGCTATTAATTTCTAGGGTAATCATCAAGAAAAACCATTAAGAGAGTCCCTTTCTCTGACACACACTACTTGTTCATCATAAAATTGAAAGTGTGTGGGGAAGAATATCTTACATCAGAGGCCATTTGGGCCTCATTTACCTCTGTCCCCAGCTCTGAGAAGATGTTCATTTGCAGGTTTTAGATGATTGGGTCCTCTGTATAGTGGTGGATGGTGAAATCCAGCTTGTGATATCAGCCATTTCCTGATTACTTTATTCTTAGTAAACTGTAGATTCTCACTTTGTTTACAGATATTTTCTGGTTTCTAATACTGTAGCCATGGTGGCTTAGTTTCTGATCTCAGTATATAAATCCCCAAACAGACAAGCATTTATAAGTGGGCTTAGGCAGAGTCTGCTAACAATTGTCAATTTCTAGGAGTCCTGTGTCACTGATTAAACCTGAACTACCCGGGAGACCACAGGAAACACTGGAACGTGAATTTATCAACTTAAAATGAAAAATATCATGGGAATAAGAAGACTCATAATCAGAGTGAAGAACTTATTCTCGCCTTTAAGGTACATGTGATTAGAAGGTTATGTGGTAGACATAGAAATCTTAACAACAGGCATTAGATAAATCAAATGTTTGTTACTACCAAGGCTGATAGGTCCATATCTTTATGGATATAGTCTTGCTACAGGGATCAAGGTACTCAAAATATGATACCCAAGATTCCCTTTACTCAAGAATCTGCTGAGATGGATAGTGCCAACTTTATTCTCTACAGCTCTCATTTATATGTGCTGGGAAGGGTACCAAACTGTTTTCCATGACTTTCCCTTTCTGGATTTCTTTAGATGATATGACAGGTATATGCCTGACAGGTATCACCTTTATATTATGATTCTGAAGGTTTAGGAACTTGTCCCTTTTGTAGGAGATTGTGTCCACAATTACTAGGTATTTTTGTAGGAGATTGTGGACACAAAATATCTAGTAATTGTGCTCATTTTGCAGTTGAAGTCTAATTAAGAATTCTATTGCTATCATTTTTGAGTTCTTGAGGGCCACTGGAATATACAATTCTCAATACACACCACATCTAACTTCTCATAAGCACAACATTTTCAATTTGTTGCTATATGGAGAAAAACTTGTAAGAAACGGATAGACGATAGCCTCATAAATTTTTCTTTATATTATAAAATGTAACAGACAGGTAAAAAATGTTGAGTTGTGAAATTAAATTAACTATAAAAGATATATCTATAAAATAATCAAAGGAGAAAGTTGTTCTTAGCCTAGACGGGGAGCAACACTTTAATACCACTTATTGTGTTTTCTGTGACTTAATTAATTTTTAACATTTGATAAATTT
Organism: Homo sapiens; assembly: GCF_000001405.40. Lineage (NCBI taxonomy): Eukaryota > Metazoa > Chordata > Mammalia > Primates > Hominidae > Homo > Homo sapiens. The sequence goes on from NC_000005.10 coordinate 109,441,004, forward strand.
TAATCTTAATAATTATAGTGATCAGCATCAGATAAGGATAAATTTGTTTTTAGAATGCATAACTAATATTCTAAAACTTTTTTGGAAAGACCACAGCCTATATTGGAGTGAAAGATCCAAACATAATTTTTTTTTTTTTTTTTTTGAGACAGAGTCTTGCTCTGTCACCCAGGCTGGAGTGCCGTGGCACGATCTCGACTCACTGCAAGCTCCGCCTCCCAGGTTCACGCCATTCTCCTGCCTCAGCCTCCCGAGTAGCTGGGACTACAGGCGCCCACCATCATGCCCGGCTAATTTTTTTGTATTTTTAGTAGAGACGGGGTTTCATCGTGTTAATCAGGATGGTCTCGATCTCCTGACCTCGTGATCCGCCCGCCTGGGCCTCCCAAAGTGCTGGGATTACAGGCGTGAGCCACCACGCCCGGCCCAAACATAATGTTAACAATACCAAAGGAATTATATTATCAACTAAGAACTGTTCAAATGCTGGTGTCTATACATTATTTTTCTTTCCTTGAACTTTCCATGTAAGAGGTAATGATGAATCTCAAATATTTTTTAATTAGGGGAAGTTTAAATGTATGAAATGTCATCAACTCATTGTCATGTTATTATTATTTTTTTAATTATACTTTAAGTTTTAGGGTACATGTGCACAATGTGCAGGTTAGTTACATATGCATACATGTGCCATGCTGGTGCGCTGCACCCACTAACTCATTATCTAGCATTAGGTATATCTCCCAATGCTATCCCTCCACCTCCCCCCACCCCACAACAGTCCCCACAGTGTGATGTTCCCCTTTCTGTGTCCATGTGATCTCATTGTTCAATTCCCACCTATGAGTGAGAATATGCGGTGTTTGGTTTTTTGTTCTTGCGATAGTTTACTGAGAATGATGATTTCCGATTTCATCCATGTCCCTACAAAGGACATGAACTCATCATTTTTTATGGCTGCATAGTATTCCATGGTGTATATGTGCCACATTTTCTTAATCCAGTCTATCATTGTTGGACATTTGGGTTGGTTCCAAGTCTTTGCTATTGTGAATAATGCCGCAATAAACATACATGTGCATGTGTCTTTATAGCAGCATGATTTATACTCCTTTGGGTATATACCCAGTAATGCGATGGCTGTGTCAAATGGTATTTCTAGTTCTAGATCCCTGAGGAATCGCCACACTGACTTCCAAAATGGTTGAACTAGTTTACAGTCCCACCAACAGTGTAAAAGTGTTGCTATTTCTCCACATCCTCTCCAGCACCTGTTGTTTCCTGACTTTTTAATGATTGCCATTCTAATTGGTGTGAGATGGTATCTCATTGTGGTTTTGATTTGCATTTCTCTGATGGCCAGTGATGATGAGCATTTTTTCATGTGTTTTTTGGCTGCATAAATGTCTTCTTTTGAGAAGTGTCTGTTCATGTCCTTTGCCCACTTTTTGATGGGGTTGTTTGATTTTTTCTTGTAAATTTGTTTGAGTTCATTGTAGATTCTGGATATTAGCCCTTTGTCAGATGAGTAGGTTGCAAAAATTTTCTCCCATTTTGTAGGTTGCCTGTTCACTCTGATGGTAGTTTCTTTTGCTGTGCAGGAGCTCTTTAGTTTCATTAGATCCCATTTGTCAATTTTGGCTTTTGTTGCCATTGCTTTTGGTGTTTTAGACATGAAGTCCTTGCCCATGCCTATGTCCTGAATGGTAATGCCTAGGTTTTCTTCTAGGGTTTTTACGGTTTTAGGTCTAACGTTTAAGTCTTTAATCCATCTTGAATTGATTTTTGTATAAGGTGTAAGGAAGGGATCCAGTTTCAGCTTTCTACATATGGCTACCCAGTTTTCCCAGCACCATTTATTAAATAGGGAATCCTTTTCCCATTGCTTGTTTTTCTCAGGTTTGTCAAAGATCAGATAGTTGTAGATATGCGGCATTATTTCTGAGGGCTCTGTTCTGTTCCATTGATCTATATCTCTGTTTTGGTACCAGTACCATGCTGTTTTGGTTACTGTAGCCTTGTAGTATAGTTTGAAGTCAGGTAGTGTGATGCCTCCAACTTTGTTCTTTTGGCTTAGGATTGACTTGGCCATGCAGGCTCTTTTTTGGTTCCATATGAACTTTAAAGTAGTTTTTTCCAATTCTGTGAAGAAAGTCATTGGTAGTTTGATGGGGATGGCATTGAATCTATAAATTACCTTGGGCAGTATGGCCATTTTCATGATATTGATTCTTCCTACCCATGAGCATGGAATGTTCTTCCATTTGTTTGTATCCTCTTTTATTTCCTTGAGCAGTGGTTTGTAGTTCTCCTTGAAGAGGTCCTTCACATCCCTTGTAAGTTGGATTCCTAGGTGTTTTATTCTCTTTGAAGCAATTGTGAATGGGAGTTCACTCATGATTTGGCTCTCTGTTTGTCTGTTGTTGGTGTATAAGAATGCTTGCGATTTTTGTACATTGATTTTGTATCCTGAGACTTTGCTAAAGTTGCTTATCAGCTTAAGGAGATTTTGGGCTGAGATGATGGGGTTTTCTAGATATACAATCATGTCATCTGCAAACAGGGACAATTTGACTTCCTCTTTTCCTAACTGAATACCCTTTATTTCCTTCTCCTGCCTGATGCCCTGGCCAGAACTTCCAACACTATGTTGAATAGGAGTGGTGAGAGAGGGCATCCCTGTCTCGTGCCAGTTTTCAAAGGGAATGCTTCCAGTTTTTGCCCATTCAGTATGATATTGGCTGTGGGTTTGTCATAGATAGCTCTTATTATTTTGAGATACGTCCCATCAATACCTAATTGATTGAGAGTTTTTAGCATGAACTGTTGTTGAATTTTGTCAAAGGCCTTTTCTGCATCTATTGAGATAATCATATGGTTTTTGTCATTGGTTCCGTTTATATGCTGGATTACATTTATTGATTTGTGTATATTGAACCAGCCTTGCATCCCAGGGATGAAGCCCACTTGATCATGGTGGATAAGCTTTTTGATGTGCTGCTGGATTCAGTTTGCCAGTATTTTATTGAGGATTTTTGCATCAATGTTCATCAAGGTTATTGGTCTAAAATTCTCTGTTTTGGTTGTGTCTCTGCCAGGCTTTGGTATCAGGATGATGCTGGCCTCATAAAATGAGTTAGGGAGGATTCCCTCTTTTTCTATTGATTGGAATAGTTTCAGAAGGAATGGTACCAGCTCCTCCTTGTACCTCTGGTAGAATTTGGCTGTGAATCCATCTGGTCCTGGACTCTTTTTGGTTGGTAAGCTATTGATTATTGCCACAATTTCAGCTCCTGTTATTGGTCTATTCAGAGATTCAACTTCTTCCTGGTTTAGTCTTGGGAGAGTGTATGTATCGAGGAATTTATCCATTTCTTCTAGATTTCTAGTTTATTTGCGTAGAGGTGTTTGTAGTATTCTCTGATGGTAGTTTGTATTTCTGTAGGATCGGTGGTGATATCCCCTTTATCATTTTTTATTGCGTCTATTTGATTCTTCTCTCTTTTTTTCTTTATTATTCTTGCTAGTGGTCTATCAATTTTGTTGATCCTTTCAAAAAACCAGCTCCTGGATTCGTTAATTTTTTGAAGGGTTTTTTGTGTCTCTATTTCCTTCAGTTCTGCTCTGATTTTAGTTATTTCTTGCCTTCTGCTAGCTTTTGAATGTGTTTGCTCTTGCTTTTCTAGTTCTTTTAATTGTGATGTTAGGGTGTCAATTTTGGATCTTTCCTGCTTTCTCTTGTGGGCATTTAGTGCTATAAATTTCCCTCTACACACTGCTTTGAATGCATCCCAGAGATTCTGGTATGTTGTGTCTTTGTTCTTATTGGTTTCAAAGAACATCTTTATTTCTGCCTTCCTTTTGTTATGTACCTAGTAGTCATTCAGGAGCAGGTTGTTCAGTTTCCATGTAGTTGAGAGGTTTTGAGTGAGATTCTTAATCCTGAGTTCTAGTTTGATTGCACTGTGGTCTGAGAGATAGTTTGTTATAATTTCTGTTCTTTTACATTTGCTGAGGAGAGCTTTACTTCCAAGCATGTGGTCAATTTTGGAATAGGTGTGGTGTGGTGCTGGAAAAAATGTATATTCTGTTGATTTGGGGTGGAGAGTACTGTAGATGTCTATTAGGTCCACTTGGTGCAGAGCTGAGTTCAATTCCTGGGTATCCTTGTTGAATTTCTGCCTCGTTGATCTGTCTAATGTTGACAGTGGGGTGTTAAGTTTCCCATTATTAACGTGTGGGAGTCTAAGTCTCTTTGTAGGTCACTCAGGACTTGCTTTATGAATCTGGGTGCTCCTGTATTGGGTGCATATATATTTAGGATAGTTAGCTCTTCTTGTTGAATTGATCCCTTTACCATTATGTAATGGCCTTCTTTGTCTCTTTTGATCTTTGTTGGTTTAAAGTCTGTTTTATCAGAGACTAGGATTGCAACCTCTGCCTTTTTTTGTTTTCCATTTGCTTGGTAGAGCTTCCTCCATCCTTTTATTTTGAGCTTATGTGTGTCTCTGCACGCGAGATGGGTTTCCTGAATACAGCACACTGATGAGTCTTGACTCTTCATCCAATTTTCCAGGCTGTGTCTTTTAATTGGAGCATTTAGTCCATTTACCTTTAAAGTTAATATTGTTATGTGTGAATTTGATCCTGTCATTATGATTTTAGCTGGTTATTTTGCTCATTAGTTGATGCAGTTTCTTCCTAGTCTCGATGGTCTTTACATTTTGGCATCATTTTGCAGTGGCTGGTACCGGTTGTTCCTTTCCATGTTTAGCATTTCCTTCAGGAGTTCTTTTAGGGCAGGCCTGGTGGTGACAAAATCTCTCAGCATTTGCTTGTCTGTAAAGTATTTTATTTCTCCTTCACTTATGAAGCTTAGTTTGGCTGGACATGAAATTCTGGGCTGAAAATTCTTTTCTTTAAGAATGTTGAATATTGGCCCCCACTCTCCTCTGGCTTGTAGAGTTTCTGCCGAGAGATCCGTTGTTAGTCTGATGGGCTTCCCTTTGAGGGTAACCCAACCTTTCTCTCTGGCTGCCCTTAACATTTTTTCCTTCATTTCTACTTTGGTGAATCTGACAATTATGTGTCTTGGAGTTGCTCTTCTCGAGGAGTATCTTTGTGGCATTCTCTGTATTTCCTGAATGTGAATGTTGGCCTGCCTTGCTAGATTGGTGAAGTTCTCCTGGATAATATCCTGCAGAGTGTTTTCCAACTTGGTTCCATTCTCCCCTTCACTTTCAGGTACACCAATGAGACGTAGATTTGGTCTTTTCACATAGTCCCATATTTCTTGGAGGCTTTGTTCGTTTCTTTTTATTCTCTTTTCTCTAAACTTCCCTTCTCGCTTCATTTCATTCATTTCATCTTCCATCGCTGATACCCTTTCTTCCAGTTGATCGCATCGGCTCCTGAGGCTTCTGCATTCTTCACGTAGTTCTCGAGCCTTGGTTTTCAGGTCCATCAGCTCCTTTAAGCACTTCTCTGTATTGGTTATTCTAGTTATACATTCTTCTAAATTTTTTTCAAAGTTTTCAACTTCTTTGCCTTTGGTTTGAATTTCCTCCCATAGCTCGGAGTAACTTGATCATCTGAAGCCTTCTTCTCTCAGCTCGTCAAAGTCATTCTCCGTCCAGCTTTGTTCCATTGCTGGTGAGGAGCTGCGTTCCTTTGGAGGAGGAGAGGCACTCTGCTTTTTAGAGTTTCCAGTTTTTCTGCTCTGTTTTTTCCCCATCTTTGTGGTTTTATCTACTTTTGGTGTTTGATGATGGTGATGTACAGATGGGTTTTTGGTGTGGATGTCCTTTCTATTTGTTAGTTTTCCTTCTAACAGACAGGACCCTCAGCTGCAGGTCTGTTGGAGCACCCTGCAGTGTGAGGTGTCAGTCTGCCCCTGCTTGGGGGTGCCTCCCAGTTAGGCTGCTCAGGGGTCACGGGTCAGGGACCCACTTGAGGAGGCAGTCTGCCCATTCTCAGATCTCCAGCTGTGTGCTGGGAGAACCACTGCTGTCTTCAAAGCTGTCAGACAGGGACATTTAAGTCTGCAGAGGTTACTGCTGTCTTTTTGTTTGTCTGTGCCCTGCCCCCAGAGGTGGAGCCTACAGAGGCAGGCAGGCCTCCTTGAGCTGTGGTGGGCTCCAGCCAGTTCCAGCTTCCTGGCTGCTTTGTTTTCCTACTCAAGCCTCCGCAATGGCGGGCGCCCCTCCCCCAGCCTGGCTGCTGCCTTATAGTTTGATCTCAGACTGCTGTGCTAGCAATCAGCAAGACTCCGTGGGCGTAGGACCCTCCGAGCCAGGTGCAGGATATAATCTCCTGGTGCGCCATTTTTTAAGCCAGTCGGAAAAGCGCAGTATTCGGGTGGGAGTGACCCAATTTTCCAGGTGCCGTCTGTCACCACTTTCTTTGACTAGGAAAGGGAACTCCCTGACCCCTTGCGCTTCCCAAGTGAGGCAATGCCTCACCCTGCTTCGGCTCGCGCACGGTGCACGCACCCACTGACCTGCACCCACTGTCTGGCACTCCCTAGTGAGATGAACCCGGTACCTCAGATGGAAATGCAGAAATAACCTGTCTTCTGCGTCGCTCACGCTGGGAGCTGTAGACCGGAGCTGTACCTATTCGGCCATCTTGGCTCCTCCCCAGTCATGTTTTTTTTTTTAATGTACCAAATATATTTGCATTTCTTTTTTTTAAGCAAATGACAAAGACCCAATTTACCAGTCTTATTTTTTTAAACTTAAGCTTAACATTACATAATTAAACAATTGTCAGAACTTACTAAGTTGCCAACATTCATGCACAACTGGAAAACATCGTTAATTTATATTAAACCAGAAATATATTACCACTAATGCATTAGTATTTTTCACTACTAAATACTGAAAAAATTTGAAATTATTTTTGTAGAAGATTTGACTTGCAATGTTAATTTCACAGCAGGCTGACATTACTTGGCTCAGGTTTCAGACACAATGGAAAAACAGATCCATGCTGGTGTTAGTGTACAGTCTTGTCTAACCAGTACTAAAGATCATGGCTCACTTTGGAGTATTTGTTTTTAAAGCAAAGTGCGTGGAGAGATTCACAACTATTTTAAAGACTGAATAAATGGTCTTATTATTACAAGTAATGGCAAAAGCTGCAATTACTTTTGCACCAACCTAATATGTGGTCCAAACAAGAAATTCAAAAGTCTGTGACAAATAGGGGCTCTGATAGCTGTTTATAAGTACTTTAGATGCAATTATATTGAAAGCTGAGTTCATTTGAAATCTTCAAAAAATGTTTCTGTTAATCCTCAAATAGTGCTTGTTATAGTTTAACATTAAATGAGAGCATTGAATTACTTGTTATTCAAGCACAGCAGTTGTTCCTTACTATCTTTTGTGAGGACATTAACTGGCCATCTTTTTTCAGCTTCTACTCTTTCTTGACTATTCTTGACAGTTCTCTTCATAGTGATCTTTCTGCCATTAACTATTTTAGTAGAAGTTGATATAGATTTGAAGTTGTCCATACCTTTATCACTTCTTTGCCATATTTTTCATAGATGTCCAGTTTTTTAGCATCTGACAGCACTTCATATACCTCAGCTACTTGTTTGCATTTTCTCTCTGCTTCTTCTTTATTCTCAAGATTTTTATCTGAGTGCCACTTCAGTGCCAGTTTCCAATATGCATTTTTTTTTTTTTTGAGTTGGAGTCTCTCTCTGTCACCCTGGCTGGAGTGCAATGGCGTTGATCTTGGCTCACTGCAACCTCCACCTCCCAGGTTCAAGCGATTCTCCTGCCTCAGCCTCCAGACTAGCTGGATTACAGGTGTACGCCACCATGCCTGGCTAATTTTTTGTATTTTATTTTTTATTTTTTTAGTAGACTTGAGGTTTCACCATGTTGGCCAGGCTGATCTTTAACTCCTGACCTCAAATGATCTACCTGTCTAGGCCTCCCAAAGTTCTGAGATTACAGGTGTGAGCCACCGCCCCCAGCCCGATATGCCTTTTTAATATCCTCGGGTGAGGCCTGTCTCTGCATGCCTAGAACTGCATAGTGACATATCATGCTGTAACAGATTGCTGGATCATGTCCAAAATTACAAATAAGACAGAACTTATATCAAATGGTGTCTTATTTTCAGGTGCACAGGGAACATTCATGAAAATGTACCATATCTTAGGCCACACAAATGCGTGCACACACACACATCTCAGTAAAGTCCAAAGAGTTGAAATAATATCAATAGTACTTCCTGAACATAAGGCAATAAAATTAGAAATTAATAATAAAATTTATTGTTATTTTTTTGAGACAGGGTCTTACTCTTGTCACCCAGGCTGGAGTGCAGTGGCATGATTTCAGTTCACTGCAGCTTCCACCTTCCAGGCTCAAGCCATCTTCCCATCTCAGCCTCCTGAGTAGCTGGGATTTCAGGTGTGCCCCACCATGCCTGGCTAATTTTTGCATTTTTTGGTAGAAATGGTGATTCATCATGTTGCCCAGGCTGGTCTCAAACTCCTGGGCTCAAACAATCTGCCTGCCTCAGCTTACCAAAGTATTAGAATTACATGTCCAGCCTAAGCTAGGCTGGAGTACAGTGGTGCCATGGCTCACTGCAGCCTTGACCTCGCAGGGGCAAGTCATCTTCCCACCTACACCTCCCAAGTTGCTGAGACCACAGGTGCTAGCTGCCGCCTGGCTATTTTTAATTTTTTTAATTTTTGTAGAGACAGGGTCTCCCTTTGTTTCCCAGGCTGGTCTTGAGCTCCTGGGCTCAAGTGATCCTCCTGCCTTGGCCTCCCAAAGTGTTGGGATTACAGGCTGAGCTACCATGCCCAGCCAATAACAAACTTTTAAAAGGCTCTTCAACATTCAAATTTTTAATAATTACACTTCATTAAACAACTATTAGATCAAAAGAAAAATTGCAGAATTTTTCAAAGGGGAAATAACTAAAATTGCACAATAATAACATGTGAATACTTCTTGAATTTAAGCAAGAGAAACCAATTCTTCAGTTTTAAATTGTTGGTATATGTTAGAAGTATTCTAATATGTAAATAATGCTGATTTTTCTTTTTCATATTTTTAGCTGGGTTTTTCAATGCGCAATTTTTAAAATGTTTATTATAATGTGATCGTAAAAATAGTTCACCTGCTATCACTTCCTATCTCACTTATGTTTCAGTGTGCAAGAAGAAATAAAATTGAACATCGTGGTGTATGTATATGTTATATTATACATATATACACACCCACAGGCATATGAAGCAGTGTGAGGTGGTGCCACATCCTTCTCAGTAATGGCTCTGAGTAGAGCCATCAACATTTTGTTCTTTCACCTCTTTCTGCTTTTCTTTCTTCCTCTTTTGCGAAGAGCCCTAAATACGTGCCTAGAGTAGAACAAGAAAGTAGATAGCCTAAACCTTTGCTACTTATGGAAGGGAAAACAAATCTCTGCCTTTAAGAAACAAACTTTTCATTCTTTCTGTTTTTTGCCCCTTCAGTTCTCATTTGCCCGCAGAGTAGTTCCTCCAAAGAAATTCTCTTCTCTCTTTCTACCTCCGTATCTTTTGTTTCCAGAACCCCGGTGGCAGAATAGGTACGATTTGCATAACGCTGCTGTTCTGGCTCTGCAGCAGTGTGGCCAGGGGTCTGCAGACTGAATTAGTCACAAATTGTAGTTCAGTGAACAGCAGGGAGGAGCAGGTAGAGACGACAGGCTCAGGGGTTTGGTGGAGCCCTGTAAAGACCAGGGCGGGGTTTTGTGGGGGACGCTGGGTGATTTTGCTGTCACAGTCTATTCTTCCTTGACTGTCAGTTCTGTTATTAGTTCAAATGGGACTGGCTGCAACATCAAGCTCTAGGAGTGGGCATATGACAAATCAGGGGTTCCCAAATCAGGAGAGTGATTGCTAAGCTGTAATACATGACCTTTGCCAGGACCATAAAAATTAGATCTGAGCGTTTTGGCAGAATACATTAAAAGACTCTCTCTCTCCTGGAGCTATTCTTCCAGACATTCCTCATGCTTTCTGGCCCAGCAACTTTGAACAAAATTCTTAAGTTTCAGAGAATTTTCTCCAATGAGGCTTGTCTCACCAAGGTAGAACACAGAAAACTTGCTGCTATCCCCATCCTTTTCGCTATAGGAAACAAATCTGTGAGTTAGATGACTTCACCAATCACTCAGATATAGTAAAGTTAGATTGAGAAGTCAACAACTTACAGAAGGAAGCTCTTGGGGCACTATTTGTTGAGGATAGCAACTGAGATGTATGGCTTTGGGGGTGGCAGTGATTGCATGATTGAGTTCCTCGGCCTGGAATGGCCTTGATGCCAGCAGTATTTGAACTCTTGCCAGCAGTGCAAAGAAAGCCCTCAGTGTTGGTGGCAGCAGCAGTGGTGGTGCTGGCTGTAGTTTCTTTAAACTGTGCATATTGGAAATTTGGCTGCAAGCAAGGTTCTCTGGCCTTTACAACAATTCTGTAGCCTGCAAAGTAGTCTTTTAATGAACTCCTTTTCTGTTTAATCCTCAGGGTCAGAGTGAGCAGTTACAAATAAGAACTTTGACTATAATGTTATAAAACTGGAAGACATAAACCTGGGAATTTCAGGGGCTCTGGCCTGAAGATAGGCCATTTGGAAACAAAGTTACATAGAAGAAAGCATGGCTAAGAGATCAAGCGTTAGAGACAGAGTGAAATTTGATGAATACTGGATCCAGCCTTGCCTGAGCTAATATGAATAGATATGTAAGTTGATAATTTGTTTTTCTTAAGTCGTTTTGGGTTGAGTTACCTGTCATTGCAATTCAAGGCACTCTGACTTATATAGGCTTTTAATTTATAGGCATATATGTGTGTGTGTGTATATATTTGTATATATATATATAATTATAACTTCTTTTTTTTGTGAGACAATGTCTCGCTCTGTCACCCAGGCTGGAGTGTGGTGGTGCCATCTTGGCTTACTGCAACCTCCACTTCCTGGGTTCAAGAGATTCTCATGCCTCAGCCTCTCGAGTAGCTGGAATTACAGGTGTACACAACCATACCTGGCTAATTTTTGTATTTTTAGGAGAGACAGTGTTTCGCCATGTTGGCCAGGCTGGTTTTGAACTCCTGGCCATACATGATCTGCCTGCCTCAGCCTCCCAAAGTGCTGGGATTACAGGCATGAGCCACCCAGCCATTATAACATCTTTTTATGCTGTATTCACATCCATTCCCAGGCCCATAATTAGATACTTTATGCAAAATAACTGAAAACTCTGTCTTGTTAGTTCTGTAGCAAAAGACATAGAAGTTCATAAGATTTCTTGCTAACTCAAGTATGTTTTGCTTTTTTATTTCTAGTTTTTTAATAAAAATATGAAAGCTGATTTAGAAGTGATGGGAATATCCACCCACAAAATCAGGATAATTGATGCCATGTGCCTTTTATAGAACAGAGTTTCTCACTCCAAAGTGAGAATCGAGTTCGACAGTGTTTTCTGAATGAATGCATACATCTTGATCCAGCAACTCTATGTTTATAAATTTCTAAGAAAATACTCATGGTTACCTGCAGAGCTTTAACCACATGTGAATATATACCAAATACAGGCAGAAATTTCTAAAAAGTAAAAAATCAACTTAATAAATAGTAGATTGCAATTTTATATTGCTTACAAGCCACATGTGATAAGGCTTTCATGTATATTAACCATGATATTATAAAAATAATTCTATGAAATTGATAGTATTAGTTTTCTCATCTCACAGATAAGGAAAGTGTGGCAAAGAAAAGCGAATACTCTTTACTTCAGTCATGAAGCCTGTCATGATCTAGCTTTGGAAGCCATGCCAAGCCACTTCTGCTGCAGTCTCTTCTTTAGAACTGACTCAGGCCCAGCACAGTGGCTCACTCCTGTAATCCCAGCACTTTGGGAGGCATATATTCATGAAAAAAGAATATAAGGAAACTCATGGAAATATTAACAGATTGCTGGACTTGCAGTTGATTTTTATTATTTCTATTTTTTGTTTATCTGAATTTACTAAGATTGACTTTGTCTAGAGAAAATCAAAACATATTTTTTGTAGTTGTTGTTAAATTCGACCTTTCTGTGAGATGACTTCCGTGTACTTAACTCCTTATCTCATTACCTTAAAATAATATGTTGATAAACCTTTGACTGATGCTGTATCAAATTCTTTTTTTACATTGTATGTAAACTGAGAGACAGTGATGTTGGGGAAGCTGTGACTTTAGCCTGTATTTATTGACATGCTGATGCTCAGATATTTGAAGTCTGAACTGAACTTAAAACTCTTGGTTCTTGCCTTTTGTTCTGTTGAATAGAAACCCCAAAGTTGCTTCATAGGATTTAAAGTAGCCAGAGAATATTTTTCCCTTTTAAAAACATGACCTATGCACACAGTGGCTTTTAGATACAAACAGATCATCCATTTGATATAGAGACCTCATCTCCTCTCATCTTAACTCTGATTCATCAGTGGCCCTTGCAGTCTCACTGAGATAGACATTCAGGCATAGTTTGTTGGATTTGTTCTGGTTCAGTGGTGGACAAAATTAGCCCATATACAGATAGCATCCTCCCACATTTAAATGAAAAGAAGAAAGTCATTGTCAGGCCTTTATTAGCCCCACTAAAATTTTGCCTCTCTGATTAAAAAGTTCAGTTTTTAAAAACTCACTGAAAAACATTGAGAGACTCAAACTTCATTTTGTTCTCCCCTCCAGTAAGTTACATCAGGATTCAAAATATTAAAGACAGCTATGATTAGAAAAACCATAGTGTGTTGGCCTTGTAAGCGGGCTTAGAGATTGTAGGCATGCATTGGTGGTAAGGAAGCAGAGCCTGCAAGTGTTGTAACTTACAAAGGTTACACAGAACAAAATGGGGTAACCAGACAAGAATTCAGATCTCACTTTAGGACAACTCTTTTCTAATTATACCACGCCACTTCTTGTTATGAGAACACTTTCCTGAAAATTTCCAAATTGGCTTGAGACCTCTGACATTTCCATATCATTTTTTCTTCTCATTGAAGATCATTAGGTCAAAACCATTGTTCTTCAGGAAAGTATGCCATGGTCACCATGCCCTTTTCTGAAAGAGAGGCTACATGTTTATAGTGAGAATATGTGGGTAATATCTGTAAATCTCCTGCAATGAAGCTATAATTGTATTTCTCATTGAGGTCATAGTTCTGCCCTGGGGAAAGGATAAAAAGAATCAGAATTTACCCTTTTTAATGTGGGGGTTCCCCACATTGACTTGGATGTAAAACTTTGGAAAAAAGCTTTTGTCATCTATTCCCCAACTGCCAACTGAGAGACCTTGGTACCGGAGCTCAGGACAGATGGATGAAGAGTCCTACCTTTAGGCAGAGAACTGGAGGCAATTTAGCTATTGTTTATCATTTGCACCACACAGAGAATTAAGGGAATATGAAATGCTTTATCTATTGGTATTCTGCTATTGCCATCTCATTGCGATAAAAAGAAATATAAGTATGGTATCACCCCAAACAAGAGGTAGGTCCAAGTTTAGAAGATTCCTACACCTGTATGATAGCATCTGTGATTTAAAAGTAATTTTATTTTACCTGATTCTCTTACCAGTTCTGTGATGTTAGCACAGTGGAAGATAATGGAATCCAGGGAAATGAAGTGACAGGACAATGACCACAGTCTGTTCCTGCAGTAGGAACCAGTTCCTCGGGTTTCTTCCTAGTCCTTTTTAGATATAGCTAAGGGAATCTTACAGACATGGAAACAATCAATTTAGATTATAAAGGTTTATCAACAAAAAGTATTCTGCTAAAGGCAAAAATCCTGTGATCTAGGTAGTCAGAACGCTGTCCTCACAGGGGCAGAAATGTTCTTCAGCTAAAGTATGTTCAGAATGGCTTCTTTTCCTTCTGGCTTTTGAACAAGAATTTGCAACTTTGGAAGACTATTCTCTCAGCGGAGAGAATGGCAAGTCTAAGAAAAAAAATGTTTATTTAAAAAATGGTATCCAAAAAGAAAGCTAATGCTTTTCATACTACTTAATATGTCATTGTTGTGTTACATTAGAAAGCAACAGGGTTTTGATGTGCCCTTATTATGGTTTACAGACTTAAAAAGCAGAAAAAAAAAAAAGGAAACAAAGGTCTCCCACCCATGTGGCAAAGTGTGCTTTGAAGTTCTGCTGCAATATGTTTTATAGATCTTGAGACAGGTTCACAAATTGCCAATCTGCAAAGCTGTCTGGATGACCTTTCCACACATAGAGGTGACCTAAGCAGAGTAGTATGCTGGCAATGACCAGGAGGCTGAGAAACTAGTTTCCTCGTAGAGCATGTGTTCATTTACGATTTTATTCACATTTTGCTTTGCACGCAGACTCAGTTCTTTTAGTTTAGTTTCCTTTCATTCAGTTTCCACAATTTGTATGGTTGACTTAGCGAAATAATTACTTTTGGTAAAAAATATTCCTTGAACATTATTCATTATTTGGTTCATCATTTGCAACAAATATCTTTTAGGTTAGACATTGAGCTGGTAACTCCATTTGTGGTCTTGCCCCTCTTTTATCCATTTAGCTTTTCTATATGCTGTTTCCTCCATTTAGAAATCCCCTTACTGTTGCTCTTTTCTAACAGTCTCCTCCTTATTCTGCAGACTCATCTTTTCTGAAAAGACTTTCTTCATCCACAAATGGCTTTGATGCTAATACCTTTATTTATGCCTGATGGGAATAGATGAGATCACTCAGGAAGAATATGTCATGTGAAAACAGAAGAACTGGTTTGTACCGGACACAGAGGAAACAGTGCCTGCCAGGGAGAAGGGAGAGGAGTGCTAGAGAGGGAGGAGAAAGCCAGGAGAAAGGCCAAGGGGTAACTGTTTCTACATGCAGAGCGTGGTAAGTGCCAGTCACTGCTACAGAGAAGACAAGCAAACTGAGAAATGGAATGCGTCATTGGTCTGTACTTGTATCTGCTCATTTTCATACAGAATAACACCAGAATGACTCATAAGAATCTAACAGTGGTTACTTATAGAGGTGACTGGCCCTGAGCAGCTAAGGATCATGTACAGAAGGTAGACTTTTATATTTTGCATACCTTCTAAAGTTTCTGAGTTTTGAACTACGTGAATGAATTACGTATTAAATACACTAAATCAAAATTATTTAGACTCACACCTGTAATCTAGCACTTTAGGAGGCTGAGATAGGGGGAGGCACTTGAGACTAGTAATTCAAGACCAGCCTGGACAAACATAGTGAGAACGCACACCTAAATATTTTTTTAATAAAAATAAATGAAAGAAAAAATTTAGACTAACTATAATACTCTAATATTCATATCAAATTAGCAAGATATACAAACTTCCAAAATTTTTATATAAAATTAAAATTGGGTTTAATGGGTCAAATGATCTAAATCAACATTTTGATGAAATTCATGTAATAAATCCTTGGCAAAAATCATTATTGCATTTGTTAATTATACTGTATTGGAACACAGAAAATCTTTTCCAATCTATTTGGATTGAGAAACATTTTATTTGTATTTTAGTGTTTAATCATTTCTGGCTCTCAGTCAAGCAAACAAAATATTCTGAAATGCTATAATGCATTTTCTCAATGCTACAAAGCTTCTGCAATCTTTTCTTACTTTACTTTTCTTTCTTTTTTTTTTCTTAAGGTAGGTGAAATGCAACAGAAATACAAGATTTATATGTACCTAAGGAGGGATAAAATCTTTATGTCCATCACATACTTTATCTAATAAAGTAAGAATGTTAAAAAGACAGTTTTCCATTTGGGGAAATGAGGTAATGAAAATGATAGAATTCTGATTTCAAAGGATTATTTGTTGAAGTGTTAGTTTCCAAACAATCCAAACAGGTAAACCAAGGATTTTTTTTCTGGCTTTACATATGATATACTCTATTATTATAAATCTTATTATTATACACTTTTTAAAATGTATTGGTTACATACAGTAAGTTTTGTGTCTTAAAACAAAAATATTTCTATCCCATTTGCTGCCATCTCTATCTCTTTCTGTATTAAAGCACCCTTGTGAGAAAAGCTTGGTCTCTAGCAGTCTTGGGAGGACATCCAACCTGTCAGATCCTCCTTTCTGGGTTTATTTATAGCTAAATAAGAGATATATATATATATAACCAATTTTACCTGAATAGTATGAAATAAATTCCATTTTAATTTTATTGTTTAATAAAAAGCCAGGAGAGGGTAGAGCCAAGATGGCCAAATAGGAACAGCTCCAGTCTACAGCTCCCACGTGAGTGACACAGAAGATGGGTGATTTCTGCATTTCCAACCGAGGTACTGGGCTCATCTCACTGGGGAGTGTTGGAAAGTGGGTGCAAGACAGTGGGTGCAGTGCCTCCAGCGTGAGCCGAAGCAGGGCGAGACATCGCCTCACCGGGGAAGTGCAAGGGGCCAAGGAATTTCCTTTCCTAGTCAAAGAAAGGGGTGACAGATAGCACCTGGAAAATCGGGTCACTCCCACCCTAATACGGCTCTTTTCCAATGGTGTTAGCAAATGGCACACCAGGAGATTATATCCTGTGTCTGGCTCAGAGGGTCCTACGCCCACAGAACCTCACTCATTGCTAGCACAGCAGTCTGAGATCAAACAGCAAGGTGGCAGCGAGGCTGGGGGAGGGGTGCCCACCATTGCGGAGGCTTGAGTAGGAAAACAAAGGGGCCAGGAAGCTCGAATTCGGTGGAGCCCACCGCAGCTCAAGGAGGCCTGCCTGCCTCTGTAGACTCCACCTCTGGGGGCAGGGAATTGCCAAACAAAAGGAAGCAGAATCCTCTGCAGACTTAAATGTCCCTGTCAGACAACTTTGAAGAGAGTAGTGGTTCTCCCAGCACGCAGCTGGAGATCTCAGAACTGACAGACTGCCTCCTCAAGTGGGTCCCTGACCCCAAAATAGCCTAACTGGGAGGCACCCCCTAGTAGGGGCAGACTGACACCTCACACGGCCGGGTACCCCCCTGAGACAAAACTTCCAGAGGAACGATCAGGCAGCAACATTTGGTGCTCACCAGTATCCGCTGTTCTGCAGCCTCCGCTGCTGATACCCAGGCAAACAGGGTCTGGAGTGGTCCTCCAGCAAACTCCAACAGACCTGCAGCTGAGGGTCCTGACTGTTAGAAGGAAAACTAACAAACAGAAAGGACATCCACACCAAAACCCCATCTGTACATCACCGTCATCAAAGACCAAAGGTAGATAAAACCACAAAGATGGGGAAAAAACAGAGCAGAAAAACTGGAAACTCTAAAAATCAGAGCACCTATCCTTCTCCAAAGGAACACAGCACCTCACCAGCAACGGAACAAAGCTGGACAGAGAATGACTTTGACAGTTGAGAGAAGAAGGATTCAGACGATCAAACTACTCCAAGCTAAAGGAGGAAGTTCGAACCCATGGCAAAGAAGTTAAAAACCTTGAAAAAAAATTAGATGAATGGCTAACTAGAATAACCAATGCAGAGAAGTCCTTAAAGGACCTGATGGAGCTGAAAACCAAGGCATGAGAACTACATGACGAATGCACAAGCCTCAGTAGCTGATTCAATCAACTGGAAGAAAGGGTATCAGTGATGGAATATCAAATGAATGAAATGAAGCGAGAAGAGAAGTTTAGAGAACAAAGAATAAAAAGAAACGAACAAAGCCTCCAAGAAATATGGGACTATGTGAAAAGACCAAATCTACGTCTGATTGGTGTACCTGAAAGTGAAGGGGAGAATGGAACCAAGTTGGAAAACACTCTGCAGGATATTATCCGGGAGAACTTCCCCAATCTAGCAAGGCAGGCCAACATTCACATTCAGGAAATACAGAGAATGCCACAAAGATACTCCTCGAGAAGAGCAACTCCAAGACACATAATTGTCAGATTCACCAAAGTTGAAATGAAGGAAAAAATGTTAAGGGCAACCAGAAAGAAAGGTCAGGTTACCCACAAAGGGAAGCCCATCAGACTAACAGCTTATCTCTCGGCAGAAACTCTACAAGCCAGAAGAGACTGGGGGCCAATATTCAACATTCTTAAAGAAAAGAATTTTCAGCCCAGAATTTCATGTCCAGCCAAACTAAGCTTCATAAGTGAAGGAGAAATAAAATACTTTACAGACAAGCAAATGCTGAGAGATTTTGTCGCCACTAGGCCTGCCCTAAAAGAGCTCCTGAAGGAAGCACTAAACATGGAAAGGAACAACCGGTACCAGCCACTGCAAAAACATGCCAAATTGTAAAGACCATCGAGGCTAAGAAGAAACTGCATCAACTAATGAGCAAAATAATCAGCTAACATCATAATGACGGGATCAAATTCACATATAACAATATTAACCTTAAATGTAAATGGACTAAATGCTCCAATTAAAAGACACAGACTGGCAAATTGGATAAAGAGTCAAGACCCATCAGTGTGCTGTATTCAGGAAACCCATCTCACGTGCAGAGACACACATAGGCTCTAAATAAAGGGATGGAGGAAGATCTACCAAGCAAATGGAAAACAAAAAAAGGAAGGGGTTGCAATCCTAGTCTCTGATAAAACACATTTTAAACCAACAAAGATCAAAAGAGACAAAGAAGGCCATTACATAATGGTAAAGGGATCAATTCAACAAGAAGAGCTAACTATCCTAAATATATATGCACCCAATACAGGAGCACCCAGATTCATAAAGCAAGTCCTTAGAGACCTACAAAGAAACTTAGACTCCCACACAATAATAATGGGAGACTTTAACACCCCACTGTCAACATTAGACAGATCAATGAGACAGCAAGTTAACAAGGATATCCAGGAATTGAACTCAGCTCTGCACCAAGTGGACCTAACAGACATCTACAGAACTCTCCACCCCAAATCAACAGAATATACATTCTTCTCAGCACCACACCGCACTTATTCCAAAACTGACCACATAGTCGGAAGTAAAGCAGTCCTCAGCAAATGTAAAAGAACAGAAATTATAACAAACTATCTCTCAGACCACAGCGCAATCAAACTAGAACTCAGGATTGAGAAACTCACTCAAAACCACTCAACTACATGGAAACTGAACAACCTGCTCCTGAATGACTACTGGGTACATAACAAAATGAAGGCAGAAATGAAGATGTTCTTTGAAACCAACGAGAACAAAGACACAACATACCAGAATCTCTGGGACACATTCAAAGCAGTGTGTAGAGGGAAATTTATAGCACTAAATGCCCACAAGAGAAAGCAGGAAAGATCTAAAATTGACACTCTAACTTCATAATTAAAAGAACTAGAGAAGCAAGAGCAAACACATTCAAAAGCTAGCAGAAGGCAAGAAATAACTAAGATCAGAGCAGAACTGAAGGAGATAGAGACACAAAACACCTTTCAAAAAATCAATGAATCCAGGATTTTTTGAAAAGATCAACAAAATTGATAGACCACTAGCAAGACTAATAAAGAAGAAAAGAGAGAAGAATCAAATAGATGCAATAAAAAATGATAAAGGGGATATCACCACCGATCCCACAGAAATACAAACTACCATCAGAGAATACTATAAACACCTCTATGCAAATAAACTAGAAAATCTAGAAGAAATGGATAAATTTCTCGATACATACACCCTCCCAAGACTAAACCAGGAAGAAGTTGAATCTCTGAATAGACAAGTAACAGGCTCTGAAATTGAGGCAATAATTAATAGCTTACCAACCAAAAAAAGTCCAGGACCAGATGGATTCACAGCCGAATTCTACCAGAGGTACAAGGAGGAGCTGGTACCATTCCTTCTGAAACTATTCCAATCAATAGAAAAAGAGGGAATCCTCCCTAACTCATTTTATGAGGCCAGCATCATCCTGATACCAAAGCCTGGCAGAGACACAACAAAAAAAGAGAATTTTAGACCAATATTCCTGATGAACATCGATGCAAAAATCCTCAATAAAATGCTGGCAAACCAAATCCAGCAGCACATCAAAAAGCTTATCCACTATGATCAAGTGGGCTTCATCCCTGGGATGCAAGGCTGGTTCAACATATGCAAATCAATAAACATAATCCAGCATATAAACGGAACCAATGACAAAAACCATGTGATTATCTCAATAGATGCAGAAAAGGCCTTTGACAAAATTCAACAACAGTTCATGCTAAAAGCTCTCAATAAATTAGGTATTGATGGGACGTATCTCAAAATAATAAGAGCTATCTATGACAAACCCACAGCCAATATCATACTGAATGGGCAAAAACTGGAAGCATTCCCTTTGAAAACTGGCACGAGACAGGGATGCCCTCTCTCACCACTCCTATTCAACATAGTGTTGGAAGTTCTGGCCAGGGCAATCAGGCAGGAGAAGGAAATAAAGGGTATTCAATTAGGAAAAGAGGAAGTCAAATTGTCCCTGTTTGCAGATGACATATCTAGAAAACCCCATCGTCTCAGCCCAAAATCTCCTTTAGTTGATAGGCAACTTCAGCAAAGTCTCCGGATACAAAATCAATGTGCAAAAATCACAAGCATTCTTATACACCAATAACAGACAAACAGAGAGCCAAATCATGAGTGAACTCTCATTCACAATTGCTTCAAAGAGAATAAAATACCTAGGTTCCAACTTACAAGGGACATGAAGGACCTCTTCAATGAGAACTACAAACCACTGCTCAATGAAATAAAAGAGGATACAAACAAATGGAAGAACATGTCATGCTCATGAGTAGGAAGAATCAATATCGTGAAAATGGCCATACTGCCCAAGGTAATTTATAGATTCAATGCCATCCCCATCAAGCTACCAATGACTTTCTTCACAGAATTGGGAAAAACTACTTTAAAGTTCATATGGAACCAAAAAAGAGCCCACATCGCCAAGTCAATCCTAAGCCAAAAGAACAAAGCTGGAGGCATCACACTACCTGACTTCAAACTATACTACAAGGCTACAGTAACCAAAACAGCATGGTACTGGTACCAAAGCAGAGATATAGATCAATGGAACAGAACAGAGCCCTCAGAAATAATGCCGCATATCTACAACTATCTGATCTTTGACAAACCTGAGAAAAACAAGCAATGGGGAAAGGATTCCCTATTTAATAAATGGTGCTGGGAAAACTGGCTAGCCATATGTAGAAAGCTGAAACTGGATCCCTTCCTGACACCTCATACAAAAATTAATTCAAGATGGATTAAAGACTTAAACGTTAGACCTAAAACCATAAAAACCCTAGAAGAAAACCTAGGCATTACCATTCAGGACATAAGCATGGGCAAGGACTTCATGTCTAAAACACCAAAAGCAATGGCAACAGAAGCCGAAATTGACAAATGGGATCTAATGAAGCTAAAGAGCTCCTGCACAGCAAAAGAAACTACCATCAGAGTGAACAGGCAACCTACAAAATGGGAGAAAATTTTTGCAACCTACTCATCTGACAAAGGGCTAATATCCAGAATCTACAATGAACTCAAACAAATTTACAAGAAAAAAAACAAACAACCCCATCAAAAAGTGGGCAAAGGACATGAACAGACACTTCTCAAAAGAAGACATTTATGCAGCCAAAAAACACATGAAAAAATGCTCATCATCACTGGCCATCAGAGAAATGCAAATCAAAACCACAATGAGATACCATCTCACACCAGTTAGAATGGCAATCATTAAAAAGTCAGGAAACAACAGGTGCTGGAGAGGATGTGGAGAAATAGCAACACTTTTACACTGTTGGTGGGACTGTAAACTAGTTCAACCATTGTGGAAGTCAGTGTGGCGATTCCTCAGGGATCCAGAACTAGAAATACCATTTGACCCAGCCATCCCATTTCTGGGTATATACCCAAAGGATTATAAATCATGCTGCTATAAAAACACATGCACAAGTATGTTTATTGCAGCACAATTCACAATAGCAAAGACTTGGAACCAATCCAAATGTCCAAGAATGATAGACTGGATTAAGAAAATGTGGCACATATACACCATGGAATACTATGCAGCCATAAAAAATGATGAGTTCATGTCCTTTGTAGGCACATGGATGAAGCTGGAAACCATCATTCTCAGCAACCTATCGCAAGGACAAAAAACCAAACACTGCATGTTCTCACTCATAGGTGGGAATTGAACAATGGGAACACATGGACACAGGTAGAGGAACATCACACACTGGGGCCTGTTGTGGGGTGGGGGGAGGGGGGAGGGATAACATTAGGAGATATACCTAATGTTAAATGACGAGTTACTGGGTGCTGCACACCAACATGGCACATGTATACATATGTAACTAACCTGCACGTTGTGCACATGTACCCTAAAACTTAAAGTATTAAAAAAAAAAGAACAGCTGCTATGTGCCCTCTGTTCACAGCAGAAACACCCTGTTAAAATAAATAAATAAATAAATAAAAAGCCAGAAGTAGGAATTTTTATGAACTCTCCGAAGTTCAGTAAAATAACAGTACTGTACCTATTCTTTCGAAGAAGCATAAAAAATGTGATTTTCTTATATATGAACTTTTATGCAACTCCTAAAAGGATTTTCTAAGAACTTGAACTGTTTTAAACCTTTTTAAATGTAAGACTTTCTCTAATATCCAATCGTTAAGTTTCATACTTTTACCTCAGAGGGATCCTAAATGGATGTGTATTACATTTCAATTTAGTAATTCCAAAGATTGAGAAGGAGACATACTCCATCTTTAGAGTAGCCTTCAAAGGCTATTAGACATATAAGAGTCCTTAAACAAAACCTGCTAAAAGTCCAACATTTGATTCATTCTCTATTTTAGGCATAAATACGATTATAATTACAATATAACCTATATTTTATACAATTAAAGAGAAAATAAACTCATTTTCACAATTTTGATTTTCTTTTAAGAGGAAGTGTCAATCATATAATTTTTTCCATACTTATATTGAAAATTTGTTTCTGAATTGCATTAGGACAGGCTAGGCTATCCTGCTGTGATAGATATCCTGAAATCTCTATGACTTAACACAACAAAAGAACCTTTCCTTTTCATAAAAGTTCCAATGCAAGAAGGATTCTGTCTAGTATGTGGTGACTCCAGGATCCAGGTGGCTTCCATCTTGAAGTGCTGCACTCTCAACACGTGGCCTCAATTACTGTGGAAGAGGCACCTTTCCTTCTACTTACAGGCCATTGACCAGAATTAGTTGCATATTCTCTGGCCTAACTATAAGGAAAGTTATGAAATACTCTTTTCTCTTGTGTTCAGGAAAAGAAAATGAAACAGGATTAGGTGAACACAAAGCATTGCTTTTGCCACAGTTTTAAGTGTAGATTCTTTGAAAGTACTTTTTCTAATACCAGTTAACCTTGGAAAAGGAGAACCAAATTAGAGTTGTTACTCATCTCTGATTCCTCCTGAACGTGATGGAAACTTTGAACAAAGCATGTACTCACATGCAATTGGCCATCCAATCACGGAATTTGGAATGACCCTGGTTTATTATTACCTTCAAGATTTAATGTCATTTTTAAAATTTTGATTGGATATTGAAAATGGAGATGGATTAGAAATATAAGAATCTTATCAGTTCATAGTATTGCCAAGCAGAGTAAAAGTATCCCATCATGACTTCAGATTAGCTTTTTGAAAATATTACTATCAAAAATGGTTTGTATGTCTCTGATAATAAATATGGTCTTACAACTTCTACTTTATTAGCATTTGATGGAGCTGAGAACTTACATTAATAAAAATGAAATTATATCTAATAAAGTATAAATGTCACAAAGATAAATGAGGTATTTTCATAACTTAAAATTTTCTCTCTTCTTCAAGCATTTTTAACTTAAAATAAAAACCAAAACTTTCTCCAAATTTTATAGTTTCAGGTTATTTTGAACTCAACCAGAATTATTTCTTTAAAACAAAATCTTCCTTCTGAACTTTGAAGTGTAGTCAGAGAAGGCTGAAATATTTGCTGTTGGTTTGCTTTATTAATGCGAAGACATCTTGAGTACAAAAGAGAATCAATGGCTATATATCTAACATACCAAGATTTTTCCTTGGCACACAGGGCATTTGGAAGGGGCCATATAGCTGTCATTTGAGGTCTGTGGGTTGACCTACTGGGTACAACAGAAGGGTTATATATGGTAGGTGGCCTGGCAGGTCTGAGCATTGGTACAATATTTATGAATTCTAGCTTTGCTCCTTGACTCTTTATAGTCTCAAATAAGTAACAGGTGAAATTCTGAAAAGTAACTCTACTGTTAGAAGTGATGCAAAGTTATATGTTAGCCAAACAAGCAAATGAAGCTTTTAAAAAATAATTCCACAGAAGAGATTTATTTTATTTTGTTATTAACAACATTGACAGCAAAAGCTGAGAATGAATAAGAAAAATGGGGAAAAGCACATTTTGAGATCTTAGCTTCAAGCTGAAAACATAAAGCTTTTTGTTTAATTTCAGCTTCATCCTTTAGTTGCAAAGCCATAAATGTAAACCAGAAAGCTAAGGGACAATTTTTAATGAAAGAGGAAAAGAACTCCAAGACAATAGCTTTCTTCTGTAAGCTACTCTTCCTTATCTCAAAATACAGGGCAGAAGATACAGCTTTCTGCAATATCCTGAGACATAAACCTCAGGAATTGCTAAGGCCAATGGTCAGAGGAGCCAAGAGAGAACCAGTCATGGCACATTGTGTGGCCAATACCAGTCACGGGACCAAACTGGGTCAACGTCTTAGCCATTGGAGTGAAGATGGACTATGTGATAAGAGAGATCTGGAATACATCTGAAAGTGTCCTTAGTTGTAAGGCTTAAAGAATCAGTTATGGACCTTCCAGCTGGTGGCCCAAGATTATAGTCCCTTTGATGATAAGATACCTATAAAAGGAATACTAGCTGTTTATTAAAAAGTGTGTCTGTGTGTGTGTCTTGGGAAACTTGGGTACATATATGCCAAACCTAAATATTTAATAAAAATAAATATCATTTACCAATATTTTTGCCTTATTTCTTCTTAGATATTGTTTTAAAAAGTTCTAAGCCAAAAAGCCACCTCAATTATTACAAAGAAAGAAATACCTTAGAATAAGTAACCAGAATATTGTCTTGAAAACCAGAAATATTGAGCAAGAAAAGACTACGTGAGAAGGTAAGTCCAACACACAGTACCGTGACATGTAGATGTCCAGAACAGAAGACACTAGGAGACTCCAGATACGGCAGTGACAAATGCCCGTCCTGCACCAGAAGTTATCAAACCTTCTAATTCAATCATTAGGTACTGAGCAAATGTGGAGACAGGCTGAAAATCATTTATCTAATTGACAAGGACCAGTGTGGGATTTAGGAAAGGGGGAAAGTGAGTAACAGAAGAAAACACAATGATGGATAATTGAGGTCCTGAACTCATGGCTAGAGAGTTATAACTCCCAGGTAAGGTAAGATTCGTAGTTAATAAGGTGATACCAACAGCAGACATTTGGGATATATATTTCTCGATATAATTAAGTTGGTGGTTAATAAATGCTTTTATTATTTATCTGTTTTCCAAAGTTATGAATTAAATAACTCTTTGAGATACTGTAAAACCTAACTCACCTACCTGACCCAGATGTGACCATTTGATAATCAAGGGTCCTAATAATGTTCTGTGGTCAGGCATTCTTCCATAATTAACACACTTAGAGACACAGGTCCCTCAGTGGCTTCTGAGCTGAGGTTAGGCCTGGCTTTGACATCAGCCTAGTGTTGTACCTGCTGTCCTTTCACACATTCAAGGATATTTATTGAATGCCTGCATTGTGTAGGCTTTGTATGAGTAAGAACTAATCCTTGCTTTTCAGGTGAAAGGAGGGGTTGGAAAGGCTTTCTCTGGTGGTAGTTACTGTACTTACCACATTATTGGTCAGCCAAAGTCATTCCTCACAGGTTCGACACTGTGTGATGTCAAAGCCAGGACTAACCTCTGCTCAGAAGCCACTGAGGGACCTATCTCTTTAAGTGTGTTAATTATAAAAGAATCCCAGGCTACGGAACATGATCAGGACCCTAGATTATAGGTTATATATTAAAAGGAAACGAAAAGACCAATGTAAAGCAAATATGGGAAGTAATTTGCAGGAATGAGCTAAGTTAAAAGACTCAGTTGTTGAGAAAACCAGCTATGTTTTGGCAAGTCAAGCAGGCAAAGATAGTGGAGTGAACTGAGTGTGTACTTATGGAGCCCCCTCGAGGAAGCTTACCCACCATATAGCTCCTTTAATAAGCTTTTCCACCTCAGCAGAATTGACCACTCCCAACTTTACCCACTGATGTACCACGAACAGTTTTCAGCACTTATACCTTCAATTCAGTTGCTTTATTTTGTTTATTTTTTCACTAAAAACTGTCATATTCATCTTTGTATCACCAGCACCTAGCGTATTTGTTACTAACAGGGATTTAGGTGACAAATTACATTATCTGCCCTAGCGATTGGTATTGCACTGGTGGTAATCTAGACTTTGAGAGTGTGTCAGGTGAGAAGGTAGCTGGAATAATTATGTTGGCTCCATACAGATGAACGATTCTTAGAATATATATCTTGTCTGCTCCATAGTGGTTTGCACAATGCTTAGCAAGGATCTAGTTTTTGCTCAATACATACACAATTACTTGATATTTAGACAAGCTGAGCCAAGCGTTAGTGCTTGCTTTATTTAACAGCTGATGGCTGATGGCTGCTCTTTAAAGTGGATGTAAAGGATGTGAAAAGAGAGTAGACAAGAAATATACCATTGGGGCCGGGCGCGGTGGCTCATGCCTGTAATCCTAGTACTTTGGGAGGCTGAGCGGGTGGATTACCTGAGGTCAGGAGTTCAAGACCAGCCTGACCAACATGGTGAAACCCCGTCTCTACTAAATACAAAAAAATAGCCAAGAGTGGTGGTGCATGGCTACAATCCAAGCTACTTGGGAGGCTGAGGCAAGGAGAATTGCTTGAACCTGGGAGGCGGAGTTTGCAGTGAGAGGAGACTGTGCCATTTCACTCCAGCCTAGGCAACCAGTGCGAAAACTTTCTCTCAAAACAAAACAACAAAAAAAGGAAATATACCATTGGTTCTTAGGTATATGAAACAGGTACCCAAACTTATTCATAACAAAAGAATGTAAATTAAAACCACACTGATGTGGTTTTTACCTATTAATTGGCAAAGATCAGGAAACTTAGTAATGGTAGTTTCAAGAAAATGAAAGTGTAAAACTAGTACAAACTAGAAAAGCTTCTAGACAGCAATTTTGTAATATCTATCAAAATTAAAAATATAGATACCCTTTGTTTCAAGAATCAATTTCCAAGGATCCTAGGATCAATATGCTCATATGTGTAAAATGATGAGTCAGCAAAGTTAGTCCCTGCAGCATTGTTTGTGCAAGCAAAAGATTGGAAACAAACCAAATGTGTAGTCAGGAGGTACCTGTTTGAATAATGGCACTATGTACAGTGGAATATTATGCAACTATAAACAGAATGGGAATGCTTTCCTTTTGTGCGTGCTGGTAGAAGAATCCCTAATATATGCTAAGGAAAGACAAGAAAGGTACAGAACAGTGTTATAATTATGCTATCCTTTTGTAAAAGAAGAGAAAAAGTGTGTGTGTGTATGTGTGTGCACGTGCACTTTTACATGCATAAGATATCTTTGGAAGAAAACAGAAAAAACTAGTAACATTATTTACCCTTGAGAAAAAAACCAGGTGACCAAGAGGTAGGAATGGGAAGGAGAGTTTTCCCTCTGTGTCCCTTCATGTTTTTGAAATGCAGAACCTTCTAACTACATGGCCTATAAAAAAAAAAATAAGTAAAATAAACACAGTTAAGTGACACTGTGGTTCTTGGCAGGGAGCCAACGTTGTCATGGTCACTGGCTGCAGCTGTTACACTGGCGTGGTCACCTACAGTGACATCTACTGGTGCTTCCTAACAGCACTGTTAGGTCAGTATTTTTCAAACTTGATTTCAAAGTGGGCCATGGAACCAATGTAGTGGGTCCAACCAGCATTAAAAAAGAAAGAAAGAAAGAAAGAAAGAAAGAATAGAAAATATCAGAGTACATAACAAGTAGTAAAGGTAAATAAGGATAAATACTGTTGTATGAACTCCTGATTTTTAAAATATTCTTATGTGTTCTGATATGTCTTTCTTACTGTGTCAAAAATGTTAGGAAGTCACCATCTTCGGTGGGGACCTTTCTCAGACAATCTATTCTTCCACAATTCTCCTTGAGCAACCAAGATATTAACGGGGAAGACTTGAAGTTTCTATGCTGCTTGATCCAGAATTTTCTCACCATGGATGTGGGGTTCTCACCTTTGAAGGTTGGTCTCTGCTTATGTCTCCATTACCATTACATTGTCTCTGTTCATGCCAGCTCCAGGCTGTGTGTCTCCACACTCGAAGGCACATTCTTTCTCCTTAGGAGTATATCCCATTCCATGGCATACTGTGGAGTTAACAGGGCTGACTGGAGTTTGGATGTGGTGGCTAAGACCAGAGACCTGGAATCCTTCATGCATCCTGAGCTTCAGAGACCCCTGTAACCATGTTCCTTTTCAGATTGACCCCAATTCCTTGACTCATGCAGCTGCACCATCAGCAATGCCTTTCTCTCCATCCCTGCTTCCTTCTATCTAGCTTTTTTCAAGATCTTGCCCAGGGTTACATCTTCCATGGAACTTTCCCTGATTCCCTCAGCCAAAGTGACCTGTCATATAATCATCATGCTCTCTTGATTGCAATTG
Organism: Homo sapiens; assembly: GCF_000001405.40. Taxonomy (NCBI): domain Eukaryota; kingdom Metazoa; phylum Chordata; class Mammalia; order Primates; family Hominidae; genus Homo; species Homo sapiens. Next base: position 109,469,819 of record NC_000005.10, read on the forward strand.
AAAGAAACACAACTCAAACTGGGTTTAAACAAAGAGAATTGGAGCTCAGCTAATTTAGAAGTTCACAAATAAGTTGGATCCACAGACTGAAAGATATCAGGAAGCATTACTTTGTTTTTCTCAGTGATCCTACCAAAAGATCCAAGATCTCACTAGCCTAACCTGGGTCATTTGCCCAACACTGAATCAATCATTATAGCCCCTGAGGTTAGAATCCACTGATTGGCCAGTCTCAGATTACATGCTCTCCCCAAGAGAGCATCTAGTCATAGAGAGAAGCTATGTGGAGTGTGAAAAAGGGGTGGTTCCTTGAATGTATTCGTCTAAAGTGCTGTCAACTGAAGAGGGAGAATGAATACTGGGCAAGCAAAAACAACATGTGTTCTTGTCAACTTGTAATCTGTACAGTGAAAACACCAACTTCTAAATATATTTTCTTGTGTTAATACTTTACCTATGTGCTATGGTTTGTATGTTTGCACCCAACAAATCTCATGTTGAAATCTAATCCACAATGTGGTGGTGTTGGGATGCAAAGCCTAGTGGGAGATGTTTGGGTCATGGAGGCAGATCCTGCATGAGCAGGTTAGTGCCCTTCCTTGGGGGTGAGTGAGTTCTCACTCTATTAGTTCCCTGGAGAGCTGATTGGTAAAAGAGTCTAGCACCTCCCTGCTCTCATACTTCCTCTCCAGCCATGTGATCTCTGCACAGCTGGCTCCCCTTTCCCTTCTGCCATGAGTGGAAGCAGCCTGAAGCCCTCACCAGAAGCAGATGCCAGTGCCATGCTTCTTGTACAGTCTGCAGAACTGTGAGCCAAATAAACCTCTTTCCTTTGTAAATTACCCACCCTTGGGCATTCTTTTATAGTAACAAAAAATGGACTTAGGTGCTATGTGAGCATGAATCATTTACAATAAAATTGTCAGACAAGTAAGATTAACATTTCACTTCTCAAGTTATATTATTCAATTGTTCTACATTTTCCAGGCTTTGTCATTATTTGTTTTCTCTCAATTCTACTTAGATTTCCACTGACCAATTCTCATGGAGAATTGAGTAATTAATCAGTTTATAAAATCTATAACAACTATAAAAATATTGAATTCATTGTGTTTTTGCCCATTGATTTTTGTCAAATATTTTAATCACAATAAACATTTTAAATTTATGAAAGGAAGACCAAAGTACATTTGGAGGAGGAAATCTCTCATTTCTGTTTTTGAGCATTCTTTCTCAGGAAACAGAACATATTTTTAAAGAGAAACATCTCAACACATCTGGTGTGATCTTCTAGTTATCTAGTTTAAGCCAAAAAAGGTGGCATCATCTGTTTTTCTTTCATACATTTTGAAACATGAGTTTCTGAAAGCTATTTCCTAACATATGTCAATTTAACATCTGCTGGTTTCTAACTGATAATGAGGAACAGTGCGCTGGCTGCCCCTCCAATAGTGCCAAGGTATTTCCCATTAGAATTGTTTTCACTTTGGAATTGTCAGTAATATTTTTACTCTAGGATAGCCTATTTTCCTAACTTGAAGGAGATACATGAATGGAAGCACAGAGAAGGAAGAATAAACAGATTGATATATTTACAGTTATGTGGCAGCACAGCAGAGAAAGATTTCAAAAAGAAATATTAGATAAGAAAGTCAATGTCATAGGTCACAGATTAAACTCCTTCTCCTGCAAAGCATGCTTCCCTATACTACATCTTAATTCACCCTTGTTATTCAATACCAAGAGTATTTGAAAACAGAATTAAAATGTATTAACCATATCTAAAAGTACCCAACCATGTCCAAAGCTTCTCTAACATTTCTTCTCCTTTTTAATCCTTTGGTGCAATTTAAAGTGCATCAGTGAACTTCAATTTCTGCCTGGAAATTCATAACAGAAAGATATTTTGACATTTATTTTTGAAAGAGGGAGCCTAAGTGTTTGTCCTGGGAGAGATCAGTATTTTTGCTTGCCCTAAAGTAATCTAGTGCTTAATAAACATTTAGTAATTTTCAGACCTAGTAATTTGGAGCCTGCAAATTATTGGTGTCATTTGTGTCTTTTAATACATTCTCCCTATCTCAATAACATTATTGCATTTTATTTCACTGGGCTTTAAAGTAGAGAGATCATTGTGGGCTTGTCAAGATCAAAGCTAGCTTCATATTGTTATTGCTATATTCTCAATGTCAAGCCAAGTGCTTCATATGCAATCAGTATAGAATGAATGAATCAATTTTGTCCCAAGATTCTGAGATACAAAATTTACTTTTAGAGTCCTAAAAGTGGGGTATCTTGAATAGTCTTACATAAATTTTAAAAACCATCAAATTGACTTTGGTAAAGAAAGAAGAAATAAGTTCTAGGACTTACTTGGACTTCCATAAGGAAACTTTGATGGCAGGTCTCTCTAAATAAATTTGGGAGCTGACATACTACAAACCAAACACCATTTATGGTGATGGCTACTCAATAACTTTTCAGTGAAGATAGTGGTTCTGAATATACTTGTAAGGCTTGTGGAAAGAGAAGGAACTTTGGGCCGGACATAATGGCTCACGCCTGTAATTTCAGCACTTTGGGAGGCTGACGCGGATGGATCACCAGGTCAGGAGATGGAGACCATCCTGGCTAACACAGTGAAACCCCATCTCTACTAAAAATACAAAAAATTAGCTGGGCATGGTGGCGGGCACCTGTAGTCCCAGCTACTGGAGAGATTGAGGCAGGAGAATGGCATGAACCCGGGAGGTGGAGCTTGCAGTGAGCCGAGATAGTGCCACTGCACTCCAACCTGGGTGACAGAGTGAGACTCCATCTAAAAAAAAAAAAAAAGAAGGAGCTTTGGAGACTGATAGTCTGGAGTTGAAATCCTGGCTCTACTCCTTATAAAATTATTTAACCTCTACTTTTTTACCTGCAAGATAGGCATAATGATACTATGATGCAGGGTTGTTGTAATAAATTCAGTACAATAATAATGTACACAAAAGCTTAGCAAAGTATCTGGTACTTGAGGTCACCTACTAAGTAGCAGTTATGATGATCCTTATGATAACCATTCCTGATATTAGCTGCTCTGATAATATTCAGAGAACAGACTCAACTGCACGTAACCCAAACCCTTTAAAGCCTTATAAGTTAAAGCTAAACTCACCCTATGTTGTGTTAGTCAATATAGCAGAATGGTAACTAAAGACCCTACAGGTAAATGTGTATATTTGCATACATTCATAATTTTTTTCTTTCTTTTCTTCTTTTTTTTTTCTTTTCCTTTCTTTCCTGTTCTCTCCCTCCCTCTCTCCCTCCTTCTTTTCTTTTCTTCTTTCTTTTTGTTTCATTTTTGACAATATCTCACTCTGTCGCCCAGGCTGGAGGGCAGTGGCACAATCTGGCTCACTGCAGCCCTGACCTCCCAGGTTCAAGCAATCCTCCCACCTCAGCTTCTGGAGTAGCTGGGACTACAGGTGCACACTGGCAAGCTCGGCTAATTTTTTGTATTTTTTGTAGAGATGGGGTTTTGCCATGTTGCCCATGGCTGGTCTCAAACTCTGGGGCTCAAGCGATCCACCTGCCTCGGCCTCCCAGAGTGCTGGTATTACAGGCCTAAGGCACCATGCCTGGCCCTGCATGTCACTTTTTAAAGGAACTGTAAATCACATAGACTGAGCAGAAGAGTCTCAAGTTAATCCTTGGTGTGATACAGCAGTAGATTTCTAAAGGAGTCCTCCCCTCTCTCTCCTTGCTTCCCTCACATTCTATTGTGAAGTGTGCCAGGCACTGTATATACAAGGAATATTTACAGCTGATGAGATAGCAGATGAAGAGCATTCCAATATATTTTCTTTATTGACCTATTGGGCAAAAGGTGAAAGCCATTCCATGAAAAGTTAAGTACTGTAAAAATACATTAACTTTTGGTTCACGGGAGAGATGCTATGAGTTATGTCCCCAAAGCTTTTCGACACATGAAAAGAATTAAATAACTCAAATTTCAACTTTAGAGACTGTTTACTGGAGCCCTTTGAAAAAATAGTTGCCATCATCCTCCTTAACAAAGTGGATGGAGTGCAAAATGCAAAACTTCCATACTGAATAGGTTGATACAAGTCATTTATTGGAAACTATTTGGCAGTATGAGCTATGAGCAAGCATGAAAGTTGTAGTTCTACCTAACTATTTTCATGTTATTATGCAATAGCTTTTCTCTAAACATTTATTAAAGTAACAAATTACTTGGGTGTTTTGCCTATCTTTGGATAAAAAAGGGCTACTATTTTCATATGGCTACATTTAAATGATAGGCACACATAGGCATAATCCTGGCCAACACCATCTAATAGATACATCACTTGATTACAGCAATATATATGTATTTCCCTGAAATACAAGAATTGTCTCTTGAGATCATTTTTGGGATCATACATTCTCATAAGAATAACATCTGCAGGGCATTGATTGAATGTACAAAATCTGGAAGCCTCCTTAAACCCGTTAGAAACAAAGGGAAAATTAAGGTAGTATTGAATGTTGCTATTTCATGCACATTAAGCTGATTTACTTCCCGGGAAGAATTGGAGACCAATGTTGATCTTGCACATTATTTGCACAATTCATATCCTATTGAAGATAATTATAATATACTATGCAGTCAAATTATTTAATAATGGATTTAATATTCTCTTACTTTAAAAGCTTTAACTCTCTGCCATGTATATTCTCAAATAAACTTGCAGCTCACTCTAGATTTAATTGAATTTCAGGTTTTTATAGAGGCAGACATGATACCATGGCTAATAAAGTAAACAAGACTAAACCCAAACTATAATTTTTGCTGGTCTCCAGCAAAACTCTTTATACACCTAGGTTTTCCCACACTATTTCAATCAAATGTTCTATCTTCTCCCGCTTTACTGTCTTTTTTTAAAAAAGCATTATCTTCTTGTTACTTCAGATTTGAAATATTAAATTTATTTTTTTCTTTGCCCTTCTTACCTTTCCAGTTATCTATTGCTAAGAAACAAACCACTCCAAAACCTGTTAGCTTAAAAGAACTATCATTTATTAATTTTTTATTAATTGCTTACAAATCTGCAATTTGGGTTGGGTCAATAGGGATAGCCTTTCCCTTCTCCACATGGTGTGTGGAGAAGCTGGTGTGGCTCAAGATGGGTCAATCACATGTAGCAATATAGTGCTGGCTGTAGGCTGGGAGCTTAGCTGGCTTGTCATTTGGGGACCTCTGTTCCTCTCCATGTGGACCCCTCCACAGAGTTTTTTGGGCTTCTTCAAAGAATGGAGGCTGAGTAACAAGGAAATGTGTTTCAAGACGTCCAGCAGGAAGCTGCAAAACTTCGACTCAGCTTCAATTCTCAGAATGCCACCTTTGCCATATTGATCAAGCAAGTCACTTAGCTGAGATTCAAGACAGGAAGAAGGAGTCTCTTAAAGGAAAGAGTAACAAAGAATTTGAAGACATTTCTAATTTACCATGTTCTGTCTTTATCCAAGTCCTAAGTCCACCATCACAACATCTCTCAAATCCGTTCTTCATGCTTTCATCCACCCAAATTTTCTTGTACAGACCGAAGAAAACTTCATCAGCAGTGCCAGTGAATCAGGGAAGGAGATGTTTAAGACCCTTCTAGGAATGTACTGGACTGACTCAAAAAGACACAAAGGTAGCTTCGAATCAGCTGAGACCCTGGGAGAGGTTGAAAGGAAAAGATGCTTTCATGGGAGGTTCCACCATTGCCGTTGTCATCTTTTTTGTTATAATCATCCATAAAATCATTCACTAAATTCTCCGTTTTACTCTGCGGAGTTATTTTCTTTTTCTTTTTCTTTTTTTGTTTTGAGACAGAGTCTCTTTCTGTTGCCCTGGCTGGAGTGCAGTGGCAAAATCTCGTCTCACTGCAACCTCCGCCTCCCGGGTTCAAGCGATTCTCATGCCTCAGCCTCCCAGGTAGCTAAGATTACAGGTTTGCTCTACCATGCCCAGCTAATTTTTGTATTTTTAGTAGAGACGGGGTTTCGCCATGTTGGCCAGGTTGGTCTCAAACTCCTGGCCTCAAGTGATCCATCTCCCTCGGCCTCCCAAAGTGCTGGGATTATAGGCGTGAGCCACCGCACCCAGCCTGTGGAGCTATTTTAAATGACTGTATGTGGACATTTATAAAGGAAAAAAAAAAAAAAAAAAGAAGAAACAACTGGGAATACCTTGGGATTCTTTTTAAAAAGCTCTGGGCCAAAAAAACACCAATTACCCTACCCCTTGAAATTCTAAAAGAAAAGAGAAAATTAAGCTGATTGAATTTATTAAATTTATTATGGTCAACGTATTATAGCAGAATTTTATTTCTTTTCTGTGCTATAAGTATATTTGTCCATTGTATAATCAATGTAGATGTAAGCCTCTTGACAACTGTATAAGATGTGGATTATGAATTTTACGTTTAAAATTATTATGGCTGTATCTCATTGTCGAATCTTTGTTTTTATGGCAAGTTTGCTGGAAATAGCTACAGTTTACTTGTTTTTATAACAAATACTTAGCTCTGTGACCCTCAGTTGTAACACTGGTCCTGGCAGGTGGCAGTGGGGAGTGGTCTGTGTTACCACTGATCCCTATATGTTATAATTTCCAGGAATGCATTGTGGACACAAACAAGAACTGTCTGTACTCTTGCAGGAAATGGAAACGGTACAAACCAGCATTTGAGTGAATGAACACTGAAAATGCATGCTGCAACCAACCACTGGATCAGGGTACAAGACAAATAATGGTTCTAGTGGAACTTGGGGGAAAAGCACTTTTACATGGAATTTAATATATTGTTCCCTGACTTATCTTTGTTTATGATTCTATAGTTGGATAATTGTTTTCCTCAATCCTATGACAAAAAGAGTTGGAGGCGTCAGGAAGAGCAAGAACAATTTGGCTCTCAGTGAATTTTTAATAAACAATGTGTTGCATCAAGAACAATTAAATGCTTTTAAATGTAAGATAATTTTACTTAGACAAATGGTTTTTGAGAAGTACTTTCAAGACAGAATTGAGTAGATAATTTCTTAGACTAATTACCTTATATCTAGCCATTCCAGTAAAACATGACTGGAGCACATATTATTTTACTTAATTTTTTTTCCATTTGGTTCAATTTTCAAATCTGAATACTTTTAAACATTGACTTCTATTTAAAATGTTCTGTTCACAATGCAGTGCTAAGTGAAAACATTAAACTGTGTTTTCCAAATTTTCTACGATAATCAGAAAAAGATTGTATATAAATAATTCCACAGGCAACTCTTTAGAGTATGTCTAAATGGCAAATTTGACTCGTCATTAATGGTAACTTAACATATCATGTACACCAGAAACCAGGAAAGGATCTATCTCATGTTCTCCTAAACCTCAGCCACAGTTGAACAACTGAAATCAATATACTTCTCAAGCAAGTGAATAATTCCTCAAAGCAATTTTTAAAAGGAAAAGAAAATTTTCTTTCATACAAGCATCTTTTCCCTCAGTGATTCTTACATTTGCCTCTTTTTCTCACAAATTTCTAAGATAGGAGATAGAGTTAGCCTTTATGTTTTAAAATTTTCCCTTGATTTACTAAAACACATATAAATTTCATGGTTTTTGAGGAACAATGACACAGAGGATAGTTGACTTAGGGTGAGGTTAGTATGAAGGAATAAAAATGTCAGTTTTTTTTTCCTCATAAATAAAAGTGAATTCCTAAAACTTTCTCCCATGACTTCAGGTAACTGGAGTAACATTTTTGGGAAGCTAAAGGCAAAATATCTCTATTTCATTATTTGGTGAAGACTGATAACCATTTGAGAAAAGTAGTTCTTATTGCTTGATTCAAGTTCCTGGAGAGCTATGGCTAAGATTTTTTTCTATTATACTTAGTATATAATGTAGTATAATTATTTGCATATTGGAGCCCTAAATTTGTTATATAAAAATAGCAGGTAGTGTGTATGAAAGAGAAAGAACTATGATACAAAAAAATCTGGCCAGCAGAGCTGCAGCTTTGCTGTGCAAAGGGTAGAATTATAATTTATTTTTTGTGACTGGCCCAGGGTAGCTGCAAAATAAGTGGCTCTGATAACCAAACAGATAATAGTAACTATACTTTTAAAAAACTTGCAATGATTTAATAGGACATTGGACACACGATTTTAATAGTCTGCATGCCTCCAGAGGTATCACTGTTTCTCAAATGGAAAAGCCAAAATGAAAATTCTAGTCCCTGTGAGAAGGTGTTAGAAGAAATCATTTTTAAAAACCCAAAAGGACTCACTTTATTATTTTTGACAAGAATTTCTCCCTAAATATAAAGATAAGATAGCATTGTAAAAGTGACTGTAAAAGAAAAAAACCCACTGTAAGGCTATTAGGGACAGCTGGCTGAACTGCTATGTCAGAATACATTTTTATTTCTTTAAAAATAAAACTTGAATATTGGAGTAAAATCTTATTTAAGATTTTTAAATATATAAAAATGCATACTTGTTATGCAACTTTATCAGATCTCAACATATTGCACATTTTGCCTATTTATTTCACAATTTATTTTGTAAAATAAATGAAACAAAGTTTTTTATGTTTTCTTTCCCTGGAAATAACAACTACCATTAATTTGATACTTAAGTTTCCAATAATTTCTTTATAGTCCACTGTTTGTCTTTTTTTTCCTTATTTGTGGTATCTTTTGATACACAGGAGTTTTAACATGGAAAAATTTATCACTTTTTATTTTGTGCTTTTGGTGTCTTATTTAATAAATTCTTCCTTATCCTGAGACAAAACAATAAATTTCTACATTTTCTTCTTACAGTTTTAAAGCTATGGTTTAAAATATCCAAGTTCTTGGTTGTCTTGGAATTTATTTTTGGTTTATGTATAGTAAATAATTTTATTTATATTTAATTTTTTTCCCATATGAATAACCAATTATATTTTTTCTCTGATTTTTGGGATGCCACCATAGATTTTTTTCTTTGGATTTATATACTGTTTCATTGGTCAAGTAAGACAAGTTACTCCCATTTTTTTCTTCAAGTTGAACAGACTATGTAGAGTCTTGTGTTATTATGTATGAATTGAGTATCAATTTGTTAATTTATACAATTGTATTAGACACCATTTCAGTCAGTTTCTTTCTGATAATTTGGAGAGACTGTTTAATCTTTCCATCCATGAACATTGTATATCCCTTTATTTTTTTAGGACTTTCAAAATGCTCTTTAATAATGCTTGATAATTTTCTGTATAAAGGAGCATTGCAATATTTTGTTAGAATTATTCCACATTTTGGCTACATTTTGTAGCTATTATGAATGGGGTCATCTTGTATATTATTTTTCAATTGGTTATTGTGAGTATATATAGTAATATTAATTTTTATATACTCATCTTAAGAAGAAAGATTAAGGCCACTTGCAATTGCCTACTAGCACACATTTTTAATAAAAATTTGACATTCTTTTTAATTCAGCTAAAGTCATGGTTGTCTAGAGATGACTTAATCATTAACTACATAGAAGTGCTGAGTAAAAAGTTCAGATCTTTTACTTTACATTATATTGGACCTAGTTTGGCAAAGACTTAATGACACCATCTAGTGGCAGTTTGAAGTTCTAAATAAATAGTAAAATGCATTTCCAGATTTTATTGGATAACTATTTGTGTTAAAAAAATTATGATAACAATCAATATCCTTGTTGAAAATGCCAAGAAACAGCAAGAATTAATTTGTCATATCAAAATTAATTATGCTTGTAGTCTTTAATTTTGCTGATTTCAAGATTAGAATGAAGTTATGCTTATGGAGAAACTTATCTACAATCTTTTATTTTGAAGCCAAATCATGTATGTGAAGATTTAATTTTTAAGATTGTTATTCAGGGAGTTGTCATAGTTCATGTTCACACCATGTTTTTGAAAAAATAAAATTACCAACAGCTGGCCGGAGTCAATCTACGTAATCTTTATAATAAAATGATCCTAAGAGTCTATACCATGAGGACTACTTTATATTTAAGGATCCTTTAACATAAGGCCTATTTTTATATCTTACTAATTAGAATTCTTTTTTGTGTGGGAAATAACAAAATCTTATGCATAATTCAACTCAATTTCAAAACAAATAGGGACAACTTGCTAATCACTTGAAAAAAGTATAAAGTTTAAAATACACTCAAGATGAATTAAAAATGTAAATCTATACAACCAGGCTTTAAAAGTTTAGAGTGAAATATATATGAAAGCTTATTTAATTTTTTGGTGGGGAAGACTTTTCTGATGATAGATGGAACCTCTAAGTGTAAAGGTTGATTAAAATTTCTATAGAACATTTAAATACTAAATTAAAGTGACAGTGTAATATCTCTGGTAAAAGTTTTTTAAATGACACTACCCTATGTTAACATAAGTTAAGGGTGAATACATAAAAAACAGGCATTCTTATTTTGCTACTTGGGAATACATTTGGAATAAACTTTATCAAGGGACATTTGGCAATGCTATTGAAAGTCTTAAAATATGCATAGTCTTTGCCCCAGAAATCCACTACTCAGAATGATTATAGGGATACAACAAAGAAATAGTCACAAGATTGTTCTTCATAGCACTTCATAGAACTATTGGTAAAATATTACACATTAGGAAAATGTAAATGTCCACCAAGAGGTGAATTGGGAAACTAAGAGTGTAGTTATTAACCATACATTGTTATTAACAGTTATTATGTTGTTATTAACCCTAATGTTACAGAAAAATTGTGGAAGACATTTAAAATACTTTTTACATATTTAATTATGTAATTACTCAATTAAGTGGAAAGATATTCTCAGAATAGTGTTAGATGAAAAGCAGAGTTTCAAATCAGTATATTTTCATTTTTTACAATATTTGTTTCCTTCCTTATGCAAAATACAGAATGACGACACTCAACAGGGGTTCTATCCTGAACATGATATAGGCTGAATGTTGTTTCCTCCCCAGATTCATATGTTGAAGCCTGAACCACCAATATAACAGGGTCTTTGGGAGGTAATTAAGGTTAAAACAGGTCATATGGGTGGGACCTTCAGGATGGAAATAATGCTTCTAAGAATGCTTCAGAGAGCTTCTGGGTACACACTCACCCCACCCTCTCCCTACTCTGCCCCGTGTAAGAACACAGCAAGAAGGTGGCCACCCATAAGCCAGGAGGAAAGCCCTCATCAAGCAAATTGACTGGTGCCTTGATCTGGGACTACTAGCCTCTAGAACTGAAGAAAGTAAATGTCTGCCGCTCAAGCCACTTGGTCTACGTTATTTTGCTATGGCCTCCTGAGCAGACTAATATACATGAGGTAATGAGTAATTTCTTTTTTTGCTTATCTAGGTTTCTAAATTTTTTGTCATAAACATACTGCATTTGTAATTTTAAAAGATATTTTAAAATCAAATAATATTAGAGAAACTCTCCAGCATATACAGATGTTTCAGTGAAAAACTCATCATTAGTTAAATCAGTTATTTGAAGCTGGTTTGTGATTACCTTGACATATTTTTATTAATTCTCTCCATACACTAATTATTTGGCTTATAATTAAATTTACAAAGCAGATTGACTCCTTAGCTATGAATATCAAAGATTGATAAGGTTTCTAAATACACTACTGAAGAATAGGTTTATTTTCCTCCCATCTAACTATTTTGCAGTTATTATTTGGAAACACTGACCATTTTAATCATTATTTTTTAAATTAGAGTGAGTAATTAGCATTCTGCCTTAGGTTTGGATGACTAATAATGGTGAAATTATATATGATTTTCTTGCATTCCAAGACCTTTTATAATTAATTATCTTATCCATGCATCCTATTTCCCTCTTATGCCATCAAATTTCTGAGAAACATGCCGGGTGTGGTGGCTCACACCTGTAATCCCAACACTTTGGGAGGCCGAGGCGGGCAGGTCACTTGAGGTCAGGAGTTCGAGACCAGCCTGGCCATCATGGTGAAACCCTGTCCCTATCAAAAATAAAAAAATTAGCCTGGCATGGTGGGGTACGCCTGCAGTCCCAGCTAGTCAGGAGGCTGAGGCAGGAGAATTGCTTGAACCCAGGAGGCAGAAGTTACAGTAAGCCAAGATCATGCCACTGCACTCCAGCCTGAGCTACAGAGCAAGACCCTATCTCAAAAAAAAAATTCTAAAAAAACAATATATTCCTTTTTCTGTTGTTACAATTATATCTAACCTTATACCAGAGGAGAAGTAATGAACCTGCCACCCCATGACAGTATGTGATATTTAGTAATACACACACACACACACTTTAATTTTTATCATCTTTATAGCCCCATGCTAATGCTGGGTATATTGGAGAGGGAAGAAAGGAAGGGAGTGGGACTACATGTTTCATGAATGGCAAGGTTTCTTTGTGGCAGCAAAGGGTTTGAGCAGTCCTGGAATCTGGGAAATGTGGAGTCCTTCATCAGCATGCCAAGAAGTACTTAATGGCAGAAATTTCTCCTTAGAGACAGAAATTCACAGTCAGTGTATACAGAACACTCAAAATGACTGACCCTATAATGTTCATTCATCACTTGAGCTACTCAATGTCTTTGAACATGCATCCTACACTGTGATAATTTCATACATAATGTGTCTCACCTTCCTAAAGTGGGAGCCAGAAAATTTCCATTCCCAAACCCCTTGTATTAGGGTATAGTCATGTGACCTCACTCACTCTAATCGGACTGTCCCTGAAAGACAGATTTGAATTAAACAAGGAGCAATGAAAGTTTTATTAGGGTTGGGTTTTATTTTGTTTTGTTTTGAGGAGGAAGGGAGTGTTAGCACTGGGATGACATACTGGGAAGATGCTGGGTCTGACGTGCAGACCCTGACCCAGTGACGGATGAAAGACATACACTGACACAGATATTTTGCCTGTCAGAGCAGCTAAGGGGCTTTGCTGCCTGAGTCCACAGCTTTGGCCCCGACAAGCTGGTGAAGTTCGCATTTATTTAGTACAGATTAAATGACAAATGTCTCCAGTAAACAACACTAGAGGGTAATTAACATTGCCAACCTCCTGCGTAAAGAGCAGTCATGTGCCTGCCGATGATCAAAGGTTGGTCTTAGGACCACATGAGTAAGCAAGCTATTTAGGTAAACTCCTCTACATTCCTATGTATCTACACCCTAAGCTTTTAAGAGAATTCAGCTGCCTTCAGCCAAATCTTTTACTGAACCTATGCAAACCTCCCGGCCTTCCAAGAAGGTTTGTGTCTATTTCCTATAACTTTATCTGTACAACTTCTCCCACCACCCTGACTGATCCCCTACAGGAAAATTTCTTGGTTGGAGGCAGAGGCAACTGGGAAAATTGGTCTTTTGGCAGGTCTGCTGTAGGGATTCAGTTCTGGGGCTTGGGGTGGCGGTACTTCTGGAACTCAGTCCTGAGGATCAGTGCCAAGTGCCAGCATCTGTGGTGTTTCTGCTAGAGAAGGGGTGGTTATCATGGCTCCTGGATGCTCAAATTTGTCATCTGATCCTCTGGCCCTACCAGATATTCTGTGAGCTATCTAATATCATTTCATCAGTTCTATTTCTGCTCAAATTTGCAAAAGTGGATTCTGTAGAAGAACTCTACTCAGCCTGTCATTCCAATAGCAACACTTCCTCCCTCCTCAAAACAAAATAGAACCCAACCCTAGTAAAATTTCACTGCTTATTGTTTAGTTATCACCAGAATGTACCATATTTATAGATATTGACAAGATAATTTAATGTAAATTAGTGCTATTTATTTATTTACAGAGATTTCGTTATAAAAATAAAACCCAGAGCTTTCTAGCCAAAGCTCTTCCCCTCCCTCTGCAGTAATCAGCAGAATTCATTCTTCCTGCTTCTTTGGTTTCACAAATAATCTGAGCCTTCAAACAGAGCCTGTGAAGTTAACAACTTCCTCATTAACACATGTCTTATCTTTGCAAGGACTTCCATTCATTCACTAAGTTCTTAACCATTTATTGGGATGATACATAAACATTCTGAAATTCTGCTTCCAAACTGCACGCAATGTTGACTGTCATACAAAAAATTTAGGAATCTTCCTATGAATAGCCTCAATGTGAACATTAATGCAGCAGGCAAATATTTTTTATTAGCTCTATTGGAGAGAAATGTGTATGCAGGATGAAGGAAGGAAAGGACAGAGCTGGAATAAACTGAAATACATTCCCACATGAAAGGACTGTGACTAGAGAGAGAGGTCACTACACTCAGGGACAGTAGGTGGGCATCAAACTCAAGTGGCTAAAATTGGAATTTAAAGAGTTTGTGGGTGCATAATAAACATTTCCTCATGTGTCAGAGTGGTTATAATCTCAAAAATAACTTTTATTTTCCACTTGATGGAATACAGTGCAATCATAAACATATTTTAAGAAGGTTATTATTTTTAGCTAGAATTGATTGGACATTTAGTGTATGCCATCATTAAGACTTTGCATCCTGCACCTCATTTATTACTCCCAACAGCACAAGGCAGATATTGTCAACACCCTTTTAGAGATAAAGTGATTCCCAGAGAGGTTAATTCGTTGTCCAAGGTAATTCAGCAACTAAACGACACAGGTGAGACCTTTTGGTTAAAAACCAAAAATTCCTACACTGATTTATGAAGATTCTGCAGCAACATTGAAAAGTTGCTTATGATTTTATGTTAACTGCCAGAAGAAGAGTAGAAAACTGTATGCACACCGTGACACAATTATGTGACAACTTCCTTTACATATGGAGAAAGAATTGGAAGGGAACACATGTCATGTGCCACTCACTTTTGTGTCCCAGAAACTAACAGAATCAGCAAACAGTCCATAAAAGCAAAAAAAAAAAAAAAAAAAAAAAAAAAGGAGTGTGTGTGGGTGTGGTTGGACAGGTGCATGAGCACACGAGGAAGGGTTTTAATGGGGC